>NC_000009.12:77595552-78220552 GCF_000001405.40 Homo sapiens | reverse complement strand
TAACATCTGCATGCATGGATATTGTCAGACCAAGCACTGACCTGTTTGGACAAGGTATCTTGGTGGCTTTTTCTAGCCATGCTAAATGACAGTACATCAGATCTTGTCCTGGATGCAAACTGTTCACTCATCTGGGTTGAGTCACCATCGTGTGGTCTTCGTGAACTTGGAGGAGTCACAATAAATAGCCCCCAGGACTCCTGTAGCTGATATGAACTGTGCTGAGGGCTCGGTGATCCTGAACTAGCCTGGGAACCCTACTCAGCAGACGCCAGAGTGTCCAAATGCATCCCAGTGCTTCCTCATCCTCATTCACAGCTGCGTTGTCTGGGACAAAGCCTTAAAGGGCTGAGTGGAGCAATATCTCTCAAAGATTTCAAAGAGGGTGAGGCTACCAAAGAACAAAGCAAAGGTGGTGTGGGGGCCTCCATAAATGTGCGATGAAAGAAGCCACAGGAGCCACCTTTTGTTCTAATGCTGCCCTTTCCTCCTAGAGGGGTGAAGGAGTTAGGACAGTGTGGCCCCTCCTGTCTGCCCCCAGCCTGTCTACCTGACCTCACTCCTGCATGGTAGTCCTAGAAAAGGCACATTTAGCTTCCACTGAGTGGGGCAGGCTTGGAGAGCAAACAAAGACTAGAGTGTAGGGAGATTAATTTCTGGCTTAATGATCTATTTAATAAAACTGAATACCCATCATTGAATTTGATTTTTCCAAATTGAAATTTAAAGTACTCAGTCACCCATTAGAAGAAAAGCCAGGACTAGAGACCTCAAGGGATGAGACTCCCAGGCTGTGGTTTTTTTCATGTACCTGAGGCTCAAGGACTTCTCACCAAAGGAGAGTTTGTGGCTTGAAAGAGCTCAGGGAATGCCCTTTGGTGACATAGACAGTCATTTCTGTATCCCATATCTTTTTTTTTTCTTTACTGCAACATACAAACTTTATTGAACAAAAGTAACAGGTAAAGTCAAACAGGCACTTAAGAGAAAAACTGACTGGAAGAGCTTTTATCTTAAACATCTTACACTAACCTACTTGCAGTTGCATTTAACTGAGCTCTGTTGCTGTGAAGAATACAGCTCATGCACAGGTATGGATGAAGGATTTGTACGTTTCTCAAGTATTCACTGAATACTACCTTATATACACATATACATTAAATTTGAAAAAGATTTGACGATCCCCAGATAAACTTCATTTTTGTTGATCTTTTGGAAGAGGTCCTCTGAAGAGAAGAATATGTGGTTCTGGCTCATGAATCATGTAATGAACCCGGCCTAGACGCCATTGGACATAAGTCTCCTCCACTCCTCTTCAGACATCAGATGAGTTTCAGGTGCTTGTTTGGAAAGTTCTCTGGGTAACATAACATGCCGGTACTTGTAGTGCTCGTCGAAGTACTTGTCCGAGTAGTAGATGGCTTGTGGGCCATCCTGCTGGCACACTGCAGGAAATGAAATGAGAGAGCGCGAAGAGGGGGGTGCAGCAGGCAACATGTCCCCATCCGGCCAAGGTAACGACTCACCAGAGACTAACTGGATCCCATATCTTTGCGGATCCCCACAGACGCATAGCAGATGAAGCAATCAGACAGGATTTTTATGCTCAGGGAGCTAGTATGAGACCTGTCCCCAGTGGAGATGGGCACGGGTCCAGGAGAGGTGTTTCAGCACTGTGCTCCCTCCCCTTCCCCAATGCCTGTCCACATGGGAGAATGTAAAGGCAGAAAAGCTAACCAGCTGAATAATGGTGAGGGACGATCTTTTTACTAGGGAAACTTGTTAGTGCTTTGTGCACAAACGCAGGGCTCACAGAGGTATTAACCCAGGCGCTATCATTCAGTTTGCCAGGGTTGTACAGAAAGCGCAAAAGTTGCACCTCAGCGGGTGTCACTGACATTGAACATAGGAATGGGACTCCCTGGAGTTCTATACCACCAAACCTCACATCTCATACTAATGTCAGGGCAACCAGTGCGTGAGTTGGCAGGCACCTTGGGAGGGAAGAGCCCTCAGCGTCCTCATAGCCCAGCTTCCTCACAGCCCAGCTTCAGGGACCACAGATTTATTTAACATAGCAAAGGCAAGTGGATGATTGTTCTAGACTGTCACTAGTTTTATGTCAAACCATATCACTGAAGTCCATTCAAAGCTCTCTTTGTAGCAACAAACACACATGAAAAACATTTGCAGCTCTTGTTGCCTTTGGATGTATGCATTCCCAGAATAAACCCCTTCCTATGAAACCAACCTTAGCACTTAGCCTGGGCAGAAAGGAATTCTAACTCCAGTACCTTTCAACATGCAGTTAAGAATATACTAAAACTTAGACAGTCACATGCTACATTATGACTTTTCAGCCAAAAATGGATGGCAAATATGATGATTATAATGGAACTGAAAAAGTACACAATCATGTTTTATGATTGTGTCTATGACATTACTGTACACTACTATAGACTTTATAAACACTGTACATACACCTCACGTGTCTGTGGTGATGCTGATATAAAAAAAACCCTACTGGTCTAGCTATGAATGTATAACACATACAATTACATATAGTATATAATACTTGATAATGATAGTAAATGACATGTTACTAGTTCATGTATTAACTACACTATATACTTTTTATTGTTATTTTATAGTATACTCCTATTTTTTTAAGTTAACTATAAAACAGCCTCAGGCAGGACCTTCAGAAAGTATCCAGAAGAAGGCATTGTTATCATAGGAGATGACAGCTCCATGCATGTTATTGACCCTGAAGACCTTCCATTAGGACAAGATGTGGAGGTAGAAGACAGTAATATTGATGATCCTGACCCTGTGTAGGCCTGGGCTAATGTGTGTGTTCATGTATTTGTTTTTAACAAAAATTTTTTTAAAAATTTAAAAAAAAGTAATAAAAGAAGTTTGTAGAATAAAGATATAAAGAAAGAAAATATTCAAAGTATCTGTGGTGTTTGTTTTTTTGTTTGTTTTTGAGACAGTCTCATACTGTCACCCAGGCTGGAGAACAGTGGCTTAATCTTGGCTCACTGCAACCTCCATCTCCCAGGTTCAAGCAATTCTCCCTGCCTCAGCCTCCCAAGTAGCTGGGATTACAGGCGTGTGCCACCATGCCCCGCTAATTTTTGTATTTTTAGTAGAGATGGGGTTTTGCCATGTTGGCCAGGCTGGTCTCGAACTCCTAACCTCAGGTGGCCTGCCTGCCTTGGCCTCCCAAAATGCTGGGATTACAGGTGTGAGCCACCGTGCCCAGCCTTTTGTGGTTTTTTTTTTTTTTTTGAGACAGAGTCTTGCTCTGTTGCCCAGGCTGGAGTGCAGTGGTGCGATCTCTGCTCACTGCAAGCTCTGCCTTCTGGGTTCACGCCATTCTCCTGCCTCAGCCTCCTGAGTAGCTGGGACTACAGGCGCCCGCCACCACGCCTGGCCAATTTTTGTGTGTGTGTGTATTTTTAGTAGAGACGGGGTTTCACCGTGTTAGCCAGGATGGTCTCGATCTCCTTACCTCATGATCCGCCCACCTCGGCCTCCCAAAGTGCTGGGATTACAGGTGTGAGCCGCCGCGCCCGGCCGGTCCTTTGTGTTTTAAGCAAAAAATCCAAAAAATTAAAAAAAATTAAAAGTTTATAAAGTAAAAAAGTTAAAGTAAGCTAAGGTTAATTTATTATTGAAGGCATTTTAAAAATTAACAAATTTAGTGTAGCCTATGTGTATGGTGTTTATAAAGTCGACAATAGTGTACAATAATGTCCTAGGCCTTCTCATTCACTCACCACTCACTCACTGACTTACCCAGAGCAACTTGTAGTCCTGCAAGCTCCATTCACAGTCAGTGCCCTATACAGGTGTACCATTTTTAATCTTTTATGCCATATTTTTACTGTCACCCTTCTATGTTAGATACACAAATACCATTGTGTTACAACTGCCTATAGGATTCAGTACCGTAACATGCTGTACAGGTTTGTGGCCTAGGAGCAATCTGCTGTACCAGATAGCCTAGGTGTATAGTAGGTTTTACCATCTAGGTTGGTGTAAGTGCACTCTGTGATGTTCTAACAATGATGAACTCACTTAATGATGCATTTCTTAGATTCGATCCCCATTGTTAAGCATGTATACATGCACACAATCATGTTTTATGTCCCAGGATATAGCTTGTATTTTCTAAAACTAACCATAGCACTATTTCCAGTTCCTCATTGTCTTCCAGAACTTTGCTACCCTCCACCAAATGTTGAAGACATATTACCTTTCCTTTAGAGTTGGGTGGAATCCATTGCTGTCTCGGTGAATAGAATGCAGCAGACATGAGTGCATTCATTTCCTAGAGCTCCTGCAACAAAGTGCCATAGATTCGGTAGCTTAAAAAAAAAACATAAATGGATTCTCTTACAGTTTCTGAGGTTAGACATCTGAAATCAAGGTGTCAGCAGGGTTGGTTCCTTCTGAAGCTGCTTAGAACAACGGAAATTTATTTTCTCAGAGTTCAAGAGGCCAGTAGTGAGAAATCAAGGTGTCCACAGAGCTGGTTCCCAGCTTTCCCTGGAGGCTCCAAAGGAGAATCTTTTCCATGCCTCTCTCCTCGCTTCTGCTGGTTGCCAGTAATCCTTGGCATTCCTTGGCTTGTAGATCATCATTCCAATCTCTGCCTCTACTGCCACATGACATTATCCCCCATGTATATTCTGTGTCCAAATTTTCCTCTTCTTATAAGGAAACCAGTCATTGGATTAAGGCCCATTCTAATGCAGTATGACCTCATTTTAACTTGATTATATCTGCAAAAATGTGATTTCCAAATAAGGTCACCTTCACAGGTTCCAGGGGTGAGATTTCTAAGGTTAGGTCATAAAAGAAAATCCCTCTTCTGCCTGAATCTTTCTCCCAATAGATAATCACCATTGGAACCCAGCTACTATTTTGTGGGGAAGCCTAGAACATATAAAGAGGCCACATATAAAAGATCCAACTGACAGCCCCAGCGAAGGCCCCAGCCCACAGCTAGACATTTAAGGGAACGGGCCTTCAGATGATTCCAACCCCAGCCTTTGAGCTGTGCTAGCTGAAGCTCAGTAGAGCAGGGAGGAACCACCCCCACTCACCCCTGCCCAAAAATGCAGATTCGTGAGCAAAATATATGTAGTTGCTTTTTTAATCCACTAAATTTTAGAGTGGTTTGTTATGTAACATTCAATTCCCGGAACATTACCCAATGTCCACAGACCTACCTGAGACATTTGGAATCTCCTGTGGTAGGGTCACCTTTTGTCATGCGATCACGACCTGGTGATCTTGCTATGGGTTTCTTTTGAGTTCAACCATCCTTCTCTCTGGACATAGTATGAAGCAGTTTGGCTAGATACATAGGTGTTACCAGCTTCAGCCTGGCTTAAGAAAAGATGTAGCTAAGTACTGAAAGAATTTAACTACTTCTTTTGCTGGTAAGGTAGCTCTCCGGGCCTCTGGAGGACCAACCAGTGGCACAGAAGTGTAACTCTGACACTTACTAGTTGTGTGATCTGAGCCAAATTCCTCAAATTCTCCAAACTACATCCGTAAAATGGGCATTATGATACCCATCTCATTTATGTAAGCTTGTAGCTCAAGGTCTGGCTTATTTTAAGTGTTCAAGAAGTAATAGGTGACTGTTTTAATTGAAAGTTAAAATGTTCAAATTTTTTTTTCTCTTAATATGTAAAATAACCTCATTGATGGAGGTTGTATAAACTTGCAAAACACTTCCATACTTAGTAACCAACTGTAAGACTACGCTACTCTGGACTCTGGATTTTTCAGCATCAAGTAAGGGACAGTAAATATTTATAACAGCAACACAATCCTTGTTGCCACAGCTCACAAGGGCCTATTTATTAAAACAGGTGGCATTAAGCCAAGAGTGACTATTAAATTTGTAAGTTGAATTTTTTTGAATAGTGATAGCCCCCTTACTAAGCAAAAGAAGACAAAAAAAAAAGCCCTACTTCTAACACTTGGGAATTTCTAACTAAATAGTTTCTTTTTTGTGATGGCAAGATTTATCCCTTATATTAGAAACACACGTGAGACCGTGAGACCATGAATCCATGGTATGGGTTTTAAGACTGCAGAATTAGCTGGACTTAGGGAGCACTTAGTTGATCCTCAGATCTCAAGTGGGGGCCAAATTTAATGCTTCTGAGTAAGGTTATTTTTATACATGAGATTCTATGTACTATTTACTAGTAATTTTTTTCAGCTTTGTGCATGCATCAAAAACTCAGTCATTTTACAAATTGCAACATAAATAGCAATTCCATCCACACAGTTTTTGGCAGAAAGAAGTTTCTTTCCACAAAATCCACTCAGTTTTGCTTGTTTTATTCTCCTATTTGCCAGTATATACTAAGGAGAATCCATTCTTACTGATATTGCTGGCCTTTTTAAAAGCCTTCCCACTTGCCTCTTACAAACTGAGGCTCTACTGACAAATGGCTTTTTCTCCCTGCATTCTGTGGAAAGCTTACAAATGCTGAATGCTAAGTGGAAGGCAACCAAAACCCAAATTCACAAACGTGTGCACTTGAAAATGTGCAGTTGGAGTCAATCCTTTGTCTGGAGCCCAGAGGAAAATACTTGATTCTGTTACTAGGTGGCAATGTTCCTTTACCAAAAGGGTGGTTATTAGCGTCTGCTCTAAAACAGAAAGGAAAACGCTGCCTTCTTGACCCATCCTTAGCAACTTTTTAACCAGACTTCTTGGTTTAAGACCACAAAGAGACATCAGTAATGTCAGAAATTCCAAGGTTGGAGTGCACAAACGAAAACTTATTCCCCTGGTCACTGTACATTGCAAAACTCTATGATATAAAGCACATGGTTGCTTCCAATGACTGTAAAAATCCTCTCTAGGCTGGGACTAGAAGTATATTCCAGGCCTTAGTGAACAAGTGATATAATCTCACTTGTCCAATGATCAGTGGTATAGTATTAATTTTATTTATGAAAAAACAGCCCTTGCATTGAGGTTCTTTTTAAAAAAAGGAGTTTCTTCCATCCCATTATCAGTTAGGGTTACCAGATTTAGTAAATCAAAATACAGGACAGCTAGTTAAATTTGAATTGCAGATAAACAATGAATACACTTTTTAGTATAAGTATGATCCTTGCAATAATTTGCAACTACTGATACTAAAAAAATTATTTGTTATTTATCAAAAAAAGTTCTGAATGAGTGGGCCTGGTACCTACATTTTAAAAAATACGGTGTTTTCCGTACAGATAATTCTCAGATCACACTTTCAAATAGCAAGAGTCTGAAGCTGTGAGATCATGAATCTCCTTGAGAATCAAGTCTTTTCCCAGAAAACACTCATATAAACTCAATACTTTCACACAACTTCAGTGAAAGAACTGAAATTCAGAATTGGCTAGAGCCTACAAACCTCATGAACCCCAAGTTAAGCACTAGCCTTAGTAATCTCATGTGGTTTACTGAAAAGCTTGGCTCTTCCACAGAAGTGAGATGAGAACAGGCTCATTTTGAGCCCTCCCACTTGGCCTACTCTTTGTCCTTCCCAACACTTCTCAGCACAAGGAGAGCATTTTTTTTTTTTTTTTTTTTTTTTTTTTTTTTACTTTCCACAAGAAATAATCCATAATCCCCTGCAACAGTATGAGTTCCCTACTTAAGTGACATGCTTTTTCTTTAGTGCCTCCCAGTTACCTCTGTAAAAGGATTGTTTGGAAATAGGGTCTGCCTGAATGAAGCCTAGAGGCTGTAAACAAAATTCCTCTTCATCAAAGATGCAAGTAAACAATTCTGGGCCAAACTGAACCACAGAGAGGTCATCTTAAATGCCCATCAAGCCATAAAAGGGTAGCCAGGGGATTGAAATTTTACACCTGTGTAAGGCAGGGAAGTAATACTGAAGTTAAAATAAAATAGCAGGCTCATACACTTAAAGATGGTTATTAAGCAGAGGTTGTCACCTTATCTCTGTGAGAACTAGTCTTGCAGATGCCTTGAGAAGAAGGAGTCCCAGCGTGGGACTCTGAGGGCCTTGGTGTGCTGACCCTGTGGCAGGGCCATTGCCCACTACACACTAGCTTTGGGTGGGAGGTGTAGAAGTTGCAGTGAAGTCCCACACTCATGGAGCAGCTGTAGTGCTGAGAAAGTGCATTAGAAGGCATAGGTTGTGTTCAGAGATAAGGCACCCATGATACCCCTCTGAAGTCCCTTTAAGGTGCTCATCCTGCCACCTGTAAAGCATCTAAGGCACCCTGGCCCCAGGTCGGGGGATGGAACCACAGTAAGGCTGTGGTATTACTGTCCCTTGGAGCTGAAATAAGTGCCGGGTAAGATGGCACTGGGACTTGGTTGAGTCACTAAGGTAGAAGTCCCAAGGCCCTCCATTAAATTTCTCCCACCTGAAAGTCTGGGCCTCATGAAGGTAAAAACTGCTACACAGGGAAGGTGTCTCTGAAGCTGCTGGAGCTCCCTGTTGGGCTGGACCAGAGCCCTTCCGTAACCTCGGCACTCTTGCAAGAGAAGGCAACCCCACTGTATTATACTCTCATGGGCTGGAATAGGCCGGAGTCCCAGGCTTTAGCGCTTTGGGTTTATAGGGATAACCACTTCTCCAGAAGTACCATGGTTAATTTATTTCAATGACTCTATTGGCTAGCCTCCTACTGGCTCTCAACCTAGCCTCATGGACCTCTTTAATTCATAAAGGTAGGCTGGCATGGGGAGAGTATTGCTCCATTTTCCTTTGGAGATGGAAGTCTTAGTATATCTTAATTACCAGACAATGGAGTCTTCATTCCTTCTTTAGATTTGCCTAACCAAGAAAACCTCAGAGTAACATTCCAAGAGCAAAGATGAACATCTATCCTGAAAACAAATAAACAAACAAGCAAAAAAGCTGCTTTCGACTACAAAGCTACAGCAGGACACTTTCTCTGCAGTGAAATGACTGAGTCAAAGGATACGGGCATTTGAAAAGCCCTCTTTTGTGTAGCCACTATGTGGAATAAAGACAACTCATGTGATATAACTGTAAAACAATTTCTTATTTCCCAGTGCCCCTTTAACTGTTTCGTTCTTCCTCTCTCCTGATTGAAAACTCCTATAGTCCCACGCGATGATCAAAATTTTAATCTTCGTTCAAAGGTCAATCATCCTGCCTTTCCCACTGTGGTACTGTTTCAGGACAAGGTCGACTTCTCCATCCTACCCATAGCACTTTCCCTCCATCTGCCCATCAAGGCTATGATTAGGCCACCTGTAAAAGTCTGTCTTGGCTTCCTCAGGCTGGAACTGCAAGGTGGGAAAGGAAGTGAAAAGGGCGAGAAAGTTCTTATTTGATTGATGTTGTCAGTGGATGGCTTCTGCTTGCTGGAGCGTGAAGCTGTTTTTTTCTCTTATGTGCATTTTTTGTGGGTTATCATGAAAGCTGCCATTGTTGGGGGATGCTTCTCTTTCCGTTTCTTTGATGTGGGAAATGATGTCTCTTCTAGCTGGTCACTGGCAGCTCCTCTTGCGACTTCTCACCATCCAGTGACCCACAGCTAGCTTCCTTCTTCTGATGTTCTCTTAGTCTTCAGATAGCCCTCAGAAAGATTCTTGATGCTCCCAGACTGCCTGCCTCTCAAGAGTGGTACAAACCTCTTCCTCAGGAAATACACTTTCTTTGGCCACAGCCACCTCTCCTAGATCAGCTTCTAAATACTTCTATCTCACTGTGTTTACATTTCTTAGTGGGAATCAGACACAAGTATAGTCCCCTAAATCAAGCTTGTCCAACCTGTGGCCCATGGGCTGCATGCAGCCCAGGATAGCTTTGAATGCAGCTCAACACAAATTCATAAACTTTTTAAAACATTATGACATTTGCTTGCAAATTTTTTTTAAAGCTAATCAGCTGCTGTTAGTATATTTTTATGTATGGCCCAAGACAATTCTTTCAATTGTCTTTCAATTCTTTCTTTTGGTCCAGGGAAGCCAAAAGATTGGACACTGCTGCCTTAAACTGAATGTAGCACATCTTGAATTCTCTATGTGGGCTCCTTAAAACCGTTAAGTGGGAAACATCTTCTATTCCTCACCCTTGTTGAGGTATCTAGCACTCCAACATCTATCTCCAAAATCCTCCTCCCAGTTTCACCTTCAACCTCCATGTACTTCATCCTCTTTGTATTTTTAATGTGTGTGAGGGATGAGTTCTGTCATTGGTGTTCAGATACTTATTTTGAAAATTTGTATTTTGTTTTAGCAACTCACTTTGAAGTGCAATATATATTGTATCTTGATTCCTCAGTCAAAATCTTCAAGGAACAGCCAATTGCATAAGAAAGATTTGCTCTTGTTCTCACTCATAGGTGGGAATTGAACAATGAGAACACATGGACCCAGGAAGGGGAACATCACACACCGGGGACTGTTGTGGGGTAGGGGGAGGAGGGACAGATAGCATTAGGAGATATACCTAATGCTAAATGACGAGTTAATGGGTGCAGCACACCAACATGGCACATGTATACATATGTAACAAACCTGCACGTTGTGCACATGTACCCTAAAACTTAAAGTATAATAATAATAAAATTAAAAAAAAGAAAGATTTGCTCTTGTCACATAATCATAATTTCATATCAGGTATAAACCTGAAGGATTTGCAGGTGATATCATTGCAACTGCCATTTACTAGCCACCCGCAATATTCATTTACTCTTGAGATATTATTCATTGGTGGCCCTATGGAAACCAGATCCTCATTTGATTTCTCATTGATGTCGTCATTACTAAATCTTTGAAGGTATGGATCAGCTTTTCCACTTCTTCCATGAGCTTCTTGGGCTCATCCACAGAGGCATAAAAGTACTGAGAAAACTGGTTGATATGGTTACTATTTTGCTTACACCCTCAAAAAATTAAATACAATGTGTTTGTTAAAGCAAAAGTTGATTGATGACTTACGTATAATAAAAGCCATACACATTTATCACAAAAAGCCCAAATTGCAAAGAAAATTAGAAAGTGGAAAAAAGTAATGCGTGGTCCTACCACCCAAAGAGGTAATGAGATAGTCGTTTTACTTAATTGTCTTCCTTTTTTTCATAATTGTAATAATAATGTACTGATCCCTGGGTCCCGCCCCAAATATTCAGATTTATTTGGTATGGGGGCATGTTCTAGACTCAGTGTTTTTCAAAAGCTCCTTAGGTGATTGCGACATGCGGCAGTTTGAGAGCTACTGCTCTAGGCGCCTGCCATTGACTTGTTCTCCATGCTTTTACTGTATTCTTGGTTAATTAGACCATGCAGAATGGATCGTAGAACCCACTGAGAATCAACTGTAATCATAAGTGTGTGTCAGCATGAGAGGGAACAAGTCTTCTAATTACTAGTTCATACTGGATGGACATCTACATCTGGCCACTCATGATGAAGGATAATGATGGATGGGGATAAGTTGGTTTCCTTATCACCATGAGGATAGCCTCACTGCTTCGCCAATCCCCAACTCTCTCAAGGCTGGCATCAGAGACTAGTTAGCTTTCCATGTGGGAGGATTTACAGCGAGTGAAATCACTGTGGCAGTCTGACTCTCTAGTAATCACAAGTCATAGTTACAAGGGTTTTTTAAATCTAGTGGCAACTTTTAGGTTGCACTGAACTGTGAGAAAGGAATTGGAAGAGTCTTGGGGCTTATTTTATGAGAAGTCTCAAGGAACTTTTATGATTGGTTGCACCCATAAACAACTTCATAATCAAAATGACTTGCTCCATCATAGTTTCAGAGACCTTGGAGGGGAGGACAGAAATGGTCAGGACCCTTCTCAATGCTTTCTCTTCTCAGGAGTCCACATATCAGAAACAGATGTGTTAGCCCTCAGATTGATGGTGAGAAAACGTGTCAGGAGACTCAGAATGAAGGCTCACATGCTCACATCACATACTGGTTTTGCAGATAGCTTGTATTATAATTTACAACAAAATTATGGTAGTTAGCCCAGCTGCTAGATCTTGTTATTTATTAATAAAGCAGTACATGTTACATATTATTTTAATATTTTGTCAACTGTATTTCAATGTTACTGGTATAATCCTAGGTTTTTATAATGTGTTTACAAACATGAACAGGCTTTTGTTTCATATTATTTTGATAAGTGATGCATGTCATTTTCATTTTTAATTTAGAGGTGATTGTGGAATTGGGAGGAGAAAACTAGCAGAGATAACTAGGAAATTTTACATTGTTATAGCTTCTTTTTTTTAATTCTATACTTTATTTCCTGTGTTTCCAGTATACTTTTTATCTGATATTATGGCTTACTATGCTCATTTGTTGCCACATTTTAATTACCTTTCCCAGTGATTAATTATTTGCTTCCAGATAGTGGGCTGGTACGATTCCCGCTGGTTCTATTTTGGAACCAATGATAAGGTACATTAACGAGGCTCAGAGTTGCTCCCACGAGACTGTTTTCCTTTTCCCATTGATGTGGCCTCTTCTTTTCACAGTATTAGAAATTGTAACTCAGGCACAATGCTTATTAGCTTATTCTCTTATCCCCAGATCACAGATGGAGATGTGGTTTTTAAAATATCTCATATTAAAAGTTCCAAAATCAAGAGTAGGGTGATGTATCACCACCCCCAGGTTGATATTCTAGGAATAAATGTCAAGAATAGAGATAGAAATTACCTATTACAAGCGGCCTAATCATAAACATTCTCAGGGCTGTTTTTCTTGGGTAATGTGCTGCAACCCTGCTCCTGAATGATTTTCTCAGAAGTACATAAGCGAGAATGGCATCTTAGAGCTTTGTTCTACCAGATAGAAGAGAAAATGAAATTTATATTAGCACTAGTGAAAGTTAATATTCAAAAAAAAGTGAAATATGTTTATTTTTGTACATTTTAACACCTCCCCATCTAATGGAGAAAACTGTATTTCCACCATATGCAACATCAAATGCACCACCATACACATTCATCATGATGTATTGCCTCATTTTTGAGTCGTGTGTAATTTCCTTGCAATTGTCCTGGTATGATACAAGGTCAGCTCATTTCCTATTCAACACATTTGATAAAATATCTAGAGACAAAACAAAGGGCGCAGGGGCAGATTCATATATCATGCTATGTAGCTAAATAGTTTTTTTTTTTAATTATACTTTAAGTTCTGGGATACATGTGCAGAACATGCAGGTTTGTTACATAGTTATACATGTGCCATGGTGGTTTGCTGCACCCATCAACCCTTCATCTACGTTAGTTATTTCTCCTAATGCTATCCCTCCCCTTGCCCCCCAACCCCTGATAGGCCCCAGTGTGTGATGTTCCCCTCCCTATGTCCAGGTGTTCTCATTGTTCAACTCCCACTTATGAGTGAGAACATGAGGTGCTTGCTTTTCGTTCCTGTGTTTGTTGAGAATGATGGTTTCCACCTTCATCCATGTCCCTGCAAAGGACATAAACTCATTCTTTTTTATGGCTGCATAGTATTCCGTGGTGTATATGTGCCACATTTTCTTTATCCAGTCTATCATTAATGGGCATGTGGGTTGGTTCCAAGTTTTTGCTATTGTGAACAGTGCTGCAATAAACATACGTGTGCATGTGTCTTTATAGTAGAATGATTTATAATCCTTTGGGTATATACCCAATAATGGGATTGCTGGGTCAAATGGTCTTTCTAGTTCTAAATCCCTGAGGAATTGCCATACTGTCTTCCACAATGGTTGAACTAATTTACACTCCACCAACAGTGTAAAAGTGTTCTTATTTCTCCACATTCCAGCATCTGTTGTTTCCTTTTTAATGATCACCATTCTAACTGGCATGAAATGGGATCTCATTGTGGTTTTGATTTGTATTTCTCTAATGACCAGTGATGATGAGCTTTTTTTCATATGTTTGTTGGCCACATAAATGTCTTCTTTTGAGAAGTGTCTGTTCATATTGTTTGCTCACTTTTTGATGGAGTTGTTTGTCTTTTTCTTGTAAATTTGTTTAAGTTCCTTGTGATTCTGGATATTAGCCCTTTGTCGGATGGATAGATTGCAAAGATTTTCTCCCATTCTGTAGGTTGACTGTTCACTCTGATGATAGTTTCTTTTGCTTTGCAGAAGCTCTTTAGTTTAATTAGATTCCATTTGTCAATTTTGGCGTCTGTTGCCATTGCTTTTGGTGTTTTAGTCATGAAGTCTTTGCCCATGCCTGTGTCCTGAAAGGTACCGCCTAGGTTTTCTTCTAGGGTTTTTATGGTTTTAGGTCTTACATTTAAGTCTTTAATCCATCTTGAGTTAATTTTTGTATAAGGTGTAAGGAAGGGGTCCAGTTTCAGTTTTCTACAGGTGGCTAGTCAGTTTTCCCAACACCATCTATTAAATAGGGAATCCTTTCCCCACTGCTTGTTTTTGTCAGATTTGTCAAAGATCAGATGGTTGTAGATGTGTGGCATTATTTCTGAGGCCTCTGTTCTGTTCCATTGGTCTAAATATCTGTTTTGGTACCAGTACCATGCTCTTTTGGTTATTGTAGCCTTGTAGTATAGTTTGAAGTCAGGTAGCATGATGCCTCTTTTTGCATAGGATTGTCCTGGCTATACGGGCTCTTTTGGTTCCATATGAAATTTAAAGTAGTTTTGGCCGGATACAGTGGCTCATGCCTGTAATCCCAGCACTTTGGGAGGCCAAGGCAGGCAGATCACAAGGTCAGGAGATAGAGACCATCCTGGCTAACATGGAGAAACTCCGTCTCTTCTAAAAATACAAAAAAAATTAGCCGGGCTTAGTGGCGGGCTCCTGTAGTCCCAGCTACTTGGGAGGCTGAGGCAGGAGAGTGGCGTGAACCAGGGAGGTGGAGCTTGCAGTGAGCCGAGATCGCACCACTGCACTCTAGCCTGGGCAACAGAGTGAGACTCCGTCTCAAAAAAAGAAAAAAAAAAAAAAGAAATTTAAATTTAAAGTAGTTTTTTCTAATTCTGTGAAGAAAGTCAATGGTAGCTTGATGGAAATAGCATTTAATCTATAAATTACTTTGGGTAGTATGGCCATTTTCATGATATTGATCCTTCCTATCCATGAGCATGGAATGTTCTTCCATTTGTTTGTGTCCTCTCTTATATCCTTGAGCAGTGGTTTGTAGTTCTCCTTGAAAAGGTTCTTCACATCCCTTGTAAATTGTATTCCTAGGTATTTTATTCTCTTTGTAGCAATTGTGAATAAGAGTTCACTCATGATTTGGCTCTCTGTTTGCCTGTTATTGGTGTATAGGAATGCTTGTGATTTTTGCACATTGATTTTGTATCCTGAGACTCTGCTGAAGTTGCTTATCAGTTTAAGGAGTTTTGGGGCTTAGATGAAGGGATTTTCTGAATATACAATTATGTTATCTGCAAACAGAGACAATTTGACTCCCTGTCTTCCTATTTGAATACGCTTTATTTCTTTCTCTTGCCTGATTGCCCTGGCCAGAACTTCCAATACTATATTGAATAGGAGTGGTGAGAGAAGGCATCCTTGTCCTGTGCAGGTTTTCAAAGGGAATGCTTCTGGCTTTTGCCCATTCGTTATGATATTGGCAGTGGGTTTATCATAAACAGCTCTTATTATTTTGAGATACATTCCATCAATACCTAGTTTATTGAGTGTTTTTAGCATGAAGCAGTGTTGAATTTTATCGAAGGCCTTTTCTGCATCTATTGAGATAATAATGTGGTTTTTGTCATTGATTTTGTTTATGTGATGGATTACGTTTATTTACCTACATATGTTGAACCAGCCTTGCACCCCAGGGATGAAGCCAACTTGATCGTGGTGGATAAGCTTTTTGATGTGCTGTTGGTTTCAGTTTGCCAGTATTTTATTGAGGATTTTTGCACTGATGCTTATCGGGGATATTGGTCTGACATTTTCTTTTTTTGTTGTGTCTTTGCCAGGTTTTGGTATCAGGATGATGCTGGCCTCATAAAATGAGTTAGAGAGGAGTCTCTCTTTTTCTGTTGTTTGGAATAGTTTCAGAAGGAATGGTACCAGCTCCTCTTTTTACCTCAGGTAGAATTTGGCTGTGAATCCATCTGGTCCTGGGCTGTTTTTGGTTGGCAGTCTATTAATTACTACCTCAATTTCAGAATTTGTTATTGATCTATTCAGGTATTTGACTGCTTCCTGGTTAAGTCCTGAGAGGGTGTATGTGTCAAGGAATTTATCCATTTCTTCTAGATTTTCTAGTTTATTTGCGTAGAGGTGTTTAAAGTGTTCTTGGATGGTAGTTTGTATTTTTGTGGGATCAGTGGCGATCTCCCTTTTATCATTTTTTATTGTGTCTATTTGATTTTTCTCTCTTTTCTTCTTTATTACTGTGTCTGGCAGTCTACTCTGTTAATCTTTTCAAAAACCTACCTCTTGAATTCATTGATTTTTTGCAGGGTTTTTCGTGTCTCTCTCTCCTTCAGTTCTGCTTTGATCTTAGTTTTTTCTTGTCTTCTGCTAGCTTTTGAATTTGTTTGTTCTTGCTTCTCTAGTTCTTTAATTGTGATGTTAAGGTGTCAATTTTAGATCTTTCCTGCTTTCTTCTGTGGGTATTTACTGCTATAAATTTCCCTTTACACACCGCTGTAAATGTGTCCCAGAGATTCTGGTACGTTGTGTCTTTGTTCTCATTGGTTTCAAAGAACTTATTTATTTCTGCCTTAATTTCATTATTTACCCAGTAGTCATTCAGGAGAAGATTGTTCAGTTTCCACGTAGTTGTGTGGTTTTGAGTGAGTTTCTTAATCCTGAGTTCTCATTTAATTGCACTGTGGTCTGAGAGACTGTTTGTTATGATTTCCATTATCTTGCATGTGCTGAGGAGTGTTTTACTTCCAATTACGTTGTCCATTTTAGAATAAGTGCCATGTTGTGCTGAGAAAAATGTATATTCTGTTGATTTGGGATGGAGAGTTCTGTAGATGTCTATTAGGTCCGCTTGGTCCAGAGCTGAGTTCAAAACCTGAATATCCTTATTAATTTTCTGTCTCATTGATCTGTCTAATATTGACAGTGGGGTGTTAAAGTCTCTCACTAGTATTGTGGGGAGTCTAAGTCTCTCTGTAGGTCTCTAAGAACTTGCTTTATGAATCTGGGTGCTCCTGCCTTGGGTGCATATATATTTAGGATAGTTAGCTTTTCTTGTTGCGTTGATCCCTTTACCATTATGTAATGCCCTTCTTTGTCTTTTTTGATCTTTGTTGGTTTAAAGTCTTTTTTATCAGAGACTAGGATTGCAACCCCTGCTTTTTTTTTTTTTTTTTTCTTTCCATTTGCTTGGTGGATGTTCCTCCATCCCTTTATTTCGAGCCTATGTGTGTCTTCACATGTGAGATGGGTCTCCTTAATACAGCACACAGATGGGTCTTGACTCTTTGTCAAATTTACCAGTCTGTGTCTTTTAATTGGGGCATTTAGCCCATTTACATTTAAAGTTAAAATTGTTATGCATGAATTTGATCCTGTCATTATGATGCTAGCTGGTTATTTTGCACATTAATTGTTGCATTTCTTCATAGTGTCGATGGTCTTTACATTTTGGCATGTTTTTGCAGTGGCTGGTACTGGTTTTTCCTTTCCATATTTCAGTGCTTCCTTCAGGAACTCTTGTAAGGCAGGCCTGGTGGTGACAAAATCTCTCAGCATTTGCTTGTCTGTAAAGGATTTTATTTCTTCTTCGCTTATGAAGCTTAGTTTGGCTGGATATGAAATTCTGGATTGAAAATTCTTTTCTTTAAGAATGTTGAATATTGGCCCCCACTCTCTTCTGGCTTGTAGGGTTTTTGCCAAGAGATCTGCTGTTAGTCTGATGGGCTTCCCTTTGTGGGTAACCCAACCTTTCTCTCTGGCTGCCCTTAACATTTTTTCCTTCATTTCAACCTTAGTGAATCTGATGATTTTGTGTCTTGGGGTTACTCTTCTCAAGGAGTATCTTTGTGCTGTTCTCTGTATTTCCTGAATTTGAATGTTGGCCTGTCTTGCTAGGTTGAGGAAGTTCTAGATAATATCCTGATATGTGTTTTTCACTTGGTTCCATTCTCCCTGTCATTTTCAGGTACACCAATTAGAGATAGATTTGATCTTTTCACATAATCCCATATTCTTGCAGGCTTTATTCGTTCCTTTGCATTCTTTTTTCTCTAATCTTGTCTTCACATTTTATTTCATTAAGTTGATCTTCAATCTCCGATATCCTTTCTTCTGTTTGATTGATTCGTCTATTGACACTTGTGTATGCTTCATGAAGTTCTCATGCTGTGTTTTTCAGCTCCATCAGGTCATTTATGTTCTCCCGTGAACTGCTTATTCTAGTTAGCAGTTCCTATAACCTTTTATCAAGGTTCTTAGTTTCCTTGCATTGGGTTAGAACATGCTCCTTTAGTTCAGAAGAGTTTGTTATTACCCACCTTCTGAAGCCTACTTCTGTCAATTCGTCAGACTCATTCTCCGTCCAATTTTGTTCCCTCACTGGCAAGGAGTTGTGATCCTTTGGAGGAGAAGAGACATTCCGGTTTTTGGAATTTTCAGCATTTTTGCACTGTTTTTTTTCTCATCTTCATGGATTTATCTACCTTTGGTCTTTGCTGTTGGGGTTCAGATGGGGTTTTTGTGTGGGCATCCTTTTTGTTGATGTTATTGCCTTCTGTTTGTTAGTTTTCCTTCTAACAGTTAGGCCCCTCTTCTGCAGGTCTGCTGGAGTTTGTTGGAGGTCCACGCCAGACCCTGTTTGCCTGGGTATCACCAGCGGAGGCTGCAGAACAGCAATGATTGCAGAACAGCAAAGATTGTCTGTTCCTTCCTCTGGAAGCTTCATCCCAGAGGGGCATCCGCCAGATGCCAGCCAGAGCTCTCCTGTATGAGGTGTCTGTCGACCCCTGCTGGGAGGTGTCTCTTACTCAGGAGGCACGGAGGTCAGGGACCCACTTGAGGAGGCAGTCTGTCCCTTAGCAGAGCTCGAGGGCTGTGCTGGGAGATCCGCTGCTCTCTGCAGAGCCGACAGGCAGGAACGTTTAAGTCTGCTGAAGCTGTGCCCATAGCCGCCCCTTCCCCCAGGTGCTCTGTCCCAGGGAGATGCTGCCTTTCTTTCAGAGATGCCCTGCCCAGAGAGGAGGAATCTAGAGAGACAGTCTGGCTACTGCAGCTTTGCCATGCTGCGGTGGGCTCCGCCCAGTTCGAACTTCCTGTAGGCTTTGTTTACACTGTGAGGGGAAAACCGCCTACTCAAACCTCAGTAATGGTGAACGCTCCTCCCCGCACCAAGCTCAAGCATCCCAGGTTGACTTCAGACTGCTGTGCTGGCAGTGAGAATTTCAAGCCAGTGGATCTTAGCTTGCTAGGCTCCGTGGGGGTGGTATCCACTGAGCAAGACCACTTGGCTCACTGGCTTTAGCCCCCTTTCCAGGGGAATGAACGGTTCTGTCTTGCTGGCATTCCAGGTGCCACTGGGGTATGAAAAAAAACTCCTGCAGCTAGCTTGGTATCTGCCCAAATGGCTGCCCAGCTTTGTGCTTGAAACCCAGGGCCCTGGTGGTGTAGGCACCCAAGGGAACCTCCTGGTCTGCAGGTTGCGAAGACTATGGGAAAAGCATAGTATCTGGGCCAGATAGCACTTACAGCACAGTCCCTCACAGCTTCCCTTGGCTAGGGGAGGTAGTTCCCTGACACCTTGCTCTTCCCAGGTGAGGTGACGCCCCACCCTGCTTCTGCTCACCCTCCGTGGGCTGTACCCACTGTCTAACCAGTCCCAGTGAGATGAACCGGGTACCTCAGTTGGAAATGCAGAAATCGCTCACCTTCTGCGTTGGTCTTGCTGGGAGCTGCAGACTGGATCTCTTCCTATTTGACTATCTTGCCAGCCCTCCCCCGGTAAATAGTTCTTTACCTCACTATTCCCCTCATCTTTTCTTGGGTCTAGGATCTACAAGGAAGCTACAAACATATCCCCTCTACTGTTGGCATTAACCATGAAAAAGGATTGAGGATGACTACATGGCCAAGGTCTGGAATTTCTTCTAGGGTATATCACTCTGCTTATTTTGGAGGAGGTTATATTTCTCCCATAATCTATTTTACACCCTCTCCTTTGTAGATACAATAGGGTATTTATTTTCATTGTATTAATGCATTCAGTTTACATATGCTTAAATTTAAACAACTTCAACTTTAATGGAGAATGATCATGGTGAGGTAGTGTTTTCCATAATTCATCTTTTGTTTTCAACAAAAATAGCAAAAACAAACAAACAAAAAAAAAAACCCTCATTTCCAAACATTTACTGAAATAACTCTTTGCACAGGATTCTATTTGAACAAACCAATTCCTTTTGGACTTCGACAGGTGATAATGTTGTGAAGAAACAATTGTGTATGTCAGTGCATATCTCTGCAAAAGGCAATATGCTACAAGCTGCAGAGTATTCAAGGATGTTTGCTGCCTTGATGACCTTCGAATCTTGTAATGGAGAAGAGATAATACAAAAACAAAACACAAAGCAGAGGGAGGTAAATGACATAAGGAAGATATATGTAAAGAACTTTGGGAGTTCCAAGGAAGATGAACCTCAAATTCCAAGCCTCACTCACAGAAGCTTATTTAGAAAGTTTGCAATGTGGCCCAAAATCTGTAATGCATTTCAGAGCATCTGAGGCAGGTGGTCCTCAGACCACCCTTTGGGAAACACTGATCTAGTAGTCTTTTAACAAAGATAGCTTTTATGGGGCAGGGAAGAGTATCTTTTTATGACTCAGTTGCAGAACACTATCTTGAAGTAATTTTTAATGTTATCCAGAACACAGCACTTATATACCATGACAGAAAAACTGTTGCCATACCTTAAAAATTACTTGTAGGTCCAAAATCTCTTATCTGAAAACTTTTTGGACAGATATGTGTCAGAATTCAAAATTTTTCTTAAAAAGTTCCTAAACAATTAATCTTTAATAAAAATGTTAAATTACATTCTTCTATCAGCATGAAAAATCTTCAGGATCCATAACCTCTCTCTAATCTTCCCAGTACAACCCTACCCAAGCACTGCTTCCAAGACCATCCATGTTTTTCTGAAAAGATGTAGAAATTTAAGTTTAGTTATCAAATTTTCTTTATATTATACTTCTATTTATATTGACATTAAGCACTCCAGGCCTAGGCAACAAAGCAAGACTCCATCTCGAAAGAAAGAAGACTGGGCATGGTGACTCATGCTTGTAATCTCAGCAATTTAGGAGGCCAAGGCGGGCAGAGTACCTAAGGTCAGGAGTTTGAGACCGGCCTGGCCAACATGGGGTGAAACCCTATCTCTACTACAAATACAAAATTTGCCAGGCATGGTGGTGCACTCCTGTAATCCCAGCTACTTGGGAGACTGAGACAGGAGAATCGCTTGAACTTGGGGGGCGGAGGTTGCAGTGAGCCGAGATGGTGCCACTGTACAACAGGCTGGGCAACAAGAGTGAAACTCCATCTCAAAAAAAAAAAAAGAAAGAAGCCCCAATTTTTTAGATACAGTGATATATTTTTGCTCACTACTGCTTCTTTTCTTCCATGTGTTACCTCTCTTTATTCTTCCTGGAGCACATTCTTTCTTAATTTTTTATAAAATAATTACGGATGATAAATTTTATGGAAAATGTTTCTTCCTCAATCATCCGTAAATACTGCTTTAGATTAAAGAAGAACTGTGGACCAGAATTCCCACAGAAATTTGAGGACATATTCCTTCTCCCTCTTGCATACTGTACTTTAAATGAGTTACAGATCAATTTGATTCTATCTCCTTTGTACTTTTTTATTCTCTCTGAGTAACATAGGATATTCATTTTGTACTTAAAATTTTACTAGGCATTTGTAGGTGTTTTCACTATTTTTATAGGTATTTTTAATTATTTTTCTGGCTTACCATTTAGTAGACAAACCTTCTAATCTGAATGTTCAAGGCTTTTCCCAAGGCAGGAAGATTTTTCTATTCTTTGATTCTTTCTTTCTTTCATTCTACTCCTAAAGCTGAGACATTAGAGCACCAGGGATCTATCCTCTGAGTCTCTTATCTTTTCTCTAACATCTTTCATTTTTTATCTTTTACACATTCTGCACAAATAAGGTAGATTGACATTCCACTTTACTAATTCTGTCTTCAGCAGTGTCCTTCCTGCTACTCAGCCCTTCATCGAGTATAATTTTGTGTTTCAGCAATTATGTCTTTAATTTACAAAATTCCTGAGTGCTTATTTTTCACAATAGCCTTCTTTTCCTTGATAGCATGTCTTGCCAAGTTCATCTAAAGTTACTGTCTATATTTTTCATCTATTCTCCGTATTGACTCTACGTCCATGAAGATTAGTTGTATTTGTTGAGTTTAGAGCCTCTTTCATGCAATCAGTTTTCTCATGAGTAACTCTTTCTCTTAACTACAACTATTTCTGAGTTTGGGAATATTCCAAGGCTCTTGTTGTAGTATTCACTTTTTTTCTCATAGGAAGTTGAGAGTTGCTCAGCTCTCATGGGTTTTGTCATCAATCTTTTCCCTCTTGGATCTTCCAGAAATCCCTGAGGGTTTTTGAAGTATGGTGGCATATCTTCAGGCCTGCACAATACACAAGTATAGGTTTATGGTTGTATATGATTCTTGCTTCTATTTATATTGACGTCAAGCACTCCAGGCCTGGACAACAAAACAATAATAGAAAATTATTTTGTTTTCTATTTGGTTATTGCTTCTTGCATATATTTGGTCTGAAGTCCCACAAGGGGGAGAAGTGAGCATCCAGAAAGGACCCTTTGATTCTTGGCAGTAATGCCATCATTACAGCATACAAAATCCCTCCTTCCCAAAGCCCATACATATTGACTACCAGTGAGGGTCATGTGGATATCTACATAAGAATGAGTATTGGGGGCAAAGTATCACATAGGGAAGAATGAGGTCCTTGGTGCACCTGTGACAGCTGATACTGTAACTCAAATTAATATTAGTTTTTAGGAAAAGAGAGACTTTGGAGCCAGAAAATGCTCATCTCAAAACGGAACTTCCATATATAAATGTTTTAGGTCTGGCAAGAGGAGTAATTTTTAAAGAATTTTTCACCAGAGCTTTTTTTCCCCTTTATTGTATTTCTCAGGCAGGATGGTGGGCCAGTATTTTAATCTGTAAAAGTCATTTCATTCCTAAGAACTTGAGAACACTAATGTGTAAAATATTTGGAATTTAAATTCTCAGTACACTAGAATGTTAGTTCCAAATCTAGTTTCTCTTTTTGCTGTTTTGAAGAGAAGTCAAGGAAAAGAAAATCACTGTGGAATTCAGCTTTGGATTCAAGTGGCTTGTCCCTAGGTCCTGAAATTTACCACCTGGCCCCTCCCCATCATGGTCTCCACCAGCATATGGTCTCGTGCCGGTTCTAACTTGTTCATTTCATAAGCTCAAATCTTAGATGTGAGTCCAGTCTGTGGGATCAATTGTGGTGGGCTGGAGCTAGGGGTTGGCATAAGGGTGATCTTGTTTTAAATAATGAATATGTAAAGAGAATTGGAAACCCATATATTAGTCAGGTTGATGTAGAGGAAAAAACTCAGTGTCATTCTTAAAAATTCAAGAGCTGAAGAGGAAATTTAAAAGCTTGTGCCCAAACACTGTGCCTCCAGGATGCAGGTTTGCTTCAAACCCCAAAATGGAATGTGATCATCTCATGAAACAGGTGTTCGTCATACAGTCAAGACAGGCAGAATCTGAAACATGTCTTCTATTTTCTCTCTCTTGTTTTCTTTGTCTACCCACCTTTCCCAAGAAAACATTGAGTGTCTGCTATGTTCTTTGACTGCCAACAGCAAGGCGGTCTCGATTATACCATCTGCTGAAATCTAGAGGAATAACTTTGCTTGGAAGCAAACTGCTGTCATGACTCCTTATTTGCTTTATTTTGTGGGCATAGGCTAACCCACTGATGTTCTTGCATGTTCTGCTGATCCTTATGAGTGTCAGAAAACCAGAGTGGTGAGACAAATGGGTTTGGATTAGTCCTGTTTTAGAGGTGTTTGAGGGAGCTCCACCCATCCCAGCGGAAGATGTTCCAGGCCACAGCTTCTGAAAAAGGAATTGAAACTCCATCTGAGTTTAGCAACTCCAGCTGAGAGCAAAGAAAATAAGAAGTGAGGATGGTGAGAATAAGAGACCATAATTTCTTTTAGATTTTAATTTCAACCAAAGGAGATAGATTCTGTTTCTCAGCTTTAATTTCTCTCTAGTGAATTAAATGGGAGAATGTTCATATTGTTTCAAGTTTGGGGCATTCTTTATTGCATTACTTAGGCTTGTGGAATAAACTCCAGTGAGCCAGTCTGAACATCATGATTGTGCACAGGAAATAGAAAATAGAATAGGAGTGAATTTTTTCCCTTAAATAATCTGCAACCTTTAAGTTAACTTAATATACTGTTGTGACTCACTTCAGGGACTTCTGGGGGCAATAGTTAAACAGATTCTAGGAGGGTTCTAAGGGATAAGAGACGACATAATATAATGTCATCTAGTGGGTAGAAGCCAGGTATAATATTGGGGAAATTTCTCCAAGTCTGGTGGAACCAAGCTACTTTACAATACTGTAGGGCTCTGACCAACTGATCCTGTTTGCCTGGGACTTTTTCCTTTTTTTTTTTTTTTTTTTTTTTGAGATGGAGTCTCGCTCTGTCTCCAGGCTGGAGTACAGTGACGCGGTCTTGGCTCACTGCAACCTCCGTCTCCTGGGTTCAAGAGATTCTCCTACCTCAAACTCCCAAGTAGCTGGGATTACAGGCATGCGGCACCACGCCCAGCTAATTTTTGTACTTTTTTAGTAGAGATGGGGTTTCACCATGTTGGCCAGGCTGGTCTTAAACTCCTGACCTCGTGATCCACCCACCTCGGTTTCTCAAAGTGCTGGGATTACAGGCATGAGCCACCACGCCCAGCCGCCTGGGACTTTCTTAATTTTAGTGTCCCAGGAACCCTCACCCTATCCCTGTATGAGTGGAGGATATCCCACTGTCCATGGACCTTAATCTGTTTGCCATCCCTGGGGGATGAGAGGCAATAGGAAATGAAGATGAACGTGGAGGGGACTCTTTAGCTATCTCTGCCCACCTGTTCCCTCAGAAGGATAAAGGGAGGGGTTTTTTCATGGTCTTCTTCTTCAAATTTTTTTATTTTTATTTTTTTTAGAGAGAGAGAGAGAGACAGGGTCTTGCTCTGTCACCCAGGCTGGAGTGCAGTGACACCATAAGAGCTCACTGCAGGCTCAACCTCCTAGGCTCAAGGGATCCTCCCACCTCAGCCTACTGGGTAGCTAGGACTATAGGCATGAGCCACCGTGCCTAGCCAAGAATAGAGATTTTAGTCAACATGGTAAGACCCCCTGGGCTTTCATCAAGTGGTGTTTTGTTTTGTTTTGTTTTGTTTTGTTTTGTTTTGTTTTGTTTTTGAGATGGAGTCTTGCTCTGTCACCCAGGCTGGAGGCTGGAGTGCAGTGCTGCAATCTTGGCTCACTGCAACCTCCACCTCCCAGGTTCAAACAATTCTCCCGATTCTCCTGCCTCAGCCTCCCAAGTAGCTGGGATTATAGGCGTGCACCATCATGCCAGCTAATTTTTATATTTTTAGTAGACACAGGGTTTCGCCATATTGGCAAGGCTGGTCTCGAACTCCTGACCTCAAGTCATCTGCCCGCCATGGCCCTCCCAAAGTGCTGGGATTATAAGCATGAGCCACTGTGCCCGGCCATCATCAAGGGTCTTTTTACTTGTGGGTAGAAGTACTGCATTCTAAAACTATGCACCCACAAAGGAACTATTCTCTTGCTTTCCTGCCTCAGAACAAAGTGGAATCTACTTCCCAGAGACCCGCCAACCATTCTGTTCTCCTCTAGTTTCGCGGGGGGATTTTGGCCCCCAGGGGACATTTGTCAACGTCTAGAGATATTTTAGGTTATCACAACTGGGAGAGGTGGGTGTGCTACTGTCATTTAGTGGGTAGAAGCTAGGTATGCTGCTGAAAATCCTACACAGAACAGGTCAGTACTTCCCCACCTACCCCAACAAAGAATTATCTGCTCCAAAATGTCATTAGTGCCAATTGTGAAACACTGCTCTTCGCTTTTTTCTATGCCATGAGAATATGTATGTAAGTGAACCGGGGTATGGGCCATACTTCCTTTGCAAATACACTTGAGTGTGTTGCTTACATGTGAGGAAGCAGGAAGTCTCACTTAGGTTTCCAGGTCTTAGCCATGATTTTGAACATAGGTTTTGGGAAAGCCTTGCATTGTCTATTCTGTGTAATGATTTAAGAAGGAATAATAGGTTTCCCTTTTGCTGGTTATTCTTCATATTTGGTTCCCTCTTGTTATGATATCCCAAATCTCATATTGAATTGTACCTCCCATAATTCCCATGTGTCCTGGGAGGGACTGGGTGGGAGATAATTGAATCATGGTTGTGGTTTCCCCCATACTGTTCTTGTGGTAGTAAGTCTCACGAGATCTGATGGTTTTATAAGAGGAAACCCCTTTTGCTTGGTTCTTATTCTCTCTTGCCTTCTGCCCTGTAAGATGTACCTTTTGCCTTCTGCCATGATTGAGAGGCCTCCCCAGCCGCATAGAGCTGTGAGTCCATTAAACCTCTTTTTGTTTATAAATTACCCAGTCTCAGGTATGCTTTTATCGGTAGTGTGAAAACAGACTAATACACCTCCATTGGGAATTCTGTAGGGAAGAGTGATGAATATCAAGCTATGACATGGGTATTCCTTGTTCCTGGGCTATAGTACCATCATAATATCATGAATACTTTGCCTCCAGCCATAGCTCCTCCTCTATCCATGTAGCATCAACCTTTCTCTCTATGCAGAGTCTTTCCTACGAGTGGGAAAACATGCTCGTATTTCCTCCAACTGTTTAGCAAATAAAAAAAAATTAAAAACACAATAAAAAGCCCCTTTTCTTGATCTCACATCCTTATTCTCTTCTTCATATAATAGTGAAGCTTTTTAAAGTTAGTTGAGAAATGGCAAATTTAACACAGCCAACAAGTGTTCCATTAATATGTGGTAGTTGATGAGGTGAGCCCATGCTCAGACACAGACCAGATATGTGGCCACAAGCAAAGCATAGGTTATTGCTTTCATGCAGCCCACCCTTAGTAAATATTGCTAAGGATGAATAAAAAAATTAAGCATTGAATCACCTTTCAAAGCTCTTGCTAAAATCTGGACATGAAAACATTAAGAAAGTAAGGAAAATTCAAAAGTTCAGGATCTTCTGGGTTGGGAACAGATACTTCCAACTCTGGAAGCCAGATTCTCACCTTCCCTGGTTCCCTTACAACTAGAACACAAACATTGACCTACAGCTCAGCAATCAAGTGCTCGGAGTCAGACTTTGACTCAGTAACTAGCAACACAAAGAGTCAGGAAATCAGCGACTGTGCATAGTCAATTATCGGGATTGATCCTGGGAGAGCCCCCTCCACCTTCCAGAGGCAGTAGTGATGTTTTCTTTAGCCAGGTCAAAGGTCCAGAAGGGGTGATGAGACTACCACTGGCTAAGTTTCTTATCCAGTAGTGGGGGCAGTGTGGACTATGTGGGATCACTTCTGTGGACTTTGGATGTTTCTTGCTACGTAGCCTCTAGATCTGCTTCTTCAGCTTTCCTGGATATGAAGAAAGCTTCCAAATATCATTTAATACATTAGTTTCTGACTCAATTGCCCAAAATGTGTTTCTATTGTTTGCCACTAAGAACTCTAATTGGTACCCCGCTGAGGCTCCTTAGCCAAGTGGCAACCAAATGTGGTATAAATATGACACTGTCAGGCCCTGTTGCAAAAAGGGCAGTCAAGCTAATTGTTGAATAGCAACACCATATTTGATTAATTCCATTTCATCCCTGATTTTTCCTTCTCTGTTCACTTCTTCCCTATTGTGGTTGCTGTATCTGTTAGAATAAGAGTGGTATCACTCTTTTTTTTTTTTTGGATCTTAGGGTGAAATTTCTTCTTGTCCCTTAAGCTATACCTAAGCCTTGGGCACACAGTAATAGATGAATAAAAAGAAAAGAAAAAAAGGCAAAAGTAATAGGAAAATAAAGGAGAAATGATAAGAAATATGGATGTAAACTGCTCAGATTTCAATATTCTATGTCAGGAGTCTACAAGCATTTATTGTAAAGGATTAGTAAAGGGTTGCTATAAATATTTTTGGCTTTGTGGGCCATAGGTTTTTGTCACAATGATTCAACTCTACCATTGTAACATACAAGCAGCCATAGATAACACACAAACAGATAGGTACTGTTGTAAATAAAACTTTATTCACAAAAGCAAGTGGTAAGCTAGATTTGGCCCCCTGATCATTGTTTGTTGACCCTTGCTCAATGACATGGTAGGTGCTAGGTTTTCTTTTCTGTTTATATTTAGGGTGAATACTCTTATATTCATTCATTCATTCATTCATTCATTCATTCATTCATTCTGGAATCACTTCTTGAACACCTATTTTGTCCCACTGTCCAAGATTTCTATAACTGAAGGAGCTCACACTCTGGGATGGATCAGGTGGCAGTAGTGCCATGTCGGTGCCCTGTCCATGTTCCCTCAAGCTTAACTCTTCAGTGCATGCAGACCCAACTTCCTACTGCCAGCATCTTCATTTCTTTGCCTGGGAAATTTCTCTGGCCATGATTGTATACAGTTGTATTCCTCAAAATATTCCAGTGTACTTCTCTTGAAGGTGGATGGGCTCTGTGACTATTTTGAGCAACGGCATATACAACAGTGAGTCCATGTATTATTTGGTCCCAGGCTGGAAAGCGTTAGCAGCCCATATTTCCCATTTTGGGGAACATTTGCTCTTAGAGTCTAGCCACCATATTGTAAAAAGCCCAAGCAGTAGCATCGAAAGACCCATGTGGAAAGGACTGAGTATCAACTTGCTAGCTTTGAGAATAAACCATTTGGGAAGTGGATCCTCAAGCCCTAGTCAAACCATACCAGTTAAAGCTGTGTATGAATAACAAGAGTAAATTATCCCCACTGAGCCCAACCCAACCTGCAGATTCATGAGCAACATGTATGCATAAAATGTAGTTGCTTTAAGCCTGTAAATTTTGAAAGGGTTTTAATGCAGTAAAACCCAGGACACTCACCCTAGCCTACAAGTAGTTATTATTATCAGCCTTTAACAGATGAAGGATAGGAAGTTTAGAGAAAATAAGCACACCTTGTTCCAAGTTCTTCACAACTAGTAAATTACAGATTAATTTACTAGTTAATTATTTCAAACTCAGGTCTTTCCGACCCCAAAGCTCAGACTCTTTACCTTGTTGCCTGTCTAAGCCAGAAACTAAACTGAAAAGAAATTAAATAAGATCAAATGAAAGAAAAGGAGGTAATATGAGTCAAGTCAAGGTGATGATAGGTGCTTGCCAAGCCAAAGCTGTCTGGTGCCACTTTTTTGGGAAATGTTCCAGAATGTTGCTATCCCCATACTTCAGTCCTGCCTGTGTTAACTCTATGCCCCCATTTTTAAACTGCTGTCCTAACACTTATCACATACTTTATTGTCCATCTCCATACTTGGGTAAAGCTCTTCTAGATATCTTACATCTATCACTATTCCTGGCCTCATTGCAGATATTCAATAAATATTTTGGGGATGCATTAATGAATTCTGGAATAGATTGTGGGGCACAAAGAACCTTATCAATTAGACTAGAGACACAACTATTAGACTTGTGCTGTCTATAACCTGGAGAACAATGCAAAGATGTTTAAAGAGTTCACAAGCTCTCCCACTCCATTCGTCCCCACCCATACCTGCCTCCCCAGGGTAATCCATGTTAATAATCTGGTTGCATCTCTCCACACCTTTCTTCACAGTCATATAAATTTATACAAACACACTGTATGATTTGGAGGGTTGTTTATTATTCGAATGTTGCGTTACTTTCTATTTCTCTGAAACTTGTAAGCTGGATAAAAAGCACAGGTTCTAGAGTCAAATTGATTGGGCTTAAATTCTGGGTCCTTGTTTACTAGCTCTGGTATCTTTGGCAAATTATTTAACCATCTTTGTACTCAGGTTTCTTATCTATAAAGTAAAATGGGGGAAATAATTGTTCTCACCTTATAAAACTGTAAAATGCACAACACTGCCATCAATAGGTAAGGATCTAACTCTTCTAAAATAGCTGCATAATATTCCACAGAATAGAAGTACCAACATTCATTTGACCATTCCTAATCATGGCCATTGGTTATTTGGTTATTTCCAGTCTTGTTACTATTATAAACTTTGCTTCAGTAAACATTATTGGACTTAAATCTTAGTGCTTTTATTTCCATAGAATAGATTATTCAAAGTAGGATTGCTGTTTCAATTTAATTGAACAGATTTATACTTGGCACAGGGAGAAGTATATCTCAGGGAGAGTGATATGGTTTGGCTGTGTCCCCACCCAAATCTCAAGTTGAATTGTAGCTCCCATAATTCCCACTTGTGGGAGGGACCCAGTGGGAGATAACTGAATCATGGGGACAGTTTCCCCGATATTGTACTTATGGTAGTGAACAAGCCTCACGAGATCTAATGGTTTTATAAGGGCTTTCTGCTTTCACTTGGCTCTCGTTCTCTCTTGTCTGCTGCCATGAAAGATGTGCTTTTGCCTTCTGCCATGATTGTGAGGCCTCCCCAGCCACGTGGAACTATGAGTCCATTAAACCTCTTTTTCTTTATAAATTACCCAGTATCAGGTATGTCTTTATCAGCAGCATGAGAACAGACTGTTCGAGGAGCGTTCGAGGAGTGTGGTCAGAGACTGGGCAGTCATTGTCCACAGAAATCACATGAATTGCTATGAGTCATATATCCATCTGACTTTTGGCTTGAAGTTCATGTAAGTTCCTTTGGTCTAGGATTCATGAGAACTTTGTCTTTTTTTGGGGTAGATTTATTTTAATCACCACGCAGTTGAGAGTATTGAAGAAATGCTCAAAAACAAAATCACACTGGAGCCACCAGTTTCTCTAGCTTAGTAAAGTGGCTGTAAAAAATTTAAAACTCAGAATGAAATCATAAGCCAATCCCCTACAAATTGGGTATACCACATTACTTTAGATCTCTTGTTTTATGTGACTCAGTTTATAACTGATCTTCCACTTGGGAACCTATTGGTAATTCAAACAACTCTCAATGAAAACGTGTGCTGCCTAATACAAGATCTGTGTCCAGTGATTCTTCAGCAGAATAGGCTCTCTTTTTTTCTAAATTGGGTTCTTTTCCTTCTGTATTTTTCATTTCCCCTTTCCTTTGTACTTAGATGTCTGACCCTTGGTAGGTTCACGGTACCAACACTGAGACTTAGAAATAGATTATTTTCAAATTGCCATTTCTTTACCACACAAGAAGCTTTTCTGATTTCTTGGGCGTTAAGCACTTCCAAACGTCCGGAGACAGAATATGCAATATTCCTTGACATGTTCCTGCTTATCACTGAGCTTCCCTCCTAAATATTTTTTGGAAATACTTATTGCTCCCCCTCTGTGGGACAAAATTGATCTGGCTTCTTTCTGCTACTTTCTAATGGAAATGAATAACAATATGCCTCCCAAAATAAATAGGCCTCAGTCATCCAGGAACACAAAAAAAGCACTCAACCATACAAAGGTATTTGAATCTGTACTCAGCAGCAATTTTTTGCCGGTGTACAAATAAAACAAAGAGGCCAAGCCCAGAGTCCTGACTTACTCCTGGCTGCCTTTTGTCAAACTGAAACTGAGGACATGGGACCACACATACAAGAAGTATGAGGGAAAATGAGGGATTCTAATACACTGGTTTACTTTACTATTTTCTATGAGAGACTTCTTTCATAGAAATATTCTTTAGTAGAGAGGCCATTTGGCATTATGGAAAGTGACTGGACACTGGCATCCAGAAGAAATATTCTTTAGTATTCTAATACTAAATACTCTTTAGTATTCTAATACTAAATACTCTCTGGTATTCTAATACTAAATACTCTCTGGTATTCTAATACTAAATACTCTCTGGTATTCTAATACTAAATACTATTTAGTATTCTAACAAACTGGTTTACTTTAGTATTTTCTGTGAGAGACTTCAACAACAACCATATGGCTTTCAGAAGCTTGTCAGAGCCCTAAAATGGAGAACTGGTATTAATTGCAGGCATGTGCCACCACGCCCAGCTAATTTTTGTATTTTTTGTAGAGGCAGGGTTTCACCATATTGGCCAGGCAGGATTACAAGCGTGAGGCACCGTGCCTGGCCGTCTTTCTTTTCTTTCTTTCTTGTTTGTTTGTTTGTTTTTTGTTTTTTGTTTTTTGTCTAAACCTCTTCTTTCCTTGACCTCCTTTGTATTCTTACTCTGACTTCAGGCTCTCCCCACATTCCCTTTACTTTTTTTTTTTTAACCTGCTTATTCTCACTTCTGGTTTCTGGTCTTCAAGGCAGAAGGGAGGGAAGTTGGGAGGCTGCCCAGGCCTCTTCCCACAGCCTGATGCGTGCCTACTGAGCACAGCTCTTGAAAAGTTCTTTAGATTAGGTCTCTTTCCAGGATGTCTTTGCCTCAGCCCAATTGTCCAAATTGTAAATGGACTTAGCAGCCCTTTTGAAATAAAGACAAATGGGCCACTTAAAACTTCTCTAATTTCTTGTGAAAAGACAAACTCTTACTTATGCCAATTTGTTTCTTCTTCTCTTTTCTAATTTCCCTGCTTTTCAAGGCCACTTTGTACAGATGTAAAGAGGAGGTGGCATTCTATAAGCAGGAAGAATAAAATGTACATAATGAAAGTCCATACTGGCTTTCCAAAAGGGTTACATAAAAGCAAAACAAAACAGAAAGTTAAAATAAAAGGAAGGACAAAGTTATTTTGTTAGGTAAAGACTAACAAAAAACAAATGTGTTACAATATTTAGTTAAACATATAAAAATTAAAAAGCAAAGAATTGAACTAAGAAGGGTTCATTGAGAAAAAGTAGGATCCTCCAAGAAGATAAAAGTTACAAACCTTCATGCCCCAAGTGACATAGAGCCAAAATACATAAAGGAAATACTGTTAGGAATGCTTTGAGAAAACGAAAAAGGGAGGACAAATGTGCAATTGTAGCAAACTGTAACATATCTGTCAGAATTGATCTGCTGAGTGCAGTGGCTCAGACCTGTAATTACAGCACTTTGGGAGGCCGAGGTAGGCAGATCCCCTGAGGTCAGGAGTTCAAGACCAGCCTGGTCAACATGGTGAAACCTCATCTCTACTAAAAATACAAAAATTAGCTGGGCATGGTGGCGCATGCCTGTAGTGTCAGCTACTCTACTCGGTAGGCTGAGGCAAGAGAATCGCTTCAACCAGGAGGCAGAGGTCGCAGTGAGCCGAGGTTGTGCAACTGCACTCCAGCCTGGGTGACAGAGTGAGACTCAATCTAAAAAAAAAAAAAAAAAGAAAAGAAAATTGATATACCAGTTTCAAGTTCTCAAAATTTAAATAAGAATATAAGACATTGCAAATTAAAATATCCAATTAGTAAGAATGATTTAACAGCTATATTCTTAACTATGTTCTCAATGAACAGAAAATTATGTTTTTGTTTTTTTTGCCTTTCAGCCAGAACCACCATCTTCCAGTAATTCGCCAAAATGACGAACTTCATGCGCATCCATGTGAAGAGACCACCAAACAGGCTTTGTGTGAGCAATAAAGCTTTTTAACCACCTGGGTGCAGGCGGGCTGAGTCCAAAAAGAGAGTCAGAGAAGGGAGATAGGGGTGGGGCCGTTTTATAAGATTTGGGTAGGTAAAGGAAAATTACAGTCAAAGGGGTATTGTTCTCTGGCGGGCAGGAGTGGGGGTCACAAGGTGCTCAGTCGGGGAGCTTTTGAGCCAGGATGAGCCAGGAGAAGGAATTTCACAAGATAATGTCATCAGTTAAGGCAGGAATAGGCCATTTTCATTTCTTTTTTGGTGGAATGTCATCTGTTAAGGCAGGAACCGGCCATCTGGATGTGTATGTGCCGGTCACAGGGGATATGATGGCTTAGCTTGGGCTCAGAGGCCTGACATTCCTGCCTTCTTATATTAATAAGAAAAATAAAACAAAATAGTGGTAAAGTGTTTGGATGGCGAAAATTTTGGGGGATGGTTTGGAGAGATAATGGGCGATGTTTCTCAGGGCTGCTTCGAGTGGGATTAGGGGTGGCGTGGGAACCGAGAGTGGGAGAGATTAAGCTGAAGGAAGATTTTGTGGAAAGGGGTGATATTGTCGGACTGTTAGAAGAAACATTTGTCATTTAGAATTATTGGTGATGGCCTGGATACGGTTTTGTATGAATTGAAAAACTAAACGGAATAAGAGAAGGAGGAAAACAGGTATTAAAGGTCTAAGAATTGGGAGGACCCAGGACATCTAATTAGAGAGTGCCTAAGGATATTCAGCATAGTCCTGCCAGCAAAGATTATTCATTTACTTCAAGAGTTAAGAGTGGCAGTTTGGGGATAGCACCAGGAGATATCAGCTGTAATGGCTTGGAGAAACAGTGTAAACTGACGGTGTAAACAAGAGCATGTATGAGTAGTTGAGAATGGTGAATAGGAGTATGACTAGACAGAAGATAGTAGGGATGACAAGTGTTTTGGGGCACAGTCCAAGTTGGTCTGGTGTCTGAAATGAGACTGGGGCCTAATAAAAAGGAGCGTCTATACAGGATCTCAAATGGGCTGTACCTTGTAGCAGTCCGAGGACAGGCCTGAATTCTGAGAAGGGAAAGTGGTAAAAGTATTGTCCAGTCCTTTTTAAGTTGGTGGCTGAGCTTGGTGAGGTGTGTTTTTAAAAGACCATTAGTCTGTTCTACCTTTCCTGAAGACTGAGGACTGTAAGGGATATAAAGGTTTCACTGAATACTAAGAGCCTGAAAAAATGCTTGGCTGATTTGACTAATAAAGGCTGGTCTGCTATCGGACTGTATAGAGGTGGGAAGGCCAAACCAAGGAATTATGTCTGACAGAAGGGAAGAAATGACTGTGGTGGCCTTCTTACACCCTGTGGGAAAGGCCTCTACCTATCCAGTGAAAGTGTCTACCTAGACCAAGAGGTATTTTAGTTTCCTGACTCGGGGCATGTTGAGTAAAACTAATTTGCCAGTCCTGGGTGGGGCAAATCCTCGAGCTTGATGTGTAGGGAAGGGAGGGGGCCTGAATAATCCCTGAGAAGTAATAGAATAGCAAATTTGCCAGTCCTGGGTCGGGGCAAATCCCTGAGCTTGATGTGTAGGGAAGGGAGGGGGCCTGAATAATCCCTGAGGAGTAGTAGAATAGCAGATGGAACACTGAGAAGTTATTTCCTTGAGGATAGATTTCCACGATGGAAAGCAAATGAGAGGTTCTAAGAGGCGGGCTAGTGGCTTGTACTATATAGCATAGCCTGCCTTTGCTGGTGTGTGGCGATTAGGCCTGGTGAAACTGCCATCAATAAACCAAGTGTGATCAGGGTGAGAAACAGGGAAGAAGGAAATATGGGGAAATGGGGTGAACGTCAGGTGGATCAGAGAGATGCAGTCATGAGGGTCAGGTGTGGTATCAGGAATAATGTGGGAGGCCGGATTGAAGTCTGGGCCAGGAACAATGGTAATTGTGGGAGACTCAACAAAGAGTGAGTACAGCTGAAGGAGCCGGGGAGCAGAAAGTATATGCGTCAGGTGTTCGGAAGAAAATAGATTTTGGAAATTATGAGAGCTGTAGAGAGTGAGTTGAGCATAGTTTGTGATTTTAAGGGCCTCTAAAAGTATTAGGGCGGCAGCAGCCACTGCATAGAAACATGATAGCCAGCCTAAAACAGTAAGGTCAAGTTGTTTGGACAAAAAGGCTACAGGACGCGATCCCGGTCCTTGTGTAAGAATTCCGACTGCACAGCCCTGTGCTTCAGCTGTGTGTAATGAAAAGGGTTGGGATGAGTCAGGGAGAGCTAGGGTGGGGGCAGTCTCTAAAGCTGTCTTCAAGGAATGGAAAGAGGAGTGGGGAAAGGATTTAGGATCTATGGCGTCAGCTAGGTTTCCTTTTGTGAGTTTATATAATGGTTTTGTTAGGATGGCAAAACCAGGTATCCAAAGGCAAAAATATTCAACCATGCCCAGGAAGGAAAGGAGTTGTTGTTTTGTAGAAGGGATTGGGGTTTGGGAGATTAGCCGGACATGATCAGCAGGGAGAGCACATGTGTTTTTATGAGAATTATGCCGAGATAGGTAACAGATGAGGGAGAAATTTGGGCTTGACTGAAGTAATGAGGGCTGTCTGTGAAGACTTGTGGCAGTACAGCCCAGGTAATTTGCTGAGCCTGATGGGTGTCAGGGTCAGTCCAAGTGAAAGCGAAGAGAGGCTGGGATGAAGGGTGCAAAGGAATAGTAAAGAAAGCATGTTTGAGATCCAGAACAGAATAATGGGTTGTGGAGGGAGGTATTGAGGATAGGAGAGTATATGGGTTTGGCACCATGGGGTGGATAGGCAAAACAATTTGGTTGATAAGGTGCAGATCTTGAACTAATCTGTAAGACTTGTCTGGTTTTTGGACAGGTAAAATGGGGGAATTGTAAGGAGAGTTTATAGGTTTTAGAAGGCCATGCTGTAACAGGCGAGTGATAACAGGCTTTAATCCTTTTAAAGCATGCTGTGGGATGGGATATTGGCATTGAGCAGGGTAAGGGTGATTAGGTTTTAATGAGATGGTAAGAGGTGCATGATCGGTCACCAAGGAGGGAGTAGAGGTATCTTATACTTGTGGGTTAAGGTGGGGGGATACAAGAGGAGGACGCAAAGGAGGCTTTGGATTGGGAAGAAGGGTGGCAATGAGATGTAGCTGTAGTCCAGGAGTAATCAGGGAAGCAGATAATTTAGTTAAAGTGTCTCAGCCTAATAAGGGAACTGGGCAGGTGGGGATAACTAAAAAGGAGTGCTTAAAAAAGTATTGTCTAAGTTGGCACCAGAGTTGGGGAGTTTTAAGAGGTTTAGAAGCCTGGCCGTCAATACCCACAACAGTTATGGAGGCAAGGGAAACAGGCCCTTGAAAAGAAGGTAATGTGGAGTGGGTAGCCTCTGTATTGATTAAGAAGGGGACGGACTTACCCTCCACTGTGAGAGTTACCTAAAGCTCGGCGTCCATGATGGTCTACGGAGCTTCCGAGGCGATCGGGCAGCGTCAGTCTTCAGCCGCTAAGCCAAGAAGATCCGGGAAGGAGTCAGTCAGAGAGCCTTGGGCCAGAGTTCCAGGGGCTCTGGGAGTGGCTGCCAGGTGAGTTGAACAGTCCGATTTCCAGTGGGGTCCCGCACAGATGGGACACGGCTTAGAAGGAATCCCAGGCTGTGGGCATTCCTTGGCCTGGTGGCCAGATTTCTGGCACTTGTAGCAAGCTCCTGGGGGAGGTGGTTCTGGAGGATGCCTGGCACTGCAGTTTAGGCTTTTGGAAGTTCTTGTGTGCTGGAGATGTGGCTGGGGTTTGTCTCACAGTGGAGGCAAAGAATTGCAACTCAGAAATATGTTGCTATTTGGCTGCCTCTACTCTATTATTGTACACCTTGAAGGCAAGGTTAATTAAGTCCTATTGTGGGGTTTGAGGGCCAGAATTTAATTTTTGGAGTTTTATTTAATGTCGGGAGCAGATTGGGTAATAAAATGTATATTGAGAATAAGACGGCCTTTTGACCTTTTAGGGTCTAGGGCTGTAAAGCGTCTCAGGGTTGCTGCCAAACGAGTCATAAACTGGGCTGGATTTTTTTATTTGATGAAAAAGAGCCTAAATGCTATCTGATTTGGGATAAAGAAAAAGGAGCATTAACCTTGACTATGCCTTTAGCTCCAGCCACCTTTTTAAGAGTAAATTGCTGGCAGGTGGGGGAGGGCTAGTCATGGAACGAAACGGTAAGCCGGACTGGGTGTGAGGAGGGGAGGTGATAAAAGGATTATAGGGTGGAGGAGCGGAGGCTGAGGAAGAATTGGGACCTAGCTCGGCCTGGCAAGGAGGGGAGAGGTCAAATGGGTCTGTAGAAAAGGAAGATTAGAAAGACTCAGCAACGCTTGGGGTTGGGACTGAGGGGACAGGTGGGAGGGAAAGAAGGAGGATTTGGGAGGAATTGCACTGGGAACAGAGACTAGGGAGGGAACGAAGTGTGAAAAATGCCTGGATGTAAGGCACCTCAGACCATTTGCCCATTTTTTGACAAAAATTATTTAGGTCTTGTAGGATGGAGAAATCGAAAGTGCCGTTTTCTGGCCATTTACAGCCATTGTTAAGTTTGTATTGGGGTCAAGCGGCATTGCAGAAGAAAATAAGACACTTAGATTTTAGGTCAGGTGAGAGTTGAAGAGGTTTTAAGTTCTTAAGAACACAGGCTAAGGGAGAAGAAGGAGGAATGGAAAGTGGAAGCTTGCCCATAGTGAAGGAGGCAAGCCCAGAGAAAAGACAGTAGAGACACGAAGGGGTGGGGGGTTCTTGCCCTCCAGAAAAGCAGAGAAGCGGTTGGGGTGCAGAAATAAGTGGTTGGGGCACAGACATAAGAGGTCGGGGCATGGAAATAAGGAATTGGGGCACAGAGATAAGGGGTCAGGGCATGGAAATAAGGGATCAGGGCACAGAGATAAGGGGTCGGGGTGCAGAAATAAGGGATCGGGGCACAGAGACAAGGGGTAGAGGTGCAGAAATAAGGGATTGGGGCACAGAGATAAGAGGTTGGGGTGTGGAAATAAGGGATCGGGGCACACAGATAAGAGGTCAGGGTTCCTGCCCCTCCCCTAGAAAAGTGGGACTTGCCGCTAAGGGTGAAGGAGAAGGGGTTGAGGGGTTCTTGCCCCTCCCCCAGAAAAGTGGAGAAGGGATAGAGACATGGAGAGAAGGGCTTGGGGTTCTTGCCCTTCCCCCAGAAAAGTGGGACTTGCCACTAAGGACCAAGGCAGGCGTCCCTGCGTGGTCTGACACCTCTGAAACCTGGGTGAATAATCAGAGAGGTGCCCCTGCAATGATTAAGCACCAAGGGAAGGCTGCCTTCCCAGTCCATGACCGGAGCTGGAGTTTGGGGTCCACGGATAAAACATGTCTCCTTTGTCTCTACCAGAAAATGAAAGTAATTGAAATTAAGAGAAGGGAGAGATAGAAGTGTGGTGCCAAGATTGAAAGGAGAAAGAGGTTGAGGGATAGTGAGGGACGTTGGAGAAGAGAGTAAAAAGAGGCTGCTTACCAGATTTGAAATTGGTGAGATGTTTCTTTGGCTGGTTGGTCTGAGGACCTGAGGTTGTAGGTGGATCTTTCTCACGGCACAAAGAGCAGGAGGACAGGGGATTGATCTCCCAAGGGAGGTCCCCTGATCCGAGTCATGGCACCAAATTTCATGTGTGTCTGTGTGAAGAGACTACCAAACAGGCTTTGTGTGAACAATATAGCTTTTTAATCACCTGGGTGCAGGTGGGCTGAGTCCGAAAAGAGTCAGAGAAGGGAGATAGGGGTAGGGCCATTTTATAAAATTTGGGTAGGTAAAGGAAAATTACAGTCAAAGGAGGGTTGTTCTCTGGCAGGCAGGAGTGGGGGTTACAAGGTGCTCAGTCAGGGAGCTTTTGAGCCAGGATGAGCCAGGAGAAGGAATTTCACAAGATAATGTCATCAGTTAAGGCAGGAACAGGCCATTTTCATGTCTTTTGTGGTGGAATGTCATCTGTTAAGGCAGGAACCAGCCATCTGGATGTGTATGTGCAGGTCACAGGGGATATGATGGCTTAGCTTGGGCTCAGAGGCCTGACAACGAACACAAAGGGAAAGAGGAGAAGCACCCGATATATGTTCTCTAGGCCTTTTAGAAAATGTGGAGTTGTTTCTTTGGCCATGTATATGTGAATCTACGAGAAAGGTGATATCGTTGACATCAAGGGAATGGGTACTGTTCAAAAAGGAATGCCCCACAAGTGTCACCATGGCTAAACTGGAAGAGTCTACAATGTTCCCCAGCATGCTGTTGGCATTGTTATAAACAAACAAGCTAAGGGCAAGATTCTTGCCGAGAGAATTAATGTGCACATTGAGCACATTAAGCACTCTGAGAGCTGAGAGAGCTCCCTGAAACGCATGAAGGAAAATGATCAGAAAAAGAAAGAAGCCAAAGAGAAGGTACCTGGGTTCAAATGAAGCGCCAGCCTGCTCCACCCAGAGAAGCACACTTTGTGAGAACCAATGGGAAGGAGCTATGAGCTGCTGGAACCTATTCCCTATGAATTCATGGCATAATAGGTGTTAAAAAAGAAAAAAAGACCTCTGGGCTGTTTTCTGAATAGCCTTGAAAAATATATAACTCTGGACCAAACATTGGGCTATTTAAAAAACTCAGTAGATTCTAGGGAAATATACTAAGTTACGTTCTTTGACAATAATCAAATATAACTTAAAAATTAATATTAAAAGGTATTATATGTCTATGTTTAAGTCAGACATACAACTGGCACTTAAAAATAGTTTTCTAAGCAAATCATGGTTTGCAGATTTTAAAAAGCTCAATTACCAGTTAATTGTAAATAAATGATTATCAGAAGCCCATGTGCTATCAATAGGATATGGCCAAAGATACAGAGAGAAACACATTTATTACTAAATAGTAATGATTAAAAAATAAAAGGAAAACAAGACAAAGAAAGGAAGTGATCAATAAAGATATGAGAAGAAATCAATAAAATAAAAAGGAAATTAATAGTTCTTTTTTTTCCTTTTAATTGTAATTTTATAGCTCCCCACTCCATCTGCCCCGCCCCTTCCCTTCAATGATGACGTTTGCAGGTTTCAGGGGGACCAGGGAACAAAGCTGGAGCCTGGCAGCCCCACTATGCTGCCAGCCGGGGAGAGCAAGTCACAGTTACAAATTATCACAACAATTAGCGCCTGTACTTGGGGGATCTGCAAATTGAGGAGACCCCAACTCCTCATTGTACAGGGGTCTATTTGGCAGTGACCTTGCTCTGGAGACGATGATATTCCCTCAGCGTGAGGGAATTGATGTTGATGAACCTGATGGCATCAATTGGCTCATAATCATCCTGCACTTTCATGCTCACCAGCAACTGGCTGTAGAGAGACAGTGCGTACTCCCAGCTGAGGATGTACACCTGGCCCTTGAGGACGGACACCTGCACTTTCCCTTCTACTCGCTCCTGGAACTTGGCAATGCAGTGGCGGACAAATTCACACTCTGGTCTGTGCCAGAAACCGGTATACACCAGCTCAGCAAATTCCAAGCCCAGGCCTTGTTTGATTTTGCGCACTTCCAGGTCCATGGTGAAGGCCTTGATGTCTAAATGAGCGTGGTAAAGGATGGTGCCTGCTGGGGTATCCTAGATACCTTGGGACTTCATTCCAATGAAGCGGTTCTCCACGATGTCAGTATGGCTACACCCTGCTTGCCCGTGACTTCGTTTAGGTACATGAAAAGGAGGTACCAAGGTACCAAGGAGGTCTGGTGGGTGGTGCCATCCTTGACGTTGGTCACCTTCACAGGGACCCCGTTTTGGAACTCGAGAATATCAGGGGTGTTGGGGGCTTTGGCCAGGTCCTGGGTCTTCGTGTAGAGACCTGGAGGCACTTAGTTCTTGGGGTTCTCCAGGATTCCAGCCTCACAGCTGATGTGCATGAGGTTCTGTTCCATGCTCCATGGCTTCTTGGAAGTGACCAGGATGGGAATCCCGTGTTGCTTTTGTGTATTCTTCCATCAGGTCATTGAAGGCCTTGAACCAGTTGTAGAACTCGGGCATCCTCCAGGGAGCAATGACCTTTATCTGGGGGGGGGCCAGTGAGTAGCAGGTGAGTTCAAATCAGAACTGATCGGTCCCCTTTCCCGTGGCACCGTGGGACACATACTTGGCCCCCTCCTGCTGGACAATTTCCATTTGTTTGCAGGCAATGCAGGGCCTGGCAAGAGAGGTGCCCAGGAGGCAGTGGTCTTCATACAGTGCCCTGGACTGGATGGCCGGCCAGATGAACTCCTCCACAAACTCCCTGCTGGCATCCTCAATGAACACCTTTTTGGCCCCAAGCTTCAGTGCCTTCTTCCTGGCTTCCTCGAAGTCTTCCTTCTGGCCAATGTTGGCTAGGTAGGCAATTATGTCATAGCCTTGTTCCTTCGGCCACATGAGGATGCAGGAGGTGTCCAGGCCCCACTGTAGGCCAGAACCATGGAGTCTTTGCTGGACATAGCGTCTAGGATTGGAAGCACCAGTTGCCGGCATCTGGAATCTGTCTTCATGGTGTAGTGAACCACTCAGGCTTGGGCAGCGGTGGCAGGTGACAGAGCAGTGGAAATTAATAGTTCTTAAAAGGAAACTAAATGCTTATTCTTTGAGTATAATAAAACTAAATAGACAAACTTCGTTAAGATTGATCAAGAAAAAAAGGAAGAAGGGACACACACATAAACTCATTAGGAAGGGAAATAGAATATAAATACAATCAAGAACATTTAAAAATTAAAAAGAATAATATGTTAAGCTTTATGAAAATAAATATTAAAATTTAGAGGAAACAGATGATTATCTAGAAAAATATTAATCACCAAGGAAAACAAAAGAAAGGCCACAGATAAAACTTCAAGATAGGCTGGGCACAGTGGCTCATGCCTGTAATCCCAGCACTTGCGGAGACCAAGGTGAGTGGATCACCTGAGGTCAGGAGTTCAAGACCAGCTTGGCCAACATGGTGAAACCACATCTCTCCTAAATACAAAAAGTTAGCCAAGCATGGTGGCACATGCCTGTAGTCCCAGCTACTCCGGAGGCTGAGACAGGAGAATCACTTGAACTGGGGACAGGGAGGTTGCAGTGAGCCGAGGTTGCGCCACTGCACTCCAGCCTGGGCAACAAGAGCGAAACTCTGTCTCAAAAAAAAAAAAAAAAAAGAGAAAAGAAAACCAAAACAAAACAAAAACCTTCATGATAATCAAAACTTCATCCTCTTTCTAATAAAACACCCCAGACATAAATGGTTTTATAGCTGAGTGCAAACAAACATTCAGGAACCAGGTAACCTCTGTGTTTGTAAGCTCTCTCAGAACATTATTAAAAATACAAAGTTCCCCCAAATTATCCTGCAAGGCTGGCATAACCCTGCTACCAAAGCTCACAAAGACAATAGAATTAAAATAAACAAACAGAAATTACAGAATAGTATGACTTATGAACAGAGAGGCAAGAATTCTTAATAACTTTCTAGCAACTAAAGTATAGCAGAATATTTTTAAAAATGCTTCTAATTAAATAAGTAGATTTTCCACCAAGAATTTAAGAATGGAAATCTAACAGTATAATTCATTACATTTTTGACCAATAGAAGTGAAATTTATGATTATCTCACTAGACACCTAGTAAACATTTGATAAAATTCAGTGAGATTCTTTTTTGTTTTATAAACTCTAAACAACCTGGAGGAAAAGAAAACTTCAGCCTGCGTTATCTGAAAGCAGATGCTGAAACAGCATTCAATGTGCAAGATATTTATTAGGATTCACTCCCTGTGGAAGGGAGAAGGCAGCAGGATTTGGCAGAAAGAGAGAGAGAGCCCATCAGCGGTGTCCTGCACTGAACCTATAAAATCTGGCTTTTATACCCCTGCCTCGATCAATAATTGGATGCCCAGCACTGCAGGAAGGGTGTACTCTTGGCTGAGGCAGCTCCCTGTAGTTGAGGAAAACCCCGAAGGAATTGTAGCAGCAAGTCATTCCTTGGAAGGGGGTGGGCGGTGCATCTCCTACCCATCACAATTTGATTAAAAAAAAAAAAAAAGCAACTTAGAATCGCCTCCAGTAAAGGTAGACGTATTGATTGCTAACACTACTACTATTCATCATAGAAAATCATAGACAATGAAATAAAGCAGAAAAGAAAACTGTTTTGAGGTACACACATCGGAAAATGGAGACAAAATTATTATTTGCAGGCAATATGACTATACAGAAAACCAACCCCCCAAAAATTGAACTTTTATTTGTTCCACAAGATACACAGAATACAAAATCAACAGACAAAACTTTTCTAAGTAGCTTTTCTAAATATCCACACCCCCAATTATCATCTGAAAAAAATAATTATTAGGTGGATTAAATGAAGTTTTTCAAAAAAGCTTTAAAAACATTTTGTTAATATGGTAAATGAACTAATATGGACCCCTCTCCCTCAATCACAAGCACATTGAACTGCTGGATAAAATATGGGTTAAAAAAAATGTCAATACTTAACAGCTCAAAACAAAGAGGAAATTCTCCAGACAGCTCAGATGGAATACAGTTTCTAGAGGCTACAAGCACCCACCAGCCTAGAGGAGCTACAATATGATGTGAATGGCCACCATAGCACAGCTCCCATGGGGATCAGATTTCCTTAGATTTGGGCAAGAAAACAGCCTTGTTGAGAAGGATAATTCTAGATAAAACCAGGATTCTGGAAGGGCTGCCACTTCTGGAAAAGGAGAACGGAAAAAAACTATGTACCTGGTTCTGGGTGACCAAAAGAGCACTTGACCCTATGAGCCTCCAGGTAGAAATTAAACATGTCTACTGTAAGAAATCAAAGCCCCACATTTGGACCATGCATAGGGTGGAATAAAAATGTATATTACACATTTAGTATGACATTCCTTACGTTGAAATGTTAGTATAAAAACAGGTTTCAGGCCAGGTGTGGTGGATCACACCTGTAATCCCAGCACTTTGAGAGGCTGAAGCGGGTGGATCACCTGAGGTCAGGAGTTTGAGACCAGCCTGGCCAACATGGTGAAATCCCGCCTCTACTAAAAATACAAAATTAGCCAGACATAGAGGCGCACGCCTGTAGTCCCAGCTACTTGGGAAGCTGAGGCAGGAGAATCACTTAAACCCGGTAGGCGGGGGTTGCAGTGAGAGGAGATCATGCCATTGCACTCCAGCCTGGGCAACAAGAACAAAACTCCATCTCAGAAAAACAAATAAATAAAACAGGTTTTGGATTAGGGAAACCTCAGCTGAAGTAAACATTTAAACAAACATAATAAAAACACAGACCACTTTTATGGCTCTGTGCTTATAAAATTCCCACCAGGGAAAACAATTGCTAGCTCATTATAAGAAAATTACATGCCTCATGGGGAAGTGATTGACTCTGAGACAGTCAAAAGATAATGTAGGAGGATTATGACCTTAAGAATATGACCCTAAGTAATAAAATAATCTGAACAATTCTTTAAAAGAAGTATTTGTTAGTATTTATATAGATTTTTCTAAAGGAATAAATGCTATAATAAATACTATTGATTGCTTACCAAACAGTTATTTCTCCCAATTTCTGGCTTATCACAGACGTTATTATACTTTTGTTTAGATTTTAAAGCAGCTAGAGCTTCAGGGGAGCCTGGGTTCCTGCCCAGTCAGAGGAGACAGATCGTGATTGGTGTAAATCAGTCATGGTAACTCCATCTCCTTATAATTTAAGAACAGTGTGTGGCACAATTGTAGTCAACAAGACATGAGGAAAAATCTGTGAAGTTTATGGAAAAGTCTTCTTGGTTCATATACAGGGACATTTGAAGTGATATCCTCTTTCCGCCACTAGACAATCTATGTGAGGATGAGGTGCTTGGAGCTGCTGCTGCAGCTATCTTGTGAACCATGAGAGGAAAGGCCCAAGGCACAGCCAAACATTAAGGATGGAGAACAGAAAGATGGAAAGACCCTGAGTCCTTGATGATATAATTGATCCACTGAATTTAACTACTCTGGAGCTGCCCTATCTTTGAAGTTTTTATTGTGTGGAGTAAACTTATGGTTTAAATAATTTGCACTTGGTCTTTTATTACTTAAAGCCCAGATCAAACCAACTGATAAATTATACCAGGAAAAAGAGGATAATAGGGGCGGGGTTGGGGGGAAAGAACCGGCAAGTTTGAAAAGAACCAAATAATACTTACAGAAATGAAAAATGTGAGGTGTTGAAGTTATAAACTTGTTGGGCAGCTTAAACATCTGATTACTCACAACTGAAGTGACAACTAGGTAAACAGAGGACAGATCTGAGAATTCACACAAAATGCAGCCTGAAATAAAAGAAATATGAAAGACAGTCGTAAACCGACAGATAGAAGGAAAAGGTCTAATTCACATCTAGGCTCTCCAAAGGAAGAAAATAAAGAGAATAATGAGGCAATATTTGCTTATTTAATAGTGGGAAATTTTCAATAATTAATTAAATACATCCATATCCAGATGAGAGAGAAATAACGAATCCTAAGCAGGATAAAAATACTTCCTCAATGGTTACATCATAGTAAAAGGGAAAAGAGGGAAACCTTAAAAGTAACCAGAGAATAAAGTAGGATTATCTATGATGAAAAATATAATGGCCCCCTCACCAACAAGTATCTTCCTGACTCCACATACCACTGGCCTTCTTTTGAAAAATCTCATTAGAATGCTGATTTTGTTCAGATGTTGAATGAAGGTTTCTTGATCTCAGGAAAGATACACTTCATGTGGGAGAGGGACTCTTGCCAATGAAACATGAGAAATTTCCAGCCATGATGAGATCATTGGTACCTAACTATACTCTCATGGTTAAAAACAAAACAAAATAAAATTTATTGTGACTGTTTTTAGACATTTTCAATAGGTATTCCAAAACTGTGATCCCTGAGAGAAGGGAAATAAATACAGTGAGACCCATAAACACCCCGGATTTCTGCACAGACACACATTCTGCATATTGGTGTGAGGATAGGTGGCCCAGACAGAGCACAGCAGTCTCAAGGAGGTGAGGAGAAAGAGGCCATAATTCAAGAACCCTGAGATGCCCAGAATTTTCCTGGAAGAAGAGAGTGGTGTTGAAAAGAAGATCCAGAAATCTGCATAGTAGGCCAGACACTGAACTGGTCATGCACAGGGTTACTGCACCTGCCCAGGAAAGAACTATTACCAGGGAAAGAATGACTGTCAGTGTGCTGTGAGATGAACAATTTCCAGGGCTAGTGAAAGGGTCAGGGACATTTGAGTCCTGACCACCCCGAGCAGAGAGAATGTACTGAACACCCAGAGTACACAATAGAGGCCTGAGAAAGGCTATAATTTAGGAAGATGGCTAATTTAGCATGAAGGAGGGAAGCACCACTTAAGACTTTCCCAAACAAATCTTATAAAGATGACTTGGAAGGATTAAACTAATTCTCAAGTAAATTGCCTGCCTTTCAGAACAGAGCTCAAAACCCTGTTGAGGAATCAACAAAATCCAGATACTCAAGAAAATAGCTGAAATCCAGTATACAATGCAAAATTTCTACTCATGTGAAGAAGTAGGAATGTTTGAACCATATCTAGGACAAAAATCAATAAAGTTTGAAGAAATTGCCGAGAACAGCTCGGTCACGGAGACCCTAACCCAGTGGCGCTAGAGGAATTAAAGACACACACAGAAAAATAGGGTGTGGAGTAGGAAATCAGGGGTCTCACAGCCTTCAGAGCTGAGGTCCTCGAACAGAGATTTACCCACATATTTATTGACAGTAAGCCAGTGATAAGCATTGTTTCTATAGATTATAGATTAACTAAAAGTATTCCTTACAGGGAAACAAAGGGATGGGCTGAAATAAAGGGATGGATCTGGCTAGTTATCTGCAGCAGGAACATGTCCTTAAGGCACAGATCACTCATGCTATTGTTTGTGGTTTAGGAACGCCTTTAAGCAGTTTTCCGCCCTGGCTGGGCCAGGTGTTCCTTGCCCTCATTCCGGTGAACCCACAACCTTCAGCGTGGGCGTCATGGCCATCACCAACATGTAAGCAGAGAAAACAGTTTATTTTTACTCTTTTTAAAAACATTTTACTTATTTATTTATTTATTTTGTTTACTTGACAAATAGTAATGATAGATAGATAGATAGATAGATAGATATAATGGGGTATAATATGATGTTTACATATGAATATATTGTGATATGATTAAATCAGGCTAATTAACACATCCGTCACCTCACCAGCTTACTATTTTTTTGTGTGGTGAGAACATTTAAAATCTACTCTTCTAGCAATTTTGAAATATATGACACATTATTATTAACTCTAGTCACCATGCTGCATAATAGATCACTAAAATTTATTCCTTCGGTGTAACTGAAACTTTGCACTCTTTAACCAACCTCTCTCCTTTCCCCATCTTCACCCCCAGTCTCTGGTGACCACCATTCTACTCTCTGCTTCTATGAATTTGACTTTTTTTAGATTCCCCATGAAAATAAGACCAAGTATTTGTCTTTCTGTGCCTGGATTATTTCACTTATCATAATTTCCTCTAGGTTCATATGTGCTTGCAAATGACAAAATTTCTTCTTTTTAAGGCTGAATAGTATTACATTATGTGTATATATCATATTATCTTTATATATTCATCTGTTGATGGGTATTTAGATTGCTTCCACATCTTGGCTATTGTGAATAATGCTGCAGAGAACATGGAACTGCAGATATCTCTTTGACATTCTAATTTCAGTTCCTTTTACTATATACCCAGAAGTGGGATTGCTGGATCACATGGTAATTCTATTGCTAGTTTTTTTAAGAACGCTCATGCTGTTTTCCAAAATGGCTGCACTAATTTACATTCTCACCAGCAGTGTACCAGGGTTCCCTTTTCTCCACATCCTTGCTAACACTTATTATCTTTCATCTTTTTTATGATAGCCATTCATTCTAACAGGTGTGAGGTTATACCTCATTATGGATTTAAATTGCATTTCTCTAGTGATTAATGAAGTTGAGCATGTTTCATATATTTGTTGGCTATTTGTATGTCTTCTTTTGAGAAATGTCTATTCAGGTGTTTTGCCCATTTTTTTACTGGGTTATTTGTTTTCTTGCTATTGAATTGAGTTTCTTACATATTTTGTATATTAGTTGCTTTTTACTCTTAACAGTGTCTTTGGATGAACAGAAGTTCTTAAATTTAATAGGTCCAATCATCAATATTTTCATTTATAAATCGTAGTTTTTGCCCACCTCAAGCTCATGAAACTGTTTTGTTTTACAACAGTTATCATTTTATGTGTTATAGTTCCTGAGTGCTTGATTTTCATTCTCAATATTCTCATGTTCCCAAGATACTTGCTGGAACACCAGCAATAGTGTACACATGCCTGGTAACTGGAAGAAATGGAGTGGGAGGGACAAAATGGTATACCAAGACATCTACACATATTTGAAGCATCTGTCCCAGAAATCTCTCCTATCAATGTCTACATATAGTCTACATATAATTACATGACCATAGCAAGCAGCAAGAGAGCTTTTTAAAATTTCAGTTAAAGGTATTGCTCTCTTAAATAAAACTTGCTTCTATTATTAAAGATGGGAGAAATGAATATCGGTGGAGACTTCTGGCTGTTTACTGAAATCCAATCTTACCTTTTCCTTGGCACATGGCTGCTTAGCTAACGGTTATTTTCCTACCATATTTTATTGTTTTCTATGGCCTTGTCATTAAGTTCTGGCCATTGTAATGTGAATGGAAGTGGTGTGTGCAACATTGGCTTTACTTAGTTAAAATAAAATCTTTTACCTTGGTAGTTTCCTTTTCTTCTTCCTGTGAACTATAATATAGATATGCCTGCAACCCAGCTAAGAAGATGCATTTGAGGAAAACCCTTTAAAGATGGAAAAGAATTGAGATGAAAGGAAAATTGGTTTTCTCATGTAACGAAATAATGCCAGATCCCTACCTCATACCATCTAAAAATATAAATGCCAGAGGGATCAAAGATGTAAAATGTGATAAAACAAAATTTCAAAGACTTTTAGAAAAAAATCTTTATGGTCTCTGGATCAGAAGAGATTTCTAAATAAAATACAGAAACAAAAGAGAAAAGATTGAAAATTTTGACAATACTGAACTTCAAAACTCCTTGATGATAGAGGAAAATATAAACAAATTTAAAAGACAAGATAGACTTGTGGCTAATCTCTAATATGCAAACTGTTTTTACCCATTGACAAAAATTAAATTGCCTAAATAGAAATATAGACAAATATTTGCACAATCAATTTAGAGACAAGAAAATTCTAAACGGCCAAGGAACAGAAGAAGTTAGCTGGCCTTGCTGTTGATCAGGAAATGCCAATTAAAGCACCAAGGTATTTTTCCTCATAACAAAGATTGTAAGGACTGCAAATATCCAGTGCTGTCACAGAACAAGAAAACAACCTCACTACAAATACAGAAATCATTGCATAAATCGGCAAAGATTCATGCTACAAGATATTATGCAGTTATTAAAAGAATGAGGTAGCTTCATATTTAGAGATCTGTTTCTGATCTTTTTAAATGAAAAAAGCCTGGTACAAAATAACAAGCATAGAATGATATTATTTTTATAAAATCAGATGACCCTCCTTCTTGTAAGCAAGCAAAACAAACCTCTGTAAATGTGTGTAAAAGAAAAACATTGGTTGATATTAAGTGGGTCCATTTACTAAGGCAATTCCTGCATTACAGTATGAGAGCTTTCAAGCAGCTGTGAGCAATGCACTTTTTGGCTATTGGCACTGCTATTCCATTTACTTGTTTTCCATTATTTATAAAACCTAATATACAAGTTTTGGCTTTTATGGTAATACCATTCCCAAGGGCACATTGATAAAGTAGATGAGGGCTTAGCCAAGCGACCTGCACAGGCTTGGATGTTGTTAGTACTTCTTTGATATTTGCATAAATGCTTCTGAAACCTTTTAGCAGGGTCAGTGGGCAAAAATGTGCTGCCTGTGCCCGTGCGTATCCAAATCTTCAAAAGTTGAATCTGCTGCGAATTTTGTTCTCAAAATCATTTTTATGTTATTCTGAAGTTGCAATAAACCAGCTTTTTGAAAAGGCTGTTAATCTATGAGGCAGAATCTGCCATGTAGCCAAATCACTTTTTTTCAGTATGTTTGACACTTGGGTAGAAACATTAACTTGTTCATGCCATTTGGGATACTATTATTTAGTGCACCAGTAATAGCTAAATGCTTCTCTGGGTAACACTTACTCCCAGGGAGATTCTTGAGAAGAACAGAATTCATTATGTTCACCGATGCTGTGACATTAGGAATCAACAGAGAAACACAGCAATCATAGGGAGATACACAAGCCAGGGAAGGACGAGGACACGGGCCACATAATACAATAGAAAATACGCTCTGCTTGCTGGGGCTGGAGACCTGTACTGTAGACCCAGCTGTGCCATTAGTTGTCTAACTCTCTATGCTGTCATCTTCCCATCCAAGAACAAGGAGCTTGTCTTAGATTGTGGTTTTTTAGGTAATGTTTCTCTAATTCGTAGGCTTCTCGGGGGTGACTGTGGGAGATGTACGTTAGAAGTACTAATGAAGATGGGGCACTAATCTCAGGCCTGGTGAAACCAGAACAGCTCTGCCTGTCTTTGTTTTTTTGTTTTGTTTTGTTTTGTTTCGGACAGAGTCTCATTCTGTCATCCAGGCTGAAGTGCAGTGGCTCAATCTCGGCTCACTGCAACCTCCACCTCCTGAGTTCAAGTGATTCTTTTGCCTCAGCCTCCCGAGTAGCTGGGATTACAGGCGCCCACCACAACTCCCAGCTAGTTTTTGGATTTTTAGTAGAGACGGGGTTTCACAATGTTGGCCAGCCTGGTCTCAAACTCCTGACCTCAAGCGATCCGTCCCCCACTTGGCCTCCCAAAGTGCTGGGATTACAGACATGAGCCACCGTGTCTGGACTTTTGTTTTTTATATTAGTGTTCTATGTAACATTTGGTATGAAATAAAGTTTGAAAACCCCTACACAAGATTATTTACTTGCTCTCAAGCAGTCCTCAAAATTCTGTGGTTTTAAGTACAGATGGAAGATATTACTGTGGACTTTCTTTAATGCACAGTCTTTACTTTGTCAACAGGAATGTTTCCCAAAGTACATTCTTTGGAACTCTGTTTGGTGTTAATAGAAAAAAGGGGGAGGGGGCTATTATGTAGACAAATATGTCTCATAAAATCTTCATCGCAGGACTTAGTCCAATGTGATGGGATCCCTTAAACGCTTTTCCCCATATTTCTTTGCACTTTATGTTTTTGATCTGATTTCCACTGAGCTCCATCTTCCCACACTTTTCCACTATGATCCCAGGAAGCTGGAAGTTAGGACTTCTACTTGCGAATTTGGATGCTGGATGGGGGACCACAATTCAGTCCATGCCAGGAGTCATTTGTTACTGGGACATAGCCTAGTGTCTCCTCATATACCATCTACCTGCTTGCAGACACCAATATTTGGATGTAATATATATATTTGGATACCAATATATTAGCAAGTCCTGTAATATTTATCTTTTAAAGATCTCTATAAAATGTTCAGCATCGGCTGGGTGCGGTGGCTCACACCTGTAATCCCAGCACTTTGGGAGGCCAAGGTGGGCAGATAACCTGAGGTCAGGAATTTGACACCAGCCTGGCCAACATGACAAAACCCTGTCTCTACTAAAAATACAAAAAATTAGCCAGGAGTGGTGGTGGGTGCCTGTAATCCCAGCTACTCAGGAGGCTGAGGCAGGAGAATCACTTGAACCTGGAAGGCAGAGGTTGCAGTGTGCTGAGATCACGCCACTGCACTCCAGCCTGGGGAATAGAGCAAGACTCTGTCAATAAATAAATAAATAAATAAATAAATATCCTTTTCAGTGGGAACTTCCAGATCCCTGGTGAACACTGCTCTCTTGAGTATTGAGAATAGATTTGAAAAGAGTGAGGAAAGAAAAAACAAAAAAACAAAAAAACAGTGCATCAAGTATAAGCCTGATTACTTCTCCAAAGTGGGCTGGACAGATTCCATGTCAGATCACCGGGGTAGGGCTTCCCGGTATGCTAACAGGCTGTGGCACCTCAGACTATGTCAATAGAAGAACTTCAGGATTCCAACAGCCACCTGGCAACACTAGTGTTTTCTCTGGAGTAATCTGATCCTGCCATAACATAAGTAAGTAGCAACAATAACTAAAGCCAATGCAGATACAAAGACTCCAGAAGGAAACACAGCAAAATGTTAACTATTGTTTTCTCTAAGAAGTAGAACTAAGAAGGAGTTTTGCTTCTTTTGTTTGTAAAACTTTCTGAATTGTATGACTTTTTTCTTTTTCTTTTCTTTTTTGTTTTTTTGAACAATAATAGGTTTCTGTTTTAAATCAGACAAATAAAAGTGTCTCAAATTTGGAAGGCAACCACTGTCACCCAACTCAATACAGAGAATGGGTAATATGATATTTAGCTTAACCAGAAAGAAAATTTCTTGATTAGCTGGTAAATAAAAACAAAATAGAAAAGTGGGCATTAATATTCCCATTTTACTAGCATTGATTATTAGATTGCTGTGTTTATTACAAGGCTGTACACTATAAGCTTACCACGGATATACTGAAAAGTTTCTATGGCTTCAAGGTACAGAACATCTGACTAAAATGGCTTAAATCATAGAGGTTTATTCTTACATAACCAGAATGTGCAGGTAAGTAGCACTAGCTTCAGCTTCTCTGCTATTCTTTTGGCCTGTCCTCATGGCCTCAAGATAGCTGTTGTAGTTCCAAGCCTCATGCTTTTGTCAGGGAAAAAAGCAGGAAGAAGGGGAGACCTTCTACGTTATTGAAGAAGAAAATCGTTCCTAGAAGCTTTCCTACCACATTCCTCTCAGTTCTCATTAGCCAGAATTGGGTCACTTGCCCATTCTCTGACAGCAAGGGATGCTGGGAAACAATATTTGGCATCTTCCATCTGTGGTAAAAAGCAGTCTCTTCCCACTAAGGGGCATCATGAGCACAAAGAGCAGATAACTTGGAGGAGAGAATCCAGAGATAAATATATCCAGAAATATTAAGTCCTTTATAAAATCTTTTATAAGCATCTGAAATTTCTTAGCTTGAGTAAAAGAAAACTAAAGATCAGATTAATAACATGCTTCAACAGTATGACATTTTTATGTCACAGTTATCTGCTCACTATCTATCCTATGCAAAGGATGATTCTCAATGCTTTAAAAAAGTATGAAAGTGTGATAAGGGGAGGAAAAGTACCTACTACATGCTTACTCTAAGTCAGGCACTGTAGTAGGTGATTTAAATATATTATTTCAATTACTCCTTTAAGAGAGCTACTGGATTTATTTTATAGATGAGGAAATGGAAGCTTCAGGGAAATAGAGCATTTTTGCCACTTTCCCTTTCTGGGACTTTACACCTCATACCAATTCTACAGTTAGCAAGACCTCTTCTAGGAAAAAACAACAACAACAACAACGACAACCAGATTACACAGGTATACACAGAATATGACTAAGTAAAACCGTGAGTTTATGCATTGATAAAAGATAGCGGAGGTAAATATGAATGATCTCAAAGCTGGTTAGGCTTTGATTATTTTCCCTTTAAATTTTCCTAATCCAGGCTGGGCACGGTGGCTCATGCCTGTAATCCCAGCATTTTGGGAGGCTGAGACGGGCAGATCACTTGAGGTCAGGAGTTTGAGACCAGCCTGGCCAACATGGTGAAACCCTGTCTCTACTAAAAATACCAACAAACAAAAAATCAGCTGGGCATTGTGGCACACACCGGTAATCCCAGCTGCTCGGGAGGCTGAGGCAGGAGAATCACTTGAACCCAGGAATCGGAGGTTGCAGTGAGCCAAGATCATGCCGCTGCACTCCAGACTGGGTGACAGAGTGAGACTCCATCTCATAAATAAATAAATATTCTTAAGCTTAATGATGTTTTAAGAGCTTGTTTGGAGGTTCTAGCAAGGGAGTACAGCTACTTGTACACCCTTGACAGAAGAACAGTCCTCTTCTATGGAGGAAGGATCTGATCAATCCCAGGGCTTTGGTTAGGATGCACCTGGAGCAGTGAGGTAGAAAGGGGACACCCACCTAGCTAGCCAGATCAGCTGAATCAACCCTGCCAATCAATGAGGTGACAGATGTCACAGCCAGATTGCCCTCACATCCCTTAATGGCGTTTTGAAAGTTGAAGGAGCTTTTGAAAGTTTTTGTATAGGTCCAAGCTAAGATGTAAAAGCACTGGAATACTATGCAGCCATAAAAAAGATGAGTTCATGTCCTCTGCAGGGACATGAATGAAGCTGGAAACCATCATTCTTAGCAAACTATCACAAAGACAGAAAACCAAACACCGCATGTTCTCACTCATAGGTGGGAATTGAACAATGAGAACACTTGGACACGGGGCGGGGAACATCACACACCGGGACCTGTCAGGGAGTGGGAAGCTGGGGGAGGAATAACATTAGGAGAAATACCTGATGTAAATGACGAGTTGATGGGTGCAGCAAACCAACATGGCTCATGTATACCTATGTATCAAACCTGCACGTTGTGCACTTGTACCCTAGAACTTCAAGTATAATAATTTAAAAAAAAAGATGTAAAAGCACTGTGTTTGGCTAACTGTGAATAGTTCATTTCCATATTCATGTTGTTTCAATGGTTTAAAAATAGGAGTTTTCACCTTATATATATTATGTTCTTATATTCATTAGCATGTGGTATGTCCCATTATTAATACTTTAAATTAGTTTGTTTAGTGAACAGTTTAAAGATATACTTTTTGCCCAGATAAGTAAAATACAGTCGCTTAAAAGGTTGAAGTATGTTATTTTTCCTCTTAAAAATGTATTCATGTAAGTTATAGAAACTTTGTAATTAGAAAGAAAAATAATCATCCATTTCTTACATGATATGAAGACACTGAATTTGTCCAGAATTTTATTTTTATTTTTTATAAAAGACTGTTTACTTTTTTAATAAAATAAAACCTCTATAATGTTTATAAAAACGGCCATCTATTCCCCACACTTCTACTTCCCAATTTTTGTTCCCCAGGTGCAATTATTCTAAATTTAACTTTTTGTCTTCTATTTAAAAAAAAAGGTTAGATATTATCTGTTGACTTTCTCCTACGGAAGACGAAAGTTCACACCTTTGTTTCTTTCCTGCCCCTTGCCTCCCAAATATGCACTTCTCCTCCCTCAATTATCCCCACAGAATTATATCACAACTCAATACATATATTCCATAAGTATATTATGACTGTACAAATAATATTCACAACTGAGCCATGAAATTAACTTTGATTACATTTTCTTTATTGTACAACTTTTCGTATTACACAGTGTAAATATTTTCCTTGATCTTCTGCTTGCTTCATGTTCTATGTTGTTATTAAAAATTTATTCTCAAATTATCTGAAAGAAGCAAAATCTGAATTTAATTAATTACATCAGGAAAATCTATCTGCTTTTTTTCCTTTACTCTTTTCTTTTCCTTATTTTGTTGTTTTTTGGAGTCACCCTTCCTGAAGCCCTTTGTCCTCCACATCCAATCTAGACTCTCTGGTCTCCTTTCAATTGCTATTTGGGATGGGTATAAAATTCTAGGTTGAAAAGTCACTTCCCTTAGATTTTTGAAGCCATAGTTTCATCGTTTTCTAGCTGCCTTCTAATTCCCATTTGTATGTATGGACCTGATTTTTCTCTCTGAAAGCTTTTAGAATTGTAGTTCTACCCCTGATAATCTAAAACTTCGTGATGATATCTTTTGGTGTGGAACATATTTTTCATCTATTATGCTGGGCCCTTTCCCTCTGAATTTCTATCCTTCAGTTCTGGAAATTCTTATTTGGATAATTCCTTAATAATTTTCTCCTCTTTACTTTCTCTGTTCTCTCTTTCTAGAATTTCTGTTAGATGTAAATGTCTGATCTTCCTGTCTGATCTTCTAATTTTCTTATCTTTTCTCTTCATTTCCATCTCATTGTCTTTCTGTTCTAATTTCTAGAAGATATCCTCACTTATTCTGCAGCCATTCTATTGACTTTTACATATCAGCTATTATATCTTTAAATTCAGTACAGCAACCTGACCCACTTTTGAATGTAATAACTTTTCTCATATCTCTGAGGATGTTAATGATTTGGAGTCTTCTTCTGGTTTTGGTATTGACTACTTTTGGTGTTTCTTTTTATTCCCATTTGATCTGGTCTCTATGCTTAACTGCAGGGGTTGTTGTCAAATGGCTGGTGATTCTTGGCTTTCCAAACATGTTAATATGTGAAGGTCTCAAAAGCTGACTGGAAGCTTTTTGTGAAAGTGGGTGATGGGCTTTCCTAGAAGACAGCCTGGCTGTTCTGTGAGGGAATCTCCACTTGTCAATATCTTAGGCCTTTTTTCATAAGCCAGAATAGAGAGGAATTCAGCCTTCAGTCTTAAAAAAGTATATGATCTGACAAACTGTGTTCTTGGAGATAAGTAGAAGAAAATAAAACAGGAGTGATCTTTCAGTCACTTAACAGCTCTCTTTTTCTACTATGACCCATTCAATAAATTATCTGAATACCTTGACTTCCCCTAGTTTAACTTCCTTCTCAATAAATCTTGTCTTTTACTAGGGATTGTCTCCTGACTGTGAAGGTAGCAAGGATACATAAAGGGTCTAAATGTTTTTAAAATAGACTTTTAAGCAATTCTGAACCTCTGCCATCAAAGATGATCAGCTTTGTCAATTCCTCAGTCTTTTATAGAGTGTGGAGGCATGAACTGGCCTCCTTCTTATTTCTCCCTTATTTCCTCAGCTTTCTCTGGTTTTTCAATTCAGTTACCCTTGTGTATCTGCTTTCCAGAATCTAAAATTTAAATGAAGCCTCTCATCTTCTAGCATCTATAACCACATTTTCTTTGACTTCTTGGTTTATTGTTTGTTTGTTTTAAAACAACTATTTTATTGTTATTGTACTCTGGGTTCAGGAGGCAGCATAGGAAAATGCTCGCATTCAGTTTATAATATTTAACTGAAGTCTCGTCTAATATTCCATATGCTTTTGAGTTTGGTTTACACAGTTTTAATCATATTGAGGAATACAATTTAGTGTCCTGCTTTTAAAATGTATCATTTATCATAAGCATTTCCCAAGATAATATGTCAATACTTTTTGAACACTAGGATGATGTTTATAAAATTCATTCTTATTTCAAGTATATAGCTAGTCTAGTCTCTAATAAGCCATGGTGTTCTTCTCTGTGTGTGTGTGTGTGTGTGTGTTTTACATATGCACAATGGTCTGGGAAATGCTACCAAATCATTTGAATATAGCCACTGAGTTACAGAATATCAAATAATAATCTCACATCTGTTATATAGTATCATGGAGATAATGTTCACGTTCCTTGAAGAGGGAGAAATGAATTTCAGTTCATTAAGCATTAGGGAAAAAAATGATCTCTTATCTAAGAAAAAAACCTCACACTCAGTAATTAAAATCAATCATGAACATGTCCTTAATGATATAGGAATGGCGAAAGCTACTAATTTCACTACTTTGCTCAAACACATGGAGAGCTTTCCATATATTGAACATATTTCTGAGTTTGAGCAAAAAAAATCGAAAGACAGACTAAAGGCCCTGTTTGGCTTTTAAAATATCCAAATTAGCACCTAGGATGCTTAAATATCAGTATTGATTATGTGTGTGTGGCAAGAGGTGTAAAGGTTGCTGGTCTTATGTGCTTTTTAAAAAAAAAAAAACTCCGTATTTTTGTACCCACTTTAGTTTTCTGCTCTGACTGCTTTCTGTACCCCAGTCTTCCAATCTGCCTGTCAGCATTTGGTCCTTTCACATTTGATATATAGGACACACACAACCAGATACTTTTTAATACAGATGTACACATTCCTTTTCTATAAACTTTATATACATCCCCAGAAGGAGTCAATATGTGTCTGATATAAAATTACGGTCATGGAAAATCTAATGCAGCTTTCAAATCATTAAGACTTTCAAAATTCTAATCAACAATAGAAGCATGGGCCCTGTTTATATTTACCAGATGCCCAAAAACAACTGCTTCCACTCCTGTTTTCCTCCATTTACATTAACAAACCATCTTTCGTAAAGCCTGAGACTTTTTCCTCCTAATCAACGGGGTGATGGCTGTTGGCACTGTTGTCTATATTTTGCTGCCTTACTCTTGCCACGTAATATAATAAAAGGCAAGGGTTCTGAGGAAAATAACAGATAATCATTATTCAACTATGTCTTCAATGATGACACATTACTATCTAGAAAGAGCTTTATTCTATACTAAAGCTATTTACATATGTCTATTCCATCAGTAAACATCAGTAAAATGAATTCAGAAGCCATTTGGATGAAATTAAATAAAGAGACAAATAGGGTGAATGTTATAAGAGAATATATTTTACAAACTGCCTCAAAAATGCTTCCCTCATGCAGATGACAAAATTGGACTAGAGACAAGATATAAAAAGGATGGGGAGCTTCTCACGAGCAGATAGATGTCTGCTCAATGTCCCATTCTTCTAAAAACAGAGCACTGGTAAATTCTGCCCTGATGATCACTTTCTTTCAAAGTGTGCTGTGGAAGAAGTGAGGGCAAAGACTAACTTGGACCTAATTCTTAAGAACAAGGAAAAAATTATCGTGAAGTAGAATGATAGAATTCTGAGTACTATCAATGTGAAGAGTATCAGGATGAAGGACGGGAAAGCTGAGAAATAATCATGCGTATCCCTTAAGACTGTAAAAAAGTAGTTTTAAAAATATAGAAAAAAAGATAAAAGCCCAGAGAATAAGGGATTCTATAAATAATTTTTTTTCTCTCTAATCTGGAATGTTTTTAATGCAAAAGAAAGTTCTTAAATGTACTTGATGGTATAGAAAGCCAATTGTGAGTTTATAGTTTAAAAGAATATGTGGCCGGGCGCGGTGGCTCACGCCTGTAATCCCAGCACTTTGGGAGGCTGAGGCAGGCGGATCACGAAGTCAGGAGATCAAGACCACCCTGGCTAACACGGTGAAACCCCGTCTCTACTAAAAATACAAAAAATTAGCCGGGTATGGTGGCGGCCACCTGTAGTCGCAGCTACTCGGGAGGCTGAGGCAGGAGAATGGCATGAACCCAGGAGGCGGAGCTTGCAATGAGCCGAGATCTCACCACTGCACTCCAGCCTGGGTGACACAGCGAGACTCTGTCTCAAAAAAAAAAAAAAAAAGAATATGTACAGAAGTTATGTCCCTTATAATGCTTGAATTCCAGGAAGGTGAGACATAGATTAGTACATAATTGCAGTAGCTAAACTTCTTAGGTTAGGAGTTTTTACTAGTTATTAGAATATCCTGCTCATTTTTTCTTCCAGCCACGAGGCACTAAGAGTCTGCAATTAACCTTTCGTCACAAACAACTAGAAAGATGAATGAAATTTAGGAAATATCTATATTCAGACATTAAACAAAAGTAGCAATGAATTTTGACTCCTGAAAAAAGAGAAATAAAAGAAGTGAACCCTACCATTGCCTAGGTTTTTTCTCTCCTGGGATAGGTCTTGAACTGTGACACAGAAAGAGTTTGGCAATCTTCAGAAATTAAGGAGACAGAGATTATATTTCAGGCAACTAGAATTTGTTGAACAGAGTACCCAAGAGGACAGATATACACAGAGAATAAACTCTATAAATTCACATAGATGTTTCCTCACATTTTGATAAAATATTTATCTGCAGAAGTATATGATGAGAGCCCATGGAGCTGGGAAAGAACAACTCTGGAGGAAGAAACAATTACTGGGGAGCTGTTAGATGAACAATCCCCAGACTCACACATAAATTATTAGTGTTTTTTACAACCAAACTGGAGAGACACTGCTGAGTACATTTAGTACCACTCAGATGCACCTCAGAAATGGGATGAAAAAAATTATTTCCAGAAGAAGGCTCTTCTAGACCCACTCTGAAAGAGTGGATCTTAAAACAACCTCAAAAAGTTCAAGCCAAACTGCCAATAACCTATCAGCAAGAAAATATTCAACATTTTTAAAGGAATACAACATTCAGCCTTAACAATATAAAATTTACCATGTCCAGCATCCAATCAAAATTACTAGACATATAAGGAAGCCCAAAAATGGGACCTGTGAGAAAAATTATTTACTAAAAATAGACCCATAAATGGTAGAGATAATATAATCAACAGAGTAGAAGATTAAAATAGCTATTATAAATGATCAATGTTAAAAAAGGTAACACAAAAACATGATTAGGAGACAAATTGATAATACTAAAAAAAACATGAGGCCGGGCATGGTGGCTCACACCTGTAATCCCAGCCCTTTGGGAGGCTGAGGTGGGTGGATCATCTGAGGTCTGGAGTTCAAGACTAGCCTGAAAAACATAGAGAAACCCCATCTCTACTAAAAATACAAAATTAGCTGGGCATGGTGGCGCATACCTGTAATCCAGTTACTCAGGAGACTGAGGCAGGAGAATCACTTGAACCCAGGAGGCAGAGGTTGCAGTGAGCCGAGATCATGCCATTACATTCTAGCTTGGGCAACAAAAGTGAAACTCCGTCTCAAAAAAAATAAATAAATAAATGAAACAACTATAAATAAGATCAAATAAAAAATCACATTGAAAACTATATTAGATAAAATTAACGGATTATAGACATTGCAGAAGAAAATAAAATCAGTGAACTTGAATGCAAGCAAGTTTTTTGGAGCACAGAGAGTACAGAGAAGAAAAAAGTACCAGGAAAAAAATGCACAGAGCATCAGTGAGCCCTGGAAAATATAAAAAAGATGAATATATATATATATAATTGGATTCCAAAAAGAAGAGGAATGGAAAAGGAAGAAAAAATATTGAAAGAAACTTTAGTCAAAATATTTCCAAACTATGAAAACTAAAAACTATAATTTTAATAAAATCAGTGGATAGCAAACAGAATAAAGAAAACTACCCTGAGGCACACCAGAATCAAATTGCTGAAAACAAATGATAAAGAAAAAAATCCAAAAAGCTGCTTTAGAAAAAAAAAGACTCTGTATGTACCAAGGATCAAAGATAAGAATGACCTCAGATATTTCCTCATATGTTTTGCAAGCCAGGAAACGCTGTAGCAACATATTTAAAAGAAAGTAAAACACTGTCAACTGAGATTCTATAACCAGTGAAAATATCTTTCCAAAATGAAAACAAAATAAAGAAAGTTTCAGAAAAACAAAAGCTGAGATAATTCACTGCCATTTGTGAGGCTCTTGCTATATGCAGGAAGTTGTATGATATTTGAAGGTAAAATGTGACAAGATAAATATTTTATCGTAAACCCTAGAACAAACCTAAAAACATAAAACAAAATGTTATGTTTAATAATGCAATAGTGGAAATAAAGTGGAATCATAAAAATACTAAACAAAAATGTGCTGCCAAGAGAAGGCTGGAAAAGAGGGAAGAAATAAGGAACATATTCAAAGAGAACACAAATAACAAGATGGTAGATTTCGATGCAATCATATAATCAAATGTAAATGATTTTAAAACTTCAGTTGCAAATCAGAGATTTTACACCCCATAAAAAAGTAATATCCAATCATAGATATCTACATAAAAACTACTTTAAGTATAAATATACAAATAAGTTAAAGGCAAAAATTTGCCAAAGGTTAACCATATAAACACTAATGAAAAGAAATTTGGAGAGGCTATATTAATATGAAAGTACATTTCCGACAAAGATAATTCTGGGGATAGGAAGGAACATTTTATAATGATAAAGGGATCTAATCAACATAAACACTTAGTAATATTAATGACTATGCACCTACAGTTAGAGCCTTAAACGATGTGAACAAGAAACTGACAGACCTGAAAGAAAAATAAACAAATCCACAATTCTGTTGGATATTTTCATAATTAAGTAATAAAACAAGCAAAATATCAAAAAGGCTATAGGAGAACACTGTTAACAACTTGACCTAATTGACATTCATAGACTATTCTACTCAATGACAGGAGAATATGTATTATTTTCAAATCAGATGGAACATTCATCAGGAAATAACATTTCCTGGGCCATGACACAGGCTTAAAATTTTTTTAAAGACTGATACCATACAATGCAGATTCTCTGACTACAAAGCACTAAACTAGAAATCAATGAAAGAATGATAGCTTTAAAATTATCTGGAAATAAAACAACACCCTTTTACTAACCTGTGGTTCAAAGAAGAAATCACAAGGGAAACTAGCAAATATTCTGAACTGAATATTAACAGACACAACCTACCAAAATGTATGCAATACAGTTAAAACCCTGTTAAAGGAAAATTTTAGCATGAACTATTGATATTAGAATAGAAAACAAGGTTAACATCAATTATTTAAGCCTCTACTTAAAGAAACTAGAGAAAGAAGAGCAAATTAAACCTGAAGAAAGAAGGTTAAAAAATAATAAAGGGAAAAAACCAAATGAACTAGAAGACAGAAAAATAATAGAAAAATTGAACTAAAGCAAAAGTTGATTCCTTGAAAATATCAGTGAAATAAACATCTAGCCAGACTAATCAAAAAGAGAGAAACCACAATTGTTCAATATCGTAGATGAGAAAGGGGACATCACTACAGATGCCAACAACCTTACAATTATATTAAAGGAATATCATGAATAATTTTATGCCAATAAATTCAATATCTTAGATGAAATGTACAAATCATTTGAAACACACAACTACTAAAGCTCACTCAAGAAAAAAAGAATAATTTCAGTAGCCCAATATTAATTAAAGGTATTAAATTTATAGTTTAAAAACCTTCATACAAAGAAAACTTTAGCCCCAAATTGCTTTGCTGGTAAATTCTACCTAATATTTTCATTAAAAATTTCACCAACCCTACACTAACTATTCCAAAAAATAGAAGGCACACTTCTCAACTCATTTTATCAGGCTAGCATCACCCTGTTATCAAAACTAGACTGCAATATGACTAGAAAAGAAAACTACAGTTTAATATTCCTCATGATCATTCCCTAACAAAATATCAGCAAACTAAATCAAAAAAAGAAAAAATAATAGTTCATTACCAAATGAGGTTTATTCCAGGAATGCAAGGTTTGTTTGATGTTTGACAATCAACCAGCGTAGTTTACCAGGTTAATAGATTTCAAAACTCATGTGATTACCTTAAGATATACAGAGAAAGTATTTGACAAAACTCAACACCCTTCATGGTAAAAACTGTCAGCTAACTAGGAATAGAAGGGAACTTCCTCAACCTGAAAAAGGACATCTACAAAACACCTATAGCTAATATTACATCTAGTGGCAAAAACTGAAAGCTTTGCACCCAAGACAGGAGAAAGGTAAAGATGTCTGCTTTTACCATTTTAATTCAATTTGGTATAGGAGGTCTTAATGCCATAAAACAAGAAAAAGAAAAAAAGGCATACAACTTGGAAGGAAAGAATAAAACTGTCATTATTTGCAAATATCTTGATGCTCCTAAAGAATCTTAAAAATTAAGAAAATACATTACTTAATATAAAGTATGATTTTATGTTATAAATTACAATTTATAATTGTCATATATGAGCAAAACATCATATATTGCATTATAAAATTAATGTTAAATAATTATAAAAATATAAATATAATTAAAATTAATAATAGGAAATTTTTTTTAACTTTTATTTTAGGTTTGAGGGTACGTGTGCATGTTTGTTACATAAGTAAACTTGTGTCACAGGGGTTTGTTGTACAGATTATTTCATCACCCGGATACTAAGCCTACATACCTAGCAGTTATTTTTTCTATTCCTCTTCTTCCTCCCACCCTCCACCCTCAAGTACACCCCAGAGTCTGTTGTTCCCTTCTGTGTGTTCATGAGGTCTCATCATTTAGTTCCCACTTATAAGTGGGAGAACACGCGGTATTTGGATTCTATTCCTGTCTCAGTTTGCTAACGATAATGGCCTCCAACTCCATCCATGTTCCCACAAAAGACATGATCTTGCTCTTTTATATGGCTGCATGGTATTCCATGATGTGTACGTACCACATTTTCTTTATTCGATCTGTCATTGATGAGCATTTAGGTTGATTTTATGTCTTTGCTATTGTGAACAGGGCTGCAATGAACATTCATGTGCATATGTCTTTATGGTAGACTGATTTATATTCCTCTGGGTATATACCCATTAATGGGATTGTTGGGTTGAATGGTAGTTCTGTTTTTAGTTCTTTGAGGAATAGCCACACTGCTTTCCATAATGGTTGAATTAATTTACTCCTGCCAACGGTGTAAAAGTGTTCCCTTTTCTCCACAGCCTCACCAACATCTATTTTTTTTTTTTTACTTTTTAATAATAGCATTCTGACTGGTGATAGATGGTATCTCACTGTGGTCTTGATTTGCATTTCTCTAATGATCAGTGATATTGAGCTTTTTTTCACATGCTTGTTGGCTATATGTATATCTTCTTTAGAAAAGTATCTGTTCATGTCCTTTGCCCACTTTTTAATGGGGTTGTTTGTTTTTTTCTTGTAAATTTATTTAAGGTCCTTACAGATGCTGGGTATTAGACCTTTGTGAGATGCATAGTTTGCAAATATTTTCTCCCATTCTGTACATTGTCTGTTTACTCTATTAATAGTTACTTTTGCTGTGCAGAAGCTCTTAAGTTTAATTAGATCCCATTCGTCAATTTTTGCTTTAGTTGCAACTGCTTTTGGCATTTTCATCATAAAATCTTTGCCCATTCCTATGTCCAGGATAATATTGTCTAGGTTGTCTTCCAGGGTTTTTATCATTTTGGTTTTATATTTAAGTCTTTAATCCACCTTGAGTTGATTTTTGTATATAGTTAAGAAATGGGTCCAGTTTCAATCTTCTGCATATGGCTAGCCAGTTACCCCAGCACCATTTATTGAATAGGGAGATTTTTTTCCCCATTGCTTGCTTTTATCAGTTTTGTTGAAGATCAGATGGTCATAGGTGTGCAGCATTAGTTCTGGGCTCTCAGTTCCATTGGTCTGTGTGACTGTTTTTGTACCAGTACCATGCCGTTTTGCTTACTGTAGCCCTGTAGTAAGTTTGAAATCAGGTAACATGATGTGCCCAACTTTGTTATTTTTGCTTAGGATTGCCTTGGCTATTCAGGTTTCTTGTTTGGTTCCATATGAATTTTTAAATGTTTTTGTTTTCTAGTACTGTGAAGAATGTCACTGATGATTTGATAGGAATAGCACTGAATCTATAAATTGCTTTGGGCAATGTGGCCATTTTAATGATATTGATTGTTCCTATCCATGAGCATAGGGTGTTTTTCCATTTCTTTGTGATATCCCTGACTTCATTGAGCAGCACTTTGTAATTCTCATTGTAGAGGTCTTTCACCTTCCTGATTAGCTGTAATCCTAGGTATTTTATTCTTTTTGTGGCAATTGTGAATGGGATTGTGTTCCAGATTTGGCTCTCAGCTTGACTGTTGTGAATGTATAGAAAGGTTATGACTTTTGTACATTGATTTTGTATCCTGAAACTTTGCTGAAGTTGTTTATCAGCTGCAGGAGCTTACGGGCTGAGACTATGGGGTTTTCTAGATATAGAATCATGTTGTCCACAAACAGGGATAGTTTAAGAAAAATTTTTTAAATGCACCAAAACGTATGAGTTTCACAAGGTCAGTATATGAAAATCAATATTATTTCAATATAAGATCAATGAGCAATTAGAAATTGAAATTTCTAAAAAAATAGCATTAACTATAGCACAAAAACATGAAATACTTAAAGTTAAATGTAATAAAATATGTTAAGACCTGTATACCAAAAGTTGATTCTTTGAAAAAATCAATGAAATAAATATCTAGCCAGACTGATCAAAAAGAGAGCACAATTTTTCAGTATTACAGATGAAAAAGGAGACATCACTACAGATGCTAATTACCTTAAAATTATAATAAGGGAATATTATGAATACCTTTATACCAATAAATTTAAAATCACAAAAAATTACTAAGTTAAGAGACCTAAGGAAAAGGGGAGATATACTATGTTCAGGAATCAGAAGACTCAGTATTATTAAGATGCCAATTTTCCCTAAAGTGATCAACAGATTCTCTCCAATCACAATAATAACAGCAGTAGAATTTTTGGTAGGGATATTAAGCTGGATCTAAATCTTATATGGAAACACAAAAAACAGAATAAGCAAAACAATTTTGAAAAAGAACAAAGTTGGAGATATATTACCTGGCTTAAGGCTTACTATAAAGCTTCAGTAACCAAGACAATGTGGTATTGCCATAAGGATAGACATATGTATATGTCTAAATATTTATATATCTATCTATATCTGTACATCTTCACAGACCAGAATAGAGTTTTCACAGAACAGAATACATACATATCTGTCAATCAGTGTCTATCTACCTACCTACCTACCTACCTATCTGTCTACCTACTTATCTATCTATCTAACTATTCACAGAACAGAATAGAAACTCCAGAAATAGACTTATACAATTGATTTTTTGGAGGGACAAATGTTCTAAGGTAATTCAATGGGAAAAGTAGAGTTTTTCAACAAGTGGTAATAATAATTAGGCCAAAAAAATGAGCTTCAACCCTTATCCTCACACCATATACCAAAAATAATTCCATATAGATCATAGACCTAAATATTAGAACTAAAATTATAAATATAGGCCGAGTGCAGTGGCTCATGCCTGTAATCCCAACACTTTGGGAGGCCAAAGCAGGTGGATCACTTGAGGCCAGGAGTTTGAGACCAGCCTGGCCAACATGGTGAAACCCTGTCTCTACTAAAATCTACAAAAATTAGTTGGGTGTGGTGGTGCACACCTGTAATCCCAGCTACTCAGGAGGCTGAGGCATGAGAATCACTCGAACCCAGGAGGCAAAAGTTGCAGTGAGCCAAGATCATGCCACTGTGCTACGGCCTGGGTGACAGCAAGACTCTGTCTCAAAAATAAATAAATAAATAAAATAAAATTATAAATATTCTTGAATAAACTACAGAGGGAGATTTTGTGATCTGGGGCTAGGCAAAGATTTTTGGTAGGACACAAAAAGCATAAACTTTATTAAAAAAATGGATAAGTTGAACTTTTAAATGTTTGCTTCTGAAAAGACTCTGTTAAAAACATGGAAAGGCATACCACAAACAGGCATGAAATCTTTACAAAACATATATCTGATGAAGAATCTGTATCCAGAAGTATGCAGGACTCTTATTATTCAATAACAAGAAGAAACTAGTTCAATTTTTTTAATGTACAGAAGATTTGAACATACACATCACAAAGGCTATACAAATAGCAAGTGAAAAGACACTCAATTTCTTTAGTTATTAAAGAAATACAAACTAAAACCATAATGAAATACCATTACATATTCATTATAATGACTAAATTTTTTTTTTTTTTTTTTTGAGATGGAGTCTCTCTCTGTCACCCAGGCTGGAGTGCAGTGGCCGATCTTGGCTCACTGCAAGCTCCGCCTCCCAGGTTCAAGCCATTCTCCTGCCTCAGCCTCCTGAGTAGCTGGGACTACAGGCGCCTGCCACCATGCCCGGCTAATTTTTTGTATTTTTAGTAGAGACAGGGTTTCACCTTGTTAGCCAGGATGGTCTCAATCTCCTGACCTCCTGATCTGCCCGCCTCGGCTTCCCAAAGCGCTGAGATTACAGCCGTGAGCCACCGCGCCAAGCCTATAATGACTAAAATTTAAAAGGCTGACAATAACAACATAGGCAGGAATATGGTGCAATTGGAGTTCTCAGACATGGCTGGTGGAAATGCAAAGCCACTTCAGAAAACAGATTAGTCATTTCTCATATATTTAAACACAAACTTACTACATCACCCAGCAATTTCACTATTAGGTATTGACCTGACTTAAATGCATACAGATGTTCATACAAAAGAATATAAAGGTTCACAATGGACTTTATTCATAGTAGCTCCAAACTAGAAGCACCCCAAATGTCCAATAGGCTTAATGAACAAACAAATCTTGGTTATCCACAAAATGGAATACTAGTAAACAACAACAAAAAAGAATATGATTTTTGCACAAACAAATAAATCTCAAAACCGTTAAGCGCAGTGCAAGAAGCCAGACTCAGGAGACTACATACCATATGATTCTATTTTTATGACATTCCAGAAAAGGCAAAACTGTGGTGACAGAAATCAGATCAGTGGTTGCCAAAGAGTGGAGGTGTGAAAACAGGGTCAAATGTTATGTGACAGAAGGCAATTATGGTGGGTGATGAACATATTCTATACCTTGATTGTGGTGGTGGTTACATGACTACATGCATTTGTCAAAACTCATCAAACTGTACATTTAAAACACATGAATTTGGCTGCGGCGACGGCAACATGGAGAGCGGGGCCTATGGCGCTGCCAAAGGCGGGCGGCTCCTTCCACCTGCGGGCGCTTCCTGACGCAACCGCAGGTGGTGGTGAGCGCTGCGTGCAGGGTCTTCGCCTTGATCGTGTTCTCCTGCATCTATGACAAGGGCTACAGCAAGTCTAAGCAGAGGTACTGCGTTTTCAACCATAACGAGGACGCCTTCCGCTACCGCAATGCCATCAGGGTGCTGGCCTTCCAGGCCTCGGCCTCCTTGGTGGTCGACGTTTATTTTCCCCAGATCATTAATGCCACTGACCGCAAGTACCTGGTCGTGGGTGACCTGCTCTTCTCAGCTCTCTGAGCCTTCCTGTGGTTTGTTGGTTTCTACTTCCTCACTAACCAGTGGGCGGCCACCCAACCGGAGGACGTGCTGGTGGGGGCCAACTCCGCGCAGGCAGCCATCACCTTCAGCTTCTTTTCCATCTTCTCCTGGGGCGTGCTGGCCTTCCTGGCCTACCGGCACTACAAGGCTGGCGTGGACTTCATCCAGAACTACGTCGACTCCACCCTGGACCCCAACACTGCCTACGCCTCCTACCCAGGTGCATCTGTGGACAACTACCAGCATCTGCCCTTCACCCAGAATGCGGAGACCACTGAGGGCTACCAGCCGCCCCCTGTGTACTGAGTGGCTGAGTGCCGTTTGGGGTGGGAAGGGGGGCAGAGAGGACCCTCCCCTCTGCCCTGGACTTTCCCACGAGCCTCCTGGAACTGCCAGCCCCCCTCCTTCGCCTGTCACGTCCTGTGCGATTGACACACAGCTAAGGAGCCTCCCAGCCTCGGGGTCTGGCAGAGCCACACCCCAAGTGCCCGCACACAGATGGCTTCAGTCAGCCACTCACTCTTCCATGACACTTTTAGGAAAGGGTTTTTAGCTAGTGTTTCTCCTTGCTTTTAATGACCCCGGCCCCTCCTGGAGTGGCTAGAAGCCAGCAGGCACCCATGTGCTACTGACAAGTGCCTCAGCTTCCCCCCAGCCCAGGTCAGGCTGTGGGAGTCGCTGTTATCTGCGTTCTCTGCCAAAGACTCGGGGGAGCCCTCACACCTGCCCTGTGCAGTGGGGCGGGACCAGGCTCCTGCGTCCTCACTCAGGTTTGCTCCCCCTATCCCCACTGCTGTATGATCTGGGGGCCACCACCCTGTGCCAGTGGTCTCTGGGCTGCCTCCCATGGTGTGGGGGTGGGGCCGGTGCCCACAACACTTCCTCCTTGCTCCCACTCCTGGCAGCAGGGAAGAGCTTTGCCTGACAACACCCAGCTTTATGTAAATATTATGCAGTTGTTACTTAAGAAGCGTGAGGAGGGCAGGGGTGCCCCATGGCTCCCAGACTCTGTCTGTGCTGAATGTATTATAAAGCCTTAGGGGAGATGCCCCGCCCTGGGATGCTGTTTGGAGATGGAATAAATGTTTTCTCATTCCAAAAAAAAAAAAAAAAAAAAAAACATGAATTTTATGGTTTTTTAAATGTGTTTATACCCAATAAAGCTGATTAAAATTTCTAAAAATATTCTGTTCATTTCTACCTTTTACTCCCCTCACATTCTGTAGTAGTTATTAGTGCTGTTCATCAAAGATTCCCAGCTCCCACTTTCCAAGCACATAATGGGTTTGCACTTCTTGGTTCTCTTGTGATTGGATGGAGCCATGTAACTAATTATGGCCATTGAGTCGTGAGAGAAGTGATATCACTTCCCTATGGGAAAGCTTATATGACCATGCAACGAGCTCCAGGACGCTCCCTATCCCTAGGCCAACAACCAGCAATTTTGAGATTATGGCTGCTCTGTCAGCATGAGCTTTGATAGACTCCAAAGTTTCCTTCTGAGCTAAATAGATATGGAACATGAATAAGAAATAAATTCTTGCTGTTTGAAGCCACTGAGATTTTAGGATTGTTTGATGCCACTGTATAATTTTTATTTTCCAGGATAATAAAGAAGATGGTACCTAGAATTGCTGGGGGTGCCATTTAAAGAATTATATACCAGTGTACGTATGTAGATAGATACTACTTACATACATGCTTAGGAGAGGCAAGGAATTTTTTTTTTTTTTTTTTTTTTACCAGAGTCTGGGAGAATGCTTTCCAGATTTATATGAGGGTGAAATATTTGGTTAACTGTTACCTAAGAAAACTTGGAAGGCAGATTTATGTTCTGAATTAGTTCATAGGCCTGGGGAAGAGGTTGAAAAACAGAAGGCATTTGTTAATTATTATCGTTATTATTATTATTTTTTTGAGAAGGAGTTTCACTCTTGTCACCCAGGCTAGAGTGCAGTGGTGCAATCTCGACTCACTGCAACCTCCGCCTCCCGGGTTCAAGCAATTCTCTTGCCTCAGCCTCCCCAGTAGCTGGGATTACAGGTGCCTGCCATATTAATTATTATTAAATGCATTTGAGAAACCATTAAATAAAGGCAAGAGTTCAGTTTATGAGAAGAATAAAAGAGAATAGAGAGAGTTCAGAAATTCAGGGACTTGAAGATTTTGAAAAAGTAACTTTCTCATCCGCAATTGGCAAAAGAAGAAATCGGGAAGACCTTTGGGTGAAAGTCCAAACAAAAATTTGACACCCCAGTTTCTTTTAACTGAACAACATTGCTCAGGAAAAAGATAATGAAAGCATGACTTTCCCACCAGAGCCTGACAGACTCATGTACCCACAAGCAAATTGAGAGAGACATGAGAATGAGAAAGCCTGGGAATAGTGCAAATGTAACATGCATGTCTAGAAAATAACTTGAGTGAGGCTACTGGCACATTGGTGTTGATAGGAGTCAAACAGATAAAAAGCTTGCTACACTTTTGGAAGCATCATGAAGCAACAATCTGGGGAGGGACTTGTTCTTCACATAGAGGGCACATGGAACAGTGATGTAGCAGACACTTTGGAGTGTGCCTGTTATGGCAGTTCTAGAATATGGCCACACATTCTTTGACCCTCTTTTTATCTGTGCTTGTTACTGTTTCAACCAATAGAGCACAACAGAAGTGACACTATGTTCCTTGTTCACTGGAACACTCATTTTTAGAGCCCCGAGCTGCCATGTAAGAGGCCCATCTTACCTGAAGAAACCCAAGTCACAGGGGAAGCTACTCATCTAGCTGTTAGGTCAACAGTGCCATCTAAGCACATCCTGCAGCCATTTCAGCCCAAGCATAGAATACATGAGTGAAGAAGCCATCTCTGAGGTGAATCCTCCAACCCAGCTCTTTATCAGCACCCCACCATTCAATCCATCCCAGCTGAGACCCAGATATCATGGAGCAGAGAAAAGAATGGCACACAGTGCTCTTTCCAAACTTCTGACCTACAAAAACCGTGAGCAGAGTAAAATTTTGTATTTTACACCATTTGTTGAGGTGATTTTTTAGGTAACAATAGATGTTATGGGCTGAAAAGTGTGTCCCCTAAATTTATATGTTGAAGCTCTAACCCCTAGTACCTCTGACTGTAACTCTGTTTGGAGATAGGGCCTCTAAAGAGGTAATTAAGTTAAAATGAGGCTATTTGGGTGGGCCCTAATCCAATTTGACTGGTGTCCTTATAAGAAGGAAAGATTAGGGTGCACAGAGAGGCACCAGAGATGAGTGAATACAGAAGAAAGAGCATGTGAGGACGCATTGAGAAGGCACCCATCTGCACACCAAGGAAAGAGGCCTCAGATGAAACCAAACCTGCCAATGCTTTGATCTTGAACTTTGATATAGTTTGGATATTTATCACCTCCAAATTGCATTTTGAAGTTTGATGCCCAGCCAGCCAGCATGGTGACTCATACTTGTAATTCCAGCCCTTTGGGAAGCCAAGGCAGGAGGATTGCTTGAGGCCAGGAGTTTGAGACCAGAGTGAGCAACATGGCAAGATCCCATCTTTACAGAAAAATTTAAAAATTAGCTGGTCATGGTGCCATGCACTTGTAGTCCTAGCTACTTGGGAGGCTAAGGTGGGAGGATGCTTGAGCCCAGGAGTTCAAGGCTTCCGTGAGCTATGATTGTACCACCACACTCTGGCCTGTGTGACAGAGCAACACCCTGTCTCAAAAAATAAAAAGCAAGAAATTCAGCCAGGTGCAGTGGCTCACGCCTGTAATCCTAACACTTTGGGAGGCTGAGGCGGGTGGATCACTTGAGGTCAGGAGGAGTTCAAGTCTAGCCTGACCAATATGGCAAAACCCCATCTCTTCTAAAAATACAAAAATCAGCCAGTCATGGTGGCATGCACCTGTAATCCCAGCTACCCAGGAGGCTGAGGCACGAGAATCACTTGAACCCAGGAGGCGGAGGTTGCAGTGAACCGAGATCGAGCAACACTGCACTTCAGCCTGGGCAACAGAGCAAGACTCTGTCTCAAAAGAAAAAAAAAAAAGAAAAAAATTTTATTCCCAATGTTGGAGGTCATCATGAATGGCTTGGTGCCATTCTTGTGGGATTGAGTCCTTATTCTTAGTTCCTACAAGATATGGCTATTAGAAGGAGCCTGATATCTCCTTCTCTCATTCTCTCCCTTGCTTCTTTCCTCTCACCATGTGATGTTGGCTCCCCTTCACCTTCTGCCATGAGTGGAAACTCCCTGAGGCCCTCACCAGAAGCAGATGCTAACAACATGTTTCCCATACAGCCTGCAGAACCATAAGCCAAATAAACTCATTTTCTTTATAAATCATCCAGCCACAGGTATTCCTTTTTAGCAACACAAACAGACTAAGACAGACTTCTAGCTTCCAAACTGTGAGAAATAAATTTCTGATGTTTAAGTCACTCAGTCTGTGATACTTTGTTATGGCAGCTCTAGCAAACTAACATATACAGATTACTGGAACCACTGCCAAGCTCAAGAAAAATCTTTTCTCCCCCATTTCCAGCCAACTCTGCCAAATACACTAAGTGAGACTTCAGTATCCTTTTTTTTTTTTTTTTAAACTATGTGACCTTCATCCTTAACATTTACTTAAAATCTAGGCTTGGGCTCATTACTAAAGCTTAAAGAATGGGATCCTCTCAGATGGAAATTGGTTTTAGGATTCAGAGAGAGCTAGGGAATTTCCTCAATGTGGGCCCAGGAGTAGAAAAATCGGAGGTGATCTCATGGAGCAGACACTTAGGAATACGCAGGTAAAACCGACTGGGCAAGTTCTCTAAGATTTTTGCTTTTTCTAATCTAGTAGAACTTTTTTGAGGGGCAGTTATAGTCAGTCTATTCTGAGAGATAGCCAAGCATCCTTATTGTAAACTCTCAATCTTGGTTAAGTTAGCTCCAGTTGGTTTCTGTGACTTGCAATCAGGAAATCCTAAATAATCCAAGTGCCAGTTTGGGCCTAATAACTGCAGACATCCATGGGATGGGGGCCTAGACAGAAACATGTGAGGGGACCCCTATTCCCAGCTCTCAACTCACCCCTAACATGCCCAGAAATGACTGGAGAGACCTTTGGGGAGGTCAAGAGGTCTTACAGGAGCACGTGGGCAAGATGGGTCAGAGAAATTTGAGTTATTACGGTAAATGTGACCTTATTTATCCTCACAGCCTTCGGAGGCCTGAGGAAATTTGAGTTACAGAGAGATAGATGAAAAAAATTGCAGGAATCTGTGACAACAGTGCCAGGCAGACTAAAACCCAGCATGAACTGGGGTTTCCAAAAAGTGCTAAAGAAAAAAGTCACTTCAGGAAGAAACACAAGACAAATTAAATCCTCTGGCAGTGTACTATGAAATGGCTGGCCACGATGAAAAATCAATAAATCAATCAAAAATTTTTCAGGAAGAAGCTTCATGAGCCAAAAAGGAAGGCCTCTGATCCAGCTGCTAATAGGAGAGGAAAAGGAAGCAGACCACAATTATTCTTTGTCGAGCCTGACCTAAGCCTAGTCAGGCTATAGCAGGCCCAGACTCCACAATGGATTGGTTCTGTGATGGGATGAGGAGAAGGAGAAATGCTGGGAAGCCTGGCTTGGAGAGAATCCCAGAGGTCAATACACTAGCCAGCAACTCCATCCTAGCCAATGACTCAGAAGCTTCTTGTCCCTTTGCACTGACACATATATCCTGATAGAGAAGCAGACATGTCCTGATAGGCACATATACCCTGATAAAGAGCTACGTATTTCCTGATAGCATCAACACATATGGTGAACTTAATGATCATCCCTGAATACTCACATCCTAGAGAGGACAATGTTTTTCTGCACCATTGATTCGAGGCCAATCCATGAGATTTGCTCTGGCCAGTGAAGTGTAAGCAGAAGTGGCATGTGTCATTTCCAGAGAGTCACTTTTAGACTTGGTGTGTGGTTTGCTATTTCTCCCTTTTCTCAACCACAAGACTGGTAATGTTCTAGATAGAGGCCTGTCCATCAGCCTGTGTCCCAGGGTGAAAGGAATATGAGCAGAGCTGCAACAATTTGTAATAATCATGAAATGTAGTGAGAAATAAATCTTTGTTACCAGGCATTGCAATTTGGGGGATTATTTGTTACTGAAGCATAACCTAGTGTATTAGTCCATTTTCACACTGCTATAAAGATACCACCTGAGACTGGGTAATGTACAAGTAAAAGAGGTTTAATTGACTCACAGTTCCTCATGGCTGGGGAGGCCTCAGAAAACTTAAAGTCATGGCAGAAGGCAAAGGAGAAGCAAGTACCTTCTTCACAAGGCGGCAGGAGGAGAGTGAGTGCAGGGGAAATGCCAGACACTTATCAAACAACCAGGTCTCATGAGAACTTGCTCACTACCATGAGAACAGCATGGAGGAAACCGTCCCCATGATCCAATCACCTCCCACCAGGTCCCTCCCTAGACATCTGGGGATTACAATTCAAGATGAGATTTGGGTGGGGACATAGCCAAACCATATCACCTAGCCTCTCCTGGCTCTTACAACCTGCAAAATCAATAGCACGGTGATGAGAATAGAGCACTTCTCATTACCAAGAAGAATCTACAGGCTTCAGGGGATGGCAGTGAAAGTGTATTACAGGAAGTACTGGGGCAGCCCATCAGAATTTCAGGAGTAAGATACATGTGAGAATTTGTTTGTAAAAGCACAGCCTCAGAAATCCCCTGAATAGCAAATATATTATTTATTTTTACCCCAACTGGAAAAATAAAGGGCTGATGAAGTCAAATAAAACAGAGGTTATATTATATTACTGAAAAGGATTTGGGGAGATTTGAGATTTTGTTTGTTTTGCTTTGTTTTTTAGCTAGGTTTTGGGCCAAAAGGAGATAAAGTAAAGATTAACCTACTTAATTGAGGAAGAAGATAAATGGTGACAGATTGTGAGAAACAAACTCACCCTTTTAAAACCAAAGAATGAACTCAGAGACCCAGAGAACAGTGAAAGTGAGACTTTTAATGACAGTTTTGCAAGACTGGGTGTTTGATGGGCAGGCATACCCAGCACAGTTTTAACAAGCAATTTATCCCCTAGTGTGCAAATCCCTCCCCTGTTCCTTATAGGCTGAATACTATGGGGTCACAGTCTTCCGGACGTTGCTTATTGATTGTTGGGTAGGGGCTTTAGATGTTTTCTTTAGGGTTGTCTTGCTGCATTTTGTTGCAGCCCACAATGCATTCCAATCCTAGTTAGCTCAGGGGCTCTTTAAGTATTTGACTTATGACCTAAGTAGCTGGGCAGGCTGATAAGAGCAGAAAAAGTGAGCTATTTGCAGGCTAGTAAACTTTTATCTTAGACTAAACTTTTTTGGTTCGGGTGACAGCAACTAAGGTGGGGGCTGGGGGCTGACAAACAGGCATTGGCTATGCAAGCAGGGGCCTAGTATATCCTGTTTCTTCTTTAGTTTGCTGACTTAAACTGATTTAAGGCACTTTGTCTTGGAAATGGACTACTATATGCATTATCTCCTTCACAGATGCACACACAATCCCTAAAACTACTGTTGGTTTTGGGTATAATCTTTTGGATGTAGGACCCAGGGTGTGGTACTCTGCTGATGGCCCAGGCCATAGTCCCTTAGATGTGACTCCTTTTCACATACTGTTTGTGTCTCCATTATCAAAAAGCCAGTTCTTGCTCCCTATTTATTTTTCTATTCTTCACAGCAGCCTTATCTTGCTTTAAGCAGCTCCTTTTCTTGGGACAGGAAATGTGTCCCTGAACCTTTGCTTGGGGGCAAGATCCCAGTTTCCATGGGTCCCAATGTCCCTTTGCTGTCTACCTGCCTCCCGGATTCTGATGTTCCACATCCAGCTTACCGCCCACTTGTGAAGACATCAGTACCATCTTGGAATCTTCTGTCTCCCATCTCCTTGCTGGCCCTTTGCCTGGAATAAAACAGAAGTGGTTGGAACCCTAGGTCATCATTCTTTCCTTGCTAACCCGAGACTCTGTATTTGTCTCTATTGGGGGAACCCACCCCCAATATTTCAACATAGGTTCTTTAAATTTTCCATAAGTGTCAGCTGGCTGAGAAATAAACAGAGACAGTACAAAGACAGGAATTTTACAGCTGGGCCACCAGGGGTGACATCACATATTGGTAGGACCATGATGCCTGCCTGAGTCTCAGAACAGCAAGTTTTTATTAAGGGTTTCAAAAGGGGAGGGGGTGTAAGAACAGGGAGTAGGTACAAAGATCATATGCTTCAAAGAGCAAACAGTAGAACCACTAATAAGCATCTAACAAAGATCGCATGCTTCTGAGGGAACAGGACAAAGGGCAAAAGCAGAACCACTGATAAGGGTCCAACAAAGATCACAGGGCAAAGGGCAAAAGGAGAACCACTGAAAAGGGTCTGTGTTCAGCGGTGCACGTATTGTCTTGATAAACATCTTAAACAACAGAAAACAGGGTTCAAGAGCAGAGAACCAGTCTGACCACAAATTTACCAGGGTGGAGTTTTCCCAACCCTAGGAAGCCTGAGGGTTCTGCAGGAGACCAGGGCTTATCTCAGTCCTTGTCTCAACTGCACAAGACAGACATTCCCAGAGCGGCCGTTTATAGACCTCCCTCCAGGAACACATTCCTTTCCGAGGGTATTAATATTAATATTCTTTGCTAGGAAAAGAATTTAGCAATATCTTTCCTACTTGCACATCTGCTTATAGACTCTCTGCAAGAAGAAAAATATGGCTCTTTTTGCCTGACCCCGCAGGCAGTCAGACCTTATGGTTGTCTTCCCTTGTTCCATAAAAATTGCTGTTATTCTGTTCTTTTTCAAGGTGCACTGATTTCGTAGTGTTCAAATACACATGTTTTACAATCAATTTGTACAGTTAACGCAATTATCACAGTGGTCCTGAGACGACGTACATCCTCAGCTTACGAAGATAACAGGATTAAGAGATTAAAGTAAAGACAGGCATAAGAAATTATAAAAGTATTATTTGGGAACTGATAAATGTCCATATTAAGATGAACTCTTCACAATTTATGTTCCTCTGCCACAGTTCCAGCGGGTCCCTCCATTCGGGGTCCCTGACTTCCCATAACATGTCTCAACATTCAATCACCTCTGTGTTGGTCCTACCCAGTAGTAACTCTTGTGTCCAGCTCTTCTCTACCATTATGAAGCTGTGCTTGTCACAAATCAGAATGACAGCTGATATAAATTAATGGGAGACTCAATCTTTAAAATGACTTCAACTAGTTTTCATGAGTTATCTGTGAAAACTAGCCTGCAAAATAGCTCACTTTTTCTGTTCTTATCAGCCTACCCAGCTACTTAGGTCATAAGTCAACAAAAAAGACTCCACGTGGAAAGTTTACTCTTTTTTTTTTTTTTTTTAAAGAGATGAGGTCTCACTATGTTGCCCAGGCTGGGCTCTAACTCCTGGGTAGAAGTGGTCCTCCCACCTCAGCCTCTCCAGTAGCTGAAACTACAGGCTTGAGCCACCACACCCAGCAATGAGGAAGGTTTTGTAGGCACACTCAAAAGTGGAATGACATGACTCCATGATGGGGAAGATCCAGCTGTCTGTTGTTCATAAGAAATGGGCCTGAGGTATAATCAGATTGACCACAGGAACCAGTTGTGTAGCCACCAAAAAGCTTTCCAAAGAAAACAGGAATTCATCTCTCTTTAAAATATTTTTGCCTATGTCTGGAAGAGGCTGCAGGCTCTTACTTGTGAGGCTGAGGTTGGGCAGAATAGCTGGATTAAAACACTAACTTGAGGCCAGGCATGGTGGCTCATGCCTGTAATCCTAGCACCTTGGGAGGCTGAGGCACTGGATTGCCTGAGCCCAGGAGTTTGAGATCAGCCTGGGTAATATGGTGAAGCCCAGTCTCTACTAAAAATACAAAAAATTAGCCAGGCATGGTGGTGCATGCCTGTACTCCCAGCTACCCAGGAGGCACGAGAATTGCTTGAATCCAGGAGGCAGAAGTTGCAGTAAGCCAAGATTGCACCACCAAACTCTAGCCAGAGTGACAGAGTGAGACCCTGTCTCCAAAAAACAAAAATAAAAAATAAACATTAACTTGAGCAATGCCATAAAATTCATACAAAAATGGAGGAACTATTCTAAATAAAAGAGTCATGAAAAACAAATGCAAATGTGAGATCTTTTATTTTATTCTAGATTTAAAAAATAGCAGAAAGCATTATTTGCCTAATAGGAAAATTGTATATGGTCTGTACCTTATGTATTATTAAGTATATTAAATTACTGTTAATCTTCTTAAGTGAGATAATGATATTGTGGTTTTGAAGACAATGTCCTTGTTCTTAGAAGACACACATTGATGTGATTTAGCATGAAATGGCATGATGTTAGCAATTTACTTTCAAATGATTCAGCAAACATTTTATATATGTATCTTATATATGTATAAAATCTAGGTGAAGGGCATATAGGTGCTGATTGTACTAGTCTTCACATTTTTGGTAGGTTTGCAAATTTAAAGGGAAAATTTTATCTTGAGAAACCATTAAAAGAAGAGATAATTTTTGCTTAAAGAAATGAAGAATGAAAGAAGTTAAGGTTGCTCTGTCTAATTATGTGAGGAACTGCATCAGAAAAAAAGGGATGGAACTTCAGAATATCTCCAGAGAACAGAGGTAGCATCTAGGCCTGGGAGAAACCAGAAAGTAGATTTTGGCTTAAAAGAAAGAAAACTGCGTAATAAGACTCTTGCTCCTTGGCTACAGCCAGGCACTCTAGTAGCAGAAGAGAAGACATAATTTTAAGGTGAGAATGTGTTTGTCACTAAATACGATCTTTGCATTTTTATTACCCAGGAATGACCAGAAAAATCATGGGAGCTGCCTGAGAATTAAGGGAATAATTTCCCCACTGAATAAAAGTTAAAGAAACAGTGAATATTTGATACGGTTTGGTTGTGTCCCCACTCAAATCTCATCTTGGATTATAATCCCCATAATCCCCATGTGTCGAGGGAGGGACCTGGTGGGAAGTGATTGGATGATGGGGGCTGCTTCCTCCCTACTGTTCTCATGATACTGAGTGAGTTCTCACAAGATCTGATGGTTTTATAAGGGGCTCTTCCTCCTTTGCTTTCTCTTCTCTCTCCTGCTGCCATGTAGGACATACCTTGCTTCCCCTTCATCAACCACCATGATTGTAAGTTTCCTGTGGCTTCCCCAGCCGTGCAAAACTGTGAGTCAATTAAACCTCTTTGGTTTATAAATTACCCAGTCTCAGGTGAAAGTGTGAAAATAGACTAATACAATATTTTAAAAAATATTCTTGAGTAGAGCTTGTTCAAAATACTGAAAGCTTTTGTTCATAATTTAGTTATTGTATACTACATTAACTGATTTTCAAATGTTAAGACAACATGGCATTTATGGGATAAATGCACTTAATCATGATATATAATCACTTTTATATTTGCTGAGACTCATTTTCTTTTTTTTTAATTATAATTTAAGTTTTAGGGTACATGTGCACAACGTGCAGGTTAGTTATGTATGTATACATGTGCCATGTTGGTGTGCTGCACCCATTAACTCGTCATTTAACTTTAGGTATATCTCCTAATGCTATCCCTCCCCTCTCCCCCCACCCCAATACAGGCCCCGGTGTGTGATGTTCCCCTTCCTGTGTCCATGTGTTCTCATTGTTCAATTCCCATCTATGAGTGAGAACATGCGGTGTTTGGTTTTTTGTGCTTGTGATAGTTTGCTGAGAATGATGGTTTCCAGCTTCATCCATGTCCCTACAAAGGACATGAACTCATCATTTTTTATGGCTGCATAGTATTCCATGGTGTATATGTGCCACATTTGCATAATCCAGTCTATCATTGTTGGACATTTGGCTTGGTTCCAAGTCTTTGCTATTGTGAATAGTGCTGCAATAAACATATGTGTGCATATGTCTTTATAGCAGCATGATTTATAATCCTTTGGGTATATACCCAGTAATGGGATGGCTGGGTCAAATGGTATTTCTAGTTCAAGATCCCTGAGGAATCGCCACACTGACTTCCACAATGGTTGAACTAGTTTACAGTCCCACCAACAGTGTAAAAGTGTTCCTATTTCTCCACATCCTCTCCAGCACCTGTTGTTTCCTGACTTTTTAATGATCACCATTCTAACTGGTGTGAGATGGTATCTCATTGTGGTTTGGATTTGCATTTCTCTGATGGCCAGTGATGATGAGCATTTTTTTCATGTGTCTTTCAGCTGCATAAATGTCTTCTTTTGAGAAGTGTCTGTTCATATCCTTCACCCACTTTTTGATGGGGTTGTTTGTTTTTTTCATGTAAATTTGTTTGAGTTCATTGTAGATTCTGGATATTAGCCCTTTGCCAGATAAGTAGGTTGCAAAAATTTTCTCCCTTTCTGTAGGTTGCCTGTTCACTCTGATGGTAGTTTCTTTTGCTGTACAGAAGCTCTTTAGTTTAATTAGATCCCATTTGTCAATTTTGTCTTTTGTTGCCATTGCTTTTGGTGTTTTAGACATGAAGTCCTTGCCCATGCCTATGTCCTGAATGGTATTGCCTAGGTTTTCTTCTAGGGTTTTTATGGTTTTAGGTCTAACATTTAATTCTTTAATCCATCTTGAATTAATTTTTGTATAAGGTGTAAGGAAGGGATCAAGTTTCAGCTTTCTACATATGGCTAGCCAGTTTTCCCAGCACCATTTATTAAATAGGGAATCCTTTCCCCATTGCTTGTTTTTCTCAGGTTTGTCAAAGATCAGATAGTTGTAGATATGTGGCATTATTTCTGAGGGCTCTGTTCCGTTCTGTTCTGTTCTGTTCTGTTCCATTGGTCTATATCTCTGTTTTGCTACCATACCATGCTGTTTTGGTTACTGTAGCTTTGTAGTATAGTTTGAAGTCAGGTAGCATGATGCCTCCAGTTTGTTCTTTTGGCTTAGGATTGACTTGGCAATGCAGGCTCTTTTTTGGTTCCATATGAACTTTAAAGTAGTTTTTTCCAATTCTGTGAAGAAAGTCATTGGTAGCTTGATGGGGATGGCATTGAATCTAAAAATTACCTTGGGCAGTATGGCCATTTTCACAATATTGATTCTTCCTACCCATGAGCATGGAATGTTCTTCCATTTGTTTGTATCCTCTTTTATTTCATTGAGCAGTGGTTTGTAGTCCTCCTTGAAGAGGTCCTTCACGTCCCTTGTAAGTTGGATTCCTAAGTATTTTATTCTCTTTGAAGCAATTGTGAATGGGAGTTCACTCACAATTTGGCTCTCTGTCTGTTATTGGTGTATAAGAATGCTTGTAATTTTTGCACGTTGATTTTGTATCCTGAGATTTTACTGAAGTTGCCGATCAGCTTAAGGAGATTTTGGGCTGAGACGATGGGGTTTTCTAGATATACAATCATGTCATCTGCAAACAGGGACAATTTGACTTTCTCTTTTCCTAATTGAATACCCTTTATTTCCTTCTCCTGCCTGATTGCCCTGGCCAGAACTTCCAACACTATGTTGAATAGGAGTGATGAGAGAGGGCATCCCTGTCTTGTGCCAGTTTTCAAAGGGAATGCTTCCAGTTTTTGCCCATTCGGTATGATATTGGCTGTGGGTTTGTCATAGATAGCTCTTATTATTTTGAGATACGTCCTATCAATACCTAATTTATTGAGAGTTTTTAGCGTGAAGGTTGTTGAATTTGTCAATGGCCTTTTCTGCATCTATTGAGATAATCATATGGTTTTTGTCATTGGTTCTGTTTATATGCTGGATTACGTTTATTGATTTGCATATGTTGAACCAGGCTTGCATCCCAGGGATGAAGCCCACTTGATCATGGTGGATAAGCTTCTTGATGTGCTGCTGGATTTGGTTTGCCAGTATTTTATTGAGGATTTTTGCATCGATGTTCATCAGGGATATTGGTCTAAAATTCTCTTTTTTTCTGTGTCTCTGCCAGGCTTTGGTAGCAGGATGATGCTGGCCTCATAAAATGAGTTCGGGAGGATTCCCTCTTTTTCTATTGATTGGAATAGTTTCAGAAGGAAGGGTACCAGCTCCTCCTTGTACCTCTGGTGGTGTTCGGCTGTGAATCTGTCTGGTCCTGGACTTTTTTTTGGTTGGTAAGCTATTAATTATTGCCTCAATTTCAGAGCCTGTTATTGGTCTATTCAGAGATTCAGCTTCTTCCTGGTTTAGTCTTGGGAGGGTATGTGTGTTGAGGAATTTATCCATTTCTTCTAGATTTTCTAGTTTATTTGCATAGAGGTGTTTATAGTATTCTCTGATGGTAGTTTGTATTTCTGTGGGATCGGTGGTGATATCCCCTTTATCATTTTTTATTGCATCTACTTGATTCTTCTCTCTTTTCTTCTTTATTAGTCTTGCTAGTGGTCTATCAATTTTGTTGATGTTTTCAAAAAACCAGCTCCTGGATTCATTGATTTTTTTGAAGGGTTTTTTTGTGTCTCTTATTTCCTTCAGTTCTGCTTTGATCTTAGTTATTACTTGCCTTCTGCTAGCTTTTGAATGTGTTTGCTCTTGCTTCTCTAGTTCTTTTAATTATAATGTTAGGGTGTCAGTTTTAGATCTTTCCTGCTTTCTCTTGTGGGCATTGAGTGCTGTAAATTTCCCTCTATACGCTGCTTTGAATGTGTCCCAGAGATTCTGGTATGTTGCGTCTTTGTTCTCGTTGGTTTCAAAGAACATGATTATTTCTGCCTTCATTTCGTTATGTACCCAATAGTCATTCAGGAGCAGATTGTTCATTTTCCATGTAGTTGAGTGGTTTTGAGTGAGTTTCTTAATCCTGAGTTCTAGTTTGATTGCACTGTGGTCTGAGAGAGTTTGTTATAATTTCTGTTGTTTCACATTTGCTGAGGAGTGCTTTACTTCGAATTATGTGGTCAATTTTGGAACACGTGTGGTGTGGTGCTGAAAAGAACGTATGTTCTGTTGATTTGGGGTAGAGAGTTCTGTAGATGTCTATTAGGTCCGCTTGGTGCCGAGCTGAGTTCAATTCCTGGATATCCTTGTTAACTTTCTGTTGCTGAGACTCATTTTCTAATATTTTGCTAAGAATTTTTCCACCTATATGCATGAGGGATATTGATATATTGCTTTGTTTTCTTGTCTTTATATATATATCAGTGTTTGAGTTGGAAACAACATTATATATGTGCACCTTGAGATCAGGAATACGACAGTGAATAAGATAGACCTGGTTCCTACCCTCAAGAAGTTTACAGTCTGTTGGGGAAAGTTAGAGATAACAAAAGAAAATAAGTGTATGTATTTGTACATTTACAATTACAGTTGTGATAATGCTATAAAAGAAATAAATGATGTTATATGATTTTTAAAGTAATGGAACCAAGTAGGGAGGGCTAGGGGGACTTTCTTAAGGGGATGATAAGGAAGTTCTCTCCAAAGAAAACTAAAGAATGAGTCAGCTCCGGCCAGGCGCAGAGGCTCATACCTATAATCCCAGCACTTTGGGAGGCTGAGGCGGTGGATCACTTGAGGTCAGGAGTTCAAGACCAGCCTGGCCAACATGGTGAAACCCTGTTGTTTAGTAGAAATCTCTACTAAGCATACAAAAAATTAGCCAGACGAGGCAGTGGGCGCCTGTAATCTCAGCTATTTGGAAGGCTGAGGCAGGAGAATTGCTTGAACCCAGAGGCAAAGGTTGCAGTGAGCTAAGATTGCACTACTGCCCTCCAGCCTGAGTGGCAGAGTGAGATGCTGTCAAAAAAAAAAAAAAAAAAAAAAAGAATAGGTCAGCTGGAAAAGGAAGTAGGGGTATGAAATATTTCAAACAGAGGTAACAAAAGATACAAAGGCCCCAGGCAGGAAAAACCTTGCAAATTAGAGAAACTGAAAAAGATGTGCTTAGGGCATGATAAGTGACCTTAAGACAGATAGAGAAGGAAAGACAGCCAGCTCAGGCAGGCCATTCTAGTCCACAAAGGATTTTGTATTTTATTCTAAGTGTTATGGGAATCCATCAGTGAGTTCAGTACAGGAGCATGGTTGGCAGAGTAGGTTTAATTATTTTCATCTTACAGATTATGTTACTGAGTCTCAGAGAGGTTGATTCATTCCGGATCACACAGTAAGTGGCTGAAAACCAAAATAATTCAACTCCTAAGGTAATACTCCTTGGACTATTATATTTTGATTTTTGGTCTTAATGATGACCTCCACTTGATGCTGGAGCCTCAAACTTGAATTTGTCATATCTTCTACTTGTGAGTTATTTGCTTAAAAGGCCCACATAGAGGGGAGCCTGAAAGCTGGTTTACAGTGAGGCTTGGCACCGTCTGTACATTTCTCTTACCCATTCTGCCCCAATAATAGAGAACTAAGCACTTTTCAGGGAAAGATGCAGATGGATGAAGGAGGTAATCTTTATAAAAATTAATACTAAAATACAATTTTTCCTTTAATGGTGAAATCAACTTAAGATTTAGTTTCCAAAATGGTAATCCAGCACCAACATAGGAAGATAGAATTTTGAGCATTGCAGGCATAAGTGTATTAAGGGCTGTGTGAGTTTATGGGGACTGGCAGGGGCAAGACTTGGGAAGATGAGCTATTTTTCAGACCTAAATATTAAAAAGCTCTTTACTGAGGGCACAAGAAGAGAAAACTGGATTTTACATCTAGGAAATTTAGACTTTGTCAAATACCACAAGAATGCTATGAGGGACCTGTAAGGAAGGCACCATGGTGGCTTTATAAGAAAAGTGGTGACTTGCTTCTTGGGAGGTCACAGCCTTCTCAGGAGACTGCAGGTGAAAAGCTACTGGACCAAAGGTCAGAAAACCAGGGGTCTGAGTCATCCTTCCACAAACCAAATGTGTCACCTTTGGCGAGTTTTCTGGTTTTGGCTTTCTCATTTGTAAAGCCAGAGTTTCAAAATAGTAGGTCTTTAAAGACTCTTTCAGGTCTAAGATACTACAATTTAGAACTTAGAGTTCAGTTTTCTAGCCTGTATATTCAAACCATACTATCAAGTCTAATTTTTTTTTTTTTTTTTTTTTTTGAGACAGAGTCTCGCTCTTTCACCCAGGCTGGAGTGCAGTGGCATGATCTCGGCTCACTGCAAGCTCCGCCTCCCGGGTTCACGCCATTCTCCTGCCTCAGCCTCCCGAGTAGCTGGGACTACAGGCACCTGTCACCACACCCGGCTAATTTTTTGTATTTTTAGTAGAGACGGGGTTTCACCGTGTTAGCCAAGATGATCTCGATCACCTGACCTCGTGATCTGCCCACCTTGGCCTCCCAAAGTGCTGGGATTACAGGCGTGAGCCACCACGCCCAGCCTGTCAAGTCTAATTTTTCAAACAGTAGAAGAATTTAACAATTATCTAGTGATTTTGAGTGTAACTAACCCAAATAAATGATGGCAAAATAATTGACTGAGTATTTCAGACTGCCGCTAGTGCTTGCGCAGGTCCTGGTATTACTTTGGCTAAATAGTAAGTTTCAATTCAATTCAACCTCAAATTTTCAATGTTATCCTTCTTTTTTTTTCTACTTCTTGCAAGGTCATCCCAACCTCTATAACTATTTCATTTGTAGAGAATACAAGTGGAATTGTAAATATCTGTGGGAATTTAAAAATAGAAGTGGCACTTTGGTTTCCTTTATTTTCACATTCTTTAAGACACGAATATTTATTGCAACCCCTTCCAAAACACACAAAATGTACATCTACATACACACACATTGACCAACACCTAGATCTCTTCACATTTAGTAAAGCTTAACCTATTCAGTGGTCATTAAAGATTTCAGAGCCAAAGATATGAATGATTAATGACTGGCCAAGAGGGGATATTCAACTGAAACGTTAAAAGGCCCTACTTTGTATTCTAAAAGGTATTGAATTTTGCCCTGAGAAAAATGAAAGTGAAAGTGCTAACTGAAGAAGTCAAATGGTTTCCTGGATGGAAAGATAACTTCCTATCCTGTCTTCTATATCACTGTGTAGGTTCTTAGAGGCCAAATGAGATGGTACATTGACAAACGTTGAGACTGACCTGGTCAAAAGTGACTTAACAGATTTTTCAAACATCATACACACCTAAGCCCGAATAAGGGAAGCCTGCCCACTACTATTTGCTGGAAATTCTTGTATAAATATTTCAGTGTGGCTTTTATTCTTTGATGCTTCTAAGGGTTTTTCTGGCACTTGAGGAGTTACATACCCATTCATCTGTCAAAATTGAAAGAGGAATGTTATTCAAGAGAGTGTTCACATGTCTGAATAAATGCAGCAAAATAAGACAAGTGAAAAATGGCTCAGTCCTAAGTGTCCTAAGCATTCTGGAAAGCGCATGTACATTTTAAAACTGATTGCTTTTTTAATTTTCTGTGTATCATGTTCATGGCTTTTAAAAAAAATTTACTGATTTTCTTGATGAAGAGTTTAGCAAATGCAGAAATTGAATCTTACTTTCCAAATGTTTTGATTGCTTCTAATTGCCTTTAGTTTTTTTATGTGTGTTAGTTTAATACCACAGAAAGCTTTAGAATCATTAGCTCTAGAAACATAAGCCTGCCACTTAATCACACAATGAGTGAATCACTGGCATCCAGGCTAGCCAGAAAGCCAGATCTGGAGCTGTCTGTTCTAAGCCTCAACTGGGAGATTCATCTGTCTTAGGCTGCTCAAATCACTTCTTGTCTAGTGGAAATTTTCAGAATGCCCTCACAGCTATAAATTTCCAACATGGTATAGAAATTCATTGGCCCACCACAACTGACTATTCTAGGGAGTGGAAGAAGCTTTTAGTTATATTCATTTTCTGAAACAAAAAGAACTCTTAACGGCCTCTTGTCTATCTGTCTCCTCTCCTTTGCTACCCTACCCAACAGCAGCAATGGTATAATGCGAAGATAGCCCCCAGAATTCCATGTACCAAAGGTTATGAATTGGTCTTGTATTAAAAGCACAAACCTCAAAATTAGACCTGGATTCAAATCCAGCCTCCCCACTTTTAGTTGTGGGCCCTAGGAAAAGTTATTTACTCTCTCTTAGCCTCAGTTTTTTCATCTACGTGATGGAAGAAATAATCTCTACTTCAAGTAGTTGTTATAAGAATCGGAGAAGATAATACATAAAAAACAGACAGCTCCTGGCAGGGACTAAGTGCTTTTTTTTTTTTTTTCTTTTGAGACAGGATCTCGTTCTGTTGCCCAGGCTTGAGTTCAGTGGCATGATCATGGCTCACTGCAGCCTCGACCTCCTGAGCTCAAGCCATCCTCCCACTTCAGCCTCCCTAGTAGCTAGGACTACAGGCACGCATTACCACGCCCATATAATTTTTGTATTTTTTGTAAAGACGGGGTTTCTCCACGTTGCCCAGGCTCATCTTGAACTCCTGGGCTCAAGCAATCTGCCCGCCTCAGCCTCCCAAAGTCCTGGGATTACAGGCACGAACCACTGCGCCTAGCCATAAATCCTTATTTAATGGGAGCTGTTAATGTTGTTGATGTTGTTGCTATTGTTGTTGCTAAGTTCTATCTGTGAATTATTCTACATTCCCAATAATCAGTGGAAGTCTTTGAATCTTATCAGTGGAAAGGAGTTTAAAAATCTTATCCCCCAATCCACTTAATTTACAGATCAAGAAACTCATGTTTCTGTAAAATATTCAAGAGGCCACACACTTGTCCAAGGTCACACAGAATGACCTGAAGGATGGCAAAGTCTCTTGATTTCCAGACCACAGTTTATTCTGCATGCAGTGCTCATGTACAATACTTTGATTGTTCTTTGGTACATGCAGGATTATTTCTCCTGCTTTCATATTTTTCTGATCACTTACAGTTTTAGTTCCAGCTTGCTATTATGTGGAATCTTAGATCAATATATGCATCTGAAAAAATGTGAAAATAGTGCAAATTAATTAGAAGCCAGAAAACCTAATCAGAAGAGAAACATTTTGAAAAAAGTGCATAAACAGTGCAAAATAATTTAGAATACCTATCCAAAGAACTGTTGTAGGAGAATAACGACTTTGTTATGAATAATGATAAACAGTTTTCTTTTTGATTTTCTGAAGAAATATTGCCAGGAAAAATGGTGTTAGATGCAAAGTCTAATATATGTTCTCCATATATATATCTTTGTATATATTACCAAAAAAAAACTACATTTAAAGTTTTGTTTTTTCTTCTAAATGTTTCACCTAAACAAGAATGAAAGTTTTGGAGAGAGGAAGGAAGAGAAAGAGACCTAATGTTATTTTTCTCCTGCTACAGGAGGGAATTTACCAAGAAATAGAAAATAGATGCCTTATTGTTGGATTGTGGCTAAGCAGTTCTCATTGCTGGAAGGACTTCCACTGAAGCCCAAAGCAGAAGAGGGAATTAAGTAAGCGACTCTTGCTTAAGCTGAATCTCAAATATCTTGCTGGTAGCTAGAATATAAAAGAGGGAGTCGAGGCGAAGCTATGACTCCACACTCCTCTCTTGTGCTAGCATTGGCTCAGCTTTGTTCTCTTTGGCTGGCAGCCTCCTGCCCTCAGTGCCTCTGACCCACCCCTGCCTTGGGAGGAAGGGCATTGCCAAGGATCTCTTTTAGCCCATAGGCGCCCCCTAGGAAAGCTTACTGGACCCATGACAACAGTCATAACACCGCTATGGTTCCTGGATCCTATTAAGAAAGATTCCTTTTATTCTTATTCATACAGCAAAATGCGCTTGTCATAAATAATATAAATAATGTGAAACATAGAGAGTAGAAAACTAAGTACTCTTTGGCCATAGTACTTAATTTTTGCTTTTTTTCACTTGACATATGTCTTGGAATCCTGTTCCATAGTCAATAGAAATTACCTCATTTTTAAAATAATTTTTTTCAATACTGTATTACTTTCAATACAGTATTCCATAATATAAATAAGCGATAATTCATTTAGCCATTTCCTGATTGAGACAAATTTCTGTCCCACTCTTATTTTTCTTTACTAAAGATAAAGCTGCAATGATCATCCATGTTTATTTACTTTATAAACATGTGTGAATATTTAAAATTCTTAGAAATGGAATTTAAGGACTTGAAGGATATGCTTGTTTTAAATTTGGATAGATATTTCTAAATTATTAAAAAAAGCTTGTACTGATTTACACCCTTGGAAGCTGTGTGTGAAACTGCCCATTTCCACCTGATGATACTGGTAGCAATCTATTGAATTTTTAACGAACTGATTAGTTGGTAATAAAGTATATCTCACTGTTTATTTTGCGTTTTCTTTGTCACTTTTGAAATTAAACATCTTTTCATATTTTATTTCTTATTTTTTTGTGAATTGTCTCTTTGTCTCTTATGCTAATTTTATATTTTATATCTTTTCATGATAATTTCAGGTGCCTTTAGTATATTTTGTATATTATATTTGGTTTTCTATATACTACAAAGACTTTCACTGGTACCTTCTATTTTGATGTCTTTTGTCATGCAGGTCTTTTCATTTTTTTTTTTTTTGGCATGTAATCTGTTGGTCTTTTATCAATGGCTCCTGGAATTTGTGTCTTTCTTCGGACAGCCTTTATCAACCCCCAAAATTATCAAAACTGATGTGCAATATCTTACTCTGGTTCCTTTCTGCTGTTTTTTTTTATTTGATGTTTAGAATTTAATCCATTTGGATTTTTGCTTATGGTGTGATATAGGTATCTAATTTTTTTTTCAGAATCTACAACGTTCTCAATATTGTGTGTGGGTTTTTTACTGTTGTTTGTTTGTTTGAGACACAGTCTCACTCTGTCGCCCAGGCTGGAGTGCAGCCACATGATCATGGCTCACTTCAGCCTTGACCTCCCAGTCTTAAGTGATCCTCCCCTCTCAGCCTCCCAAGTAGCTGGGACTACAGGTGCGAGCCACCACACCCAGCTAATTTTGTATTTTTTGTAGAGACAGGGTTTCCCTAAGTTGAAATGCTATCTTTTTATATTCTAAATGTTCCTTTATGCATAGCTTTGTTCCTGAATTGTCCTTTTTGGTTCCATTTGTCCATGTCTTTATTCTGAGCCAATAAAATACTGCTTAATTAATATAAGCTTTGTATATTTTGATAACTGAAAAGTCAGGTTTTTCCTTGTTTTCCTTTTTTTTGGTAAATTTTGTTGCTTGTTCTGAGGTATTCTCTCTTTTGAACTCTAAAATCAGCTTTTCAAATTCTATAAATCTCTTGTTAAGATTTTTATTAGGATTGAATTGAATTTATGGATTAATTTGAAAAGGTGACATCTTAGGAATATTGACTCTTTCATCTGGAAACATATATAGCTTTCTGTCTTTTCATGTCTTCTTTTATATCTTCAATAAGATTTTATAGTTTTCTTCATGCAGACCTTGCATAGTTCTAGGGGATTGTTTTTAAGTCTCTATTGCCATTGGGAATGAGATCTCTAGAATTTATTTTTCTGAAGAGAAAGGGGTAAAAGAAGAAAAAAGAAAGCAGGAGTTGGAAGAATATGATAGAGAAGGAAAAGAGAAAGAAAAATCAAAAGGGGAAGATGGAATGGTACAAAAAAGGAAAAAGGAGAAAATTTTATTTTTATTGAACATCTATTATGTGACACACACTGTGTTAGAGGTGTTCACGTGCATCATCTCGTGTGTACTTTCAACCACCTGGCTTGTTTGACAAAACTGAAGTTTAGAAAGATCAGCAAGGGATTATGGAACAGGAAATGGAAAGAGAACAGGTTTGGAATGAGACCTGGGAACCGATCCCAGATTCTGCTCTCATCAGCTGTGTGATCTTGCTCCCTTTACCTAATTACATTCCTTATTTGTAAAACTTGGATTATATCTGCTGAGGTGACTGTGAGGACCAAGTAAAACAGTGTATCTAAAGTGCCTGCCACATAAGGAGCTCACCGTAAATGCTGGTTCCCACCCATCATCATCTCTTCTGACCCCGTGGCCTGTCTGCCCCCTGCACCAGCCTGCCATGGAAATCCAAGTCTGCCCAGGACAACATGGAGCCTTAATATAAATGTGCTATGAGATGTTGATTCCATGAGTGTGTAACACCCAGGAACACATACCAACAGTTCTTAAGAAACACTATAGGAAAGACAATTGTTATGAGTTATGATTTGATTTGAAAAAAAGTCAAATAAGCCTGAAAAAAATAAATCATTCAGTACAAAAGGAGGCATTGTTGAAGTGTGGATCCTTATTTGAGCCTAAATCCCCAGTGAGAAACACCCTCTATTTCTACTCAAACAATGGTTTCTTGTTTGGGAGACAATGCTGGCTGCATGGTACTGGAAAGCATCAAATCCCCATGGCAATGGCAATGGTCTCCCCTGCAACACTGAAACAGTGTCTGGAGGAGCAACTGCACCACCTGACCAGGGCCTCAGCCATTGGACAGAAGCTCCAGTCTCAGCCTGAGCTGTAGGAAAACAGAACTGGCCCAGACATCTTGGCTACACCTTATATTTGCTGCAGGGGTCTGACCATCCAGAGGAGTTGTGCTCATGAAATGGGAGCATGAAGTAGAAAGAACGCTAAAAATAAGACATAACTGAAATGCCCCAAATGAATGTTCTCTTGGAAGCATGTAAGTTTTTTCCCAACACCTCTTGATCATGAAGGAAATTCATGAGCCAGCCTGGATTTAAATCCTCCCCCTCTGCAGCTGGAGGCTCTTGAGGAAATTTGTTCACCTCTCCGAACCTCATTTACTTCATCTGAAAAATGGGGTTAATAACACAAACTGCAGAGAATTCCTGTGAGAATTAAATCACACAAATATAAAAATGTTCTCTGTAAAAACCAGAATTGTTCTTTCATCATATAGGGAATTGCATTCAGAGCCTATGAATGTCTTCAATGCTTCTGAGTTTCACTTTTCAGGGAGAAATTTGAGTTCTTTAGTAGCCAAATGTCATATGATCCTAGGACTAGTAAATGATGTATGTGATAAAAAAATTTTTTTTTTAAAGAAGTGGACTCTCTTAAATACTGAGCCTGGTTTCCATATGTGACTTGTAACGTGATCTTGACCCATTGATTCTATGTTCAAATTGTATCTAGAACCCAATCACTTCTCACCACCTCTTCTGCTACCACCTGGTCATATCAAAGCCATCACCATCATATTTTTCCTGGATTATTGAAAGTAGTCCCCTAACTGATTTTCCTGCTTCTACTCTTGCCAGAAACATATTTTGAGCAATGGCAGTATCCTTGGAATAAATGTATCATCTCCCCAGAGGAGAGCCTTGGCCATCATTGATTGAATATTTATCTATTCAGCAAATATTTACAGAGCCTCAACCAGATGCCAGCATTGTTCAGGCTCTGGAAAAAAAAATACAGCAGGAAACCCAACAGGTACATTGCGGAGCCTCACGGAGCATATGTTCTTGAAGGGTGCAGTGACCAATAAACAGACAAACAAGCAAAGTATACCCTGTGCCAGGTGGTGATGGGTGATATACAGGAAAACAATACAGAGTAAAGGGAGGAGAGGGGCACAGGCACAGGGGGTGGAAAGTAGGGACTGTTATTTTAAGTGTAGTGGCTGGAGAAAGCCCCCTCTAACAAGCTAACATTTTGAGTGGAGACCAAAAGGAGAAGAGGGAGTGAGCCCTGTGGTCAGGTGGGAGGAGGGAGAGGGGAAGGTGTTGTAGACAGAGGAAAAAGCAGGTGCAAAGGCCCGGAGGCAAAGTGAAGGGGCCAGGATGGCTGGGGCACGGTGAGTGAAGGGAGAATAGAGAGAAAGGGGCTTACGGGAATGGGAAAGGGATCACAGTGGGCCCTGTGGGCCATGAGAAAGACTGAGGATCTTACTGAAATGAGCTGGTAAAATCACTGGGAAATTTTGAGGGGAGAAATGGCCATGATCTGAAGGAATTTTTAAAAGAATTATTTGGCCACTCTATACAGCAGTGGTTCTCAGACTTGAACATGTATCAGAATCATAGTGGAGGGCTTATTAAAACACAGATTACTAGACCCCAGAGATTCTGATGGACTAGGTCAGGTGTGGTCCAGGAGAATTTGCATTTCTAGCAAGCTCCCAGATGATGCTGATGCTGCTGGTCTGGCGCCACCCGGTAAAGACCACTGGTGTAGATAATCATCTGTAAGGGGCAATTGTAGAAGCAGGGAAACCACTTAAGGGGCTATTTGCAATAAACCAGATGATGATGGCTTTGATAAACCAAGTGGTAGCAGAGGAGGTGGTGAGAAGTGATTGGATTCAGGATACAATTTAAATATAGAGCCAATGAGATTTGCCAAATGATCAAATATGGGGCATTATGAGAGAAAGAAATGAATCAAGAATTCTAGATTATGCAATTAGATGAATACAATTGCCATTTACTGAGATAGACAAGAAAGATGGTTGGGGTGTGGAGAAAGAATTTAGGAGTTTAGTTTGGGAAATGTTAAATTTGTTATGCCTGTTAAAGATACCCAAATGGAGGTGTCAAGTAAGCCTTTCTTTAGAGGAGTCTGGAATTCAGGGGAACGTCCTGGTCTGGAGATAGAAATGCAGGGATCGTCAGCATACAGATGGTATCAGAAAGACTGAGCTCATCAATGGAGGGAATGAAGGTAGAGAAAAGGTTCAAGGATGGAGCTCTATGGCAATCCAATGGTTAGAAGTCTGGGTGATGAAAGGAACCCGTAATGAGAGAGAAGTGGCCAGATAGGTTAGAGGAAATCCTGGACAGTGTGATGCCCTGGATGTCAAGGGAAGCAAGTATTTCAATAAGTTCAGGTTTCTTTGCTACAAAGCCAGCTTGTCATTACAATTACCACCAAGAATCCACTGTGAAGGAGGAACTACTGGCTATGATAAGCTATGCTACATTTTGACCTTATGAAGAAACAATTCCAACCAGAAAAGATGGTCACTAAGATTGAGATTTATTTTCTTTTTCATATACACTTTTGAGCTGATTTTATTTTGGCAACCAAAAAATACAGCATTGACCCAATGTAATCACTGAAATGGACTGGAATATTTTCTTTCACCTTCTAGTGTTCTGTGTAATTGACATTTTTCCTTGAAGCAAATCCTCCAATTCTGAGAGATGGAGCTATAAATCTGAGTGGTTATATGTGTGGTCAGACTGCTGGGAATTTGTATGGGTAAATTTGATAAATGTTTCCAGAGGTGCAGTGCAGGCACTCTTTTTCCTACCCCTCTCCATTTATTCTCTGACAGTGGTTCTTGGAATTCTCTGTTTATTCAACAGTAAAAACAAATTAATATTTCAAATTGCTCATTCATTATCTCTGTGAAATCTGGTCTTTAATTTCTTACTTTTTCTAAGCAGGTTAGGAGCAGCCATGCCTGTAATGGCTGGGGAAGACTAGAGGTGGAGCCTGTGTGGGATTTGGGGTTGGTGACAATAGGTGGGAAGAAGAGGATCTGGATTTCTTTTGGAAGCCTGAAGCTTTGGGAGCAATCTACTATCAGGGTTGGGATAGGTTCTGCCATCCATCCACGTGGGTTTGTCTAGCCAAGTAAAGGAAATGAAGAACACATGGCCTAGAGCACCATGCTGCTCATCCTGGTTAGACACAACTGCAAGCACATCAGCTTTGCTCTCCACACTGAGTCCCCAACGTTCTCACTGCAAAGAACTCTCAGGCTTGCTTCTCTGAAAAATACAATTGCTGGCAACTCAAGATGCACAAAGCAGGACCATTTATTGCATCTCTTATCAAGGCATATCTGATGACAAGTCAGCCTTACTCAGCAAAATCTCATTACAGAACATTCATCTCACACAATTTTATACTGCTTCATTTTGTGAGTTACAACTTCAGAGGACTCATCTTTACATGTAAGTAGTATATAAAAACATACACCACAGACCATGTATTGCTTCTTACTGTAAGGAAAAATACCACTTGTTAAGTCAGCATTATTTCCCCCAAGTAAATTAGGTAAATAAGACAATGCCCAAATCTGTGCATTGCAACTCTGCAGGTGATACAACTGCTGGGGACTTGACTTCAGAAGAAGTGGATGAGGACAGCACATTGCTGTACGCTGTTTCTCTGGGGAAATGTAGGTGTTGGTATTCAGCACTGCTGCATGTAGAAGCTGCCCAAGCACAGGCTTCACGGAGCTATAGTTTGCTTCTCTATAAGGAGAAAACAACTGTTGGTTATTCAGGTTTTCTTCTCAAATGAGTTATTGAAATACTTATGGCTTGAAGTGTAATCTCTCCATGTCTTGTTCATTCAACAACAATTGCTTTTACATGTCAGACACTGATCTATGTGCTTGGAATATGTTACAGAAACATACAAAAATACAAAAATTCTTGCTGCCTTGGAGTTCATATTCTAGTTGGGGGAGAAAAAGTAACTAAAAATGTAATAAATAGTTAAATTATATAATGTGTTGGAAAGCCATAAAATGACATGGGAAAAGTGAAGCATGATAAGAAGTTTGGTAGAGAGAGAGCAACAGGTTGCAATTTGAAGTAGAGGAGACAGAGTAGCTTCATTGAGAGGGTGACATCCAAGAAAAGATTTGCAGGAGGTGAAGTAGTAAGCTAAGTGAATCTCCTGGGGAAAGTGCTCCAGGCAGATGAAAGAGCCAGTGCAGAAACAAGCCAGGCACATGTCAGGAAGAGCATGGAGACCAGTATGGCTAGAGTGGAGTGAATAAGGGAGAGAATAACAGGAGTTGAGGTCAAAGAGGTGATGGGGCCCTGCTTGTAGAAGGCCTTATTGGCCATCTGAGGGACTTGGCATTTAGTTTGAGTGAAATGGGAAGCCTTGGAAAGATTATAGGCAGAGAGATGATATGATCTGAGTTACATTTTAAGAAGATCATTCTGGTTTCTATGTTAGGAATAGTCTCTTGGAACACGAGTTTGACAGCAAAAAGACCAAAAGGAGGCTGTAGCAATACTCCGGGCGAGAGAGGGTGATGACTCAACCCAGGGAGGGAGTGGCGGCCAGAGGTATGAGTGAGAGGGTCAACAATGACACCAAAGATTTTAGTATGAGCAATTGGGAGCTTCTATCATCTGAAATGGGAAAACCCTCTAATAGAGTAGATTTGTGGGAGAAGATGAGAACCCCATTTTTGGACATGTTAAGTTTAAGGGGTCTCCGAGAAATCTCAGTGGACATATCAAGTAGGCAACTGCGTATATGAGTCAGGGATTCAGGAGAGATGTTAGTTACAATATAAAAAATTGGGGTTCATTGGCATATTGACAAAGGAGTTTATTAAGAAAGTGACTGTAGGGAAAAGAAAACCAAGGACTGATTCTTGGGGCAATCCAAATGAACTGATCTGGGAGAAGAGGGGACTACAATCAAGACCAAGAAGGAAGAATCAGTGAGATATGAGGCAAATGAGAAAGAGTGTGGTGTCCTGGGCGCCAAGTTAAAAAAATATATTAAGGAAGAGGGTGATCAGCCATGCCATTGGATTTGCAGGTAAATTTCCTCCTCTATAAAATTCAGGTCATATGTTATTTGGATATTGGGGTATCCTGTTTAAAGAATTTCCAATTAAAAGCTTTTTATTCATTAAAAAATAAAATAAAGGCTGGGCGCAATGGCTCATGCCTGTAATCCCAGCACTTTGGGAGGCCGAGGCGGGCGGATCACCCGAGGTCAGGAGTTCAAGACCAGCCTGGTCAACATGGCGAAACCCTATCTCTACTAAAAATACAAAATTAGCCGGGCATGGTGGTAGACACCTGCAATCCAAGCTATTCGGGAGGCTGAGGCAGGACAATCGCTTGAACCTGGGAGGTGGAGATTGCAGTGAGCCGAGACTGTGCCACTGCACTCAAGCCTGGACAACAAGAGTGAAACCCTGTCTCAAAAATAAAAATAAAAATAAAGTAAAATAAAATGCAGGTAATGATAGTGTCTGCCTGATAGGCTTAAATAAGATACTATATGTGAATTGCCAGTCACAATACCTAATGCTAGTATGGGCTATTATAATAATAAATAGTATACTATTTATTATTTTTATTCCTAACATCTCTGAAAAATCACTTATCACTATAAAGCTGTTCACTCACCAAGCTAGCCCCAAGGGGGCGCTCAAAGCCTTCCCTTCTTCCCCATTACTTTTCCTACAAAAGGGAACTCAAATTTAGATGTAGGACAAAATGAACTCTCATTGGCAACTGAACCATTTTGTAGCAAAGACTGGAAAACCCAATGCAGCGAGTGTCAAACTTCAGTGTGGATAAGAGTTACTCGAGGAGCTTGTTAAAATGCAAGACCACAGCAGGCCCAACAGATCAAATAAATCGGAAGGGAACCTGTTTTCCCACCCCAGGTGATTCGAATATATGTATTCTCATGATGCTCTAGTATGGGGCAGGAGGGTGGTAAAAATAATAACTAGCCTGGAGTAAATATTCTCTTCCTCTCTTCTTCTTGGGACCTTGAAATGAGTTTTGCTCTTCCTTTTTTCCTCTCTTCCATGTAGCCAGTGAGGTAAGCCATCCCTGGTGCTTCCTTGGACTGGGAGGTCCCAGCAGGACCAAGATGTTTCTACAAAAAGCACAGTGGAGAGGGCGGCTTGGGCTTGCTTTTAGTTTGTCGACATCAGAGGACACAAAGTGATGCCTGCCAGTCCACATCTGGCCCCCAGATTTGTTTTATTTGACCTGAACAGAATTGGCCCATCCAGTGCTTTAATAAAATTTGAATTTGTTTTCAACATTTAAAACTCAGGAGATTTCACATACAAACCCAGATTTCCTGCTTCTCTGGAACAATAAGAAGATGTGAAACCTGGCCCCGTGTTCCTATACGGCAAAGCTGCTTCCTTTAGATGGGTGTGGACTCTGGAATCTGCCACCATCCCCTTCATTCTTTATTGTTCTCCCCAAAGTCAGGTGTCGGTTGCTATTTATCATCATACATACACTCCTATTTTCCTTAAAGTTGAAGAAAACGAAGCATTTCTTTAGAAAATGAGGATATAACAAGAGGAGTAGTGTTTTTAAAAATAAATTTTCTTATACCAGACCCCTTTTCTCGTTTGCATTATGGGCCTGTCTTCTCTAGGCATTTAAGTTTGCTATTGCAGGTCTAGCTCTTAATCCAGAGGTGAAAAGTTGTCTTTATATTAAAGAATGATGTGGAATATCACAGCAGTAAAAAGGAGCAGAACTACTAATGCACACTAAAATTAATGAATTCCAAAAGTTAGGCTGAGCAAAAGAAGTCAGACACAAAAGCATAATACTATATAATTCCATTTAGATGAAAAATTCTAGAAAAGTTGAAACTAAGCTATAGTAACAGAAAGCAGAGCAGTTGTTTCCTAGGACAGAGGTTGGCTGCAAAGGGCATGAGAAAAAGTTTCTGGAATGATGGAAGTGCTCTATCACTTAATTGTAGTGGGACTTATATGCAGAGATATATATTTGTTAAATCTCATTGACGTGCATTGTATTTTATTTTATTATTTTTTTAGACAGAGTTTCTCTCCTGTTGCCCAGGCTGGAGTGCAATGGCCCGATTTCAGCTCACTGCAACCTCCACCTCCTGGGTTCAAGCGATTCTCCTGCCTCAGCCCCCCGAGTAGCTGGGATTACAGGCATGCACCACCACACCTGGCTAATTTTGTATTTTTAGTAGAGACAGGGTTTCTCCATGTTGGTCAGGCTGACCTCAGGTGATCCACCCACCTTGGCCTCCCAAAGTGCTGGGATTACAGGCGTAAGCCACCACGCCCAGCCTGATGTGCATTTTAAATAAATGTTTTTCTTGCATGCCTATTATACCTAATAAAGTTGATTCTTTTGTTACCTAATAGAATTGTCCAAGGAAAGAGATGGAATAAAGTGGGCCCTTGCCTAGGGCTCTTTTTTGCCTATCGCTGTCTGGAATTTACTATAGTAGGTGGGAGAATAGAATAGAATAGAATTTCAAGATTCACAGGCATTGTGACCAATATTTATGTCTCCTGGAGATGTAAATAACATTTGGCAGAAGGCAACAGACCCAGTTGAGAGTTCAGTTGGTAGAGGAGGCATGGATTGTGGCACAAGTTCCTCCAGAGACTTTAAACTGCTGGAAGACCTGCTCTTCAGCCTCCTTCCATGTGAAGAGAGCCTCCTGGAGGCCCTGGGAGAGGAGCTAGTAAGCTGCATGAGGCGCTGGCAGAAATGTGGGGGCTTTTCTTTTTTCCCTTCTTTCCTTCTTCCTGCTCCTTCTTTGATAAACTCACACTCCGGAACCTCAATCTGCAAAGGCATCTTTTATTCGTGGTGGGCGACATTCCTTGGTGAGAAAGCAAAATCTGGTCTGGGCGACCCTGGATATCCTCCTGGAGGACCAGGGCAGGCTCACCTCCAAATACACAGGGCTTTGGGGTGTAGGCTTTTGGCTTGGTTGTATCTGACATTGCAGGCAAATGCCCCATCTTTCCTCCTTTCTTGTGTTTCTTAGTCAGGATTGAGAAACTGACTTGCACTGTAAAAAATGCAAAGCAATAGAATTTTTATGGTTGACTTGGCCAACTTACAAGAACCTGACAGAGCTCTCAGTAAATTCAGAACTGAAGAACTCATTACGTGGGAGTATTAACAGATACTATGGGTACTCCACCCATATTCTCTTGCCCTTACCACTTCCTCATAAGCTGTTTGATTTCAACAGCAGCACCTGCATTTCTTTGCCTGAGGGTTTTCCAGTGAGGTTGTACCATTGTGCATTCCCACCAGCAATATCTGAGAGTTCCAGTTGCCTCTCATCATCAACAGCACTTGATATTATTGTCAGGTTCTTTTTTAAAGTTATTCTAGTAAGTGTAGCATTGTCTCATCATGGTTTTAACTTGCATTTCCGTAATGACTAATGATGTTGAGCACCTTCCATATGTTTATTGGCTACCAATATATCTCCTCTGGTGAAGTATCTGTTCAAAACTTTGCTATTTAAAAAAAAAAAACTTGGTCTTTTTTTGGTTGAGTTTTGATAGTTCTTCATATAGTCTGGCTTCAAGTTTGTTGTCAGAAGAGTGCTTTACAAATATTTTTTCTCTGTCTGTGGCTTATCTTTTCTTTTCTTTTTCTTTTTCTTTTTTTTTTCTTTTCTGTTTTTGAGACAGGGTCTCACTCTGTCGCCCAGGCTGAAGTACAGTGGCACAATCTCGGCTCACTGCAACCTCCACCTCCCAGGTTCAAATGATTCTCCTGCCTCAGCCTCCCGAGTAGCTGGGACTACAGGGACTACAGGCACATGCCACCACACTGAGCTAATTTTTGTATTTTTAGTAAAGACAGGGTTTTGCCATGTTGGCCAAGCTGGTCTCAAACTCCTGAGCTCAAGTGATGTGCCTGCCTCAGCCTCCCAAGGTGCTGGAATTACAGGTAGGAGCTACCATGCCTGGCCCGTCTTTTTGTAATGTCTTTCATAGAGCAAAAGTTTTGCATTTTGATGAAGTTCAACTTATTGATTGTTTTTCTTTTATGGCTGTGCTTTAGGTATCAGATCTGAAACTATTTCCCTAATCCAAGCTCACATTCAGAATCAACACCTGTTTCTGATTCATTTTGAGTTAATTTTTGTACATGGTGTGAGAAATGAATCAAAATTCATTTATTTGTCTAATTCTTCCAGTTATTTCTTGATAATATATTTCATATAAGGTCTTTTTCCAATATTACTCCACTTGTTTTTCCTTTCTTTGCGCCCCAGGCATAACCAATCTCGAGATTTTTGTGCATATCCTTCTGATGCAGCTTTTACACATTTGGGTATAAATATGTGTCAGCTGGGCATGGTGGTTCATGCCTGTAATCCCAGCACTTTGGGAGGCTGAGGCGGTTGGATCACAAGGTCAGGAGTTCAGGACCAGCCTGGCCAAGATGGTGAAACCCCGTCTCTACTAAAAATACAAAAATTAGCCAGGTGTGGTGGCAGGCGCCTGTAATCCCAGCTACTTGGGAGGCTGAGGCAGGAGAATCGCTTGAACCCGGGGGGCAGAGGTTGCAGTGAGCTGAGATCAGGCCACTGCACTCCAGCCTGGGTGACAGACTGAGACTCTGTCTCAAAAAAAAAAAAAAAAAAATTGTGTCACTAAATACATATAACATAGTATTTATTTTTACATGTTTTAAGCTCTATTCATCTTGATATGCATAGATCTAGTTTATTCCTTTTAACTGCCATATAATATTGCAATATATGAGTATACTACTTCCATCTCTTAATTGATGGACATTAAGGTAGAATCAATTTTTCAGGAGTACAAATGCTGCTACAATAACCATCCTTGTACACATTCCTTGTGCTCATGTAAGAGTTTGTCTAGGATACATAATGGAAATTCAGTGGCTAGGTAGTAGGATGTGTGTTTTTACTAAAATGGCTGAACCAACTGACAATCCCACAGCACAGTATGATTTACAGTCCCACAGCTTCACCAGATCACAAGACTCTGAAATTACTGCCAATACAATAGGTATGAAATAGATTTTTTTAGAAACTGGCATTCATCTGATTACTAGTGAGATCAAGCATCCTTTTAAATGTTTGTTGTTCATTTCTGAATTGGCCTTTTCTGTAAGTTTCTTTCTCACATAAGTTTTTAATTTTGATAGATATTTCTCAATATTTTCTATATAGAACTTTGTCTTGTTTAAGAAATACTTTTCTACTCTGAGCTCATAAAGAGATTTTCTTATTTTTTCCATATATAGTTTTTCAGTGGAGTAATTGCCCCTAAAATTGTCTACTGAGATAAACCTTCATACAGTGAAATACACAAACCTTAAGTACAGTTTCATCAGTTTTGACAAATATATACTTATGTAATCCACACCTCACTCAAAATACAGAACATTTCCATCACTGTAGAAATTTTCCTTGTACCCCTTCCCAGTAACCCCATTCTCTGAAGCCACAACTGTTCAGATATTTTTCTAACATATTTGCTTATTCCAGAAATTAATGTGTAGAATCATACAATATGTACTCTTTTGTGTCTGGTCCAGCTTTTTTCACTCAATGCAATAGTTTTGAGATGTATTCATATTGATGCGTGTATCAGTATTTTATTCTTTATTGCTAAATTGTTCCATTGTATAGATGTATTAGTTTGTCCTTCTGATGGACATCTGGGCTGATTCCAGTTTGGGACTGTTACGAAAAAATTTACTATGAACATTCCCATACAAGGTTTCTTGTGGACTTAGTTTTTCTCTTCCCTTAGATAAATATTTAGGGGTGAAATTGCTTGGTAGCCACTTGCATTTTAAGTTCACAGGTAATGGTCACTGGGCAAATGGCTTTGACTGATAGCACTTGGTGAATAAAAACCAAGAAGTTTTCCTCTTTTTTTTCTCTTCATTTTTCTCTGCCTATTCCTTCTCACACTCCCTCCCTTTCAAGGTCAACAGCTATAACAGCAATGTGATTCTTAATTATGAGACATTTATTGGAGTCTGGGAACACTACTTCAACTTGGAAAACACCGTTTTATAAGGCAACAGTTTTCAAAGTTTTGCAAAGGGAGTGAAACCTATTTTCTAAATGAAATCTTCTGAGGAGCCCCAATATAAAAAAATGCTTTTTAAATATGGGGCTACTTTAGTTTTGGGGGGATGCCACTCTGCTTGTAGCTACCATATCATCCTTGTTAAGCAATTCCTTAATTTCTATAGAACATATTTTGAAACACTTTGGTCTAAGGAGATTCATACTTATGCTGTGGCTAATTTTGTGTTGTTTAAATTTTATGGGTATGGGTTGTTATGATATTTTATGTGTTCAGTTGATACTGTGAACTTTTAGAAAAGTGATATGCATGAGAGACTTAAAATTGGAATTCTCTAACACTGGAGATTCTGAAAGAGCTACTTGTTTCTAATGGAAGGACCCCCTGGCTAGAGCTGTTCCAAGAAGAAAATTTGGTGTTTAAATGGAACTCCTCTGCCTTTTGTAAAACTTTTATTTTTCTATGATAAAGAGAAATGGAATCATTAATGACATGTATGTGTGGGTGTGTTACTGAGTTATCTTAATACTATAGCATCATACTCATGAATACAATGTATTGTTTCGCTATAAAATCTAATAAAGTAATTTTTTGTTATGCTTAATAGATGGGAAAGAGACTGGGGGGCCTCCTTTGTTTAGTGCATAATATGGCTTGAAGTCCATAATGTGACTTGAAGTGAGTCACATTCGAAAGCATATTTCAGATACATTAAAGCATCATTCACATATGGACTTGAGAGCCTGAGTTGTCCAAGCCGCTGGTGTCAGATAAACAAGGAGACCGATGGTACAGGTTAGAAAAAGCTGTTCTCTTCTGACATTCAGCTGATATTCCTTTGTGGGGTAGTAGCAACAAGGTCAACTCCGGTTGGTCTACAGTGCAGCTGGGTTAGTCCAGGAAAGATCAAAATAGAAGGGAACATTAGCCCCACATGCAAACCCCTAGGGAGCACTGAAAGTTTTATATCTTCCCTCACCACCTCACTATCCCCCCCTAGGGGTGGATATAGGTCAAGGACAAATTATAGGTGGATATAGGTCAAGGAAAAAATGGACACCAAGGATGAATTTAAGTCACTGTACTAGGGAACAGAGTTCTAGTGGAAGGAGAAAAGGGATTATAAATAAGATAGAAGTGAGGCAAACACACTCTTGGACCTCTTTGGGAGTGTTTTACCTTAGAACTCATAAAGATACATGAGTCCTTAAGCTCCTTTTTATGCTTGAAAAGATGTGCCCCACCTTTGAAACAGGGTCTGCCTTTGCTCCCACTTGGCTCCCATTCAGTTCAGCTTTTTGCCTTGGATTTGTCCTTTTCTGTTTGTCTTATTCCTTATTCCTGCTCTTTGGACTTGCTCACTTACCTTGATTTCCCTGACATTCCTCTACATTCTTCACGACTTAAGTTTGGGTTTACACTTCTGAGCCTCTCCTTTCCTTGTCAACTCAGGAAGCAACTTCAGTTCTAGTTTGTTCCCCTCTCCCTGACCTCAGACGCTGGCATGAATGCACCTGGATAAATGCCTCGCTTGGCTGACTCTTCTTGATTTAGACACCAATAGGGACTTCAAATTCCATGAATACTTGTAGCAAATTTTGAAAAATAAGCATTGTCTCTGTCCTTAAAGGATTACAATAAAATATCAAAATAAAAGATTGCGTGTGACATCAGCAAAATCATGTAAAGCAATTTCTTTTTCCTTTTTCATGAAACCCTGCTCTAGAACATGTAAAGCAATTCTTATTCAGGGTAAATCTAACCTGGTTTGCCAATCCTAGTGTTATCTGAATTCATTTATTGCCTTGGAGTCATAAGATAGCTAAAATTAATTAAATGCTTAAGTAAACTGGCATTGTGGTAGCATTTATTAGAAAAAAATTTGATCTGTAATTTCAACACATCAAAAAAAGAGTTATAGCTGTATAGCAGAAAGGATTCTTTGAAAACACTTTTAAGGAAAAGGTAATTCTCAAATTTAGATTTAAATCAGAAGAGAATGTGTATCAGCATTCAATTATTAATTTAATGAAATGACAAATATAATATTATTTGGGTTTTGTGGGGTTTTTGTTTTTGTTTTTGGTAGGAACAGGGTCTCACTATGTTGCCCAGGCTGATCTTGAACTCCTGGCCTCAAGTGATCTCACCTCGGCCTCCCAAAATGTTGGGATTACAGGCATGAGCCACCACACCCAGCAGATAATACTATTTGTGGTTATTATTGTGGGATCAAAAAATTTTATCAAATTCATCTAGCCCTTAGATGAATCTCTTAGCCCTTACAACAGACATTGATAATTACATGACACACTTGGTCAAAGTGAAGCTTGAACACAGGTTCTCCTCCTAAAACCAAGAAAATTAGAGCTACTAATATGGTCTGTGATGATTATTTACACAACTAGGTGCAATGAAATGAGAGAAAACCATTTGGAACTAAATTTACTGATTATTTTCGAGATGCCATCTAGCAAGGTATACTTCTCCTCCCCCTTTAGTTTCACCTAAATTAACATGCATTCTGAATTTTCGACAAAATGTCTTCTAATGATTTTCTGTAGGCCCAACTAAATAATGATAACTAACCCCAAATGTGTTATTTAAGGTGCAATATAGGCTGGGTGCAATGGCTCACACCTGTAATCCCAGCATTTTGGAAGGCCGAGATGGGCGGATCACTTAAGGCCAGGAGCTTGAGACCAGCCTGGCCAACATGGTGAAACCCTGTCTCCACTAAAGATGCAAAAATTAGCCTAGTATGGTGGCAGATGCCTGTAATCCCAGCCACATGGGTGGCTGAAGCACAAGAATCAAGTGAGGTGGGAGAATCACTTGAACCAGGAGACGGAGGTTGCAGTGAGCTTGAGATTGCACCACTGCACTCCAGCCTGGGCAACAGAGCACAGACCCTGTCTCAAAAGAAAAAAAATAAAAAAGATGCAATATATTTGCTCCCAGGATACTACTAGAAGATCAGAGAGTTGAATCATAGCCTTGTGTTTAGTTCCTGAAGTGTTTCAGGTCAAAAGAACTCTAGCAGCCTATCAACCCATTTTCAACTGGTTTGTACCAGGTTATCTCTGAAAAATCTCTTCTCTATTCAGTTCTTGTTCAAAAAGACTCCTAAATAATGATTCAAGCTCAGTTTGAGGAGGAACACCATGACCATCTGAACTGGTTTTCCATTCAAACTCTCATTTAATTTCATCTTCTCCCTCACATGCTGCAGGACCTTTATTAACTGACCAAATAGACTTAAATTGTTGAACAAACATGAGGTTTAAAGTATCATAAAAGATAAATCAAGTGCTAGAAACCAGAGCATTCAACAATTTTTGCAAGCACACATTAGAAAAAACAATACGTTTGCTTGTTTTTCTTTCCCATGTATTTTTTTTCACGAACTGTCTGTTTCACTGTTCATAGAAATTTGCTTATCAACTTTGATTCTAGTTAGAACAATTTATCTAAAATTTGACTAATCTTTTTACATCTGCAGTGTCAACCACCCCTATTTTTCTTACAATTCAAACATTATAAAAGATACTAGCATGTGTTATCTAATTTCCTGATCTTTCTCATTGTGACATCCTGTAATAATTGCAAAATCATCGCTAAATACCAATATGATGATGCCATTTATTGCTTTACAGTTTGTTAACTTGGTGGTACAAAAAACATTTCCAAAAAAATATATTTACATACAAAACTAAAGAGCAGTCACAGGAGTGTAGAATTTTAAAGTAAGACAAGACCTTACGAAGAGCATTGAGTCCAACATCTGCATTTTACAGATAAGTGAAATGAACAGAAAGTGTAAATGACTGGTTCAAGATCTTTCAACGGTCTTTAAAATATTCTTCATTGTATCCAAGAAAGTTACAGGAGCATCTCAACATAGCCCAGCTCACTCCTCAGTTTCAGTATCTCCCCATGCCTAAGATTTAATCTATCATTAGATCTTACTCATTTCACCTATTGATATCTCCCAAATCTGTCTCTTTTTTCCATTTTCAACATCACTGTTATATTTTAGGTCATCATTGGCTTCAAGATAACATCCACACTGCTTGCCTTGGTAAGAGCCTTTTCTGGGCGTAACCCTGTCAATCTCTCAACTTTTACGTCTTCACCTCCCTCTTTCATTCTATACCCCAGAAAATGATTAACTACTTACAGTTCTTTGAGTAGGCCATGCTCTTTCTCATTTTAGTTCCTTGTACTTGTTTTTTCAACATACAGTTGCATCATCATCTTCTTTCATCCATCTATCGTTTTGATCTTAGCTGAGCTATCTCTACCCTTCAACCTATTCTCATTTGAGGCCCTTTTTATGTATTCTCATGGCACCCATATTTTTCCCTCTTATGGTATTCAGGACAGTCTATTGTAATGATCAGGTAGCTTATCAGATCTACATTTAGACAAGGACAGATTGTATCTTGTGAGTTGTTATGCCTTCAGAATCTAACCTAACCAAAAAAAGTAGATATTCAATAAAGGATAATAGCAACCACTGCTCTCTAGCTGAAACTGGATCCCTTCCTTACACCTTATACAACAATTAATTCAAGATGGATTAAAGACTTAAACGTTAGACTTAAAACCATAAAAATCCTAGAAGAAAACCTAGGCATTACCATTCAGGACATAGGCATGGGCAAGGACTTCATGTCTAAAACACCAAAAGCAATGGCAACAAAAGCCAAAATTGACAAATGGGATCTCATTAAACTAAAGAGCTTCTGCACAGCAAAAGAAACTATCATCAGGGTGAACAGGCAACCTACAAAATGGGAGAAAATTTTCGCAACCTACTCATCTGACAAAGGGCTAATATCCAGAATCTACAATGAACTCAAACAAATTTACAAGGAACAAAAAACAACCCCATCAAAAAGTGGGCGAAGGACATGAACAGACACTTCTCAAAAGAAGACATTTATGCAGCCAAAAAACACATGAAAAAATGCTCACCATCACTGGCCATCAGAGAAATGCAAATCAAAACCACTATGAGATACCATCTCACACCAGTTAGAATGGCAATCATTAAAAAGTCAGGAAACAACAGGTGCTGGAGAGGATGTGGAGAAATAGGAACACTTTTACACTGTAGGTGGGACTGTAAACTAGTTCAACCTTGTAGAAGTCAGTGTGGCGATTCCTCAGGGATCTAGAACTAGAAATACCATTTGACCCAGCCATCCCATTACTGGGTATATACCCAAAGGATTATAAATCATGCTGCTATAAAGACACATGCACACGTATGTTTATTGCAGCACTATTCACAATAGCAAAGACTTGGAACTAAGCCAAATGTCCAACAATGATAGACTGGATTAAGAAAATATGGCACATATACACCATGGAATACTATGCAGCCATAAAAAATGATGAGTTCATGTCCTTTGTAGGGACATGAATGAAATTGGAAATCATCATTCTCAGTAAACTATCGCAAGAACAAAAAACCAAACACTGCATATTCTCACTCATAGGTGGGAATTGAACAATGAGAACACATGGACACAGGAAGGGGAACATCACACTCTGGGGCCTGTTGTGGGGTGGGGGTAGGGGGGAGGGATAGCTTTAGGAGATATGCCTAATGCTAAATGATGAGTTAATGGGTGCAGCACACCAGCATGGCACATGTATACATATGTAACTAACCTGCACATTGTGCACATGTACCCTAAAACTTAAACTATAATAATAATAAAATAAAAAAAAATAAAAAAGTAAAAGACAATGGGGTTCCCCAAAGGGAAGAGCTTATCTACAACATGGTTTAACATGCATAGGTTAGGGAGTGGGTGTGGAGGTTCCTGCAGCTCTGAGGGCTAACTGATGCAGATCATTAACCACTATCTCCAGTGTGTTTTGGGGGTATGTTTGGAAAGGGTGGAAATTTTCATTAAAAAGTAAAAAAAAAAAAAAAAAATAGCAACTACATCAATAATAATAGCTAATTTTTATTATTTATTTCCCGTGTTAGACACTGTGGGAAAATTGCTACCTGCATTATCAGTACTGCTTTCATGATGGTTAATTTTATGTGTATATTTGGCTAAGCCGTGGTGCCCAAATATTTGGTCAAACACATCTGAATGTTGCTGGAAGGTATTCTTTAGATGACATTAACATTCAAATCAGTAGACTTTGAGTAACAAACATGGGTTCACCTCTACAACGTGTGTTGGCCTCATCTACAGTTGAAGGCCTTAGGAAAAAGACTGATCTACCCCTAGGTAGAACTGCAACATCTGTTCTTCCATGAGTCTCCAGCCAGCTGGACTACCCTGTAGAGCTTGGACTTTTCCAGCCCCATGATCATGAGAGTCAATTCCCTAATATAAATCTCTCTCTGTCTCTCTCTGCCTCTCTCTATGTCCTCTCTCTCTCTCTTTTCATGTGTATATACACACACACTATATATATACATTCTTTCGATTCTCTAGAGAAATCTAAAACACACTTCAATAGCCCTATGATGAAGATAATATTATTGTTTTCATTTAGAAATGAGAAAACAGAGCCACAAATAGGTCAATAATTTAACTTTCCAAGGTCATTTATCTAGTGTGTGGAGAAACCAAGACTTGAATCAAAGTCTATTTGACCATAAAAGTAATGATCTTATCTACAGTAAGCTAGGAAAAAATGAATTATTAAATGAATGAATCAAACACTAAATGATACTGGCTAATTCTTCATGTCAACTTCATAAGTAGTTAAAAGTAATATTTCTAAATGCTGTAATGATTCACAATCTTCTATCCAAAATACATCTACAAAAAATCATCTAGTCACTCAATCTGTTGTTTTACTGATGAGAAAACTGAGGCACACTGTTGCTATCCAGTTAGTGAGTTTCTTGAGAGTTATAAAATCCAGGTCTCTTGAGGGTCAATACTAGAATCTTTCTATTCTAGTATTGAATAGAATCACGACCTCTTGCATAATAACATTTGGTCATCAACTCCAATTTTCTATGAGAAATCGATGATGTAAGCAAATGTTCCTGGAGCAGGATCCTGGGGCCACCATGCTGCTCAAATCCAGGGAGCACCATTTCTTCTCTTCTCTCCAAAAACTACCAAACCAGAGTTCTAATACATGAGAATTCCAACATAGCCAAGGCATCCCTCAAACCACAGTATGGTTTAACATCTGGGGCAAAATAATGTCATAAAAAGGAAGAAACTTCACAATACCAAATTAGACTCACTGAATTCTTCAGCCACAGTTGATAGCTTCCCTTGTTCATTTTCCACAGACCTTAGAACAGAACTCTAAAATTTTATCCATCACAAAGGCTTTTCATCTTTTGTTGACCATTAGGGTAATGGTGCTTAATGGTGCCTGTGACATTTTCAGTCTTCACAAAATATACACTCAGTGAATATTGATTCAACAAATGCCTATTCAGAAATGATGGCTGAGACTATTTGACTGATGGAGATTTCAATACAGTAGGTAGTTTCACCTTAACTCCCCAAACGTTTTTTTTCTCTCACAGCCATCAATATGAGTGCCTTAAAGCTGCCCAAATATTAAAGAGAGCTCATGGAGATATGCCAGGAGGAGCATCTTCCCTGCCTTCTAGAAAAACACGTTGCAATATTTTCTTCCTTGATTATTCATTACAGTGTTCATTTCTATAGTATAATGAGATCTCTGGTCTTTGTGTTTAAGAGATAATGAATGAAGAAAATCAGACTACATATTGTAGACTATATATTATTCTAATATGTAGGCTAATTTACATGACTTGTTATTGCCCCAATAACAATGTTATTAGAAATGGAAATAAACTGAAGTGGCTTATGCCTGTTGACTCACAGTAAAAAAAAAAAAAAAAAGAGAGATAATGTAAGTGTGGTGGGAACAATAAGATGCAGTTACAAGAAGAGGAAAACTGATAGCAGTTTAAACTCTCTGGGAAGAGAAACAGGAACTATCTCAGGGGAAATTTTATCTTTCCTTTAGAAAGATGCTTCCATGTTTCTGTTGGTGGTGAAAGAGAGGGCCCAGACTAGCAGAGTTGGAGATATTGCGTAAAAAAGAGGCTCAATTCCTCTCCATGATAACATAATAGTGAAATCCAGATGGGACCCTGGTACTCTGAGAGAAATAATTGGGGCAAAGGCTCACAACAGAAATGATCGGTTCCCAGCCTGAGTAACATGGCAAAAGCCCATCTCTATGCAAAATACAAAAATTAGCCAGGTGTGGTTGTGCCCACCTGTAGTCCTAGCTACTCAGGAGGCTGAGATGGGAGGAATGCTTGAGGCCAGGAGGTCAAGGTTGCAGTGAACCATGATCGTGTGACTGCACTCCAGCCCGGGTGACAGAGCGAGACCCTGAAAAAAAAGAAAAAGAAAGAGAGAAAGAAAGGAAGGAAGGAAGGAAGGAAGGAAGGAAGGAAGGAAGGAAGGAAGGAAGGGAGAAATGATAGATCCCAACACATAGCCAACATAGCAGTTGACAGAGATATGAAAAGTGGCAGCCTGAAAGAGATTCTCTCTGTCAGAGAAGGGCAAGGATTTTAAGACCAGTGATGTCCACTCTCCACTGTTGGTTGTTTCTTATCCTGAGGTACAATTCATCTCCATTATCCCTACTCTTAATAAAACCTGAAGCACACAGAGTATGGTGATAGTTGTGCTTCAGGGCCTGATGGAGAGGGAATGAAAGAACATGGAAACACAGAGCTGCCCAGAAGCAAGCAGAGGGCATGAAGGGGAGGCCAGAACATCCGCTCAGAAGGAAATGTGAGTGCATCACCCTGCTAATCACTCTCCAGAATTCACAGGAGGTATGGGACATTTCACCATTACCCAGGAGATCTCAAGTATAACCAAGGGTTACTTGAGCTGCCTGGAGACCTTGAGGACTTTATATCTAGATAACACAAAGTATCATTTAAGATGGATGTATTAGTTCATTCTCACACTGCTATAAAGACATACCTGAGACTGGGTAATTTACAGAGAAAAGAGGTTTCACTGACTCACAGTTCCACAGGCCGTACAGGAAGCATGGCTGGGGAGGCCTCAGGAAACTTACAATCAGGGCAGAAGGCAAAGGGGAAGTAGGCATGGTCTTCACATGGCAAGAGCAAGAGAGAGAGAAAGTGAAGGGGGAGGTGCTGCACAACTTTCTTTTCTTTTCTTTTCTTTTTTTTTTTTTTTGAGATGGAGTCACGCACTGTCACCTGAGCTGGAGTTCAATGGCATGATCTCGGCTCACTGCAACCTCCATCTCCCAGGTTCAAGTGATTCTCCTGCCTCAACCTCCCAAGTAGCTGGGATTACAGGTGCCCGCCACCACACCTGGCTAATTTTTTGTATTTTTAGTAGAGACGGAGTTTCATTATGTTGGCCAGGCTGGTCTCAAACTCTTGATGTGGTGATCTGCCCGCCACAGCCTCCCAAAGTGCTGGGATTACAAGCATGAACCACCACGCCCAGCCACAACTTTCAAACCACCAGATCTCATGATAACTCTACCGTGAAAACAGAAAGGGGGAACTCCACCCCCATGATTCAAGCACCTCTCACCAAGCCCCTCCATCAACACTGAGAATTCTGATTCGACATGAGATTCGGGGTGGGGACAAAGAGACAAATTGTATCAACGACTATTGTAATTTAAGGCAGAATTCTGGGTAATTATTTACTTGTCTCACTCCACAGCAGTGGAAAAAAAAAATCCTTCCACTGTGAAATAGAGAAATGGGGAGACTCACAGAGAGAGACAGCTAGGGAGAGAGAATATTCCCTCTTGGGGAGCTGGGGTGTCTCTCTTGCCACAGGCGAAACAGGGATTCCTTTCTGCCCATGGCCCTCACTTTCTACTTAATAACCAGAAAACTTCTCATCTTTCTCTCCTGTAAGAGGATAATAATACCTACAGTGCAAGATTGTTGAAAGAATTAGAGCTGAAATACCTTTCATAACGTTTGGTACAAATAGATACTCAATGAGTGCTACCTATTGTATTTTCTAGTACCATTTCTAAATAAAATAATAAAAATAGCAGTCTGGCCTTCTGAGCATGAAGAGAGCTGGAGGAATAAGAAAACTCTTTCTTTGCTTGTTTCTGGAGCCTCTTTTTGTCCTTTGGGACAATTAAGGAAAATAACAAAGAAAGGGACGGGGTGGAGGGGAGGCACTCTAGAGTAATAGGTATAGTGAGTTTAGATTCTAGTTTCCAGGAGTTGCTGTGAAATACTTCTGTCCTGGGTTCACACCATCAGTCTCATATTCACTAGGACAGATCATCTCTGTTTACATAGGCATTATTCTTTTGTATTTCTGCTCTACTTCTCTCCTTGTTGGGGTTGCAATGCTGGCCAACATTTTCAATTAGCTTGAACAGCTATTAAAACTCATCCATTAAAATTCACTTCCCCACAGAGCTAAAGAGTAATTTTCTGCATAAACCTCTTAGGGTTGTTACAAGGATCAAATTAAAGAAAGTGTGAAGAAGTCTTGTGCAGGCTGCTCTGCTGAGAGGGCAGAGAAGTAGAACATGGGCTTTAGAATCAGAACTCCTTTATTCAAAGCCTTCTGATTGCTTCCTTTGTACTCTATTCCTTGATTTTCTTGCTTAAAAATAATAATGATAACTACCATTTATTGGGTGGCTTCCATCCCATTGATTAAATTCTGACCATGCTATATGGGTCAGATATATCATTTGGCACTCACACTCTTCCTAAGAAGCATGGTTCTAATACTTTTTCAGGTTTACAAATGAAGAACTGATGGTCAGAGAGTTTAGATAACACTTAAAATCACATAGCTGTTAAGTGATATAGCCATGAGTCCAATTTGATTTGTTGGACTTCAAAATCATGCTGCTTAGTATCCTGTTGTAAAGACCAAGTGAAATAATGTATGTGAAAGACCATTTTAACCCGCAAAGCTTTATGGCCTTGATAGCAATTATTATTCTAGTTGAAATGGCTTATCCTCAAGTGAAACAAGGTGTTCAGAATCAGCCCTGCATAGGCAGAAGAAAGAAAATTCAAAATAAAAGGTCCTGTGCCTTAAGTTAGTCTACATAAAAAACAGAAGACTCTGACTTGCTGCAAGCAGGTACACTTTTTTAAAGTCATAGATTCATTATTATCCCATTGAATGAATATTCACTGTGCTGCACACTGTAGAGATAGTGTAGGAAATGGAATCTAATTAGGAGAGAAGACAAGCAAATACAAAAAAACACAGGGATATGCAAAACACAGCAAATTTTCATAACACAATGCTAAGGCACACACAGTGAGGCCGACTTTGGATGATTAATAATCAATGATGTCTTATGGAAAATTCTGGAAGGTTTTGAACAAAGATGGCTCAGTGTGAGAAATTGTGGACAAGGCATTGGGCACACAAAATGACCCATGTCCCAACACCAGGAAGATGAAGGGAGGGAAGAAGGGAGCTGATATATAAGAGCAGCTAGGATGAGTTAAACACTGTAATATTTAATTTATTTGTGTTGTCTCATATATTCTTCATGACCACCCAGGAGGCAAATGTGTTCATTAATTCATCCATTTTCCTAACAATTATTTATTAATGTCTATTATATGCCAGGATTTGTGTGAGGTATCAAAATACATAAGATGAATAAGAAACAACTACAAGAAACAGCAAATCTAAACACATAAGATTTATTTTGATGTCTCTATTTTGATTTTCTCCATTTCCAGTGAGGAAATTGAGGCTCAGGGAAGTTGTATAATTTGCCCACGTTCACCCGATACTGTAAATTATTACCTGAACTAGGATTAGCACTGATGCTCACATCTTCATTTTCATGAACTTAATGTGAGCAGTAACTTACCCCATGGTAAAAGGTGAGGTGCCTGCCACTTGCTTAATGGGGCAAAGGGTGAGGATTCGGCAACACTTGGTGGTGGTGAAAGAAGTCTTCCTTCCTCATTCTCAATAATTGTTCTCTGAAAGGTTACATAATGAAGAAGATATTTTTAAAAGTCTGCTTCGTAACCTCAAGTACAACCTGGAAATGTTGCCTTCATATCATGGATCAAGTAAGTTAATATCACCAGACATCTGCTGTTTAAAATAAGGAAGCATTTGGTTTCTGTTTCTGAGAGAGGATCTAGAACGATATGGCTTTAGATGGACTAGACTCAGAGTAGTTTCCTGAACGGAATGAAAAACTTGTGGTCATGGGCTCTGCGGTGAAAAGAGTTCCACTGAATGCAAGTGACAGAAACTCATTTCGACATACATTAAGCAAAAAATGAAAGGTTATTTGCACACATACTGGGACATTAGAGGTGAATCCAGGGACTCAAGTAATGTTCTCAGGACTATTTTTCTCCCCTTCTCTAGTGGGCTTTAATTTCTCAGTCTAATTTTACGCAGCAGGATTGCTCTAGAGTGGGGAAAGTGGCTGCCAGCTTTCCCACGTTTTCATCATCACAGCTCTATCCACATATCAAATCTCAGGGAAGAACACTGATTAGCTATGCTAGGATCATATGCTTTCCCTTGGACCAATCACTATTATCCAAGCAATATAGCACCATGATTGATCAGGCCTGGACATCATGCCCATCACTGTAACCATTGGTGATTGAGAGCCTCAACAAAATTTCATGGAAATCTTGTCCCAAAGAAGGAAATGATGGGAAGGCAAATGAACACAACAAAACAAAAAATCTACGATAAAATCTCTCTTTAAAATCCTATGGCCTTTGAGGCTGGGCGCTGTGGCTCACGCCTGTAATCCCAGCACTTTGGGAGGTCGAGGCGGGCAGATCACGAGGTCAGGAGATCTAGACCATCCTGGCCAACATGGTGAAACCCCGTCTCTACTAAAAATACAAAAATTAGCTGGGCATGTGGCGCGCACCTGTAGTCCCAGCTACTGGGGAAGCTGAGGCAGGAGAATCACTTGAACCTGGGAGGCAGAGGTTGCAGTGACCCAAGATCGCGCCACTGCACTCCAGCCTGGCGACAGAGTGAGACTCCATCTCAAACAAACAAACAAATAAACAAACAAAAAACGATGGCCTTTGAAAGTTTGATTTAGCTAAAAGTGAGAGAAAGACTTCAGTGACTTGAGATTTACTGATTTTTAAAAGTTGTGTAATGTTTATGAACTGTAGGAGGGAAACTACTGTACAACTCAGGGGCACCATTCATATTATCTACAATTAGTTATATATTGACTAAAATGTGATTGGTGCCCCCTGAAGTTATGCAGTGTGATGGACCTGAACAAGAACAAAGTGATTAGAAATGGGTCCCATTGATGTTCAAAATTTTGTTTAGCTGATTGCATATACATATAAACTAAACATGCTATTTGTAGCTTTAGTGCATCTGATTGGTTGTTGACAACAGTGTTTACATCCTGAGAGAGCAGAAGAATAAACTGTTGCGTAGATTGCTGTCAAGTCTGAGTTATTCTAGCAGCAGAGTTATTTATTGACTATAAAAAAAATCTTGCTATTTCCATCTGGCTGTCTGCTTGATGAAACATATTTCCAGATAAAATGTAAGCAGAGGAAAATCCCTTTTGTTCCACCTAAAAAACATCATTGGCTTCTAGAACATGAATACTATGCTCACGAGTAAACCTGCTCCAAGGGATACTTCTGAAGATGGTTATTTAATAGCTTTAGCTTTAGAAGAACAATTAGGGTGGCCATTAGTTTTCAATATTTCAAGCACAAATCTTTTAAATAGCATCAATCTCAAAGCAATGTAGAAACTACCCATTTTCTTGAGCTTTTGTCTCAATCAATGCTGTTTAAAATAGTTAAAAAAATAAATTTCATTGAACATGAATTAAGTCTTAAATCAAATGATTTGCAGGATTTGAAGGACTTTTATCCATTTAATAACTTGCTAAGATGAGACTATGATTTACTTGGTAAAAAAAATTATAGCCCATGAATCACTGGGTTACCACTCATTAATTATTATTGACTGTGTTAGGATAGTATTTTACAGAAGAAAAATATCATGACTTTCACAGTAAAGTAAGCATTACAATAAGAATGACAATTTGTTCATGAAAACTAGTAGCAGAATTGAAAAGGGCCTCTGGGGCAATTGAGTTTCTCCCCAAATTTGTTGACTGAATAGCTGCCATTATTCTTCAGGGCTTTCTCAACAGGTGGCTGTCAGATCCAGGTCTGCCTGCTATTGGTAACAGCATTTCTTCAACATCAGCCAGCATCAGGCCCCATTATCTTGAACTCTTTATAAGCTTTCTTTCCTTCAGCTTCAAAATTTCTTGCGTTAGTTCATAGTCTTTCTTGCTTTTATAGGAAATTCCAGATCTCTCCTTTTCTAAATCAAATTTGATCTGTTAATAACATATAGCATGTACCTATTTAGAATGTCATCTTCCCCTTGCAGACTTTCAGTAAATATTTTATTGTCAAGGTTTGCCCACATTTACTCCTATCCAAATCTGATTAATCGACTTGCTGAATGGTATTCACTATGAAAACTTGGTCCTCAATGTTGAGTCTTTAAAACAAATATATTTGTCTAGTTATTTGTCCATCGATTCACCCCTGCATTTCCTCACACACACTCAGAAATTGGCACACAAACTGCATATGCATAGCTTCTAGGGGCTTGGAGAAAGCATCAGTTAGAGCCTGCTCCCCAGAGCTGCCTTATGTTGTGATGTAGATGCACATCAAGTTTAGAATCAAGAATGTTAGAGTGAAAGTAACCAATGAAAAACTGAGGTCCAGAACTGTTACTGTGATGTGCCTGAGCCACGGCCACATTGAGTGAAACATGATGCACCTCACCTTCTAGGTTAGTGCTTTGTCTTTCTGCCCCCCTTGTTTTCCTGTGTGAATTTGATCTTGAAAATTAGCCACGTGTGAAGCAAGCCTAAATCAACACTCCTCTGTAAAATAGACAAGGTGAATTCAAGATTACTGTGACTCAGCTCTTAAATTCTGTCATTTAACAATCAACATTTCTGTGAAGTAAATAATTACTCCTTAATTCATATTCTTTTTTTTTTTTTTTTTTTTTTTTGAGAGGGAGTCTCGCTCTGTTGCCAGGCTGGAGTGAAGTGATGCGATCTCAGCTCACTGCAACCTCCACTTCAGGCGATTCTCCTGCCTCAGCCTCCCGAGTAGCTGGGCACTACAGGCGCGTTCCACCTCACTCAGCTAATTTTTGTATTTTTCTAGAGACGGGGTTTCACTATGTTGGCCAGGATGGTCTAGATCTCCTGACCTTGTGATCCACCCGCCTTGGCCTCCCAAAGTGCTGGGATTACAGTCATGAGCCATATATTCTTTTTTAAAAAATAGAATTTTAGTTTAGAATATCTTTCAATGTACTTAATTTTTGCAAAGATAGTACAGAGTTCTCATACACCCCACACCCAATTTCTCCTAACATTTTTTCCTGTATATTTGTCACAATTAATAAACCAATATTGATATATTATTATTAATTTTATTTTCTTTTGTAACATTATAGTTTGGTTTTACATTAAAGGAGATGTGCTATCATTTTTTGAAGGGAGTATGTAATCTTATCTGATATATTACATGAAAATTATCAGCAAGTCATAATTATTTAACGTTATTCTTCATATTTCTGACCTCGTGTCCTTTTTTCCAATGTACAAAGCTTTCATCTATTTGTTAATCAAATACTTATATTGTGTTTACTGTGTGTCAGACACTGTTCTAGGTCCTCTGTAAACAGTAAGCATTTAATCCTCATAACATACCTACATATTATTATCATCCTCAATTTGGAGATGGGAAATTGATGCTCAGAGAATTTAAGTAACTTGCTCAAAGTCACACAGTGCAATCTAGCTCCAGAGTCATGTTCTTCGTCTCACATGTGCTCCTATGCTTCTCTAGGGGACAGAATCCAGCCTTACCTTGTTTATTTCTATAACCCTTCGCCAACTCCTGCACCATAACTTGCAAGTGGTGTGGTAGATGTATTACTCTGCTCAGGCTGCTGAAACAGAATGCCACACACTGGGTAGCTTACACAACAGAAATGTACTTTCTCACAGTCTTAGAGGCTGGAAGTCCAAAATTAAGGTGCCAGCAGGGCTTGTTTCTGGGAAGACCATTTTTCCTGGCTTGGAGATGGCTGCCTCCTCTCTGTGTCCTCACAGGGCCTTTCCTCTGTGCATGATGACTCCTGATACCTATTCCTGTTCTTGTAAAAATGCCAGTCCAAGGCTGGGCGCGGAGGCTCACGCCTGTAATCCCAGCACTTTGGGAGGCTGAGGTGGGCGGATCACAAGGTCAGGAGTTTGAGACCAGCCTGTCCAACATAGTGAAACCCCATCTCTACTAAATATACAAAAATTAGCTGGGCATGATGGCACATGCCTGTAGTCCCAGCTACTCGGGAGGCTGAGGCAGGAGAATCGCTTGAACCCAGGAGGCAGAGGTTGTGGTGAGCCGAGATTGCACCACTGCACTCCAGCCTGGTCAACAGAGCAAAACTCCATCTCAAAAAGAAAAAAAAGAAAAAAAAAGACAGTCCTTTTGAATTAGGGCCCTACACTTGAGCTCTCATTCAACCTTAATTACCTCTTTAAAGACCCTATTTCCAAACAGTCACACTGAGGGTGAGGGTTTAAGGCTTTAACATATGGATTTTGGAGGTGGGAGATGGGGGTTGGAACATAATTCAGTCCATAAAAATAGGCAATCACAAATGTCTGCTAAATTGAATTTACATTTTGAAGCAATGCACCCAATATCCAGTCAAGCAGGCAGTTTTTGTTGTTGTTGTTGTTGTTTTAATTTCTTTTGAGACAGGGTCTCACTCTGTCACCCAGAGTGAGGCACATATCACTATGCCCAGCTAATTGTTTTTTCTTTTTTATAGAAACAAGGTCTCCTTATGTTGCCAGGCTGGTCTTGAATTCCTGGGCTTAAACCGTCCTCCCACTTCAGCCTTCCAAATTGCTGTGATTACAGGCATGAGCCACTGTGCCCAGCCAGTTGTTTTTGTTTTTAATCACCTCAGATGCACATTTGCGATAATATTACAGTTATATCCCAAGTCTTTTATTGTGCACACCATCATCTTCATAGTTTATCTCCTATTCTTTCCAAGTCATTTCCAATAAACAAGACATTTGCCATTGAAATTATTGTTACGACCACACACATTTGTAATTTTTTCCTCATAAGCTTTTATAAACACATCATAGTGAGATCAAGGCAGTTAATTTATCATTATAAAAAAAATCACTGGGTGCAGTGGCTCACGCCTGTACTCCCAGCACTTTGGGAAGCCCAAGGCAGGTGCATCACCTGAGGTCGGGAGTTCAAGACCAGCCTGACCAATATGGTGAAACCCGGTCTCTACTAAAAATACAAAAATTAGCTGGGCTGTGGTTGTGCGCACCTGTAATCCCAGCTACTTAGGAGGCTGAGGCGGGAGAATCACTTGAACCTGGGAGGCAGAGGTTGCAGTGAGCCGAGATTGCGCCACTGCATTCCAGCCTGGGCAACTAAGGAAGACTCTGTCTAAAAAAAAAAAAAAATCATTATGCTGTCATTTAAAGCAATTCACTTTTGTATTTTAGATGCTAACTGATGATTTATTTACTTATTATCTTTAGGAGCCATCTTTAAATTTCAAAGGTAATGAATTGCAAACAATTCAGACAAAACAGAAATATGTAAAATAAAATATGTCATCCTTCCTCATTGTCTCCATCCCATCCTTACCAAATTCTCTCCCGTTTTAACCACTATTAGCAATTAGGTGGCATTCTTCCAGATTTTGCTATGCTTGCTACATAGATAGATAGATAGATAGATAGATAGATAGATAGGCAGATACATACATACATATAGTTTTGTTTTTAATCGTTTTTAAATGGTCATACTACACTTGTTGCTCTGCAGCTTTCTTTTATTAATCAATGATACATCAAAGCAATGGTCCCTGTCATCCCATAAAGATCTGCAGAGCAGGTTATCTGAACCAGCCCTAAGCACATGTCTGTGGATTCCATTGACCACACATTTCTTTTCCAAACCAGAACATCAGGACCTGTAAGGGAGGTAAAAAAAACTTTTAGAGATTAAGGTCCCTGCAAACTGAAAATAAAATCAAATTTGTTGCTTTATCCTGCTCCCCAACACCTCTTCCAAATTTTTCATGTATTTAATTATTTGTGGCTTATGTATATATGTGTGTATTTAAGTTTCACTTGCTTCACAAATGATTTTTATGAAGCTTGTTCTCACTTCTCATGGAAAGCAGACTAATTCCAGCTTCCAGAGCAATTCCACCTTCCGCACTGTGTACTGCCACAGAAGGAGGTGCAATAAGGAGCAATAGGAACCAAAAAGCATTTAATTATCACAACAATATCCCTCTTAATTTGACTGCTGCACAGCTGTCAAAGAAATTGCCTAGAAAAATAGGAAACGAATTTAGCGTAGATAGAAAGCTGAAAGGCATGAACAGATCAGGGCATCTCTTTTCTGCTTAACAGCAAGACAATGAGTCATTAGCAGCAATAACCAGCCAGTTCTCTCTCTTTTTTCCTGCCTGATGCTCACAAACCCCCTTTCTTGTGGAAATGCAGCTGTAAGGCAAATTAACGGAAGAGGAACTGATGAATAGAAATGAAAGTGGCAGCCTCCAAAAAGCAGAATACTGCCATTGACTTTGGAGTAGATGGTTATGGATTAGCAAATTGTATAGCTTGTTAAGTTCTATGAATCTACTCCAAGGTGGTGATATCAAGCCATCCCCACTCTTTTGAATGATTCTTCCGCTCTGTCAGGGGTGTATTGTGCTCTTAGACCTTGTTTTTTCTTTACTTCTACTGCAGTTCCTCTTCCCCTGTAAGTTTCCACAAAGTTCAACGTTCTGCTAGAGTCTGTGTGCTTCAACTCCACTCCATCTGATGGAGGTATCTCTCTTTTCCAAATTCATAGCATAAGTTACGTATACCAAGCACTTGCCAAATATGTAAGCATTTTTGACATATATAGTTGTCTTGTAATGGGATTTAATTTTTACCAGTTTTACTTAATTCCCTAACTATGATACAAACTTTCTTAAAGCTTTGCACTGTGTGTTTTAGAAAATTCTGATAGTTTCCAGCGGGCTTCCTCGAGGACCAGCTCAAAAAGTATATTTTCTGTGAAGGCTTGCTCAAGCAGTAGGGTGAGATTCATGGCTTCCCATTTCACCATTGTGAACTTGAACAGTCCTTCTGAAGTTGGAAATGAGAAATAATTGCATTTTTCTTAAATGCTTAAAGATGTCAAAGTTTAAAGTTGGTAAAGTAGAATGATTCTTGGCCACAATTTAAGGCTAACACCTAGGGAAAGCATGTAGTAAATGACAAACTATGATTTAATGGGCAGCTAGTCAATGAAACACAGAGGCTTGCAGACTTGGAAGCGGGAGGTGAAGATAGAACCAATGTGTTCCATTGGCACACAGGTGGCATCCACTAAAAGAAGATCCTGCTGTTTATCTTAGGACCATGTTTCCATGAACAGCAGTCCACTTACAATTAGACACCATGATCTAGTTGGGCCATATCTCAGCTAATGCAGGAGAATTTTCTCCTTCCTATTTCTTCATGGTACATAAATATATGAGCTTAGAAATGGCCACACACACACATACACTTGTGTACTTACACACATACATATATGTATACTCTATATGGTCATTCTGTGACTTAATCAAATTGAGATTGAGTTTCTGTGATAATACCACCTTTCTCCCCTCAAAGCATATTTGTTCAACCACTAAGTACAGTAAGTCATTTTCTCCCATTGCTTGACAGTTTACGTTGTTTGATTACAAAATTTCAATGATTTTCTTTTATCTCTGAAAATATGAACAATTTTATAGCTTTTTAATATGCAGCTTTCATGTAGAGTAATTCTCTATATATCATAGGCACACTAAGATAAAAGAAAGCATCCTAGATCATTTACCCTCTAAATCATGGTTTTGTTTTGTTTTATTTTGTTTTGAGATGGAGTCTCGCTCTGTTGCTCAAGCTGGAGTGCAGTGGTGCAATCTCAGCTCACTGCAACCTCTGCCTCCTGGATTCAAGCGATTCTCCTGCCTCAGCCTCCCATGTAGCTGGGACTACAGGCATGTGCCACCACACCTGGCTAATTTTTGTATTTGTAGTAGAGACGGGGTTTCTCCATGTTGGCTAGGCTGGTCTCGAACTCCTGACCTCAGGTGATCCGCCTGCCTCCGCCTCCCAAAGCACTAGGATCAGAGATGTGAGCCACGGCACCCAGCATTAAGTCATGTTTTTTAAAACTTCTTGTTTAAAACAAATCACAAAAAAAAAAGCAAGTGTCCCTTCTCTGAGAGCATACTGCTAAATTACACATTGAATTATAGTTCACAGGATTTAGTAGACCCTCAGTATTCAAGAATGTTAATATTTGTGGTTCTAAATACTTACAAGCTTTGGGAGGCTGAGGAGGAGGGGGTCACCTGGGGTCAAGAGTTCAAGACCAGCTTGGTCAACCTGGTGAAACCCCGTCTCTACTAAAAATACAAAAATTAGCCAGGCGTGGTGGCTCACACCTATAATCCCAGCTTCTCGGGAGGCTGAGGCAGAAGGATCTCTTGAACCTGGGAGGCAGAGGTTGCAGTGAGCCGAGATGGCACCATTGCACTCTAGGCTGGGTGACAGAGTGAGAATCCATCTCAAACAAACAAACAAACAAAAACTTACAAGCAACCCTGAACCCTGAAAGTCTGTGACCTGTAACTATTTATCATTTTATCTGACACACAATTTTGACTTTTGAGAGTTATGAGCCTGGCATCCAGAATCAAATCATTTAGGTAATCAGTGAGATTAACCAATGCTCAGCACTGTTGTTTCAACATGACCTCATGGTTTTCTACTTGCTACAATTGCCGTATGTGATGATTCCTATTAAGTAGGTGTCTTAGTTCATTCTGGCTGCTATAAAAAAAAAAATCCCATAGACTCATAGCTTATAAACAACATAAATTTATTTCTTACAGTTTTAGAGGCTGAGAAGTCCAACATCAAGGTGGTGGCAGACTCAGTGTCTGGTGAGGGCCCTCTTCCTGGTTCATAGATGGCCACGTTTTTGCTGTGTCCTCACATGGTGGAAGGGGCAAGGGCTCTCTCTGGTGTCTCTTTTGTAAGGGCACTAATCCCATTCATGAGGGCTCCACTCTTCATGTAATCACTTCCCAAAGGCCTCATCTCCTAATACTATCCCACTAGGGATTAGGCCTTACTTGTGAATTTAGGGGAACACAAACATTCAATCTAGAGCAGTGGAATAATAATACTTCCACAGTCTAGGACATCTTAAATTCCAAGGCTCTCTTATTTCTCTTGTTATTGGAAGGTAAGTTCCTGTAGTGTAAACATATTAGGCTTTAGCGCTATGGTAACCCCTGGTGCTTAGCACACTGCCTGGAATACACATATTAGAAAACTAACCTCAGCCTCCAAAAGACACACAGTGGTGCTCACATGCACATTTGTGCACACACACTCCCACATAATCTGTATATAATAGAACCATGATTTCAAAATAAGCTGCTCTTTTGGAATCTATGTGCCTCTGCTTTATTCCATTAGGATGGACTATTGAGAATTGATTTAATATTGCCAGGTATGATCATTTGCATTGCTTAGCATGTTATAGGGCTGTGGTTCTCAAACGTAGCTGTATGTTAGCACTACCTAGGAAGTTTTATAAAAATCAGGTGTTTAGGCTCTACCCCAGATCAAATAGTCAGGTTCTCTGGGGACAGGACCCAGACATTAGTATTTTTAATGCTTTCCAGGTGATTCCAATATGCTGCCAACGTTGATCACTGCTGTAGTAGAGATTCTCTCATAACAAGTGGAAAGAAACATAAAGGCAACATCTGGTGTGCTGGAAAGAATGCTGAAGAGAACCTGGATCTAAGCTCCAATTCTACGTACAAGCTGCCTGACATTAGGCAGTGATCCGGCTGCCTGCTCCAGTGTAAAAACTACCCCCAAAATCAGTAAAGTAAAACAACAACCATCTCATTATGCTCAGAAATCCCATGGTTAGGAATTCAAATAGTTCACTGTAGGCATGGCTTGTCTCTGCTCCAGAATATCTGAGGTCTTGGTTGGGAAAACTTAAATAGCTGGGACTGGAATCATCTAGAGGCTTCTTCACTTACTTGTTGGCTACCTGGGCTGGGGCTCAACTGTGAGAACCCTGGGCTGTGTACTGGTTCCTCAATGGCGTGGGCTTCTTTATGGCATGGCAGCCTCAGGATAACTGGACTTTCTACACGGCAGCTCAGGGCTTCAAAAGTGAGTACTATTTCTTTCCTTCCTTCCTTTCTTTCTTCCTTCCTTCCTTCCTTCCTCCCCTCCTTCTTCCCTCCCTCCCTCTCTTTCTTCTTTCCTCTTTTTCCCTTCTCTCTCTCTCTTTCATTTTTTGTTTTTTTTGACAAAGTCTTGCTCTGTCACCCAGGCACAATCATGGCTCACTGCAACTTCAACCTCCCAGGCTCAAGTGATCCTCCCATTTCAGCCTCCTAAGATGCTGGGACCACAGGCGCACACCACCACACCCAGGTAATTTTTTGTTATTATTATTTTTTGTAGAGATGAGGTCTCATTGCATTGCCCAGGCTGGTCTCAAACTCCTGCACTCAAACAATCCTCCTGCCTTGGCCTCCCAAAGTGCTGGGATTACAGGCAAAAGCCAGTATGCCTAGCCCAAAAGTGAGTATTTTAATCAAGGTAGAAGCTGAATGGTCTTCTACAACTCAGCCTTGGAAGTCACATAGCATCACTTCCAGGATAACCTATTGATGAAAGCAATAAAATGCCTGCCCAGATGCAAATAAAGGGGACATAGAACTCACTCCTGGATGGCAAGAGTGTCAAAGAATTTTTTACCGTGTTTTAATATTTCCACAGATAGGTTACACTCTGCCTCAGTTTACCTCTGGTATTACTTATCTATTGCTGCAAAACAAATTGCCACAAATTTACACATTTGTTAAATGTTTACTAAACAATAAACATTTATTATCGTGTAGTTTCTTTGGGTCATGAATCTAGACAGGACTTAGATGGCTTCTGTACTTCAGAGTCTCCCACAAGCTGTAATCAAGTACTTGGCTGGGCTGTAGTCATCTCAAGGTTTCACTGGAGAAGGATCCACTTCTATGCTCATATGGTTGTTGGTAGCATTCAGTTCCTTGTCATGCGGGCCTCCCCAACATGGTAGCTTGCTTCCTGCAAGAATGCAAGCTGAGAAGCAATGAAGAGAATCTGCTTCTGCGATACAAAGCGCAGTCTTTTCTAATCTAATCATCAAAGGGACATCCAATCACCTTTGCTATATTCTCTTCATTAGGTATAAGTCCCTAGGCCCAGCCCACACTCAAGGGGACAGAATTACACAAGGACATAAATGCCAAAAAGTGGGCATCCCTGGGGGGACAATCTGAGAAGTTGACATGCCAAACCCCTCTATAAAATGCAATATTAACCCTGGGCCTGCCCAACTCACGGGGTTTTTCTAAGAATCCAGTAATCTGGTATGTTTGACAGTGTTTTACAACACGTGTGTCACTATAGAAAAGTGAGTATTTTTCAACAGAGAATAGATTGTGACTGTCTCACATCAGCCTTTCATCCGAGAGGGAGGGAGTCTCTTAATGTGGACTGGCACATTCAAAGAGTGGGAAGGGGATTTAAGTTCTTTTTTAATCAGTGATTTCTGTGTGATTTACTTATAGCTACCTAACATTGTTCAAATAAAGAATATGACCTCTTATCCCCAGGAGAAATGGAATTTATTTTTTATTAAAAGCGTTTACTAATGCTAAGATCCATCATATCTTGTGCATTTCCAAAGCAAACTTAGCAAAAGGTCAATGTAAATGTTCCTATGAATCAAATTCTAACGTGTTCACACCCTATAAAGGCCAATCTGGAGATAAAACTGCTGAGAAATTCTTGTTTTAAGAAGTGGTCCTTTCTAGTTCTTAAGCTAGAGAGAATTTCTGAGGTCCAGAAGATATTGACTAGTATGTTTATGTGTGTGTACCTATTTTTAAAGGGTAAATAAATGCTCCACTTTTTTTTAACCTAATAGCTCTATTTGCAGATGTCAAATACCATTAATAAAATGTTATACAGTGTATAAACTGAAGTCTTAAAAGTCAATCTTTAAAATTTTTTTTTTCTTGAGATGGAGTCTTACTTTGTTGCCCAGGGTGGAATGCAGTGGTGCAATCTCGGCTCACTACAACTTCCGCCTCTCAGATTCAACAGATTCTTCTGCCTCAGCCTCCCACATAGCTGGAATTACAGGCATGTGCCACCACGCCCCACTGATTTTTGTATTTTTAGTAGAAATGGGGTTTCACCATGTTGACCAGGCTGGTCTCGAACTCCTGACGTCAGATGATCCGCCCACCTCGGCCTCTGAAAGGGCTGGGATTACAAGCGTGAGCCATCACGCCTGGCCTAAAAATTTTTTTAAGTGAAAATCAGCGATGATAAGGTATAAAAACAAAGTTATGCATTAAGATATACCATGTGATTCTAATTTTTTACAAAAAGTAGATATAACTTCTATCTATACATAGGCAAGATAGACACCAAAATGCTAAAAGTGATTATCTCTAAATACTATAATAAGGTGTTGGAATATTTTTATTTTATTCTCTTTGTCTTTTTGTGAGTTTTCTACAAGAAATATTTTTATTTTTATGGAGACAGAAAAGCTGTAAAAAAATAAATGGAAAAGAGCCTATATATTTCCAATTCTAAAGTAATCGTGTCTGGTCAGAGCAGTATGGTTACAGAAGGATGCAGTTTCCCCATGGTGATGGAAAGAGGAGTAGGCTCTAGGCCCAGGCCACTCCTGCCCTCCAGAAGGCCTGGAGGACCCTGGCTGTGCCCTTGGGATGCTTCTCAGCACCGGTTAGAGCCCTGTGCAGGCAAACCAGAGCTAGTAAAACTGAAAAATACCACCCCCGTCCATTTTTTGGTTCTGATTTGGAAGTAGACTTCTGAAAGCACTATCACGGAAAGAACTACCTCTTGAGCCACTTCTGGTTAATACTTAAAACTTTGAGTTGCATTCATTTCAAACATCTCTGAAGTTGAAAGTGGATAAGATAGGTTTACTCCAGGTGGCTGCTGTTCCTTCTCTAGTGTCTATAGTGTTAAGGTGATTTGTTTCACATCTGCTCCCAAATCAGGCCACAGCAAAGCCTAGCCCCCTCTTAAGATTACTCCTTGCTACTGTATGGCAACTGTCCTGCTAGTTTTGTTTCTCTAAAGCACAGCTCTAGATTTGAGAGGTGAGAGAGCAGAATGTGTCTGCTTCATAGAAAAGGATCAACTGTCTCTCAACACCAATGGGCTGTTCTCCACCAGAGATATCTCTCCCAGGCCATGACTCTCCACCACGTTAGTCATTCTCCTCTTTCTTCTCAGCTGCCCTAGCACAACCCCCAAATGTCTATTTATTGTTTCATATAAAGCAGTGGCACCGCCAACTACCTCCCTCCCCTAGCAGCACCCCTGAGTCTAAATTGGTTTTCAGGCCCACACTCGCACATTCAAAATAGCAAGAGTCACTCGCTCTCTGTTCCCATCCTTAGCCATACAAAGAACCCGGAATAGCTTTGAAATTAGTGGGGCATCCATTTATTTAATTCACTTTGGGTTTTTGTTGGCTCGTTGGAGATTTTTTCACCCCAATAACGTATATACCTGGATCAAATTTGTACACAGAGCTCCCATCCCGTCTTGACCAAGAATAGATCCCAACGGTGAGGGTTTCTCACCATTGTATAAGCTTTGCTTTCTTCCCATTGCACGAGGTCTTTCTGACATATGGCTAATAAGTCAAAAACCTTTAAATAATAATAATTACAGCAAGTATTTTTTGAGCAGTTACAATGTGCTAGGAATTGTGCTAATCCTGAAAACAGCCCTAGAAGTTAGACGTTACTACTTTGGGTTTCCGGATGAGGAAAATGAGAACAGAGAAGTCAATAGACTTTCAAAACCACAGAGATTCAGTAAGAAAACTTGAATCCCAGATTGTCTAGCCTCAAAGCCATCACTCTTCTATGACATCAGATTTAATTAAAAGCAATTATGGGATTGAGGGTCCAAATTGAATTCCTTTCTTCCTCCCAACGACATCTTACTGAGAGGATGTGAACCTTGTCCCTAAACGTCTCTACAGTTAATTAAACCAGTAGAACTCCACTCTTGGTGCATAAAAAATTATCCTATGGGTTCAGTCAGCAGCATGAACCCTGTACTACATCAATTAATTACCATGAGATCCTGCTCTGCACAGCAGTGTGGAATCCTGGGTTAAACTCTAGAGCTGGATTCAAGATGATTCCTTCAGGGATAACACCTTAGGATAATCAGTTAAGCCACGTGCACCTTGAGTTCCTCATCTGTAAAGCCAGGTTTCTGGATAATGTCTAAGAACTCTAGTTGGTCTTGATTTTGTGAATATCATCTGCATAATAAGTAGTTTTTCATTCTGTTTCCAAAGATCATTGTTGTGAGAGAATTCTATGTACCCCTGGGGACTTCACAAGAAAGAAATACTTTCAATTTAAAACCCAAAAGGATTATATTGAGCGGTCCCCTTCCAATGGGACAGGACAATAAAGAAAACAAGGAGTTCAGGGCACTGTTCACAACAGTTAAAATACTAAATGTGTTAGATTGAACTATATTATATTGCTGATAGTCAGCCATTTTTTATTTACAAAAGCAGCAATTTCATATAGCTCAACCTAATAGTGAGATAATCATATCAATAATGATAATCGTAATAGCTTATGTTTGCTGAGGACTTACCATGTTCTAGACTGTGATGTGACGGTGAATTCCAGCAAGACTGAAATTGCCCTGACTTGTTTTACTGAAATAGGAAATAAACTTGCACAATGCTAATGCCTGCCCCAGGCATGAGTTGTTTTTGTTTTTTTTTTTTGTAATTATGGGTCTGAGGAATTTGGGGCATGGCTTGTCAGCATTGTTTATTGCTAATAATGAGATAAATTATGTGTATCTAATCTTGGTGAGATACCCACCCCATCCCGCTCACCACCACTGTATTAGTCCATTTTCACACTGCTATAAAGACATACCCGAGACTGAGTAATTTGTTTATTTATTTATTTATATTATACTTTAAGTTCTAGGGTACATGTGCACAACGTGCAGGTTTGTTACATATGTATACGTGTGCCATGTTGGTGTGCTGCACCTTAACTCGTCATTTACATTAGGTATTTCTCCTAATGCTATCCCTCCCCCATCACCCCAACCCCATGACAGGCCCTGGTGTGTGATGTTCCCCACCCTGGGTCCAAGTGTTCTCATTGTTCAATTCCCACCTGTGAGTGAGAACATGTGGTGTTTGGTTTTCTGTCCTTACGATCTTTTGCTGAGAATGATGGTTTCCAGCTTCATCCATGTCCCTCCAAAGGACATGAACTCATCATTTTTTATGGCTGTATAGTATTCTATGGTGTATATGTGCCACATTTTCTTAATCCAGTCTATCATTGATGGACATTTGGGTTGGTTCCAAGTCTTTGCTATTGTGAATAGTGCCGCAATAAACATACGTGTGCATGTGTCTTTATAGTAGCATGATTTATGATCCTTTGGGTATATACCCAGTAATGGGATGGCTGGGTCAAATGGTATTTCTAGTTCTAGATCCTTGAGGAATCACCACACTGTCTTCCACAACAGTTGAACTAGTTTACATCCCACCAATGGTGTAAAAGCATTCCTATTTCCTGACTTTTTAATGATCGCCATTCTAACTGGTATGAGATGGTATCTCATTGTGGTTTTGGTTTACATTTCTCTGGTGACCTGTGAGGATGAGCATTTTCTCATATGTCTGTTGGCTGCATAAATGTCTTCTTTTGAAAAATGTCTGTTCATATCCTTTGTCCACTTTTTGATGGGGTTGTTTGATTTTTTCTTGTAAATTTGTTTGCATTATTTGTAGATTCTGGATATTAGCCCTTTGTCAGATGAGTAGATTGCAAAAATTTTCTCCCATTCTGTAGGTTGCCTGTTCACTCTGATGGTAGTTTCTTTTGCTGTGCAGAAGCTCTTTAGTTTAATTAGATCCCATTTGTCTATTTCAGCTTCTGTTGCCATTGCTTTTGGTGTTTTAGTCATGAAGTCCTTGCCCATGCCTATGTCCTGAATGGTAATGCCTAGGTTTTCTTCTAGGGTTTTTATGGTTTTAGATCTTACATTTAAGTCTTTAATCCATCTTGAATTAATTTTTGTATAAGGTGTAAGGAAGGGATCCAGTTTCAGCTTTCTACATATGGCTAGCCAGTTTTCCCAGCACCATTTATTAAAGGGGGAAACCTTTCCCCATTTCTTGTTTTTGTCAGGTTTGTCAAAGATCAGATGGTTGTAGGTGTGTGGTGTTATTTCTGAGGGCTCTCTTCTGTTCCATTTGTCTATATCTGTGTTTTGGTACCAGTACCATGCTGTTTTGGTTACTGTAGCCTTATAGTATAGTTTGAAGTCAGGTAGCTTGATGCCCTTGGCAATGCAGGCTCTTTTTTGGTTCCATATGAACTTTAAAGTAGTTTTTTCCAATTCTGTGAAGAAAGTCATTGGTAGTTTGATGGGGATGGCATTGAATCTATAAATTACCTTGGGGAGTATGGCCATTTTCACAATATTGATTCTTCCTATCCATGAGCATAGAATGTTCTTCCATTTGTTTGTGTCCTCTTTTATTTCTTTGAGCAGTGGTTTGTAGTTCTCCTTGAAGAGGTCCTTCACATCCCTTGTAAGTTGTATTCCTAGGTATTTTATTTCTTCGAAGCAATTGTGAATGGGAGTTCACTCATGATTTGGCTCTCTGTTTGTCTGTTATTGTGTGTAGGAATGCTTGTGATTTTTGCACCCTGATTTTGTACCTGAGACTTTGCTGAAGTTGCTTATCAGCTTGAGGAGATTTTGGGCTGAGACGATGGGGTTCTCTAAATATATAATCACGTCATCTGCAAACAGGACAATTTGACTTCCTCTTTTCCTAATTGAATACCGTTTATTTCTTTTTCTTGCCTGATTGCCCTGGCCAGAACTTCCAACACTATGTTGAATAGGAGCCGTGAGAGATCGTTTCCCTGTCTTGTGCTAGTTTTCAAAGGGAAGGCTTCCAGTTTTTGCCCATTCAGTATGATATTGGCTGTGGGTTTGTCATAAATAGCTCTTATTATTTTGAGATATGTTCCATCAATACCTAGTTTATAGAGAGTGATATCCCCTTTATCATTTTTATTGCATCTATTTGATTCGTCTCTCTTTTATTCTTTCTTAGTCTTGCTAGCTGTCTATCAATTTTGCTGTTCTTTTCAAAAACCCAGCTCCTGGATTCGTTGATTTTTTGAAGGGTTTTTTGTGTCTCTATCTCCTTCAGTTCTGGTTTTATCTTAGTTATTTCTTGCCTTCTGCTAGCTTTTGAATTTGTTTGCTCTTGATTCTCTAGTTCTTTTAATTGTGATGTTATGGTGTGGATTTTAGATCTTTCCTGCTTTTTCCTGTGGGCATTTAGTGCTATAAATTTCCCTATACACACTGCTTTGAATGTGTCCCAGAGATTCTGGTATGTTGTGTCTTTGTTCTCACTGGTTTCAAAGAACATCTTTATTTCTGCCTTCATTTCGTTATTTACCCAGTAGTTATTCAGGAGCAGATTGTTCATTTTCCATGTAGTTGTGTGGTTTTGAGTGAGTTTCTTCATCCTGAGTTCTAATTTGATTGCACTGTGGTCTGAGAGACAGTTTGTTGTGATTTCTGTTCTTTTACATTTGCTGAGGAGTGCTTTACTTCCAACTGTGTGGTCAATTTTGGAATAAGTGTAATGTGGTGCTGAGAATAATATATATTCTGTTGATTTGGGGTGGAGAGTTCTGTAGATGTCTATTAGGTCTGCTTGGTGCAGATTTGAGTTCAAGTCCTGGATATCCTTGTTAATTTTCTGTCTCATTGACCTGTCTTAATATTGACAGCAGGGTGTTAAAGTCTCCCAGTATTATTGAGTGGGAGTCTAAGTCTCTTTGTAGGTCTCTGAGAACCTGCTTTATGAATCTGGGTGCTCCTGTATTGGGTGCATATATATTTAGGATAGTTAGCACTTCTTGTTGAATTGATCCCTTTACCATTATATAATGGCCTTCTTTGTCTCTTTTGATCTTTGTTGGTTTAAAGTCTGTTAAATCAGAGACCAGGATTGCAACCCCTGCTTTTTTTTTTTTTTTGGCTTTCCATTTGCATGGTGAATGTTCCTCCATCCCTTTATTTTGAGCCTATGTGTGTCTTCACATGTGAGATGGGTCTGCTTAATACAGCACACTGATGGGTCTTGACTCTTTATCCCATTTGCCAGTCTGTGTCTTTTAATTGGGGCATTTAGCCCATTTACATTTAAGGTTAAAATTGTTATGAGTGAATTTGATCCTGTCATTATGATGTTAGCTGGTTATTTTGCCCATTAGTTGATGCAGTTTCTTCCTAGCATTGATGGTCTTTAAAATTTGGCATGTTTTTGCAGTGGCTGGTACTGGTTGTTTCTTTCCATGTTTAGTGCTTCCTTCAGGAGCTCTTGTAAGGCAGGCCTGGTGGTGATAAAATCTCTCAGCATTTGCTTGTCTGTAAAGTATTTTATTTCTCCTTCACTTATGAAGCTTAGTTTGGCTGGATATGAGATTCTGGGTTGAAAATTCTTTTTTTTAAGAATGTCGAATATTGGCCCCCACTCTCTTCTGACTTGTAGAGTTTCTGCCGAGAGATCAGCTATTAGTCTGATGGGCTTCCCTTTGTCAGTAACTCGATCTTTCTCTCTGGCTGCCCTTCATTTTTTCCTTCATTTCAACCTTGGTGAATCTGACAATTATGTGTCTTGGAGTTGCTCTTCTCAAGGAGTATCTTTGTGGTGTTCTCTGTATTTCCTGAATTTGAATGTTGTCCTGCCTTGCTAGATTGGGGAAGTTCTCCTGGATAATATCTTGAAGAGTGTTTTCCAGCTTGGTTCCATTCTCCCCATCAGTTTCAGGTACACCAATCGAACGTAGATTTGGTCTTTTCACATAGTCCCATATTTCTTGGAGGCTTTGTTCATTTCTTTTCACTCTTTTTTCTCTAAACTTCTCTTCTCGCTTCATTTCATTCATTTCTCTTATCGCTTCAATCACTGATACCCTTTCTTCCACTTGATTGAATTGGCTGCTGTAGCTTGTGCATGCATCATGTTCTCGTGCCATAGTTTTCAGCTCCATCAGGTCATTTAAGGTCTTCTCTACACTGTTTATTCTAGTTAGCCATTCATCTAATATTTTTTCAAGGTTTTTAGCTTCTTTGCGATGGGTTTGGACATCTTCCTTTAGCTTGGAGAAGTTTGTTATTACTGATTTCTGAAGCCTGCTTCTGTCAACTCATCAAACTCATTCTCCATCCAGTTTTGTTCCATTGCTGGCGAGGAGCTGTGATCCTTTGGAGAAGAGGCCCTCTGTTTTTTAGAATTTTCAGATTTTCTGCTCTGGTTTCTTCCCATCTTTGTGGTTTTATCTACCTTTGGTCTTTGATGATGGTGACCTACAGATGGGGTTTTGGTGTGGATGTCCTTTTTGTTGATGTTGATTCTGTTTGTTAGTTTTCCTTCTAACAGGTCCCTCAGCTGCAGGTCTGTTGGAGTTTGCTGGAGGTCCACTCCAGACCCTGTTTGCCTGGGTATCACCAGTGGAGGCTACAGAACAGCAAATATTGCAGAACAGCAAATATGGCTGCCCGATCCTTCCTCTGGAAGCTTCATCTCAGAGGGGCACTGGCTGTATGAGGTGTCAGTCTGCCCCTACTGGGAGGTGTCTCCCAGTTAGGCTACATGGGAGTCAGGGACCCACTTGAGGAGGCAGATTGTCTATTCTCAGAGCTCAAACACTGTGCTGGGAGAACCACTGCTCTCTTCAGAGCTGTCAGACAGGGACGTTTAAGTCTGCAGAAGTTTCTGCTGCCTTTTGTTCAGCTATGTCCTGCCCGCAGAGGTGGAGTGTACAGAGGCAGGCAGGCCTCCTTGAGCTGTGGTGGACTCCACCCAGTTCGAGTTTCTCGGCCACTTTGTTTACCTACTGAAGCCTTAGCAATGGCAGACACCCTTCCCCCAGCCAGGCTGCCACCTCGCAGTTTGATCTCAGACTGCTGCAGTAGCAGTGACCAAGGCTCCATGCGCATGGGACCCGCTCAGCCAGGCCCAGCATATAAACTCCTGGTGTGCCGTTTGCTAAGACCTTTGGAAAAGCACTGTATTTAGGTGGCAGTGTCCTGATTTTCCCGGTACAGTCTGTCATGGCTTCCCTTGGCTAGGAAAGGGAAATCCCCTGACCTCTTGCGCTTCCTGGGTGAGGCAATGCCCCGCCCTCCTTTGGCTTGTCCTCTTTGGGCTGCACCCACTGTCCAATGAGTCCCATTGAGATGAACCCAGTACCTCAGTTGGAAATGCAGAAATCACCCATCCTCTGCGTTGATCATGCTGGGAGCTGCAGACCAGAGCTGTTCCTATTCAGCTATCTAGAGACTGAGTAATTTATAAAGGAAAGAGGTTTAATTGACTCACAGTTCCGAGGAGCCCTCAGGAAACTTACAATCACAGTGGAAGGGGAAGCAGGTACCTTCTTCACAAGGTGGTAGGAGAGGGAGAGCCAAAGGAGAAGAACCCTGTATAAAACAATCAGACCTCATGAGAACTCACTCACTATCATGAGAAAAGCATGAAGAAAACCATCCCCATGATGCAGTCACCTCCCACCAGGTCCCTTCCTCAACATGCAGGGATTACAGTTCAAGATGAGATTTGGGTGGGGACACAGAGCCAAACAATATCAGCCACCCAAGAGGGCTTTGCTGTTGAATTGCTTAGTAACAAACAAAACAAAACAAAACAATACAAAGCCTAAGTGACCAGCAGGGTATAAGAAGCCCCTGCCAGGACTCCATTTTGGTGTTCCTGTCCTCAGGGTGTTTTGTGCACATGCTAATTATTCCTAATCAAAGAGAGAAAGAGCCTACCTTGGCTTTCATGGAGGGAGGTCAGGAGCTCACACCTGGCCTCTCCAAACCCCTCTGTAAGGTAGCCTTTGGTTGTAATGCATATCTTCAATGCTGTTGCTATGTTGTATTCTTCTATTGCAATACACTGTAGATGTGCAAGCTTGGTCATTTTGGGTCCTATGAGTCTTTTTCAGCAATTGAACCTCTCTGCTTACCACAATTAGTACATATACACTTTACATACTAATCTCTTAGTCCTCACAAAATCTCCTGAGATAGGCACTCATTATCTCCATTTTATGAGGAGAAACCTGAGGCACAAAGTGGTTAAATGACTTTTCCAAGACCATATTACTAATAAAGAATAAAGCCAGGATTTTATCCCAGGCAGTGTATATTCTTCAGAGGAGGTGAAGCCAGCAAAGAAGAGGGACTAAGAAAACAAAACTTTAGAAATAAATATAAGAAGAAGAAAGAAAACAAAACTTTTATGGGGAAAATGACTATAAATAAATATAAAGGTACAGTAAGATGAATGGAGAAAGAAAAAAATTAATTGATCAAAGTGAAGGGAATAAAAGAAAAATAAGTGACTACAGATTTTTGTAATATATATTATAGCTAGAATGATGACAAGAAAATAATAATAATAATGTTTCATGTGTAACAGCCAACTCCCGTTTTGGGAACTGGGAACTGTGTCCATTCCTGCTGCTATAGCAAAATACTACAGACTGGGTAATTTACAAATAATATAAATTTATTTCTTATGGTTCTGGAGGCTGGGAAGTCCAAGACCAAGGCACCGATAGGTTCAGTGTCTGTCTGACGAGGGCCTGTTCTATCAGTGATGTCTTTCCATGGCAGCATCCCCACATGGCAGAAGGGGGAACAGCAAAAGGGACAAGCACTGCATCTTCACATGGCAGAAGGAGTGGAAAGGCAAAAGGGCCTACCTAGTTCCCTCGAGCCCTTTTATAAGGCACTAATCCCTCATGAGGGCAGAGCCCTTAGGACCTAATCACCTCCTATGGCCCCACCTCTTAATATCATCATCTTGGGGTTCAACTTCAAGAACATGAATTTTAGAGGAACACGTACATTCAAACTGTAGCAGCCACTATCGTAAACATACAATACAGAGCCTATATTCACTTAACACTTTCCATCCTAATGCACACCAACTCATGGCTCCTAATTACAAGCTCCTGTGACTTCGCCCAAGGACTTCCTCTGGCTTCAGGAGCCTGTCAGCCCATGCCTCAACCACAGGGTGAGCCAAAGTGCCAGGAGTTGATGTCCCTAGAAGCAGCCCTCAACCAAAACCAAAAGTGAGAATGACTACCCCAGCACTCACACCTCTAAGGTACATGTTATACAATATTTCCCAGAATTCCCCAGTGGTTGGAGCTGGGGGTACTGGGGAGACACTGTCACAGGATACAAAATTTTAGCTAGACAGAAGGAATAAGTCTAAATGATCTACTGTATATCATAGTGACTACAGTTAACATATTGTATACTTGAAAAATGCTGAGAGAATAAATATTAAGTGTTCTTACTCAAAAAATAATGGTAAGTGTGTGAGGTAATACATACGTTATTAAGCGGTTCCACAGTGTATACATATTTTAAAACATCATGTGGTATATCATAAATATATGCAATTTTTTTTTTTTTTGGAGACTGAGTTTCGCTCTTGTCACCCAGGCTGGAGTGCAATGGCTCAATCTCAGCTCACTGCAACCTCTGCCTCCTGTGTTCAAGCGACTCTCCTGCCTCAGCTTCCCAGGTAGCTGGGATTACAGGCGCCCACCACCATGCCCAGCTAATTATTGTATTTTTAGTAGAGACAGGGTTTCACCATGTTCACCAGGCTGGTCTCAAACTCCTGACCTCAGATGATCCACCTGCCTCGGCCTCCCAAAGTGCTGGAATTACAGGCATGAGCCACTGTGCCCAGCCATATATGCAATTTTTATTAGTCAGTTTTTTTTTGGTTTTTTAAAATTTTTTTTAATTATACTTTAAGTTTTAGGGTACATGTGCACAACATCCAGGTTAGTTACATATGTATACATGTGCCATGTTGGTGTGCTGCACCCAGTAACTAGTCATTTAACGTTAGGTATATCTCCTAATGCTATCCCTCCCCCTTTCCCCCACCCCACAACAGGCCCCAGTGTGTTATGTTCCCCTTCCTATATCCATGTGTTCCCATTGTTCAATTCCCACCTATGAGTGAGAACATGCAGTGTTTGGTTTTTTGTCCTTGCGATAGTTTGCTGAGAATGATGGTTTCCAGCTTAATCCATGTCCCTACAAAGGACATGAACTCATCATTTTTTATGGCTGCATAGTATTCCATGGAGTATATGTGCCACATTTTCTTAATCCAATCTATCATTGTTGGACATTTGGCTTGGTTCCAAGTCTTTGCTATTGTGAATAGTGCCACAATAAACATACGTGTGCATGTGTCTTTATAGCAGCATGATTTATAATCCCTTGGGTATATAACCAGTAATGGGATGGCTGGGTCAAATGATATTTCTAGTTCTAGATCCCTGAGGAATCGCCACACTGACTTCCACAATGGTTGAACTAGTTTACAGTCCCACCAACAGTGTAAAAGTGTTCCTGTTTCTCCACATCCTCTCCAGCACCTGTTGTTTCCTGACTTTTTAATGATCGCCATTCTAACTGGTGTGAGATGGCATCTCATTGTGATTTTGATTTGCATTTCTCTGATGGCCAGTGATGATGAGCATTTTTTCATGTGTCTTTTGGCTGCATGAATGTCTTCTTTTGAGAAGTGTCTGTTCATATCCTTCACCCACTTTTTGATGAGGTTGTTTGTTTTTTCTTGTAAATTTGTTGGAATTCATTGTAGATTCTGGATATTAGCCCTTTGTCAGATGAGTAGATTGTAAAAATTTTCTCCCATTCTGTAGGTTGCCTGTTCACTCTGATGATAGTTTCTTTTGCTGTGCAGAAGCTCTTTAGTTTAATGAGATCCCATTTGTCAATTTTGGCTTTTGTTGCCATTGCTTTTGGTGTTTTAGACATGAAGTCCTTGCCCATGCCTATGTCCTGAATGGTATTGCCTAGGTTTTCTTCTAGGGTTTTTATGGTTTTAGGTCTAACATTTAATTCTTTAATCCATCTTGAATTAATTTTTGTATAAGTTGTAAGCAAGGGATCCAGTTTCAGCTTTCTACATATGGCTAGCTAGTTTTCCCAGCACCATTTATTAAATAGGGAATCGTTTCCCCATTTCTTGATTTTGTCAGGTTTGTCAAAGACCAGATGGTTGTAGATATGTGGCATTATTTCTGAGGGCTCTGTTCTGTTCTGTTCTGTTCTGTTCTGTTCCATTGGTCTATATCTCTGATTTGGTACCAGTACCATGCCGTTTTGGTTACTGCAGCCTTGTAGTATAGTTTGAAGTCAGGTAGCATGATGCCTCCAGCTTTGTTCTTTTGGCTTAGGATTGACTTGGCAATGCGGGCTCTTTTTTGATTCCATATGAACTTTAAAGTAGTTTTTTCCAATTCAGTGAAGAAAGTCATTTGTCGCTTGATGGGGATGGCATTGAATCTAAAAATTACCTTGGGCAGTATGGCCATTTTCACAATATTGATTCTTCCTACCCATGAGCATGGAATGTTCTTCCATTTTTTTGTGTCCTCTTTTATTTCATTGACCAGTGGTTTGTAGTTCTCCTTGAAGAGGTCCTTCCATCTCTTGTAGGTTGGATTCCTAGGTATTTTATTCTCTTTGAAGCAATTGTGAATGGGAATTCACTCATGATTTGGCTCTCTGTTTGTCTGTTATTGGTGTATAAGAATGCTTGTGATTTTTGCACATTGATTTTGTATCCTGAGGCTTTGCTGAAGTTGCCTATCAGCTTAAGGAGATTTTCAGCTGAGAAGATGGGGTTTTCTAGATATACAATCATGTCATCTGCAAACAGGGACAATTTGACTTTCTCTTTTCCTAATTGAATACCCTTTGTTTCCTTCTCCTGCCTGATTGCCCTGGCCAGAATTTCCAACACTATGTTGAATAGGAGTGGTGAGAGAGGGCATCCCTGTCTTGTGCCAGTTTTCAAAGTGAATGCTTCCAGTTTTTGCCCATTCAGTATGATATTGGCTGTGCGTTTGTCATAAATAGCTCTTATTATTTTGAGATACATCCTATCAATACCTAATTTATCGAGAGTTTTTAGCATGAAGGGTTGTTGAATTTTGTCAAAGGTCTTTTCTGCATCTATTGAGATAATCATATGGTTTTTGTCATTGGTTCTGTTTATATGCTGGATTATGTTTATTGATTTGCGTATGTTGAACCAGCCTTGCATTCCAGGGATGAAGCCCACTTGATCATGGTGGATAGGCTTTTTGATGTGCTGCTGGATTCGGTTTGCCAGTATTTTATTGAGGATTTTTGCATTGATGTTCATCAGGGATATTGGTCTAAAATTCTCTTTTTTTGCTGTGTCTCTGCCAGGCTTTGGTATCAGGATGATGCTGGCCTCATAAAATGAGTTCCGGAGGATTTCCTCTTTTTCTATTGATTGGAATAGTTTCAGAAGGAATGGTATCAGCTCCTCCTTGTACCTCTGGTAGAATTTGGCTGTGAATCCATCTGATCCTGGATTTTTTTTGGTTGGTAAGCTATTAATTATTGCCTCAATTTCAGAGCCTGTTATTGGCCTATTTAGAGACTCAACTTCTTCCTGGTTTAGTCTTGGGAGGGTGTGTGTGTTGAGGAATTTATCCATTTCTTCTAGATTTTATCGTTTATTTGCATAGAGGTGTTTATAGTATTCTCTGATGGTAGTTTGTATTTCTGTGGGATTGGTGGTGGTATCCCCTTTATCATTTTTTATTGCATCTATTTGATTCTTCTCTCTTTTCTTCTTTATTAGTCTTGCTAGTGGTCTATCAATTTTGTTGATGTTTTCAAAAAAATCAGCTCCTGGATTCATTGATTTTTTGAAGGGTTTTTTATGTCTCTATTTCCTTCAGTTCTGCTCTGATCATAGTTATTTCTTGCCTTCTGCTAGCTTTTGAATGTGTTTGCTCTTGCTTCTCTAGTTCTTTTAATTGTTATGTTAGGGTGTCAATTTTAGATCTTTCCTGCTTTCTCTTGTGGGCATTGAGTGCTATAAATTTCCCTCTACACACTGCTTTGAATGTGTCCCAGAGATTCTGGTATGTTGTGTCTTTTTTCTCATTGGTTTCAAAGAGCATCTTTATTTCTGCCTTCATTTCGTTATGTACCCAGTAGTCATTCAGGAGCAGGTTGTTCAGTTTCCATGTAGTTGAGCGGTTTTGAGTGAGTTTTTTCATCCTGAGTTCTAATTTGATTGCACTGTGGTCTGAGAGACAGTTTGTTATAATTTCTGATCTTTTACATTTGCTGAGGAGTGCTTTACTTCCAACTATGTGGTCAATTTTGGAATAAGTGCAGTGTGGTGCTGACAAGAATGTATATTCTGTTGATTTGGGGTGGAGAGTTCTGTAGATGTCTATTGGTGCCGAGCTGAGTTCAATTCCTGGATATCCTTGTTAACTTTCTGTCTCATTGATCTGTCTAATGTTGACAGTGGGGTGTTAAAGTCTCCCATTATTATTGTGTGGGTGTCTAAGTCTCTTTTTAGGTCTCTAAGGACTTGCTTTATGAATCTGGGTGCTCCTGTATTGGGTGCATATATATTTAGGATAGTTAGCTCTTCTTGTTGAATTGATCCCTTTACCATTATGTAATGGCCTTGTTTGTCTCTTTTGATCTTTGTTGGTTTAAAGTCTGTTTTATCAGAGACTAGGATTGCAACACCTGCCTTTTTTTGTTTTCCATTTGCTTGGTAGATCTTCCTCCATCCCTTTGTTTTGAGCCTATGTGTGTCTCTGCACATGAGATGGGTTTCCTAAATACAGCACACTGATGGGTCTTGACTCTTTATCCAATTTGCCAGTCTGTGTCTTTTAATTGGAGCATTTAGCCCATTTACATTGAAGGTTAATATTGTTATGCATGAATTTGATCCTGTCATTATGATGTTAGCTGGTTATTTTTCTCGTGAATTGATGCAGTTTCTTCCTAGCCTCAATGGTCTTTACAATTTGGCATCTTTTTGCAGTGGCTGGTACCAGTTGTTCCTTTCCATGTTTAGTGCTTCCTTCAGGAGCTCTTGTAGGGCAGGCCTGGTGGTGACAAAATCTCTCAGCATTAGCTTGTCTGTAAAGTATTTTATTTCTCCTTCACTTATGAACCTTATTTTGGCTGGATATGAAATTCTGGGTTGAAAACTCTTTTCTTTAAGAATGTTGAATATCGGCCCCCACTTTCTTCTGGCTTGTAGAGTTTCTGCTGAGAGATCAGCTGTTAGTCTGATGGGCTTCCCTTTGTGGGTAACCTGACCTTTCTCTCTGGCTGCCCTTAACATTTTTTCCTTCCTTTCAACTTTGGTGAATCTGACAATTATGTGTCTTGGAGTTGCTCTTCTTGAGGAGTATCTTTGTGGCATTCTCTGTATTTCCTGAATTTGAATGTTGTCCTGCCTTGCTAGATTGGGGAAGTTCTCCTGGATAATATCCTGCAGAGTGTTTTCCAACTTGGTTCCATTCTCCCCGTCACTTTCAGGTACACCAATCAGACGTAGATTTGGTCTTTTCTCATAGTCCCTTATTTCTTGGAGGCTTTGTTTGTTTCTTTTTTCTCTTTTTTCTCTGAACTTCTCTTCTCACTTCATTTCATTCACTTGATCTTCCATCACTGATACCCTTTCTTCCAGTTGATTGTATTGGCTACTGAGTCTTGTGCATTCATCATGTAGTTCTCATGCCTTGGTTTTCAGCTCCATGAGGTCCTTTAATGACTTCTCTGCATTTGTTATTCTAGTTAGCCATTCATCTAATTTTTTTTCAAGGTTTTTAACTTCTTTGCCCTGGGTTCGAACTTCCTCCTTTAGCTCGGAGTAGTTTGATCATCTGAAGCCTTCTTCTCTCAACTCGTCAAAGTCATTCTCCATCCAGCTTTGTTCCGTTGCTGGTGAGGAGATGTGTTCCTTTGGAGGAGGAGAGGCACTCTGATTTTTAGAGTTTCCGGTTTTTCTGCTCTGTTTTTTCCCCATCTTTGTGGTTTTACCTACCTTTGGTCTTTGATGATGGTGACGTACAGGTGGGGTTTTGGTGTGGATGTCCTTTCTGTTTGTTAGTTTTCCTTCTAACAGTCAGGACCCTCAGCTGCAGGTCTGTTGGATTTTGCTGGAGGTCCACTCCAGACCCTGTTTGCCTGGTTATCAGCAGTGGAGGCTACAGAACAGTGGATATGGTGAACAGCAAATGTTGCTGCGTGATCATTCCTCTGGAAGTTTTGTCTCAGAGGAGTACCTGGCCGTGTGAGGTGTCAGTCTGCCCCTATTGGGGGGTGCCTCCCAGTTAGGCTACTCGGGGGTCAGGGGCCCACTTGAGAAGGCAGCCTGTCCGTTCTCAGATCTCAAGCTGCGTGCTGGGAGAACCACTACTCTCTTCAAAGCTCATTTGGAAATGCAGAAATCACCCATCTTCTGCATCACTCACACTGGGAGCCGTAGACTGGAGCTGTTCCTATTCGGCCATCTTGGCTCCACCTGCAGTCAGTTTTTTAAAAAAGGAATCCCCCAGTGAGATTTCACATCAGGTGGCCACCAGTTACATAGTCTGCCTTTTTTTTTTTTTTTCTTCCTTCCCTTAACTGTCTCACTTTCTCACTCCCTTACTGATGGATCCTGGAATCACCTCAAACAGACTACCTGAAATCACATCCCATGACAGCACTTTTTCTGGGAGACAAAAACCTAAAATAGAAAACTGAAGGAACAAAGCACTCCTGCCAATGGGTGTGGCAAAACGTTTCTAAAGCACTGGCTTAGAGAAGGGATACTTAGCAAAAGTTTGCTTTAAAGTTTGAAAAGTATATTCAGCACTAAATAGATGCTCCCACAACTGACATGGCTGCCTATTGCAGCCAGTAGTCCTCTATTTTGCAGCCACATCAGTTGCCTTGGATTACATCATCTGTGGTGATTGAGGCTGCAGCCATTAGGTTACGCTGTCCATGTGGCTTAACTAATGTAAAGGGATCCAAATCCCAGGCCATTGTTGTCTGGTTAAATTTTTCTTTTTAATCAAAAATTGTTCCGAAACAAAAGACAAAGACCAGCAAAGGAAATAAGATAACAAACAGTTATGTGGGTTTTTGTGACAGGAAGAGGGCAAGAGAAAAGTGTCTTTGAAAGGAAGATTCAAAGCATGATTCATATCTCTAAGCTAAGTTGATGATGCAGCTCCTGGCAAATGACTTCCATTTAGGACAACTCCATGAATGTTTGCTGAGTGAGTGAGTGAATGGATGAGGGGATGTGTGAATTCATAAATAAGTGAAGGGATGTTTGCTCTGCCAAAGAAATCCTCTTATTGCCCATTCCTGGAAGATGAAGAGAGGAGGAAAGAACATGGTTACCTTCACAGTTAAAGTCATGTAGGAGGCTTTATGAGTATTTCAGGGCAGGGTGGAGTTGAAAGCTCTCTCTCGTCTTGATAAGGCCAGGGTCAATGTTCACAGAGAATAGAGCCAAACTTCTGAAAATTAAAAAAAAGTTGAAAATGCAAACCTGACTAGACATGGGAACAGGTTGTAAGAAACCCTTGAGAAATGAGTGATGCATGACTTCAGATGTTCTAGAGGAAACTTTATGGACTTCTGGACAGTGAAGAGCTATAGCTGGAGAAATAATCTTTTTGACCCTCTGATCTACCCGTAGAGAAACCAGCCTCACAGATTACACTTAAAATAGTCTTTATCCCCCAACCTAAACTATTTCTCTCCACCTTTCCTCCCTCCCTGCTTCCCGCCTAGCTTCCTTCTTTCCCTCCCCACTTCCTTCCGCCTGTTGTTCCAGTTCCCCTCTTACCATCCCCCCTGCTTTCTTCCTTCCTTCCTGCAAATAGTTGAATTACAGTTAAGAAAAATGACTTTTGACTTAAGTGAGATGTCAAAAGAAGAAGAAACCGGGCTTTAGAGAGGAGCAGTAGATCAGGAAAGAACAATTGGTAGAAAAGTCATTTGAGGTGATCATCAAATAAAAGTTCTAAAGGGAAGACCGAGGAAGAGAATTGCAGAAGGAAGTGCTGAGTGTGCGAAGGAATGGAGGAGCTGTCCAGGGCACAGGCTGCTCCACGTGGTGAGAGTAAACGATGAGCGTGGGTAGGCGCAGAGGATGATGTCAGAGAGTTGACAGGAGCCAGATTTTAAAAAGGCTCACGCCTGACACCATCAATAGCTGTTCCCAAATGTGAACAACTCCTGACCCACACCCCACCAAATTCTCTTGTAAGTGTACAAACACATGGACTGGCACACCCTTGTTTCAATATGAGCCATACAAATTCATATACTATTCCTGATGTCAGGGCACCTTGGACTATACCGTCTATGGTGATTGAGGCTGTAGCCATTAGCTGAGCTGTCCATGTAGCTTAACTAATGTAAAGGGATCCACATCCCAGACTATGACCCAGCAGTGCCCCTCAGGTCACATGTTTATATGTCGGGGAGGAAGGGCCGTGGAACATCTCTCCACTGGGGATGGGGTTGGCCTTTTGATCCATCTATTGTCCCTTGTAATTTCTGGCAATGACATCAAAGATCAGCAGCTCAGTCAATGGAAGGATTTTATACAGGAATTTGATGTAATCAGATTTGCATTCTAGACAGAAAATTTCAGACAGTTGAGAGAACAGCAACTTTAGTTTAATTTACGCTCAGACTTTACAACTGAATCCCCTTGTAAGATGTGACTTCTTAATCCTTACAACCAGAACAAGAAAGAAAAAATCTCTTAGCATGCATTAAAGGTACAGAGGTTTAATATTAATGAAACCAAATAAACACTTTGGAACTCCCCACCTATTTGCCATCAACACATGGGAATTGATAGTCATCTTAAAGCTAGCCTGGCATGACCACTCGGACATATGGACTTTCTTTTTCTTCCTGCTTTGATGTTAGCTCAGTAGTTCTCAAACTTTCATGTTTAGTTAGATTGCATATGCGAAACCATATATGCTGTGCTAGGTGGGAAATGTTTGAGTCATTTTGACTCTTTGAGACCTTTGCATTATATACTCTCTAGCCTCTCCACCTAAGTTTAAGATTCTCATCTCTAGTCTTGAGCAATGGTCCAGGAAAGAGATAAGAACAGCAGAACTCAAGGTAATGGCTGCAGGAATGTGAAAAACATCTATTCAGGAAACTGGAGCTTTGCTTCCTAACTCTGTCTCCTGCTCTCTGGTCTCATCAATCCCACTTCTTGCTTTTGACCTACATTCCCTGTGCCTTCACTCTGCCCCACACTTCCTAGCTGTTAGGTTAGATTATGAGCCCTGATGTGGATACACGTTCATTTTTCTCTCCCTTCTCTCTGTGGAAACCTGGTGCCTATGGCAAATTCCTGATCTCAGTGGGTTGACTCATCTCACACAGATTAAACTAAACTGGAATGGATCTCCCACAATGAGTATAATCTTTTTAAAATTTATTTTCCAATTTCCTCATCGATGAGCTGGGCATAATAATAATACAGACTTCATGGTTGTCAAAGGATTAAACTGGATAATGAAAAGTAAAATTTTCAGCATACTAACCAGATAGTAAGTTCTCAGTACATCTTAGCTACTTCTTCTGCCCTAATGTCTATGAGTTTTTACAGAATAATACACTTATTATTTTTATTTAAAATTTTTATAGATACATAATAGTCACACTGCACTTATCTTTAAGTTTATGCAGAAGAGTAATATTTTCAGACAATGAGTATAGATACACTTATGTTGACTTCTGCCTTGATATTCTGCCAAAATTTGCTCTTTGGCTCTGGTTTCAATCTTTGCCTTTGGAAAGCTAGAAAGCTGATTGCTCTTTTCACTCTCATTCCTCATATTTTTAACGTCGTCAATGACCAATGATCATATATTCAGGTACTCCACCATCACACATAACCAGCATAACAACTTCAGTTATGCCAATAAGATCTACCACTCAGATATTTTTATGACTGTCTAAATATTTTCTTTCATTCAACATGTAACTTAAAGTGAAAATTACCCTTATGTGCTTTATATATTGGAGTTTTATTAGTTGAAATAGATGCATATTTATTACAGTAAGTTAACATGCTATGAGAATTAAAGACAACTGTTAATGTCACTAAAATTATATACAAAAGCACAAAACAATTTTTAAATACTTAGATGAACAGGAATATAGATTGATGCTTAAGAATATTAAGAGAGGAAAATAGCTGGAAACATCCAAGAAGAGTATCATACTTTTTGAGCCAATATATCTTATAAAAATTTAAATAATAAATAGCATGTTATTCAAGATTAGATTAGACCATAATTCTAATATCTGCAAAATTGTTTGATATACTTTTGTTTATAACTTTACAGAAAATAACCTTAAGTTATTACATTCTTAAATTCTTAAGAATTTGATGTAATCCGATCCATTGTCATTTGGGCCATGAATATATACAGGGAGATTCTTGTTTATGAATTCTCATCTTATAGGGGAAACTAAAAGTAGAATACTGACTTTACACTTCAACATTTCACAGATAGGAATATTTTTAAATTATATATAATAACACCCATGATGAGCCAACTTTAATTCCAGAGGTAATAAAGAATATAAAGAAGGCTGGGCATGAGTGGTTCACGCCTGTAATCCCAGCACTTTGGGAAGCCGAGGCAGGTGGATCACTTGAGGTCAGGAGTTTGAGACTAGCCTGGCCAACATGGTGAAACCCCGTCTCTACTAAAAACACAAAGCCGGATGTGGTGGCAGGCATCTATAATCCCAGCTACTCGGGAAGCTGAGGCAGGGGAATCACTTGAACCCAGGAGGTAGAGGTGGCAGTGAGCCAAGATCGTGCCATTGCACTCCAGCCTGGGCAACAAGAGTGAAACTCCATCTCAAAAAACAAAAAAGAATATTAAGAAGAGAAGAAAGCAACAGAGAAAATGCCTATTTACAGACCCCCACATAGTGAATGGCACTACTAGTATTGTGTAGTGTATAACCTGTGCAACTGTATATGGTGGTCATATATGTTCAGAGTCAAAAATGCAGACAAGTGACAGGCTGGCAGTGCTGAGAAACTTTCATTCCTACACTGTAATGTCAAACATTTTGATTACTAAGATTGTTTAAAACAAAATTTTCGTAATAATGACTTTTAAGTTAATATTCTTGGATTTATTTTTAGAGGCCAGAGGTTCATCCTGAAATATGATTGCTGTCCTCAGCAGAATATCTATTTTACCCCATGGCCATTTGGCAATTAGCCAAAATGTGTATTCAGCATACCTCTAACTACATGAAGATTTATTTTCTGTACTCTTTTTCTTGTTACCATGATGATAATCATCTTAATGCAATACACACGTGCAAAAATGTGATTCTTTATTTTTCTCCAATCAAACTGAGCCCAACTCATATGAGCTTTGATTACTTCTAATAGAAGAAAAGGTAATCTGACCAATTCAAAGCAAACACAACTCCTTCTAGGTTAAAATTTCAGCTTCTTCCAAGAAAGTGATTGGTCCAGTTGCAGGCTTCTACACTCTCTCCTCTCCTTTTCTTCCTAGGAAAGATCTGAGATCTAGTGTACCATTTGGCAATGCTCAGGACTAGCCAATTGTCAGCACTAGGACTCAGGGTTGCCCAGTCATCTCATATAATGAGAGAAGGTGGAGATCTAGAATTTTATATAAAAATGCTTGCGACTGGGCGCAGTGGCTCACACCTGTAATCCCAACACTTTGGGAGGCTGAGGCAGGTAGATCACCTGAGGTCAGGAGTTCGAGACCAGCCTGACCAGTATGGTGAAACCCTGTCTCTACTAAAAATACAAAAATTAGCTGGGTGTTGTGGTGGGTGCCTGTAGTCCCAGGTATTCGGGAGGCTGAGACAGGAGAACTGCTTGAACCTGGGAGGGAGAGGTTGCAATGAGCCAAGATCGTGCCATTGCACTGCAGCCTGGACAACAGAGCAAGCTCCGTCCCAAAACAAAACAAAACAAAAAACAAAACTTGCATTTGTAATTCTGGATCAGTTTCTGCTCCAGCTCTGTGTCGAGAGGCTGGCTTTTAGGGATGGCATCAATGGACTTCTTTGCCTCCTGGCTTCCTGTTGGGCTTCTCCTGTGGGAGTCATCAGTCATGGGTCATGCAAGGGTAGAGGACACTGAAGCAGGACGCTCTCTGCAAGGCATTGGATTGGACTGGGCTGGCCATGACTGTCTCCTCTACCAAAGGCTTCTGTCCAAAGCCCTTCCAGACATGGAGGTTGTGACTGCTCTTGGCAGTTACAAGCACCAAAGTGTTTTTGCCATACTTTGTTGTCTTCTCTTAACTCTGTTCAAACCTTTAGGAAAAGCTTGTTTGAGAGTGTCATCTGTTTCCCACCAAAACCCAGATTGATTCATAGACTACTTAATATTTTCTTTTTTTTTCAACTCTATGGGTCAAATAAGACATAAAAGACTGGGTGGGCCAAGTAAAACCATGTCTATAGATCAGATTTAGCCCATGGATTATAAAAATTTTATTTAGAACACCTCCTAAGATATATTCTTGCCTTAAAAATTAATCTGAATTCAATCAGAATGTAAATCTACGTTCTAGTTTAGGGGAAATAAGAGAGATAGAGGAACAAGTTAAATGACATTATCCGGAATATGGGACGTTGCTCTACAGGGCAGATGACTCAGCTTCTCCAACAAACCCAGGACATGGGAAAAGGAAAGCTGGGCAAGAATAAACTATAGAATAAAAGAAATTTCAGCAACAAAACTACCAAAATCAACATGTGATTCTTGTTTGGATCTGAACCAATGCCTTTGAGATTATCATGGAATTTTAATATAAACTTAGTGTAACATAACATTAAATATCATAGTTAATTCTTCAACTTACTTATTAATTAGAGATACTTCATAAAGTACCAGCTAAAGATGCATGATGAAGACTATGAAATGCCTGATGTCTGCGGTGAGCTTTAAAATACCCCAGCAAGAATAATAGATGAATAAGTATGCACAAGATAAATGAAAGAAGAATGGCAGAATTGTGACAATTGTTGAAGCGAGGTGATGATACATGGGGGTTATCATTTTCTTCCCCCTACTGTTCTGAGTGTTTGAAAAATTTCAAAATAAAATGTTTTTGGAAATGGGAAACAAAGATTTACTTGTTTTTACTCAAGCAAAATTCTGCTAGAGAACAATGTCATAATCCACACTCTGTGCCAGCTTTCGCTCTTTCTAAGAAAAGTCCCTATGGGCCCCACAGCTCAAAGAAGCCTCTCCTCCTTCCATGCAGCTTCCATTCAAAATTTGCTTGCTCAATTCTGATGTCCCATATCATATTCTTTTGTTTGCTACCTTGCTTTCACTTCTCTGCCCAACTCACTGAACTGACCTTTCTCTCTGTCTCGCTTGATGCTGGGCTTATCCCTAGATATTGGGTCTTCCTACACCTTGACCTCTACTATTTGGGGCAGGAGTTGGAAAATACCATGTAACCTAAGAGGCTATCAAGTTAGCAAGAGGCCATCAAGTCTTTTCTTTCTGGGATGATGGAATTCCTATGTAAGACTTCCACATCGATTTTTATGACACATTCATTTTCTTGTATTAGCGTGCAAAAATCAGTATCATCTTCATTTTATAATTGGAAAAATGAGAAATATAGCAAAAAATAATAAAAAGCTTGACTGAAGACAACAAATAAATCTTTAGAAATGTTGATACTATAAGTCAAGATGTTTAACCATCAGGCATTATTTATAATCCAATTTTAAAAATCAGTAAAAGCCCAGATCTATGCCTTAAGGCCACTTACTGCCCAGTAAAATTTAAAGCTGCGCAGTTTTATACACACACATGCATACACACACACACATGCATGCACACACAGATGCATGCGTGCACACACACACACACACACATCTTTTACCCTCCCTTCTAGTTCAAGTAGCCTTTTAAGGATATATTTTTACTCTTTGAAATATACCATTTTAAAATTATCTATGCATAGGTCATGTTATTTGTAAAATATTATTTCCACAAAGGCAACCTGATATGGTTTGGCTCTGTGTTCCCACCCAAATCTCATGTCAAATTGTAAACCCCAATGTTGGGGGAGGAACATGGTGGGTTGGATCATGGGAGCAAATTTCCCCCTTGCTGTTCTCATGATAGTGAGTTCTCACAAGATCTGGTTCTTTGAAAGTGTGTAGAACTTCCCCTCCCAGCCCCGACTGCTGGCCATGTGAAGATGTGCCTGCTTCCTTTTTGCCTTCTGCCATGGTTGTAAGTTTCGTGGGGCCTCCCCAAAAGTGGAAGCCTGTACAGCTCTCAGAACTGTGAGTAAATTTAACCTCTTTTCTTTATAGATTACTAAGTCTCAGGTAGTTCTTTATAGCAATGTAAGAATGAACTAATACAGAAAATTGGTACAAGGAGAGTGGGGCATTGCTATAAAGATACTTGAAAATCTGGAAGCAGCTTTGGAACTGGGTAATGAGCAGAGGTTGGAACAGTTTGGAGGGCTCAGAAGAAGACAGGAAGATAAGAGAAAGTTTGGAACTTCCTAGAGACTTGTTGTATGTTTGTGACTATTAACCCAAAATATCTGACATGGGTCCCAGTCAATTTAGAAGGTTTATTTTGCCCAAGTTAAGGACGCTCCTGTGACGCAGCCTCAGGAGGTCCTGATGACATGTGTCCAAGGTTGTCAGAGCACAGCTTGGTTGTATACATTTTAGGGAGACATGAGACATTAATCAATATATGTAAGATGTACGCTGGTTTGGGCCAGAAAGGCAGGACAACTCGAAGTTGGGAGGGGGGTTCCAGGACATAGGTAGACAAGAGACAAACAGTTGCATTGTTTTGAGTTTCTGATTAGCCTTTCCAAAGGAAGCAATCAGATATGCATTTATCTCAGTGATCAGAGAGATGACTTTAAATAGAATGGGAGGCAGGTTTGCCCTAAGCAGTTCCCAGCTTGACTTTTGCCTTTAGCTTAGTGATTTTGGGGTCCCAAGATTTATTCTCCTTTCACATGACCAAAATGCTGATAGTGATATGGACAGTGAAGTCCAGGCTGAGGAGGTCTCAGATGGAGATGAGGAACTTATTAGGAACTGGAGTGAAGGTCACTCTTTACTATGCGTTAGCAAACTGGCTGCATTGTGCCCCTGCTCTAGAGATCTCTGGAACTTTGAACTTGAGATGATTTAGGGTATCTGGCAGATGAAATTTCTAAGTAGCAAAGCATTCAAGATGTGGCCTGGCTCCTTCTAACATGTAAGCTCATGTGTGTTCAAAGAGATTATCTGAAACTGGAACTTATATTTAAAAGGGAAGCAGAGCATAGAAGTTTGGAAAATTTGCAGCCTGACTATGTGGTAGAAAAGAAAAATCCATTTTCTGGGGAGGAATTCAAGCCAGCTGCAGAAATTTGCATAAGTAAAGAGGAGCTGAATGTTAATAGCCACGACAATGGGGAAAATGCCTCCAAGGCATTTCAGAGACCTTTGTGGCAGCTCCTCCCATTACAGGCCTGGAGGCCTAGGAGGGATGAATGGTTTTGTGCATCGGGTCCAAGGTATAGCTCAAGCTATGGCTTCAGAGGGTGCAAGCCCCAAGCCTTGGTGGCTTCCATGTGGTGTTAAGCCCTTGGGCAGAGGGCAAGAGTTGAGGCTTAGGGGCCTCTGCCTAGATTTCAGAGCATGTATGGAAATGCCTTGATGTCCAAGCAGGGGCTCTGCTGCAGGGGCAGAGCCCTTAATGGAGAACCTCTGCTAGGGCAGCATGAAGGGAGCATGTCGGGGACTATGCTCTCTGGATTTAGTCATGCTTTGCCACATTACTATATTTGATAATACTCTACAAAAGTCATTTGACTTGGGTCAGAAGAATTCAAGCTTTGGTTTTGCTGATTAGCAAATATGAAATAGCCCATGCCTGTGATATGACCTCAGGCATCTTCTTTGACCAATTTTTCTTAGTTTCTACATCTATAAAATGCAAGTATAATATAATATGTCCAACATTTAGTTAAAATACAAAAGGTGTTTGGCACATTGGAAACATTCTCCTGTGTAACTCTCAGCTATTATTATATATATATGAGCTAGTCTTTTCTTTGAATCTCATTTTTCATCATGGCAATGAAGACAACACCTCCTTTACTTGTTAAGAACTAAATGAAATAACACATAGGAAAGTATGCCATAAACTATATTTGCTTTGAAAATGTGGGTTATCATTTTGATCACATGCCAAGATTCATGCCCAAACATGTCTTTGACAGTATTTTCTGCTCTGAGGAAAGAGAGATGTAGAAATTGAGAAGGAGGATTTTTTAACCAAACACTCGAAACACCTTTTGTAAACTAAGCCTAAAAAATGACCAGCCATATTGTCTCTTAAGTGATGAGTGCTTCTAAAGCAATGCCTTGCTGGAAGATACATATATATATATATATATATATATATATATATATATATATATATATATATATATACACACACACACACACACACACACACACACACACAAGGGAGGTGGGGACTGGTTTTGGTGGGGAAGGGTTGAGTTGGTCTGTCTGAGTCAAAGAGTTTACAGAGGAAATAAGTGAGCCCATTGATAACATCAATATGTGCTTTGAGTATGTACATTAAACATGACTCTTTCAATTGCAAGTGGCACAAGCCTACCTAGCTCAAATTGGCTTCAACAAAAGGAATTTTTTTGGCTTATGTAACTGAAAAAGGCTAGGGTTAGCTTATCTGTAAGCATGACTAAATCAAGAGAGAATTGTTTCCCCAAGGAAAATCAGCAATCTGGGCACCAGAAGATTGATGAACAAACACTGGGGAACCAAAGCAATATACATCCATGACAATAAGAATTCCAGAAATGGTTTAGAATGAGAACAGTGGAACTTATACTCTATCAATATATTTGATGGACACACTGATATTTAAGTCTTGAAGCCATATCAAAGTTCTCTTAGAGGACATAGATTCCATGATGATATCATTGGGCCAATTTTTATTTTAGAAGACACAAATATTCTCAGGATAATAAGTACAAATCGACTAGTATGAGACTTGGTGCATCATTATATAATAGTATATTATCTTCCTTGCTCACCCTCTTCTATGCTCGCTGGAAAGAGATTTACTCTAAAAAAAATCGATGAGAATACTTTTGGTTACAAGCATCAGAAAACCAACATGGCTAAAGATAATTGTGCCACAGCTCCCAATAATTTTCATCTCCCCAACTCAAGAGGCCATTTCAGTCCTGAAATGGAAATTTCAGCCCCTATTGCAAATGATCAGGAAAGCCTCTGACTGGCTCTGTATGTACAGAATCTAACAACAATCCACCAAGCAGTGATGGCCAGGGAGACTGGGTCACATGCTATGAAAATGACATACATGCCCACCTTTAGGCCTCTGAGTGGAAAACAGCAGATATATTCAGAGAAGTGGAAATCACTGTGAGAAGGAAACACACCCAAAAGTGTCTGTGGGAGACTATTTTTAAATGCTAATGAGAGACTCCTCTAATGAGGCCCTGTCACTTTAATACTTTGGACATATCAATGGATTGAAAACAGGGGCTGGCAAGGATACCATCAGCATTTCTCCTCCATTTAGCTACGGAAATCTTCAGGCTGTGAATTGGCCTGGGAGAGTTAGCAATCTGCCATATCCAGGAAGGCAGCCAATTCACTGGTCAAAGGCAACTGAATGCCAAAGAGCCAGAGAAACAACACGACAAGAGAAAACGTAGCATTGTATCCAGGGGACCTGTAAATACTCCATCTGCTGTACACAGGAACTCTTCTACTGCAGTGACCAATCTTATAAACTAGAAGTAGATGACAAATAACCTTTTTCTACCTAGTAAAGGGCAAAATAATATAAAAACAAATGGAAAACAAAAGCAAATCACCTCCTTTCCTAAGTCCTAGCTTTTTAAAAAATGAACTTTTTGTTTTAGAATAGTTTTAGATGGATGAAGCTGGAAACCATCATTCTCAGCTAACACAAGAACAGAAAATTAAACACCGCATGTTCTCACTCATAAGTGGGAGTTGAACAATGAGAACACATGGACACAGGGAGGGGAACATCACACACCTGGGCCTGTTGCAGGATGGGGGCTAGGGGAGGGATAGCATTAGGAGAAATACCTAATGTAGGTGACAGGTTGATGGTACAGCAAACCACCATAGCACGTGTATACCTATGTAACAAAACTGCACATTCTGCACATGTACCCCAGAACTTAAAGTATAATAAAAAAAAATTTAACTTCAAAAATAAAAAAGAATTGTTTAAATGTACAGAAAAATTGAAAAATAATAGATAATTTTCATGTACTCCGTATCTAGTTTCTCTTATTGTTAACGTCTTACATTAGGATGCTACGTACTGAATGAAGTCCATATTTTATTCACATTTCCTTAGTTTTTATTTCATGTTCTTTGTCTTAGGATCCCACCAAGGATACCACATTACATTTACTTGTTATATTTTCTCAGGGTTTCCAAGACAGACAGTTTTTCCAACTTTCCTTATTTTTGATGACTTTGACAGTCTTGAGAAGTTCTGGTGACAGATGATGTAGGATGTCTATTTTGTCGTTTGTCTGATGTTTTTCTCATGGCTAAAATGAGGTTAGGGTTTGGGAGAGGAAGACCACAGAGGTAATGTAGCATTCTTATCACATCATATCAAGGGTTCATACTATCAACATGGCTTATCACTCATGATATGAAAGTTGTTCGTATGGCTGAAGTAGTGTCTGTCAGGTGTCTCTACTGAAAAGTTACTCTTTTTTGCCTCTTTTTTCTTCACCTTTTGGAAGGATGTCACTCTGTGCAGCCTATAGTAAAGGGATGGAGAATTAAGCTATCCTTTCTTGAAAGGGCAGTATCTACATAAATTATTGGGAATTCTTCTGTACGAGAGATTTAATTATTCTCCTTATTTGTTTATTCATTCATTCAAACATTTATTTTGATGAGTATGGACTCCTGGGTATTTATTTTATAGTCTGGGTTGGATTGTGTAATAATCCAACACTACCTTATTTATTTTGTTGCACAAATTGTTCCAACCTTGGCTATTGGGAGTTCTTTCAGTCGGCTTCTACGTTCCTTTGACATACCCCCATCATTTTGTTGTTGTTGTTGGTACTTCCTTACTTTCTGGCACTGCAAGATGCTTCAGGCTTATCTTGTATATTCTCTGCCCCAGCCCTAGAATCAGTAATTTCTACAAGGAGCCCTGGTTATTGGAAAATGGTATTAGAAACCAAGACCTGGCTAGTAGATGTGCTTGTTGCTATTGGGGTGTTATTTCTAGGCCCTTCAAGTGAACAGAGCTTGAAAATACATATGTGTGTCCTAACTTGTGTATACACACATATCTATAGTTACTTCTATATTTATCCATCTGTATGTTACACTAAGCTAAATGTGAGTTCATGCTGATGTCTTCAACTCTAATTCAATACCATATGGTTTATTCTAGCCTCCTCTACGTGAGATGCCTAGCTACCACTATTTATTATTCATTTACTTATTGTTTAATCCCAGGTTTGCATTTGAAAATTAAAAATATATAAATATACACTCAGATGGGAGATGAATATTGGCCCAAATAGGCCTCAGAAAAGTCTGTCCTGAGGAAGTTTATTTGTTCTCTCATTCTTATTGCTTAATCTGAAATTTTCACAGTTCTTTTTTTTTTTTTTTGAGATGGAGTCTTGCTCTGTCACCCAGGCTCGAGTGCAGTGACATGATCTCTGCTCACTGTAACCTCCACCTCCTGGGTTTAAGTCATTCTCCTGCCTCAGCCTCCTGAGTAGCTGGGATTACAGGCACACACCACCATGCCTGGCTAATTTTTGTATTTTTAGTAGAGATGGAGTTTTGCCATGTTAGTCAGGCTGGTCCTGAACTCCTCACTTCAGGAGGCCTGCCTCGGCCTCCCAAAGTGCTAGGATTACAGGCATGAGTGAAGGCGCTTGGCCAGAAATTTTCATAATTCTTGACCTCCTAAAATGTGTTGTGGAAACAAATGCTTAATCAGAGGGCAACTGGTTATCTGATGATACTCTCAGTTTTTAATGGGAATAGAGTTGAAACTGAGCATACTTACTTCTTGTTTTGTTTTGTTTTGTTTTGTTTGTTGCTGTTGTTGTTTTGAGACAGGGTCTTGCTCTGTCACCCAGGCTGAAGTGCAGTGGTATGATCATGGCTCAGTGCAGCCTCAATGTCCTGGATTCAAGCAATCCTCCCACCTCAGCCTCCTGGGTAGCTGGTACTATAGACACACACCACCACAGCTAATTTTTGTATTTTGTATTTTTATTTTTGGTAGAGATGGAGTTTCGCCATGTTGCCCATGGTGGTCTTGAACTCCTGGGATCAAGTGATCCACCTGCCTCAGCCTCACAAAATGCTGGTATTACAGGCATGAGCCACCGTGAAGAGCCCATATTTACTTCTAATTGGACCTTATAGGGCAGCCAGGAAATCAGTAAATGTGCATTCTAGAGATATCTTTGCCACTACTTATATGACTATGATAGTCACTTTACCTGTCGAGGCCTTAGTTTTTCCATCTGTAATTCATTCACTTAACAGACATTTATTAGGTGACTATTCTTAGTCATTAACTGTGTAAGAAGCTCTGCAGAGAAATGTAATGGAAGGCCCAGTAAGGTGGCACTCAAAAGGTTTAAGCTAGGAAATTGCCATTTGAATCTTGTTAGCAAAAATATTGAAGAAATAATGTCCCATGAACCCAGCAATTTCACTTCAAGGTATCTGCCCTAGAGAAGCTCTTCAAGGACATCCACTGCAGAATTGGTTGCAAGAGAAAAAAAAATTAAAACAACATAATTATTTATTTTTAAAGTACCAGATAAACAGACGTTTAACTGTGCAGTAGAATACTATACAGGAGGTAAAATGAATGAAATATATAGATATATATGAATATGGCTATATCTTAAAAACATAAAATTGAAAGGAAAAAACCATTTTCAGAACAATACATACAGCACAATGGTATTTCTGTAAATGGTAAAACACATAGAACACCACTATAGATGGTTTATGAAATCATACATTTGTCATAAAAGTATAAAACTCTGGATAGGGAGAATACAGATCAAGTCCATCTCAGTGGTTACCTCTGGGGAGAGAAGAGAATGAATTCAGGAAAGAGAACAGAGGGGTTCTCACTAGCTCTCTAAAAAGGTATATATTAAAATGATTAAAAGTTCAGAATAATATAGAATTAGATGTTGATAGTTGTTAATTCCGGGTTGTGCAGGTACATGTATATTTAATGCTCTTCTCTACACTTTATTCATTTGCTATGTTGAAATATTATTTTCCAAAAAGTGGCATACAGTTTGCATCAAGCAATGGGAATTCAAGTCACCATGGAGACAATTTTTTTGTGGACATCTGAGGTCAGCCATGAAGATCATCTCATTGTCCCTTCATCTCAAGAAGTGCCCATTTTCTGCCACCTGTTTGGCTCCTCTCTCTGGACTCTCCTATCTGCTCCCTCTTCCTCAAGACCTAAAAACAAATTTCTCTCCCTTTTTCTTTTTTTATTATACTTTAAGTTCTAGAGTACATATGCACAACATGCAGGTTTGTTACATAGGTATACATGTGCCATGTTGGTTTGCTGCACCCATCAACTCATCATCTACATTAGGTACTTCTCCTAATACTATCCCTCCCTCAGTCCCCCACCCCTTGACAGGCCCCAGTGTGTTATGTTCCCCGCCCTGTGTCCATGTGTTCTCATAGTTCAACTCCCACCTATGAGTGAGAACATGCGGTGTTTGGCTTTCTGTCCTTGTGACAGTTTGCTGAGAATGATAGTTTCCAGCTTCATCCATGTCCCGACAAAGGACATGAACTCAGCCTTTTTTATGGCTGCATAGTATTCCATGGTGTATATGTGCCACATTTTCTTAATCCCATCTATCATTGATGGACATTTGGGTTGGTTCCAAGTCTTTGCTATTGTGAATAGTGCCGCAATAAACATAAATGTGCATGTGTCTCTGTAGTAGAATGATTTATAATCTTTTGGGTACATACCCAGTAATGGGACTGCTGGGTCAAATGGTATTTCTAGTTTTAACTCCTTGAGGAATCGCCACACTGTCTTCCACAATGGTTGAACTAATTTACACTCCCACCAACAGTGTAAAAGCTTTCCTATTTCTCCACATCCTCTCCAGCATCTGTTGTTCCCTGACTTTTTAATGATCATCGTTCTAACTGGTGTGAGATAGTATGTCATTGCGGTTTTGATTTGCATTTCTCTGATGACCAGTGATGATAAGCATTTTTTCATGTGTCTGTTGGCTGCATAAATGTCTTCTTTTGAGAAGTGTCTCTTCATATACTTTGCCCAGTTTTTGATGGGGTTGTTTTTCTCTTGTAACTTTGTTTAAGTTCTTTGTAGATTCTGGATATTAGCCCTTTGTCAGATGGGTAGATTGCAAAAATTTTCTCCTGTTCTGTAGGCTGCCTGTTCACTCTGACAATAGTTTCTTTTGCCGTGCAGAAGCTCTTTAGTTTAATTAGATCCCATTTGTGTATTCTGGCTTTTGTTGCAATTGCTTTTGGTGCTTTAGTCATGAAATCTTTGACCATGCCTATGTCCTGAATGGTATTGCCTAGGTTTTCCTCTAGGGTTTTTACGGTTTTAGGTCTTACATTTAAGCCTTTAATCTAGCTTGAGTTAATTTTTGTATAAGGTGTAAGGAAGGGATCCAGTTTCAGCTTTCTGCATGTGGCTAGCCAGCTTTCCCAGCACCATTTATTAAATAGGGAATCCTTTCCCTATTTCTTGTTTTTGTCAGGTTTATCAAAGATCAGATGGTGGTAGATGTGTGGTGTTATTTCTGAGGACTCCGTTCTGTTCCATTGGTCTATATATCTGTTTTGGAACCAGTACCATGCTGTTTTGGTTACTGTAGCCTTGTAGTATAGTTTGAAGTCAGGTAGCGTGACGCCTCCAGCTTTGTTTTTGTGTTTAGGATTGTCTTGGCAATGCATGCTCTTTTTTGGTTCCATATGAAATTTAAAGTAGTTTTTTCCAATTCTGTGAAGAAAGTCATTGGTAGCTTGATGAGGATGGCATTGAATCTATAAATTGCCTTGGGCAGTATGGCCATTTTCACAATATTGATTCTTCCTATCCATGAGCATGGAATGTTCTTCCATTTGTTTGTGTCCTCTTTTATTTCTTTGAGCAGTGGTTTGTAGTTCTCCTTGAAGAGGTCCTTTGCATCCCTTGTAAGTTGTATTCCTAGGTATTTTATTCTCTATGTAGCAATTGTGAATGGGAGTTTACTCATGATTTGGCTCTCTGTATGTTATTGGTGTATAGGAATGCTTGATTTTTGCACATTGATTTTGTATCCTGAGAGTTTGCTGAAGTTGCTTATTAGCCTAAGGAAATTTTGGGCTGAGACGATGGGGTTTTCTAAATATACAATCATGACATCTGCAAACAGGGACACTTTGACTTCCTCTTTTTCCTAATTGAATACCGTTTATTTCTTTTTCTTGCCTGATTGCCCTGGCCAGAACTTCCAACACTATGTTGAATAGGAGTGGTGAGAGAGGGCATCCTTGTCTTGTGCTGATTTTCAAAGGTAATGCTTCCAGTTTTTGCCCATTCAATATGATATTGGCGGTGGGTTTGTCATAAATAGCTCTTAATATTTTGAGATACATTCCATGAATACCTGGTTATTGAGAGTTTTTAGCATGAAAGGGCTGTTGAATTTTGTCATAGGCCTTTTCTGCATCTATTGTGATAATCATGTAGTTTTTGTCATTGGTTCTGTTTATGTGATGGATTACATTTATTGATTTGTGTATGTTGAATGAGCCTTGCATCTGAGGGATGAAGCCAACTTGATCTTGGTGGATAAGCTTTTTGATGTGCTGCTGGATTCAGTTTGCCAGTATTTTATTGAGGATTTTTGCATCAATGTTCATCAGGGATATTAGTCTAAAATTCTCTTTTTCTGTTGTATGTCTGCCAGGCTTTGGTATCAGGATGATGCCGGTCTCATAAAATGAGTTAGGGAGGATTCCCTCTTTTTCTATTGATCGGAATAGCTTCAGAAGGAATGGTACCAGCCCCTCTTTGTACCTCTGGTAGAATTCGGCTGTGAATCTATCTGGTCCTGGACGTTTTTTGGTTGGCAGGCTGTTAATTATTGCCTCAATTTCAGAACCTGTTATTGGTCTATTCGGAGACTCAACTTCTTCCTGGTTTAGTCTTGAGAGGGTGTATGTGTCCAGGAATTTATCCATTTCTTCTAGATTTTCTAGTTTATTTCCATAGAGATGTTTATAGTATTCTCTGATGGAAGTTTATACTTCTGTGGGATTGGTGGTGATATCCCCTTTATCATTTTTTATTGAATCTATATGATTCTTATCTCTTTTCTTCTTTATTAGTCTTGCTAGTGGTCTGTCAATTTTGTTGATCTTTTCAAAAAACCAGCTCCTGGATTCATTGATTTTTTGAAGGGTTTTTTGTGTCTCTATCTCCTTCAGTTCTGCTCTGATCTTAGTTATTTCTTGCCTTCTGCTAGCTTCTGAATTTGTTTGCTCTTGATTCTCTAGTTCTTTTAATTGTGATGTTACACTGTCGATTTTAGATCTTTCCTGCTTTCTCTTGTGGGCATTTAGTGCTATAAATTTCCCTCTACACACTGCTGTAAATGTGTCCCAGAGATTCTGGTACATTGTGGCTTTGTTCTCATTGGTTTCAAAGAACATCTTTATTTCTGCCTTCATTTCGTTATTTACCCAGTAGTCATTCAGGACCAGGTTGTTCAGTTTCTGTGTAGTTGTGTGGTTTTGAATGAATTTCTTCATCCTGAGTTCTAATTTGATTGCACTGTGGTCTGAGAGACAGTTTGTTGTGATTTCTGCTCTTTTACATTTGCTGAGGAGTGTTTTACTTCCAATTATGTAGTCAATTTTAGAATAACAGTGATGTGGTGCTGAGAAGAATGTATATTCTGTTGATTTGGGGTGGAGAGTTCTGTAGATATCTATTAGGTCTGCTTGATGCAAAGCTGAGTTCAAGTCCTGGATATCCTTGTAAACCTTTGTCTCATTGATCTGTCTAATATTGACAATGGGGTGTTAAAGTCTCCCATTATTATTGTGTGGGAGTCTAGGTCTCTTTGTAGGTCTCTGAGGACTTGCTTTATGAATCTGGGTGCTCCTGTATTGGGTGCATATATATTTAGGATAGTTAGCTCTTCTTGATGAATTGATCCCTTTACCATTATGTAATGGCCTTGTTTGTCTCTTTTGATCTTTGTTGGTTTAAAGTCTCTTTTATCAGAGAGTAGGATTGCAACCTCTGCTTTCTTTGTTTGCCATTTGCTTGGTAGATCTTCCTCCATCCCTTTATTTTGAGCCTCTGTGTGTCTCTGCATGTGAGATGAGTCTCCTGAATACAGCACACTGATGGGTCTTGGCTCTTTATCCAATTTGCCATCTGTGTCATTTAAATTGGGGCATTTAGCCCATTTACATTAAAGGTTAATATTGTTATGTGTGAATTTGATCTTGTCATTATGATGTTAGCTGGTTATTTTGCCCATTAATTGATGCAGTTTCTTCATAGCATTGAAGGTCTTTAAAATTTGTCATGTTTTTGCAGCAGCTAGTACCAGTTGTTCCTTTCCATATTTAAGTGCTTCCTTCAGGAGCTCTTGTGAGACACGCTTGTTGATGACAGAATCTCTCAGCATTTGCTTGTCTGTAAAGGACTTTATTTCTCCTTCACTTATGAAGCTTAGTTTGGCTGGATATGAAATTCTGGGTTGAAAATTCTTTAAGAATGTTGAATATTGGCCCCCACTCCCTTCTGGCTTGTAGGGTTTCTGCTGAGAGACCCACTGTGAGTCTGATGGGCTTCCCTTTGTGGGTAACTCGACCTTTCTCTCTGGCTGCCCTTAACATTTTTTCCTTCATTTCAACCTTGGTGAATCTGACAATTATGTGTCTTGGGGTTGCTCTTCTCAAGGAGTATCTTTGTGGTGTTCTCTGTATTTCCTAAATTTGAATGTTGGCCTGCCTTGCTAGGTTGGGGAAGTTCTCCTAGATAATATCCTGAAGAGTGTTTTCTAACTTGGTTCCATTCTCCCTATCACTTTCAGGTACACCAATCAAACGTAGATTTGGTCTTTTCACTTAGTCCCATTATTCTTGGATGCTTTGTTTGTTTCTTTTCACTCTTTTTTCTCTAATCTTGTCTGCTCGCTTTATTTCATTAATTTGATCTTCAATCACTGGTATCCTTTCTTCCACTTGACCAAATCGGCTACTGAAGCTTGTGCATGCATCACAAAGTTCTCATGCTGTGGTTTTCAGCTCCATCAGATCATTTAAGGTCTTCTCTACACTGTTGATTCTAGTTAGCTATTTGTCTATCCTTTTTTCAAGGTTTTTAGCTTCCTTGCGATGGGTTAAAACATGCTCCTTTAGCTCGGAGAAGTTTGTTATTACTGACCTTCTGAAGCCTACTTCTGTCAACTCGTCAAATTCATTCTCTGTCCAGTTTTGTTCCATTGCTGGCAAGGAGCTGCAATCATTTGGAGGAGAAGAGGCTCTCTGGCTTTTGGAATTTTCCACTTTTCTGCTCTGGTTTCTTCCCATCTTTGTGGTTTTATCTACCTTTGGTCTTTGATGTTGGTGAACTACAGATGGGGTTTTGGTGTGGACATCCTTTTTGTTGATGTTGATGCTATTCCTGTTTGTTAGTTTTCCTTCTAACAGTCAGGACCCTCAGCTGCAGGTCTGTTGGAGTTTGCTGGAGGTCCACTACAGACCCTGTCTCCCTGGGTATCACCAGTGGAGGCTACAGAGCAGCAAATATTGCAGAACAGCAAATATGGCTGCCTGATCCTTCCTCTGGAAGTTTTGTCCCAGAGGGGCACCCGCCTGTATGAGGTGTCTGTTGGCCCCTACTGGGAGATGTTTCCCAGTCAGGCTACATGGGGGTCAGGGACCCACTTGAGGAGGCAGTCTGTCTGTTCTCAGAACTCGAACACCATGCTGGGAGAACCACTGCTCTCTTCAGAGTTGTCGGACAGGGATGTTTGAGTCTGCAGAAATTCCTGCTGCCTTTTGTTCAGCTATGCCCTGCCCACTGAGGTGGAGTCTATAGAGCCAGTAGGCCTTGCTGAGCTGTGGTGGGCTTCGCCCAGTTTGAGCTTCCTGGCCGCTTTGTTTACCTACTCAAGCCTCAGCAATGGCAGATCACCTTCCCCCGCCAGGCTACGGCCTTGCAGGTCGATCTCGGACTGCTGCATTAGCAGTGAGCAAGGCTCTGTGGGTGTGGGACCCACTGAGCCAGGCACAGGAGGGAATCCCCTCGTCTGCTGGTTGCAAAGACTATGGGAAAAGTGCAGTATTTGGGCAGGAATGTACCATTTCTCCAGATACAGTCTGTCACGGCTTCCCTTGGCTAGGAAAGGGAAATCCCCTGACCACTTGCACTTCCTGGTTGAGGCGATGCCCCACCCTGCTTTGGCTCACCCTCCATGGGCTGCACCCACTGTCTAGCCAGTCAGAGATGAACCACGTACCTCAGTTGGAAATGCAGAAATCACCTGTCTTCTGCATCAGTCTCACTAGGAGCTGCAGACCAGAGTTGTTCCTATATGGCCGTCTTCTCTCTCCCTTTTTCATGCCCTGCAATTCAGCCATCTCCTCTATACCCTTGACCCTAGCTCTCAGTGTCTCGCCATTAACCCAACAGATTTTCATCAGATTTTTTTCCATGACAATTTTCCTCCTATGAGGAATTTTGGTCCAAACTGTGAAATAATAAAAATTTCGCCAGCTTTGCATTTGCATAAGAAAATTCACCAGAAGGAGCAATTTTTAATACGTAGGTGTGCGTACAGTCACTGCTCTGGGGGAAGGAAATATCCAGAACTGTTCTGCCATAGCAAGTGCCCCAGGTGGCAGCTCAGAGAGGGAGCTGTGGTAGCCAGGATGAGGCGCTACCCAGTCCTTCTCAAGGAAAGACTTGCTGCTCAGCTTCTGAGAGTGCTGTTGTCAGTGTTCTGCTGTCAGCTCCTTCAGAGACTGCATCAGCCACAAAAAGCCACCTCACCCAAAGTCACACCCTTTCTGAGGGAGCTCTCACCCACTGACTGATAATGGCAAGTGTATAAAGGCCTGGTCATTTGGCCAAATGTGGAACATTACTTATGACCCATTTTATCTCTAGAGCTCCCAGGAAGTCAGCTGAGGCTGTTGTCAGGCTGGCATTTTAGTTTCACCTTTTTCCCACACCCAATCCTGCTTCCTTATCTCCTATCCACAGGTATTGGTCCCAAGGGAACTCTAATAAGCATCTTGCACACTAAGCTCCATCAGGTACCTTCCTCTCTTTCCTCCATACTCACTAGTTATGGAGTGCATTGGTCAGCTATTGCTGCACTAATGTTGAGTAACAAACAACTCCAAACATCTCAGTGGCATATAACAACAGACATTTATTTATTGTCATCAGTCTGGAGATCAATTTGCCTTTGCTAGGATTGTTGATCTTGATTGGGTTTAGCTGGACTTGGTTCCAGGCCACAGTTAAGTTTCAAGTCTACTCCACTGATCTTTCATTCTAAAAGCTAACCTAAAGGAGTAACAGCTACTTAGGACATGTCCCTATGAATGGATGGCATAGCTGTTGGAGGAGTCATAAGACGTCAGCTCAGGCTGGGCATGGTGCTCACACCTGTAATCCCAGCACTTTGGGAGGCCAAGCCAGGAGGATCACTTGAGGTCAGGAGTTAGATACTAGCCTGGCCAGCATGGCAAAATCCCATCTCAACTAAAAATACAAAAATTGGCTGGGCATGGTGGCATGTGCCTGTAGTCCCAGCTACTTGGGAGGCTGAGTCAGGAGAATCACTTGAACCTGGCAGACAGAGGTTGCAGTGACCTGTGGCACTACACTCCAGCCTGGGCAACAGAGAAAGACTCTATCTCAAAAATAAAATAAAATAAAATAAAAACCTCAGCTCAGAGCTGAAACTGTCACTACTACTTTTGTTCCACTGGCCAAAACAAGTTATGGCCAAGCTCAGCATCCTTAAGGATGAGGAGATATATTCCACACATAGCAAAGGAAGGCAGGGACAAAGGACTGTGAGCAAAGAATGCTGTCTACCACAAGGAGCCTGAGAGATGGGCAGATTTTCCTAAAACCAAGGAGCTTTCTGGGAAAAGAGGGGTTGCGAGTCAGGCTTCTTTACTTGGAGACTCAGAATTACTAAAGCACTATTGGAATGAACTTGGATGGTCCTAATGAAGGCCAGGTGCAAGAAGGGGCAAAAAGCCCCCTTATATAAAAGACCATAAGAATAGAAATAGATGAGATTAGTGGAAGCTAATTCTATGTACACATTTGGCTACTACTAGAACACTTCCTGAACATCTTGGGGGGACTGATTCTTTCTATGTTATAAACTGTCCCTAAATTAGCTTTCACATTGGGAGTCCCAGCCCATCTTCTGCATCCCAGCACCTGTGGAGAACCAGGCAAGGCTAGTGTGATTAATGGTGATGTGGGCATCATGTACCCTCGGTGACACCACTGGGCAATGAAAAGACCCATGGAGATCTGGCTGATTTTCCCTTTCTACTTTCTGAGGCAATAGTAAGCTAAATTGACCCTTTAGCATAGTAAGCACCACAACCCTAGAGTCTTTGGCCTTAGCATGAAGTACTTGGGGAGCAAAGACATGCTTGCAAAACAAGAGAGTTTCCTTCTCAGAGGGGTTACAATGTAAAGAGTCTAAATTATTTTGCCTGCCAAGTACAAAGAAGCAAGTCCTATTGATTAGGTTAAAATAAGTAAGACATTATCCCTGCCCTCTAGTATTTTACAGTCTTTATAGAAAATAAGAGTGCAAGTATATATATTTAGCATCTCTTCCAGCTCTACAACTCTATAATCTTAAGATATGCTGCATCTTCTCTGTATAATACTTGTTTAGCAGGCCAAATGTGCAGCGGAGTGCCACATTTAACAAGCTTCATGCCAATGTCAGCACTCCCTGTAGGATAAAGATTTGAGTATCTACTGATCTAAAACATCAACTACCTGATTGCAACATCAAAGAGCAAGCTGGAAGACTTGCCAGCTTCTATGAGAAAGTACCTGACATTTCAAAATGTATAGCTCTGGGCAAGGCTGAATCCAAGGACTGACATCTAATGGGATTAATTGCTCTTATGACAGTAGACAAGTCCCTGTTTTACTCTATCGACTAAATTAGTATTTTAACACCAGAAAAAGAGGTGTGTGAAAACAAAGGCAATATTATTATCAGTCCTCTGCTTCTTGGCATTGTCAGTGCTCACTCAGCCAAGCCCCATGCAATCCCTAAGTTGTTTGGGAGCACAACAGTGAATTCACTACAGTCACCATCCATATCAACAGTGGGCCCATGAGCTACTGTGTTTGCTATACAGAAAGGTCTGACTTTCCATTACTTTTATTACTTGATTCCACTCTAGGTCCTCTGAGGGGACTTGGATCTTAGGCTTAAGTCCATGCCATTTGCTTGGTGCCCAGCTCTGTCCAGCTTCCTTTCTTCAAAAGTTAGCTCCAACTGTCATAGTTCCAGGTGATGAATAATATTCTGCTGAAATTCAGAAGCTTCGTGAGCCCATGTATCTTTGAGTAATAGTGCTGCCAGGATGCCCCTTCTGTAATATTCTTCTACTACCTGAGCAGATCCCTTGGAGGGAGAAAGTCTGAATCAATACTGAATTAGCCACATCACTCTTGACTCTTCTATCCAATAATAGGGGCAAAAAGTATGAATAGCAGAGTCCTTCCTAGTCTCAGGGCCAATACTGAAGTCCCAGCATGCTTCCAAGCAAACCCATTCAAGTTGGGAAAACCACATCTGCATGTGTCTTCACAAAGAATAATAAATATACTCATGTTAAATAAATACAATACTATTGGCATCTTATTTTTTCTTTTTCCTAATGCTGTGTTATCATCAGAAATGACAGAACTCTTAAGGTTTATGCATGTGACTGTTTTTGCCCCTGGATTCTACTGAAACATTTATTGGAATCTTGAGAAGTTAGATCCCCAAAATGCATATGGATTATTTATTAGGATGGTGAAATTATTTAATCAAAATGTAAAAATGTAAAAATGATGAGACTTGGGAGTTTTACTGAATCAGTGATCAAATTACTGTTACACAATATGAAAATGATCTGCTTGAAAATTTCTAGAGGTTGCTGTCAGGCACTTCATGCAGCATGAAGTAACCAAGGGGTAATTGTGGAAATGAATATTTCAAAAGCAGAACTGTGGCTGGGAACAATGACCTTTGTTTTGGTTAATAAATATATTTTTTCAGGATAATATTTTAATCTATTTTTTTCTGTGTTTTAAGAATGAGCCAATAGCTGAGCACAGTGGCTCACACCTGTAATCCCAGCACTTCAGGAGGCCGAGGCAAGGGGATCACTTGAGGTCGGGAGTTCAAGACCAGCCTGACCAACATGGTGAAACCCCGCTTCTACTAAAAATACAGTAATTAGACAAGCGTGGTGGTGGGCGCCTGTAGTCCCAGCTACTCAGGAGGCTGAGGCAGAAGAATCACTTGAGCCCAGGAGATGGAGGCTGCAGTGAGCCAAGATTGCAGCCACTGCACTCCAGACTGGGTGACAGAGTGAGACTCTGTCTAAAAAAAAAAAAAAAAAAAAAAAAAAAAAAGAGCTAATATTGATATAGTATTATTAACTAAAGTCCATAGCTTACATTAGGGCTCATTCTTTGCATTGCACATTTTGTGGGTTTTGACAAATGTATAATGACATCTTTCTCCATCCTTACAGTATCATACAGAAAATTACATTAACCTAAAAATACCCTGTGCTCCACATATTCATCCCTCCCTTCCTCCCCTGAATCCCTAGCAGCCACTGATCTTTTTACTATCTCCATGATACTGACTTTTCTGGAATGCCATATACTTGGAATCATATAGTATGTAGCCTTTACAGGTTGGCTTCTTTCACTTAACAATATGCATTTAAATTTCCTTCATGTCTTTCATGGCTTCATAGCTCATTTCTTCTTAGTGCTGAATAATATTCTATTGTCTGGAGGTAGCAGAGTTTGTTTATCCATTCACCTGCTGAAGGACATCTTGCTCACTTCCCAGTTCTGGCAATTATGAACAAGGCTGCTATAAACAGTCATGTGCCGGCTTTTGTGTGTACGTAACTTCTCAACTCATTTGGATAAATACCAAGGAGAGCAATTTCTGGATATAGTAAGACTATTGTTAGTTTGAGTTAGTTTTGTAAGAAACTGCCAAGATGTCTTCCAAAGTGACTGGACCATTTTGCGTTCCCACCAGCAATGAATTAGAGTTTGTATTACTCCGCATCCTCGCCAGCATTTGGCATTGTCAGCATTCTGGATTTTGGCTGTTCTAAGAGGTGTGTATCATCTCATTGTTTTATTTTGTGTTTTTCTGATGACATAGGATGTGGAGCATCATTTCGTATGCTTGTTTGCATCTATATGTCTTCTTTGGTAAGGTGTCTGTTCAGATCTTTTGCCCAGAGTTCTCTTTTTGCTTATTCTTAAGAGTTCTTTATATATTTTTGGATACCAGTCCTTTATCAGATATGTGTTTTGTAAATGTTTTCTCTCAATTTGTGGTTCTTCTCTTCTCTTCTCTTCTCTTCTTCTTCTTCTTCTCTCTCTCTTTTTGAGACGAAGTCTCGCCCTGTCGCCCAGGCTGGGGTGCAGTGGCGTGATCTCAGCTCATGCAACCTCTGCCTCCTGGGTTCAAGTGATTCTCGTGTCTCAGCCTCCCAAGTAGCTGGGATTACAGATATACACCACCAAGCCCGGCTAATTTTTTGTATTTTTAGTAGAGATGGGGTTTCACCATGTTGGCCAGGCTGGTCTCAAACTCCCGACCTCAGATGATCCACCCTCCTCAGCCTCCCAAAGTGCTGGGATTACAGGTGTGAGCCACTGTGCCTGGCCTGTGGTTTGTCCTTTCATCTCTCAACAGTGTCTTCTTCAGAGGAGAAGTTTTTAATTTTAGTGAAGTCCAATTTTTTCTTTTATGGACCGCACTTTTGGTGTTGTATCTAAAAAATAATCACCAAACCCAATAAGGCCACTTAGATTTTCTAATAAATGTCTTTTTATTGTGATAAATATATATGAATGGTTACCGTTTTAACCATTCTTAAATGTACAGTTCTATAGCATTAAGTGCATTCACCTTGTTGTGCATCTAATAAATGTTTTTGGGTTTGTTTTTTTTTTTTTTTTTTTTTTTCAGACGGAGTCTTGCTCTGTCACCCAGGCTGGAGTGCAGTGGCACGATCTTGGCTCACTGCAACTTCTGCCTCCTGGGTTCAAGCGATTCTCTGCCTCAGCCTCCTGAGTAGCTGGTACTACAGGCGCGTGCCACCATGCCCAGCTAATTTTTTGTATTTTTAGTAGAGATAGGTTTCACCATGTTAGCCAGGATGGTCTCAATCTCCTGACCTCGTGATCTGCCTGCCTTGGCCTCCCAAAGTGCTGGGATTACAGGCGTGAGCCACCATGCCTGGACAAATATATTTTAAAAAATTTATTCGGGGGGGTGGGCACGGTGGCTCACGCCTGTAATCCCAGCACTTTGGGAGGCCGAGATGGGTGGATCACCTGAGGTCAGGAGTTCGAGAGCAGCCTGGCCAACATGGCCAAATCCTTTCTCTACTAAAAATACAAAAATTAACTGGGTGTGGTGGCGTGCGCCTGTAATCCCAGCTACTTGGGAGGCTGAGGCAGGAGAATTGTTTGAACCCAGGAGGCAGAGGTTGCAGTGAGCCTAGATCGCACCACTGCACACCAGCCTGGGTGACAGAGTGGGACTCCATCTCAAAAAAAAAAAAAATTATTGGGGTATTTTTCAAATTTCAAAAGTAAAATGGTTTTATTTTGAAAATAAAAATACAGACGAGCAAAAAATATAAAGTAAAAATTACCCACAATCCCCCTCCTGAGAAATACAGCTGCTGATATTTGATGCACAGCCATCTAAGCACATGTATGTACTCCTATTATGTATATGTGTATATACAAATTTTTAGAACATAATTAGGATCATTCTTTCACATCATTTGACACCTACTTTTTTATTTAACAAAGAATTTTATCTGATATTACTTTTTCCACTATCATTAGGTATTTTTTATGTGGCATGATAATTACTTCATATTCCATCATATGGATATGGTATAATGTATTTAGTCTGTTCTCTAATATTTAACTCCTGGGTTGTTTCCATATTTTGTGTAATCTGTTTTAATTGTGATAAACACTCCATAAATAAATATTTGTTCACATCCTGATTATATCCTTCAGATAAATTTCTAGAAATGTCGCTGGTAGGTCAATGGATATGTGTATTTTTCAGGCTTTATTTTTCTGTTGCCAAATTTCTCTCCAGAAAAGGAATGCCAATTTATAAGACAAGAGCATGCCCATTTCTTCATACTATCACTAATGCTTGACAATTAATTTAAAACGAAAAATAAATCTCCACCAAAGAATATGAATTGATACAGTTTGCAAGATGAGAATAGGAGGACGGGAGATTATATCCAGGAACCGAGAGATCAAAATTAAAATAATCATCTTCTAAAAGCACCAAAAACATGGAAGAAATTAAAAACCTCAGCTGAGAATATGCAAAATAAGAACTATCCCCTTTAAATAATAACATAGTTTTAAGGAAAGCCTTACTGCATCAGTCTGTTAAATGTACTCAATTTTTAATTTCTTGGCTATAATTAGCCCATATTTTTAAATCTCCAATGTTTTAAGCTGTATCTTTTTCAACAAACCACTGAGCCATTAAAGTACAGAGCCATGAAAAATGTTAGTGCCTTTTGAACTTGTTGATGCTCCTAACTACAACTACATTTTCAATGAATTGGGCATACGGGTGTGACACATAAAACAAGATTTCATTGTCTCCAATTTTGCAACAATTACTATGAGATGGCTGTATCATCATTTTCAGTCCCTGCTTGAGAATAAATGATGCCAGAATTGTTTTTCTAGTATGAACAATATTTGTTACATGAAGATACAATGTCACCAAAGTAAATTATAAAGTATAAGACTTTCTACTTTTGGTCAAATTAACTCAATTGACCGTTGACAAGTAGAAAAAGGCCTCTGAAGGCATTTTCTTCCCTTTTAAAGACTTCCTAAGATTTGCAAGAAATTCATCACAAAAGTTTTTCTGGAAATACATTTGTATTTCTTCAAATTTTTAATAAATGTCAAATATTTCATTTATATCATATACATCTTGTTTTGAAAGGATAAAATTTATAAACAGTTCTTATAGCTGAGCAAGAAAGGGAATAAAACATTTTAAAGAACAAAGTGCATTTCTAGGGCTCTTCATTTTCTCACACTTTGTTAAAATATGCAAACACTTATTACTTGGCTCACAGTTAATTAAATGATCCCATGCAGACAGAAACTGAACCACATACTTGACTCTGGTCAAGCAGTTCACCACAATCTATTCAAGAAAAAAGTGTAGTGTTGACCATGAAGCCTGTTTTCATAACCCTAACCTTTTGCAAATCAGTTAAGAAGCTTGACTTGTAGACTGTATACTGTTAATTAGCCAAAATACATCCCATGCTGGAGAATGTTTATAGCTCATACTTTCTGCTGGCACTGACATGACATTTGCATGGTGCTATAGTAAAATAAATAATTTCTGCAGAATTTACTTGATTCTTCCCCTCCCCTCTCTTTAGATTGGATGAACTACATTTAAGTTAGAAATCTCTTCATTTAGAAAAGCTTATTAAGGAGAGAAAAGCCACAAGCTTCTTTCTTGTTAACAGGAATGTGAAACCAGCATTTTTCTGAAACTTCCTAAGATCCTCCAAATTTGAACTATGTTTAAAATAAATGCCTTGGTAAGTGAGCACTTACTTTCTCTTGTCATTTTGCTGGTATGACTGCGTAATTGCTGAAGGTCAGGAGCTGCACCCTGCACAGTCCCAGGAGCACAGCAGATGCCCTACAAATATTTGGGCATTATAAAGTGCCCAAGAAGCCCCTCCAGAAATGAAGAGTCTGTGGTTTTGTCATTGTCACCAGGAAGAGTTGACAGGGTGGCTTTTTACTTACCTTACTTAAAACTAAATTTCCCAAATTCATCTGAGATAAACATGCCTTTTGATATCATTCAGCTGTTTGACATTATTACGTATTTGAATGCACACAAATGATTTTAACCCCCAGGAGAGCTAAATTATAATGACCCTGCTTGGGGAGTGTCAGTTCGCCAACAAGTATCTAAAAGTACGAGTTTGAAGAAGAGGTAAGGTGACCACCCTAACAGCCAGGGCACGCTTAGAATTCCTTGGATTCAGTCATGAGCTCAAGGTGCCACTGCTGTGGAGCTTCTGTAATGACATCATGCCACAGAATCAGCCCTGTCATGTCCGTGCTCCTCCTTCTCAAGCTCTCAGTTGGAACAGGACTCCCAGTCTGCTGAAAATTAAGCCCCACCAGAATTTCCAGAGAAATAGAAGTTTGGACTCCAGGTAAGCTATAGTTAAATGCCTTGAATTTTCTCCCCTTTACAGCATCTCCTCTTTAGAATTTAACATTTGTCATTACCTGGTAGCCACTGCTAATGCTCATGGAAATTCCCATTTCTCATTTCTCCCATTTCCAGTCACATGGTCCATTGAAGTTAAGCACGGCCATGTGACTTGCTTTGGCCAAGGAAATGTGAGTGAAAATGAATGCATCCCTTCCAACTAGAGCATTTAAGTGTTGGCGCTGCACTATCCAGTCCCCTCTTTGCCCTCTGCCTCAACTGTAGATGATGTAGATCATTAACCTGGGATTCCAGGGTGAGGACAATGTGGTTTGGAGCCCTTCTGTGACATGCGGTGGCCAGGCAGCGGAGGAAGAAGTACAATTTTGTTGTAAGACATTTAGATTTCAGGATTATTTATTACTGCAGCATAGCCTAGCCCAATCTAACTGATACGCCTCCCCCTAACCGAGATTTGTGCTCCAGGTCATTTCTTCATTTATGTGAGCCCCAAGTCAGCACTTTTTCTCATTCAGTAAGAGTGGTCCCAGGCCTGAACCTGTTTCCTTGCTTCCATGTCTAACTCTAGCCACTTCCCGTTTGTACAGGCTGGCTCCCTGCTTCTGAACTCTAGCCTCAGCTAACCCTATGGACGATCTTATGTATAATTCCTGTCTACCTATTCCTTCCAGAGTACTCATTCTTGATTCCGCCCAGCCGGCTCCTTCCTTTTGCTAGAGTAATGCTACCTTTACTTAATTAAGCTCCTGTTCCCTCCCATAGCCCTGTATGGTCACAGCTCCTGCTGTGCCCGGGGGATGCTGAATCTGATCACAGCTGTGCCTTTATGCTCAGTCCTGCAGCTGGAACGTCTCCTGCAGTGCACACCTAGTGTCCTTCAGTGGTTGTAGGTCTGGGCCTTGGCTTCCTCTGCTGTTTGCCCTGTGCTACCAGGTGGCATTTCTTCCAGAGTAAACACCATAAGCACAGCAGTGGCCAGGTGGGAGGAATGAGACATGAAGACCAACACAGCAAGCCATGGCAGATGGTAAGAATCAAGGAGTTTGTTTAAGATGAAGAAACAGGACTATGCCCTCTGTTTTGGTAAATTTCCAGTTTTGAAATAAATCTATAAAAGTATTCTATATTATGATGAGAATCCTCCATCCTACTCTTTACAGTTCTGACTGGAATATCAATTCGGGGATGCTCACAAAGATTTAAGACAAGGGGCTGGGTGCAGTGGCTCACGCCTGTAATACCAACACTTTGGAAAGTTGAGCCAAGAAGGTGACTTGAGCCTGGGTGTTTGAGGCCACCCTGGACAACACAGTGAAACTCCACATCTACAAAAACTAAAAGTAAAATCTAGCTGGGCACGGCATACACATACAGTCCCAGCTACTCTGGAGGCTGAGGTGGGAGGGTAGCCTGAGCCTGGGAGGCCAAGGCTGCACTGAGCTGTAATCGAGCCACTGCACTCCAGCCTGTGTGAGGAAGCAAGACCCTGTCTCAAAAAAAAGATTTACAACAAAGGATGTTCATGATAGTGTGTGCTACTTATAATAGTGAGAAGAGGAAGGGCACGGTGGCTCACATCCCAGCACTTTGGGAGGCCGAGGCAGGCGGACCACCTGAGGTCGGGAGTTTGAGACCAGCCTGACCAACATGATGAAACCCTGGCTCTACTAAAAATACAAAATTAGCCAGGCGTGGTGGTGCATGCCTGTAATCCCAGCTACTCGGGAGGCTGAGGCAGGAGAATCGCTTGAACCTGGGAGAAGGAGGTTGAAGTGAGCCAAGATCACGCTGTTGCACTCCAGCCTGGGCAACAAGAGTGAAACTCCATCTCAAAAAAAAAAAAAAAAAAAAAGGTGAGAAGAATAAGTCAATGTGCACCAAAGGGAGAAAGGTAAATATAGGTTATTAAATGCTCATATGATGAAATAACATCATGTTATAAAATATGGATAGATAAGAAAAAAATGTTAGATTACTGAGTAAAAAGAGCAGAAATTCAAAATATGTATTTAATTATATTTTTAAAAATTCATGTTTACTTTGTAAGCATAGAACAAGATAGACAAGTGATATATATATATAGCAAAATACTGACCATGATGGTCTTCAGTGTATTTTATTTCCTCCTTAATACTTCCATATTTCCCAAAGTTTGTGTAATTAGCATGTGCCATTTCTAATCAGAAAATCCTGTTATGCAATATGATAAGAAATATGGTATTTACTTTGGATATGGTCTCCACTATTATGCTGAGACTTATTCCCCGTCTGCCTTTCCTTTACAATCGAGTATCATCAGATTTTCTAACAGGTTCCTTTCCTTTTTTTTTTTTTTTTTGTCTTGCTCCACTTTTCACAAGAAAAATTTTAAAAATTATTACATACTAACAATTATCATACAGAATAAAATATGGAGAGTTCCAGGAATGTTTTTCTGGGGTTGCATTTTATATCCTGGAAGCAATATCAATACTTTTGAAACTTCACGGTTTTTTTAAAAAAACTCACTTATGAGTAAAGCTTTGGAACAATATATCCATTTGGGTTTGGTATTTTTTAGTTCAGAAAAGTCTTTATTTGGAGAATAAACAAAAGGTGAGGACCAGGCACGGTGGCTTATGACTGTTATCCCAGCACTTTGGGAGTCAGAGGCGGGTGGATCACTTGAGGTCAGGAGTTCGAGACCAGCCTGGCCAACATGGTGAAGCCCTGTCTCTACTAAAAATACAAAAATTAGCCGGGCACAGTCGCGCATGCCTGTAGTCCCAGCTACTCAGGAGGCTGAGGCAGGAGAATCCTGAATCCCTTGAACCCAGGAGCTGGAGGCTGCCATGAGCCGAGATCGCACCACTGCACACCAGCCTGGGCAACAGAGTGAGATTTTGTCTCAAAAAAAAAATTATAAATGTTTAATATTGAACAAATCTAAAGTCTTTGGAAACTTGTTTTAAGTCAATCCAGAACTGGTAATTACTAAGCTGACCGTGCTTGCAAAGGGAAGAAAAGAATTGTCAAGCACAGATCCTTCTGCCAGCTTCCTCCAAATAGCACATGGGGCCATTTGGTGCCCAGTGCAGGTATGGCCCGTCTCCAGCTCCCATGACCAATTCAGGACTGGCTGACTCTAGCCCTATTTTCTGGGGATCAGCATCAGATTCATTGTGATGTATCTCAGCTCTGAGGTAGTACACCAGATTTGGCCCCTACCTGTGAGTTCTATTCTGCTAACCTGCCTTGAACTTAATCTCCTAGGGAATTTGGCTTGTCCCAGGAAATAGAGCCAGGTTCCAACCTTTTTGTCTTGTGGCCAACCTTTTCTTTTTTTTTTTTCTGAGACAGAGTCTCGCTCTGTTGCCCAGGCTGGAGTGCCGTGGCACAATCTCAGCTCACTGCAAGCTCTGCCTCCCAGGTTCACGCCATTCTCCTGCCTCAGTCTCCTGAGTAGCTGGGACAGCAGGTGCCTGCCACCATGTCTGGTTAATTTTTTGTATTTTTAGTAGAGATGGGGCTTCACTGTGTTAACCAGGATGGTCTCGATCTCCTGACCTCGTGATCCGCCCGCCTTGGACTCCCAAAGTGCTGCGATTACAGGCGTGAGCCACCACGCCCGGCCATGCTCAACTTTCTTGATACTATTTGAGTCCTTCCAATCACAGACTTCTTCCTCTATGTTCTGACCTGTTATAAAATGGGTGAGTATATATATGAATAAAATGACTTTATACATGCATAATAAAAAGAATGAATGGGGTTATTTGAGCTGTAAGCTCATATGGTTGTAATTCTTACACACTGTGTAATACTGAACTGCCATGGGCAGAATCTACAGCAGGATCTATCTTGTTACGCCTCAGTGGGCAAACTAGCATGATCCCTGACTCCTGTTGAACTCTCTCCCATTATCTTGATACTAAGTCTACGGGGTCCTAGTAATCCCATAGGTCAAAGAGGTTGAGGTTCCTTTGCAAAGAAATGTCTATTTTAGTCTAAGTTGACAAATGTGGCCTGAGAATAAATAACATTAAATCATTTGAATATGCTGCACTGGGGAGACACAAGTTATTTCCATTTTACCAATATTCAGCCTTCTATATAGTCAGGGCACCAACCTCCTGCAGATCAACCCGACATTGAGGTATTTCTCATGAAGAGAAGAGAATGATCCTGGAATCCTCAGATAACCTTTCTTTTTCTACTCCTGCCTTGAAGAAGTTTAGAATCTGTAGTCCTGGAATTGCAGTTAGTGGAATTGGCAGCCTTGCACCCATCCCTGCAGAAAGATGTACACTGAAATAAATACCTTTGGCACAATGACATGGCTTAGATGGCATTTCAAAGCTAACAACAGGCATCTGAGCAATCTGCCATCTCATTGACATTCCACCACATGCCTCGAAATTCTTCAGACAGGCCCTACTAAAAAATCTTGCAAGACATGTACTTCAGGTAAATTCTAATCATAATTTAGGTGCATTTGAGTGGTTCCAAATCTTCAGATATTCATCACTTGGCAGGACAAAATGTCCAGAAGAAATGGTGTGTGATGACTTTTAGAAGACTTGAACAGTGAACGGTCAGAAAGAGTTCCCAGGAAATTGCTTTACTCTTACTTAATCCAGCTCCTAGTTTTTAAAATTAATTCAAATGTACCATATTTGAAGATTTCCCCTACAAGTACAGTAGTAGCAAATGCACAGCATGTAACCTGTGACAATAATAAGATAGATATTAAAGAGGACTCTATATCTTCCTGGGGAGCAATTTTTCCCCCAAGTAATTGGTAACATCCTTTTCTTGATCTCTGCAAGATGTCACCATTGAGGTTTAATCTTCATGAAGCTGAGCACTTTTCTTGAATTGCCTGTGAATGAATGAAAGGGAAGGTTTAGCCAGTAGAATTTTTATTTGCTTTGGGCAAGCTACACTCTTAGATGCAAAGAGTTAAAAGGGTATATGGGGCATCTGCAGAATAAAGTTTTGGAAATGCCTGCAGAACAAGCTCAAGGTTTTCCTAAACTATAGGGTCTGGTGGATTTGTGTTAAAAGAAAGCCTGGAATATTTTGGATTGTACTGTCAAGCAGACTTTTCACTGAATTATGGGTTTTATTAGAACTCCCCAAAATAAAGAGCAGCTCGTGCTTTAGACTTCCAGCTTTTAAAAACTCAGCTTTAGACATATGGTTTACTATTTAGTTATAATAAAATCCTGGTCACAATGATTTGTAGATAGACACATAGATTTATTAAAGTCTCTGAAATTATTAAAGCCGCAGAGTAGTTTATAATGACGGAAAAACCTCCCAAAATTAGTTAGAAAAAAATCACAAGCATTTTGACACAAACCCATTCATAATTTTACAATCAGTACTTGTATTTTAGCAAAGATGGGGGAATGAGAGCTTTTATATGTTGCTGGTGGGTATAAATTGCTACCAACTTTCTGGAGAACAACTGGCATTATATACCAAAAGCCTTAAAAAAGTGCATGTTCTTTGGCCCAATAATTCTACTCTGTGGAATTCATTCTAGGGACATGAAGATACACACAGATTGATATACAAGTATTGTTCATTGCAGCATCATTCATAATGAAAAAGAATTGGAAACAACATAAATGTCTAGCAATACAGTATTGTTTGAACAGATTATTATAAATTCAAACAATGGAACACCAAGCAGGCACTAAAATAATCTTGGAAGCATATTTAATAAATAAAAAAAAATCATGGGAAGAACAAAGGACTAAATGCATAAATATTTACTATAAAAGTACCATAATACTTGAAACAAATATCTATCAATAATGGACTGGTTGGGCCCAGAAGTTTGAGGCTTGAGCCCAGGGGTTTGGAGGCTACAGTGAGCTACAATTGCACCACTGCACTCCAGCCTAGGAAAAAGAGCAAGATCTTATCTTAATAATACTTATTATTATTATTATTAACCATGGACTGGTTAAGAAATTGTGGGGAATCTGTAATAGAATACTACGTAGTATCAAAAAGAATGTATATGATATGGACCCATCTCTGATACATTGTGAGTAGGAACAGTAAATTACAGAATAGGTTGTATAGTATGCAACGATTTCTGTAACTAAAAGATATAGTTATATCTATCTATGCACAGGAATTTCTGGAAGTCTGCCAAAGAAACTAGTCACACTGGCTGCCTCTGGGGAAGTGAGAGGTGGGTTGGGGGTGGGAGGGAGACTTACTTCTTGTGTAAAATTGAAAAAAAATGGAAGAAAATAATGCAGAGGGGGAAAGCACATAAAAAATGTCTCAAGGTCTAATGGGACAGCAGGTGGGGAAGGGGAGCAAGCTTGGTTCCAGTGAGCACTGAGCCTAGTACTGGCCTAGTCCTAAATGGGACTGCCTTTACTTCCCTGTCTGAATGTGTAATTATGGCTACATCATCCGCTTCCTGGCTGAGGCGTGCACATGTAATTAGTTTTATTGCTGTAACTCAGTTGTTCTTAATCTTGCTTGCATACTGGAATACCTGGAGGCATAAAAAAATACTAAAAACATACCAAGCTCTACCCCAGACCAATTAAATCCAAGTATCTGGGGTAAGAATCTGGCATCCAGTATGGTTTAAAGGCTCCCCAGGTGATGCTAATGTGCAGCCAGGGGTCAGAACCATTGTTTTAATCTGGGGCCTTGATTTGATTGAAATTGCAAATGCTCCTACAAGGGCAGTGTAATTTATTATCAGTAAGTTACGGACTTCCTGAGAATAGGTAAAAGGTTAAGTGAACATTGATCTTTTCAAAAAGATGAATACAAATGTGGAGGTCGGGAAAGCTGGAGACCAAGGAAGGGGCATCAGGAAAAGAAAATTCAGAGTGAGATAACCCATGTCCTAGTCCAACGTCTGGCACTTCTTTTTATTTTTATTTTTTTCGAGACTAGGTCTCACTCTGTCATCCAGGCTGGAGTGTGGTGGTGTGATCTCAGCTCCCTGCAGCCTTGACCTCTCAAGTTCAAGCAATCCTCTCCCCTCAGCCTCCTGGGGAGTTGGGACTATAGGCACACGCTGCCATGCCTGGCTGATTTAATTTTTTTTTTTTTTTTGTAGGGATGAGGTCTATGTTTCCCAGGCTGATCTCAAACTCCTGGGCTCAAGGGATCCTCCCACCTCAGCCTCCCAAAGTGCTGAGATTACAGTGTGAGCCACCACACCTAGCCTCTGCCACTTCTTGGCTGCATGGCCTATATCAATTTATAGACCCTCTAAGTGTGATCTTCTGTGGCAGCCGGATTAGTGCAGAGGTTTTGAAAATGGCCTCAGAGAAGAGGAAAGAGGAAAGACATGGGGATTCCATGTCACCTTTACCCTTTTATAGACTGGCTTTTCAGTAGGCTTTATTTTTAATAAATGATTGCCAGATTTAAAAAATTCCCAAATCACATAGCCTCTGACGTCTCTTTAGTCTAAGATCTTTGCTTCTTAATGTAAGCCAAATAGTGAGCCTAAATGTAATGCTTTCTATATTTTTCTCATCATTTTCTTTTGAGTGTTAGAGAGACTGTGGAAACTTCTACTGCTTTCATTTGGACAACCAATGGCTTTTCAACCCAGTTCTTTTGCTCTAGTTCCACAGGCAGCAATAATATATATTTTTAAGCTGTAAAGAATAAATAACCCCCCACTGCTCATTCCTTCCCTAGAGTGAGAAGTTCTCCAGTTTGTAGGCCTATTCATGCATGACTTCTATACCAGAGCTGGGACTGGGTGAGGTATTTGCCTTGGGTGCAAAATTTAAGTGGCATCAAAAATCTCAGTAATCAGGATAGGTAATATTTTAATGCAATACTTTAAAAATCTATAGTAATGCAAAAACCCCGTGATGAACAAATAATCAACATTTTATTTATTTATTTTTTTGAGACAGGGTCTCTACCTGCCCAGGCTGGAGGCACGATCTCGGCTCTCTGCAATCTCTGCTTCCTAGGCTCAAGCAATCCTACTGCCTGAGGCTCCAGAGTAGCTGGGACTACACACATGTGCCACTACACCTGGCTAATTTTTAAATTTTCTGTAGAGACAGGGTTTCACTACGTTGCCCAGGCTGGTCTTGAACTCTTAGGCTCACGTGATCCACCCACCTCAGCCTCCCAACATGCTCGCATTACAGGCGTGAGCCACCATGCCCAGCCCAGCATTTTAAATAGAGACAAGATCACTAACAGTTCTGTGCCATAACAGACAAAGCCTAAGCCAAAAAAAAAAAAAATCCTCACTCATCTCATCTTCTTCCAGGCCCTATTCCATATTGTCCAATGCACTCATCTCAAATCCGATGCTTAGGAATTTGTATAAGAATGGAAAGCTGGAAAACATTAACAAGTTTGGAAGAAGTATTTGGAAATTTTGTGGCTCAAATAGATTTTGGTAGGCCTAAGAGATAGAAAAGGACAAGAGAAAAAATAAAGCAATAAAGAACACTTTAATATCTAAATTTGTGGTTAGGAGAGGATATTTCATATTTATCTTAAAGTTAAAAGCGATTACCTTTTTTAACATCTTGATAAAATTCAGAATGGGAGGTTGAAAAATTTACAAGGATAACAAATTGAAAAAATTCATATGAAGACCATTTCAATCATTGAGAAGGCAGAACAGGCACTTTAATTACTTACGTGTTTTCCATCAGCAAGTGCTGTGTTTCGTTAACTTATCACACACTGAGCAATTAACAACTCTGACTATATATCTTGTCAAGATCTTCAATGTATAACCTGCATGTGGTCTGAAATGAATTGGTAATAGGAATATCAACTCTCCTATAAAGTTGATTTAGGTGGAATTAATATAGGCTTCCATCTGGGTTTTGAACAAAAATACTGCTTCCCAACTTTCTGAATACTCTAGTGATGGCTAATTTTCCTTGGTGAACGCATTGGAGGCAAGATTTTGAAGCACAGGGTGGAAGAACATTTTACAGAGGGAGCCAAGCTTTGGTGCACACAATCTGGCTAAGGAAAAAAAAAAAAGAGAGAGAGAGAGACTGTCATGTGGTCAACATGTGGCTTCTTTCACTGGAAGATCTAATTTTCATTCATTTAACAAATGTTTATTAAACATCTATTATACTCCTGGCATTGTTCTAGATGCTGGATTCAGGAGTGAACAAAACAGACAAAAATCTCAGCCTTATTGAGCTTTACATGAGAAATCATCAAAAGGAAATGAACGTAATGGGTTCATTTGCTTATTCATTCATCAAACATTAGCTTCTCTGGCTGAAACACTATTCTACTCAGCTTAAAATGAGCTCCCATCTGACAAGCCTTTTAGAGTCTTCCAGTCTACCGGGACTTTGGTGGCCTTCAAACTGTAAAGTACAGTACTTCCCTTGATATTGCTAACCCTGGATAAGCACAAGATAGATACATTTGATTGGAATCAGAGTATTACCCGGGTACGTTTTTTGAGCTTGGTAAAGGAAAGATGTCACTGAGGTACTATGCTTCATTTAGATTCTAGAATATCTGCTATATGATTTGTAATGTGGGTATTTTCTCTTTTAGAAGATGTGCTTCGTGCCTAGTTTTTCATCTTCAACATGTTGGCCCTGCTCTTCTTTCAACAGGACAGTTCCAATTAAGAATCTCAGTTTTTCTGCTGTTATAAGAATGTTCCTGTAGGTGGCGCCATTTGCAGCTCTCAGCGTCTCACTAGGTCGGCTTCTTTTTCTTCCCCACGAGCAAGTCCACTTTATTACTTGGCCAGACATCTCTTTCCCAGCTCTTGTAGGATCTGCGATGCTCTTCAGGCTGATTTCTAAAAGGTCTTCTGGGTGACCAGCGTGTGCTTCCTCATACTCTGGGTTAATTTGAATGGCAGCTTAGGGAACTGCTTCTCTTGAACTTTGTTAGCAATCCATTTTCCATACTGTATGTTAGCAACGAGTGTTTCTCATTTTGTATTGTTTATTCTTTGAAACACATGGCCTGTCTCACCAAATAGATTATGAAGCCTTTAAGGGCTTTGTATGCCTCAGGCATCTGGCATAATACACTGCCTGGGACAGGCAGTCTGTAAGTGTGTGTTTGTTGATGATGTAGGTGGTAGCATTCTTTTGTTTATTCATTATTTACTGAGTAGCTGTTCTAGGCTAGGCTCTCTTTCTGGTGCCTTGAAAACAGTTATGAAAAACATGGTCCCCGCTCTCAAGAAGCTCCTAATTCAGAGGGGAAGGGGGCAGAGAGAAAGAGAACACAGAGAATGACAGTAGTATGGTGCATATGAAGCAGCCATGCTAAGTGACTGGGAATAAGAGAGGTACTGTATATTGCCTGTGTCTGATGACCTCTATGGGCCTTTCCTTCCCCAGGAGATCCTTTTAGAAGAGCATGGCCTTTTCATTCTTTGACTGCAGAACCACTCCTTAAGACTAAACTATGCCTTTTACTGTTTTTCTTTGCCAGTCCCCAAAGGACAGGGTGATATGATTGTGGGGTTGGAGATCCATCTCAGGATACCATAGAAAAGGTGACAGTCTTCCTATTTTTCTCTGAAGTTCAATTTTCCTTGGGTATTGCAATTTGCTTTTCAGCTCATTAGTAATTGTCCTTGAATTCTCAAAATGGTTTATCATCTTACTCTCTGTGTGGGGTGACTTGGAATTGCTCATTTACTTTGAGGTGATGTAGGTACCTATTTATTGAAAACCTTTTCATTCTTTAACATGCATGTCAATGCCCCTTTTCCTGCCGTATCTTTTCCAGTTCTCCCCTTCCTTTTTATACCTTTATGTTGTTACTTCCACCCCAAATTTTATACAAATTGATTTTAGTCTTGTATTATAGCTGCTTAGAGCCTCATTATAAGACTATAAGCCTATGGAGGGTAAGGACTGTATTTTATTCATTTTAGTATCTCTCTTATCCTGTACCTTCACCTGTTATTTACACATAGTAGGCAATGAATAAATGCTTGTTGACTGAATGAACTGGGATTTTGTAACATAATCCCTGTTTAGTTGCATGTTTTAGAGTATGTGCTTGTAGAACATGGTCAACTATCAGTTGTTTCTGCATGGGTTCTATTTGTTTGACTTAGTCTCTAGGAATATTTGCTTGGCAAACGCTCTCCAGATAATATGAAAAGGTTTTTGGATAGATCTGGGCTCAGACTTGGAATTTCTTTTCCTGTTTCCTTCTTGACACCCATATATGGCTTTATCACTGTAGAGTGTTGGTTTTTCTTACTTCCTGGTTTCTCCCCAATACTTGAAACATTCTCCTATTGATTCATTGCATCCATTTAAGTATCTAAGTTGCCAGGGAGTGTTCATGATGTTGGGGGGATACAGGGGGGACAAAACAGACTCTGACTCTATAGCCCGCTGAAACAGATGAATTCATCAAATAATAGGACAATTCAGTCAAAACATATTACCTGATAGCCTGATGGCTCATTTTAAAAGACATTTTTAAAAGTCTCAGAGGATCCCTGGGTAGGTAACCAGAGACTTCAAGCTTTCTGTCATTTGGTTTTCCAGTGTTCTGTGTCTCTCCAAAGCTCATATACATACATATATTCGGAGGATGCAAACTTAAAATTTTTTCTTCTGAAGCCACTTTCTATTTTTGCATACTGAATTTCAATCTTTAATTTCTTTAGTCACTTGATTTTAAATTTTAATTTCATAGCAAGTCTAGCTGTTCTCTGTAGGCATTCACATAAAAGGGTTGAGGTTTGCCCTCTCTGCTCTCCAGGGCAAGGTGAAATTTAATTATTTTCTAGGTTTTAAACAGAGAACCTAAAATATATATTTTATATCTTGACTTGCTTGATTTAAATCGTGGTTTAGAGTGTGTGTATGTGTGTGAAACGGTGGAGTAATGGCAAATGAAAGAAAGAAGGAAGTTACACACCTGTTGTCTAAGAACCCTATATGAGTTCTTGATCTGTAGCAAAAGCAGAGTCATGACCGTACCTTACACTCTGGATCAGCAGGTTGCACCAGGGACACTTCAGAGAACACATGAAACGTGAAAAAGCGGTTCTCTTCATAAAAGACAATTTTCTTTGAAGACCTCAGGTTCCTTTAAGGCAGGAAGCAATATGAGTTTCATCTCCTGGGCCTGATTAAACAAGATTATTTTCGTGTGCTATTTATCAGTAGACGATCACAATGAAATGTGCATACGACAGTTTACTGCCTCAATCACATATTGCAAATCAAAAAAACTAGAATGCCGTTTTGCTGGGGCCTCCTTAGTTTCTCTTCTATTTCATTCTTTCCTTTCCTTTTATTCCACATTATTTTACATTTTCCCATAAGTCATCCATAATTCAATCTCAGTCTAGAAGAGTAAATTCGATTACTCGGCGGCTAAACATCGTGTGCCTTCTCAGAAACAAGAGAACTTGTAAAACAAAAACAAAAACAACTTAAAAAAACAAAAACAACCAACAACCACCAAAAAAACAAAGGCATGAAAAGTTGGAACCTATCGGGAGGCTCTTGGAAACTTGGGCAGCTTCCTTTCTCTGTTCAGGATTTAGATTTCTATCTCACGTTACTTTGCGAACAGCTTCGCCTGTGAATCTCCCCCTACACCTCTGGGCACCGGTGCCAATTCCTTCCCTTCCCTTCCCCAGTAGCCCCACACAGTATAGAGGAGCTTATTTTCTAAGACTGCACCGGTGTCAGAGGTGACGTGAGAGTTTCTAACCGAATGGCGTTTTAGAAATAGGAACGGGAAACACAGAAACGGCTGAGGAGCGACCCCGTGGAGCAGACAGGCACAGCCCGGGAGCGGCGGACGCCAGCGCCGGCGCCGCAGGGAGCGCGTGCGGGGCTCCGCGGGGCCGCCTCCCGCGACTTCAGCAGGGGCCGCGGCCGCGCTCCCGGGCCGGTGGGCTGAGGCAGGCAGAGGCCGCCATATTCCTGTCTCACCACGCCCGGCCGGACGGCAGCCGCAGGTCGGCTGCGGCCCTGGCACGCAACGGCGGCCGCCGGCTCGGGCTGCGCGTCGGCGGCCGGGTCTGGCCCCGACTTCGGCCGGGGGCGGCCGTGACTGCTGCGCCCGCGGACTCTGCCGAGGGTGCGGGAGCAGTAGGCGTCCGCAGAGCCCGCGGGGGCCGGCCCAGCCCGGGAGCCGCGCGGGCGAGGCGAGAGCCGCACTGGGAGGCGCGCCGCGGCGGCCGCGAGCCCAGGAAAGCCTTCCAGGAGGGGCCGGGCGGCACCGCCTCCCGGCTCCCTCCTCCCGCGCCCATCCCCTCCGCCTCTTCCTCCTCCTCCTTTCGCCGCCGCCTCCTCCCTCCCGGATCTGTGCTCCAGTTCAGAGAAAGAAGAAAATGTGTGTGTGTGGCGAGGGGGAGGGCTCGCACTGAGCAGCCGCTCCGCGCCTGGCAATCGGGGCAGGGGGTGGGCGTCTGGCGGGGGCGGGGGCGGAGGCGGAGGCGGAGGAGCGCGCGGTTGCCGGGCGGGACGGGAACCGGGTCTGCGCGCGAGCCGGGCGGTGGGCGCGGACAGGGCCGAGGGCGCCCGGGAGCCGTGTCAGGCGGCGGCGAGGAGCGGGCGCGCCGGGCGCGGGGAGCCGTCGGCGGCCGCTCGCTGCGGGGACACCCCGGTGAATGAGCTCTCGCCGCCAGGCGCACGGCGTAGGGGAGCCTCGCAGGCGGCGGCGGCGGCGGCGGCTCGGGGGGCGAGGCGGGCCGCCTGTTCCCGGGGAAGGAGGCGCGGGCGTCTGAGCGAGGCCGGGCGCGGCGGCCTTCTCTCACGCGCCCCCCGAGCCAGCGCCCGCCTCCCGCGCCCGCCTCTCTTCTCCCGTCGGCCCAGACTATCCGCTCCCACCGCGCCCCCGGCCCACCTGGTGGCCCCGGCCCTGGCCGCCGCCCCCGCGGCGGTTCCCGGAGCTCGTCCCGGACGCGCGCCCGGGCGGCGGGGGCTCGGCGGCCACCGCTGCCTCGGGGGAGCGAGGGCGGGAGGGTGTGTGTGCGCGCTGTGAGCAGGGGGTGCCGGCGGGGCTGCAGCGGAGGCACTTTGGAAGAATGACTCTGGAGTCCATCATGGCGTGCTGCCTGAGCGAGGAGGCCAAGGAAGCCCGGCGGATCAACGACGAGATCGAGCGGCAGCTCCGCAGGGACAAGCGGGACGCCCGCCGGGAGCTCAAGCTGCTGCTGCTCGGTGAGTACCGTCCGGGGCCCCGCCGGGCCTCTGCGCCCCCAGCCCACCATCCTTGGCCCTGCGGGGCAGCTGCCTTCGGCGCCCCCGCCCCCCGGCGCCCGCGGTTCGCCCCTACCCTCCCGGGCGCGCCCCCGGCCACTGCCTTCACCCGCGCGGGCGCGCGGGCGCGTTACACACAGACACACACACACACACACACACACACACACACAGCGACACACACACGCAGCACAGGGGTCGGGGCTGCCCTGCCCGGTGCCTTGGCTTGTTCCTTTTCGTGTCCCTGAGGGCTGTACCTTATCTGCTGTGCATCTGCTAAATGGCAGATCACTCCGACCAGAGGCGCGGGGGTGGAAAGGTGGGCAGAGGGGTTGAACTTCCAGTGTCGTGGCCGCGGCACCCCATGGGGTGGTGGCGTGGGGAGCCGTGTGTGTGGCCCAGCGGGTGGCGAGCGGAGCCGGGGCACGTTGGGGGATGGCCTGCGGTGGAGTGGCCGGTGTGCATCCATTATCAGTGCCCTATGGGGTCAGGAGGGAATGGGGGAACGGTGGGCAGACTCGCAGCTGGATTCCCGGAGCACTCATGGTGAGGAAGCCAAGTGGTTGGCCCTCCAAGGAAAGGGTCTGTGTACTGGGGGCGAGGCGGGAGGGCAAGCCCAAATGTGTCACACAAGTGCTGTTCTCTAGCCACCAGACCATCGAAAGGAGGGAGCCTAGAAGAGTTGGCCAGTGGATGGTGACAGGCGTTATTCTCGTCTGCACCATTCCTTCTAGATAAAGATGAGGGTAGGGGAGCGTTGTGCTGTGTGGTTGTTGACAGCGACCGGTATCTTTTGTTTAATGAGGCAACCTAGATGTAGGCCTCAGTTCACAATAGTTACTACCGAAAACCAGTGCAGTCTCTCAGTTACTCTCTTGGCAACAAATAGAAACCTTTTGTTTAAAACAGATAGCATTTTAATGTCTTTGGAATCTGGGCGAGAAGGAAAAACGGGAAGCATACAGGAAAAATTTCCCTCTAGTCTTGAAAAAAAAATTCTGCTTCAACACTAAGTTAGCAAGAAAATGCCATTTCTCAAATAGAAATTTATTGATGATTATCTCTGGGAGGATGTTCAGAATCAAGCGATCAGGGTTCATATACAAGCCACAGTGACAGAACCCTGAGCTACTGTGGCAGGAAGAGCAAACAGCTTTGCAGTAACGGGCCTGAAAAATGTCTGCACTTGTGTTCTGGGTATTTGCATGTATAATAAATGTGTTTCTCAAACATTTCTGTAAGAAAAGAATATTGTACTGTTAGTTGGTGTTTGTGAGAAGCATGCATTTTCTTTCTTATCTTGAGCATTCCATTTGCTGGCTCAAGGAACCAATTGCCTTTGGGAATGAACTGCTTATGTACTGGATCATTTACAAGCAGGAACAAAATATACTGATCACACACATAGTTACTAATAGTTAATTCCCATGACATGCTTTCTTTATGTCTTCATTTTGAAACTCAATTAGATAAATGTGCACATGTTTATAAAAAGCAGAAGGCAAAAGCACTGGATGAAAGAGTTGGGCTTAGGGGAATGAAGCCAGGGAGGAGGCAAACTGCAATTGGAAAGTAAAGATTTTTTTTTTTTTAATTCTCATTTTGAGCTACTTCTAGTGGCTGAAAACAGGCAGTTGAATGTTTTCTGAGTTCTCAAGGTTGAGAAGAAAATAAAGAACAAAAGAAATAAGAGTGTTTTAAGTGTATAATTAAGGGGAAACGCACGTATTTTAGAGAGACTTGTTTTAAGAATTGTGTTTTTTTTTTATTTTATTGCCCTGTTGACAGTCTTTGTTTCTGTTTAATTGTGAACTGGGCAGTTGAGGTCTCTCCAGCCAACCCTATTTGCCTGAAAAGTGACAGCTCTGAGTTTCCCAGCAGCTAAGAGTTAAAGCCCAGGGAGTTTCTCAGTGGGCCTAGGTTTGAATGTCTAAGGGAAATACACTTACATGGATGCTTAATTCCATACTGTGTATTTAAATAACACTGTGCTTTTAAAAATGAACTTGGAGATAATTTTCTGAGAAAAAGTGTAAACCAATTTTACTGCTAAAGTGGTGGTAGTGTGGAGAACTTTTTTTTCCTCTTATTAGCGGAACATCATGCAAGAATTGCTACTGCTTCATGTTCTTGGTATATTGCTTTTGCAACATGAATACTACAATACTTACACTATTTCTGTAGTAATATACGCTAAATGTGGATTTGTGCGTGCGTGTATGTGTATGAGTGTGATTTCAGGAGTTTTTGAATCCAGGACGGTTGATTTCAACAAGGAAGATATTAGGGAGGGATTTCATTTGAGGAATTCCTGATTCGCTGCTTTGATGAGTACACTGAATGTTCTGGTTCCTTCTATCATTTAAACAAACCTATCTAGAGGAGATTATAAGATGTATCCATTCACAGTTTAAAGATCTACTAATATTTTTAACTAGTTTATGGAGGAATAAGTATTTTGAAATGAAAATCAATGTAAAATTGTTTTCAAAGTAAATTTTAGTTCAAGGCTTGATACCATTTTAATGGAAGAGGATTTGTTTGACAGGGATAAAAGTGGGTACCCTTGCATTTGCTCATGTAATTATTTACTTTTGTGTATTAATAATATGGAGACATTTAAAAAGACAATTAGTGGGTACCTGACTAGATGAAAGTATGGCAGTAAAATTTGGGCTATGTTGATTTATATTCGGCAACTATGCCAGTCTTCCAAATTTATTCCGTATGCTTATATATTATATATTTTTATTTTAACTTTAGAAACGTGAACCCTGAAATCTACCACTATAAGAATATTACATTAAATTTTGAATTATTTTCTTGTTGTCTTTTAACTTATTCATTCTTTGAATTCATTTATGTTAGTGTTTGACACTCAAAACTTACTCTTTGTATTCTATGTAGATATACAAGAGCATACTTCATTTTAACTTGGTTAATGTTTTTATATATTTTGTAGGTATAAAGCACATATTTTCTTTAATTGATTAATTTTCATGAATATTCACTAAATATTTCTGTTGGTGGTACATAGATAACCTCATTTAATATAATTTGTAAGTCTGTGTAATACAAGTGGCCTTGAGTGCCTGCTTCATGTTACATATAGTTATCCTGAAATTTTTTTCAGTTCCTAGAAGAAACATTTTTTTCCTGTTAACCTGTTCTTATTTTACACGTTTTTGAAGTCTTTTACTCTTTAGATCTTAATTATCAAATAGGAAGACTTAGTAAACCCCTTTAATTGATTGAATTATCGCTATTGAAACAGGCAAAGTTTAGGCCAGTCTTTTTTTTTTTTTTTTTGAGATGGAGTTTTGCTCTTGTTGCCCAAGCTGGAGTGCAATGGCGCGACCTCACTTCACTGCAACCTCCGCCTCCCAGGTACAAGCGATTCTCCTGTCTCAGCCTCCCAGGTAGCTTGGATTACAGGCATGCACCACCACGCCCGGCTATTTTTTTTGCATTTAGTAGAGCTGGGGTTTCAACATGTTAGTCAGGCTGGTCGCGACAGGCCAGTCTTAAATGGAAGACCTTAAATGGTCTTGGTCTTCTGAAATGAATTTTATATATGAGCACAGATTTTCTTCCTGTTGTACACTGCAAACATATGAGAGTAGAGGTTGTGTCTGTTTTGCTCACTATTAAATCCCAGCTTCAAGCACAGTATCTAACTCGTAGAATGCTCTCAATAAATATTGGCTGAGTAAATGAATTTATTTATTACCCTCCTGCTGGAAATTAGACCAGACAATAATGAATAAATGTATAGAAACATAGGAATATATAATGTTTTTATCTGTGGCAGATAAAATCAGGATCTTAAAAAAATTGTGTGTAACTCTTTGAGCCAACTGATTATAAATGCATTCCAGGATAGGAAGTGTTAATGTAAGATGTTGCATCACACATTGAACCAGTGTATTACAGTTCTGTACTGGATGTATTTGAGAATGGTAACAGTCATGCTTAAAGTATGAAAGTTTAAAGAAAAGAAAAACCATTCTATATTTTTATTACTTTTTATTGTGTAGAGGCTAGTTTAACCCTCTCATCTTTTTACCATACATTTTTCTCCATGGTACAGGGCTCAGTGAATTTTTAATACTCTGTAGAGCACAGGTGATGACTAAATGGGTGTTTGTGATTGACTTATACAATAACGTGAGGAAAACCACCATAATTAAATACAGAATTTCAGGAATTGCAGTTAGAACATTTTTAATATGAAGGATATGCATTTGTACTGAAAGCTATACAGTTTTAGACCAAGAAGGGGCTTGGAAGGCTGGAAGTGCTGTAGCCAATTTAAGCTGTATGGGAAGTTAATTTCTACACATCTGGAAAAGAGCACGCTTCCCACTGCTCCTCAGTAGGGTTCACTGGAGTGGGTATGTTGATTGCCTGAATTAACCTAGAGGTCAGTGCCATCTAGGATGGTGACTCAGAACCATTGAGTGAAAGCCTTGGTCTAAGTAACCTCAATAACAGCAGCTCCCTAAAAATAGCAAAATATGGTGTTTATGAGACTGCTTTAAGGACCAACAGGTTTTATTTTTTGCTACTCTTTTAGCTTCCAAGTGTTGAATATGTTTCTGAATGTCAGGATTTATTTGGATACAGTTCCCTTTTTTGTTGTTGTTGAAACAAAGTACTTATAGTTTATATCAGAAGAACAAAGTGGGAACATCCCTCATAAAAATCAAAACTGTGGCTCTGACTGTATAACAAAGCCTTCGGAATAAGTTTTTTGCATTGAACTACGTAGATTCATCGTCTGGATCTCCATATAATGTCCCATCCTTACCCCTATATGCTATTTCTTCATATGGCAAATCTGACACAAATTAAAACCCTGCTGAACAGTGAAAATATTGCAGGTTTATCTATTCACATATTCTAAAGTAAGTTTAGAAAGGAGAACCAGAAGACTAATTTAGTAGCCATTTTAATATAAATAAATTTGATAGAATCTTTTTCATTAAAAAAGAAAACCATCTCAGCTCTACTTTAGGAGAAATGGCTTATGTTCAGTTTTCAGAAGTGCCTATTAAAAACAGTTACGATTTTTATTACCCATGAATTTTTTAGGACCTGAAACAGCCTTTGCAGTTGTGAGGCTGCGTGCTATGCTAAACTTAGCAGAAAAAAGGAACAGATTTTTCTTTATGATCCAGGCACACTTACACTTGAAAAGAAATTAACAAGATTCTCTAAGGAAGGTTTTGATTCCAGCATTCATATTAATTTTTCTTTAAGGGGAGTTATTCTACTAATATTCTGTTAATATTAGTAGAAATGTTGATTGGATGTTGTAGAGGGAAAATAGGGAGCTCAAAGGGTACATCTTGGAAGAGACAGAAGCCATTTTATAAGGAGGTTAGGATTGCTTTCTCCCTCAGAAGGTGGAGGGAATCTGTTTCCTCTGTATTGGGTTGAGGAAAATACAAGTTTGTGAAGCAACAAATTTTAAAGTCAAATTTCCTGGTTGGAACGGGAGGCAGTCACATTTTTCAAAGGAAAACTTTTGTAATGCCTTTTAAGTTATGTTAAGATCTCTGCAGACTTAATCCTAGTGAAGTGTGAAATAGCAATAGAAGGTAAAATGTGCGATTGTTGGTAATTAAATCTGTGGCAATAACTGACTACAGTAAACCGTGAACGTTTACTCTTGTTCTGCCGAATGGAGTAACATTAAAGAAAGAGCTGCTCTCAGACCCAAACACTATTTTGTGTGAATAGCTGTTACTGATAAAATTATAGGAAGTTGTTCAACAATCACCTTTGATTTGTTACATTACCGATATGTAAAAAATAAAATTATAGGAAGTTGTTCAACAATCACCTTTGATTTGTTACATTACCGATATGTAAAAATCTGTCTGATTTCTCATCTAACATGTAGTAAAAGGACCTAGGCATACTGATGAAATGAGTTAACACATCCTAGGTGGTCATGAATTTGGGCTTTAAAAACAAAAATAAATGTCCATGTTGCAGTGCCGAGAATCCCAAATTGGATTAACTATACAGCTCTGTTGTTAACCTTTATACATAGCCATAATCAGTGCAGAATATTTTGTTAAAAGCCTTTATGGTTAATTTTAAAGAACAAAATTAGTATTACTTAAAAATCAAATTATGAAGATATCTCAAATCCATTTTTTCAACATATACTTGTCAGTTATTAAAAAATATTTCCTCTAATTTTTTTTTTTAACCAGGCATAACTTAAGAAGGAACAGTTTCATGCAGAATGCTAGTCAAATGAACAAATATGAGCACCTACTATGTGCCAAATAATGTGCTGTGTGAGATGCTCCTTATGTCTTATTTGCCGACAGGAAAGACTAAGCACTTTGCATAGTTCTTGTATTGTAGCTGATGTCCTCGTACTGACATGCCCTTCTGACTTTATCCTTCCTGGCTTTGGCTTTTCTATTGGGTTTTCATACACAGAAAGAGACAAAATAATCTGAAGGCCATTGTAGGAGCTTCCTGGGGATCACAGGACTGGGGAATGCGGATGATTTTACCTTGTGTTTCTAAGTGGATTGGAAGCTCCGTGAAGGCAAAGATCCTTGCTCTTGTATCTTTATCGCAATTCCTGATGATTCTATTATCAGTAACTAGGGATGTGTGTGGAAAGCTGGATTCCAAAAAGAATGGAGGGTAATCGGAAGAAGTGAATTTAAATTCCCTGCTTTCTTCTAATAGGCATCATCCATATGTCCTCCATTTTCCACTCCTCTTTGCTGTTTTGTGGGCCACCGGGCGCACAGTGAAAGGAATTCCGTTTTAAAGATGGAACAGTTTTTGCCTTCTTGCCTTCCTCTCATTTGTTCTCTTGGGACAATGTTTCGGTTGAACATTCTCATATTGTTTCCAGTTAAAAGCCAATAGCAATTGATCCAGCTGTTCCAATGGAAAGCTGTTACACACACAAGTTCTTTGAAATCTGACAATCTGTGCACCTTTATTACAGGATTAATCATGGATTGTGAACAATATGTCTGCTTTAGAAATAAAATAGTTGTTTTCAAGTAATGGATTGTGGTGCAGTTGGGAACGAAAATGTTACTAATGCCATTATAGTGTGTGTGTGTGTATATACACACATATACAATATGTGTGTGTTTATACACACATAATTGACCCACAAATTAAAGAAAAAGAGATCTAGCCAGACTTTTTGGCTCTGTTACCGGAAGCGAACAGTGATGTTTAGACACATAGTTACATATATTTCTAGGAGATAGCCTCATTTTTTTTCCCTTTGGAAAACTAAAATCATGAATTAATTGTGCTTTCCAAGAATTTTTTTTTTAATCAGCATCACTTGCTAAAAAATAGAAATAGAATTTTTTTGTTTCTTTTTTATGTTGAAAAATTTTTTTCATTTTTATTGTTTCTTTCCTACATTTTCTTTTACTGTAGGGGCAACAGGGTGATTGGTGAGATCTTCTACCACCATGTATTTACTGGTAACTGCAGGCATCTAGTTGCTTCTAAAGAGGAATGCTTCTGTGATTTACCCAGTCCCTTTTCAGTCTACCAGTGATTTCTGTAGCCCCCCTACCCATCCCTTTCATGTGAATACCACCCACCCATTTAATTCCTCATCACATCTTTCTTAAACAGATGCTAAAGAGGTTCCTCAGATTCTCTGACTTGCACATTTGCATACGATTTAGAGAACTTCCAAGTTGGTGCTTCTGTGAGACATCATGTGGCTGTGAGCTGGTGAGAGGGGAAGTTGGGTGCTTTAATACATTCAAAGGAAGGAATTTGTGAGTGTGTGTTTAGGCAATGATTAACTTTCTTTTGCAATACTTACTCTGGTCCGTAAAGCAAAAATAAATTGTTACTGAACACAATGTAAAATCCTCCTTCCTTTTCCAGAGGGCAGGGACTTGAGATTGGTTCATGATTACCAGCAGAGAGTTAGTGAGCCAGTGCTGGATAATCTATCACGGACCAGTGGGTTTCAGAATCGGATGCAGTGCGTATGCTGGAAGGGGAGAAGGTGCTGTAGGCATGTGTAGGCATCTTCCTCACTTAATGATTTGAAAACCCTCTTCTCAGTGACTTGCAAGCCTTAACATCTTTTTCTGATTGTATTTCCATACAGATAGTTAAGGGTGATGGCAATAGCAGTGGCCTTTACTTTTGTTATACCCAATCAGCCTGAGTACATTTTTGTGGTGGGTTTGTTTTGGTATTTTCTTGCCATGTGAATTGATATTTAGGACCTGCGCTTTGCAGAGCTCCTTCATTATAGTATGCGTTCTTTCTGCAGATGGCAAATGCAATTTTCCTCTTGTCCTAGAGAGATGACCCATTTCCTGTGACTTGTTCTAATAATACAAGATGACTTTAATTTTTGTTCAGTTTGCCTTTAAAAGATTGCCAGGTTTAACTCTCTTGTCTCTGTAACTCTTGTGATATATTTTTGAGCATTGGTAAGACATGTAATAATTTAAAAACAATGGCAGACTAATTTTGTGAAAGTTTTTTATTTTTTATTTTTGGCTAAATAAGCACCTTTTATGGCTGTGCATTTTGGATTCGTTACATATATCTTTTCTAAAATCTGTGACTGAAAGTGGGGTGAAGTATTCCTGCCCTGCTTACTGAATCTTTTTTTCCCACATAACTAACCTCAGGGTATTTTGATCATTTGCTTTTTCTATAAAAACCTGTAGAATGAGGAGATTGCAGCAGATGATCTCTAAGGACCATTTGAACTTTGAATTTTTTTCTCCTTCCCCTTTGCAGCTTTGGCGTCTCGGCCACTTTCTGCCCAAACTCACCCCTGGATGAAGGGTCTAAGCTTGCTGCTGTCTCCAGCAGTGATGGGCTCTACTAGGAGGCATTGCCAGGTCTGGTGGGCTCCTTCGGGTTGGCCTGGCTCTTCTCTTTGACCTCTGTAATAACTCTGAGTGCCCTGCAGTGGGGAGCACTTTGAGGGGGGCCTGTGAATGAAGCCTTAGCAAGTCTGTCCAGAGCTCCCCTGGTGCCGCCTGGCATGCTGCTGATAGTTTGCAATGTCTTCACAAGAAATGGTATCAGAAACCTCCTGTCATATCAGCATGGGTCTCTTGCTTCCTGCAGGAAGGGCGATATCCTGGGAGGCACAGAGGTGGAGCCCGAGAGACGCAGTGTTCCAGCGCTGCTCGGCTCAGGACTGGGTCTTTTCTTCCGTATCCTCAAGCAGCTTCCTTTGACTTACTACTTCTTTTTGTTTGTTTTTTCTTCATTGGGCTTTAAGCGTTGCTTCTCTTTAGTGTATGTGTGACTGAAGCCAAACACAACATTGCTTTCCCTTTGCCTGCAAATAATCTTGTTGCCCAAGCCCATCTCTGCCATTTTCAGTGACAGCTGGCTGGCCAATGAGCCTGAGCACTGGGAATGCCCAGCAGGGCACATCTAGGGGGCTGCTTTATATTTGGAGCTAGCAGGTCTCTTTTCTAGGGCTTTCCAGGAAAGATTTAGAATTAAACATTGGATGGATTTTGTGTGTTCATTTCTTTTTCCATCACTGTGCCTTTATTTTCTTGGGGCTTTCATTAAAAGCAGAAAAACAGATAATGGTAGAAACATCTATAGCATGCATACAAAGAAGTAAAAGATTTTTATAATTTTTTGCCTTAAAATATATCTAATGCTGTGGCCTCTGAGCCATTCTCAGTTGGTATGACCATGATCAGAGAAACCTTAAGAAATCAGCTTTGCCAGGTGTGGTGGTTCACGCGTGTAATCCCAGCACTTTGGGAAGCCAAGGCAGGCAGATTGCTTGAGCCCAAGAGTTCGAGACCAGCCTGGGCAACATGGTGAGACCTGGTCTCTACCAAAAATACAAAAATTAGCTGGGCGTGGGTGCCCATGCCTGTGGTCCCAGTTACTTAGGAGCCTGGGTGGTCAGGGCTGCAGTGAGTTGTGATCGTGCCACTGCACTCCAGCTTAGGTAACAGAGTGAGACCTTGTCTCAAAAAAAAAAAAAAAAAAAAAAGCAGCTTCCTGTGTTCCTCGTTTGCATTCTGGACAAAGACTCTGTGGCCAAAGAAAGAGCAGCTGGACTCTCATGCTAGTTCTGGAGAAATGTAAGAAAAGCTTAATTCCACTGGAGGTGCCAGGCAGGCAGTTGGCATTCCTAGGCCCACTTTACTCCTGGCCCAGGGCCTTCTCCTCATCAACTTATCAGCGTTGGGCTTCCTTACCTTGACCTCACATTTGCAGTTGAATGAGTGCCAGGGAAAAGAACAGACATAGGGTAAAGTAGAGTAATAGGGAGTCCCGTGGGGCTTGGAAGGGCAGAGGGTGTTGTTGCCAATAGGGGTAGCGCCATTGTGTCTTTGCTGGGCTCTGGAGAGAAGGAGAGAAGAGCAAAGGAGAGGTGCCTGATGCCTTGGATTGATGTTCTCAATCAGGAAGAGCCAGACCAATGCTGCCTCTTCTGGCCGCCTCCACCATCCTACCACGTGTTTTCATCCTCATTGTCACATCCACTGTGCCCTTCCTCACCCAGATGGTGGGTTGGGAGATGAGCAAGTAAGTGTAGACGCCTTGGTGGAATGGGAGTAGTTTGTGTTGCATGTACTCATTCCTGTCCTTTTGTTCCCAGAGGTGGTTAAATAGGTGAGCATAGAACTCTCATGAAGCTGTGTCCCGAGAAAAACCCTTGACAGAGTATAAAGAAAATTTGCAACATGTTTCCTCCATGTTTTTTTTTCTGTCAGCTGTTTCAGGTGATAGAAATGCATCTATTACTGTTTTGAGAACTCTGCTAATCCTGTGATGTGTTATGAGATGTCTCTTGAGACATCCTTGCTCAGGAAATCTGCTTTTGCTTGGCTTGCATCTCCTATAGTAAAATGGCTCTCAGTTTCCCACGGCAATAAATAAATAAGCAATAGCATGAGATATTCTTGCCAGGTAGATTCATGCAAAGTGGAGGCATGTAATGTAGAAATAACACCTTTTAGCTGAGAAAAGGCACCTATCAATTGGATGTATTCTCTTGTGTCTTTTTCATGTTCTGGGCCATTACATCCAAGCCTAAGAGCAGACTTTTTCCCTAGGATTTTTAAAGGTTCCTAAAGTCTCTTTTCTTTCTTTTTTTTTTTTTTTTTTTGAGATGGAGTCTCACTCTGTCACCCAGGCTGGAGTGCAGTGGCGCAATCTCAGCTCACTGCACCCTCTGCCTCCCAGGTTCAAGTGATTCTCCTTCCTCAGCCTCCCAAGTAGCTGGGATTACAGGCGCCTGCCACCATGCCTGGCTAATTTTTTGTGTTTTCAGTAGAGACGGGGTTTCACCATGTTGGTCAGGCTCCTCTCAAACTCCTGACCTCAGGTGATCCACCCATCTTGGCCTCCCAAAGTGTTGGGATTATAGGCTTGAGCCACCGCACCTGGCCTAAAGGTTCCTAAAGTCTCTAATTATGACCGACATTCAAAATGAAGCTGCATATGTTTTGGTTAATTTGAATAATTTTTAATAATTTGAGAGAAAAACTCAGTAGTGCAGAAACAAAAGGTACTTGAAATGAACCTTTATATTTTTATTTATCAATTACATTCTAATGGTCCAAGAATTAATGAATTGGCAAGCACTATCTCCTATTGGAGTCAAGTTTGGCTCTGACATGGAGTCTGGAGGTGGAAGGTTCTTGCTGTCTTTCAGAGCTAACGAATGGGTGTCCTCTGAACATTCTACCTTCTCCTGTTTTGCCATGGGTTACCATCTAAGATGTTATCCAGATCACGTTAGAAACGATTACAAATTTTGGGCACATACCACTTCTTGTAGTAATGAGTCCCATGCATTTTCTCATCTTATATGGGAGAAAATACCTGTATATTGCTTTATCATTTTCAGAGAAACAGTTTGTGTTTCCTTATCCAATACATCTTGGTAAAGAGTGGCATTTTAATGGAGGAAATTACAGGACTTCATCAATATTTCTTTAGGGAAATCCTGATTCAAAGTATATTTTCATGAAAATCACTAGCTCTGTCCTTTGAGAAACGTATTTTTTGTAGGGCTTTCTACTCTAGGCCATGCTTGTTATGAGAACAGATTCTTCTGCAGCGGGTGGGAGGATGTTTCTAAACCCCTGGAGTCTACCTATGAATTGCTACTCAAATTACAGTGTATCCATCTCAGAATTAATGTGTTGTGCATGCCTAGTCCTTACTTGTGGGTTGACACAATGATTTCTATTAAAAATATTCTTTATGTTTTATACTATAATGTATCCTTAAGCAGTATGCTGTGGCCTGAATTTACCTTGTCTTTTATTCTCTTTTTGGAATGAAATAAGAGCACTTGAGATACTGTCATTTGGTGGTTTGGTTGTTTGTAAAATAGTAAAAAAAAAAGTTTGGTAAGGAGAAAAGCTATTGTGCTTAATAGACAGTCCAAGTTTGAGTCGAGAAGAAATGTTTATTTTCTTCCACTTAATGTTCTGACATTCTTAAGAAATACATTATGTTGTTTTCATGCTAGTCTTTGAAAGAATGACAACCCACATTCTGTTATTTAATTACATTATTTTTTATAGCCTGTTTTTCAGTGATTTTGAAATTTTACAAATAATGCAAGTTTTTTGCACAAAATTTAATAAAACTTTTTAAAATATTCATAAATTTATCAAAAATATACCAGTCTAAACTAAGAACCATGCTCTTTTTGCACATTCCTTTATAGTCTGTTTTATTTTTATGTTTTTTACATAGATGTGATCATACTGTACAACTTAACATTAGGTTGTAAGCATTTTTTATGTGGCTATGTAGACTTCATATTAACATTTGAAAAGACTGTATAAGATTCTTTTGAGAGGATGTATATTGTTTACTTGTTTACTCTTTTTTTTTTGTACATTTAGGTTTCTCCCAATGATTTCATTTTAAAAATAATGCTGTGATGAAGTTCTTGGTGGAGATAGCTTTTTAAAACATGCACACACATAATTTTGTTAGAATAGATTCATGGAAATGTTATTTCTAGGTCTGAGGATATGAAAAATTTTACAACCTTGGTTATACACACCCAAAACATATTCTGAAACGATTGTATACAGTTTCCAGCATCATGAACAATATTATTAGAATATCAGTAAGTTAGGAGGCAAAAATGGTACATAATTCTAAACTTTGCATTGATCATTAGTGAGAATGATCATTTCCCCATGTTTGTTTCTAGTTGAATTGCTTCTTTTGTGAATTGTTTCTTCATTTCCTTTGCCTATTTTTGAACTCCAAACCTACAAATGAAATTAGCCTTTTGTCATTTTTATTGCCAAAAACTTAACCCCAGTCTGTTGTTTTCCTTTTGTTTTGTATTATTTGATACAGAAGTTTTTAATTACTATCAAGCCAAAACTGTTGATCTTTTGCTATTCTGTTTTAAAATAAAAATCATGATCTGCTTTAGATATTCCATGAAAGCTAGATTTACTGCCATTGTTATGGACAAAACTAGATTGAATGTAGTGTGTTATACATCTCTGATGTATGGTTCTTTTTCTTTCAAAATGAAGGTGAAATGTACATACAAGTTTCAGTGTCACAGATGACACAGCATAAGCTGTTCTATGTGTAATTGGATTTTTTTCATTCAGTAATATGTAGGATGTCTTGCCATGTTAATATAAATCTTTTGGAACATATTTATGGCTGTTTAGTGTTTCCTCCGTGCATTTTGAATCATACAGTGCTGTGATGCAGCTAGTTTGTACCTGCTCACGAAAGCCAGTTTTGATCATTTTTTTGTCTCAACTTTACATTTAGTGACCGAACTTTGGTAGCTTGAAATCAGACATGTTGCTAGGGTTTACACCACAGAAATTGGCAGATACAGATTAGGTCTTACTCCCATCTCTGGAAGAACTAATTGTTAAATATCAGCACAGTACCATTTATACCTGATACCTTTTAATGAATATTTACTTTGATTCTATTAAGAAAATGTTATAATCAGTGCTACAGTGAACATTGTTGGGTATTTTTGCACGCTGTATGATTCTTTTCATGCACATTTTTTAGAGTTTGATTATCAGCCGTTTTGGTCCATAACATAACATAACATAACATAACGTAACGTAACACAACACATAACAGTTTTAGCTGTCCTTGGATTATGTCTATTTAATGGGTTAAAAAAAAGACATGTCTTTGTTGTGTTTATTTGCATTTTATTGAATCAGTATTCATTTTACAGTTTTTATTTTCTAAACTGCTTACAAAATATACTAACAAAATTACAAAACATGCCTACAAAAATAATTAACAGATGCCTGAACTTATCATTTGAATTAGATTTTCTATCACTTTTAGCTTTCACTTTATTTCTGTATTTCTTTTTTTTTTTTTGAGACAGAGTCTTGCTCTGTCGCCCAGGCCGGAGTGCAGTGGCGTGATCTTGGCTCACTGCAACCTCCGCCTCCCGGGTTCAATCAGTTCTCCTGCCTCAGCCCTCCCGAGTAGCTGGGACTACAGTAGCTGGGACGCCTGGCTAATTTTTTGTATTTTTAGTAGAGACAGGGCTTCACTGTGTTAGCCAGGATGGTCTCGATCTCCTGGCCTCGTGATCCGCCCACCTTGGCCTCCCAAAGTGCTGGGATTACAGGTGTGGGCCACTGTGCCTGGCCTAATTTATATATTTCTAAAACTTTGATGGTTTTCTTTATGGAAAGATGGAGTGCCCTAGGACAAATGTCTCCAAGGGGGAAAAGAACAGAACTGATAAGATTAAATGATAGGTTTGGCTATATGCAGAATTGTTCTGAAGCGCAACAGTTTTAAATGGTGATGAAGTCCAGTTTATCTATAAGAATTGCTTCTGCTTTTTGGTCTCATATGGAAGAAACCATTGGAAAAATCCAAGGTCACAAAAATTTACGTCTCTTTTCTACTAAGAGTTTTGTAGTTTTAGGTCTTACACTTTGAGTTGATTTTTGTATGTGGTGTGATGTGGGGTTTCAACATAATCCTTTGCGTGTGAATATCCAGTTGTCCCAGCACCATTTGTTGAAAAAAACGTATTCTTTTCTCATTGAGTTGTCTTGACATTCTTGTTAATTTTTCTTATCTTTATTACTTTTTTCTTGGAATTTTTCTAAGTTTATTTTTTACTTTTTCTTGAATCAGAATTCTTAGATTATTTTAAAAAATATTTTCTCAATTTGAATTAGTAGTGTTTAAGGCTTTGCATTTTATTACATGTCCCTATGTAGCATTCTTATCCTTTTACAGATATTCTAAAATTACAATTTTTATTTTTGTTTTTGAACCAAGATTGTTTAATATAGTTTAAATTTTTCAAGTGGTTGTAGTTTTTTTTCAACCTTAGTTATTTATTCTGAGGTCATTTTGATAGAATGTGGTCTGTACTGTTTCTACTTTTTGGAATTTATTGTAGTCTAATATATATAGTCAATTTTTGTTTTATGGGTACATAAAATGCATATGTGTGTTTGTCTTAAAACCATAAATATATGTGTATTATTTAATTTTATGACTGATATTTGCTGCTAATCTGCTTCCTTATATTGTGTGTGAATCTGCCAAGTACTGAGAATTTTGCAGAAGTCTTCCATGACTCTGGTGTTTGTGGCAATTTCTCCTATTCCAGAAATTTTGCTCTATGTAAGTACAGTTATGTGTTGCTTAACAATGGGGATACCTTCTGAGAAATTTGTGGCCAGATGATGTTGTTATTGTGTGAGCCTTGTAGAGTGTACTTACACAAATCTAGATTGTATAGCCTACAACACACATATAGGCTATGTGGTAAAGCCTATTGTTCCCAGGCTGCAAACCTGTAAAGCATGTTATTGTACTGAACGCTGCGGGCTTTTGTAGCACAGTGGTAAGTATTTGTGTATCCAAACATATCTTAACATAGAAAAGGTTCAGTAATAAAAGATAAAATATGATACACATAGAGCGCACTTACCATAAATGGAGCTTGCAGGCTGGAAATTGCTCTGGGTGTCAGTGAGTGGTGAGTGAATGTGAGGGTCTAGGACATGACTGTACACTTTTGTACAACTGGCAGCTTGGTAGGTTTGTTACACAAGTATTACCACAAACATGTGACTAATGTGTTGCATTATGATAACTACGATGTCAGTAGGCGATAGGAATTTTTCAGCTCCATTATAATCTTGTGGGACCACAGTTATTTACGTGGTCTGTTGTTGACTGAAACATTGTTAATGTGGTGTAGGACTGTACTCTTTTATGAGGTACCTAAAAAACGTCGATGAGAATTAAAATTTTGTCATTACCGCATTACCTTTTATGTAAGTTAATGCTATTATATCTTGAACTCAGCATCGTTATTAATATTGTTCTGTTGTTTACATTTACTTGATGTATGTCTCTCATTTATTTTCAACTATTCTTTGTTTTAGCTACCCTCACAAGTTTGTTTTGTTTTGTTTTGAGACGGAGTTTGGCTCTGTCACCCAGGCTGGAGTGCAGTGGCGCTATCTCGGCTCACAGCAACCTCTGCTTCCCGGGTTCAAGCAATTCTCCTGCCTCAGCCTCCTAAGTAGCTGGGATTATAGGCATGCACCACCACACCCAGCTAATTTTTGTATTTTTAGTAGGGGGGTTTCACCATGTTGGTCGGGCTGGTCTCGTGATCTGCCCGTCTAGGCCTGCCAAAATGTTGGGATTACAGGAGTGAGCCACCACGCCTGGCCTAAAGTTTTTGTTTTTTTAAACCTCAGCCTGAGTGAATCTTTTCTTAAAATAGTTGAGTTTGTTCTTGTTACACTTGATGTATGATGAATAATGTTAGGGTGTATTGGCGTCTGATTTCTGTTTTCTGATTCTTTCTTGATTTCTTGCAGCTACCCCTATTCCTCCTCCATTATTTCCTTTTCTCTTTCTCACTCCTTTGGAATTTGTATTGGGTTTGTTGTGCTTTCCACACTGATAATTTGAAAGGTATGTACTCTGCTTTTAATTTTACTGTTGGTAGCCTATATAACTTTTAGTAGTCATATTCAATTTATGTTTCTCAGTTTATCATCTTCAGAGATCAAATGGTATTATATGTCCCTCCCCTGCATGGGAGGGAAATTTTTTTCACCTATACCAAGGATCATCAGCAAACTTTAAGGGTTAGATAGTAAACATTTTTGGCTTTTGGGCTATATGGCTTCTATTAGAACTACTCAACTCTGCCACAAACAGTTTGTTAATAAATGAGTATGGCTATGTTCAAATACAATTTTATTTACAAAAACAAACAGAAGCAGGATTTGGCATTCTGGCAGGTATTTGCCAACCTCTGATTACTCCATTTTCTGCTTTTTGTGGTATTTTATTTGCGTGTATTAACTTTTTTGTTCCTGTCTGTTATAGACAAATTAGCAATACCAGACTTAGAATGGTTCTCTAAGTCTTCGTGGTTAGTAATAACATCAACACATTTTATTTTATATATTTATTTTCTTAATAGTCTTCTCAGAGGCAACATTGGATATATAAAATGATAAAAGTCTTGTTAGAAATGAGAACACATGGACGCAGGAAGGGGAACATCACAAACCGGGGCCTGTTGTGGGGTGGGGGGAGCGGGGAGGGATAGCATTAGGAGATATACCTAATGTTAAATAACGAGTTAATGGGTGCAGCACACCAACACGGTACATGTATACATATGGAACTAACCTGCATGTTGTGCACATGTACCCTAAAACTTAAAGTATAATAAAAAAAAAAAAAGTCTTGTAAGAAAAACATAAAATTGTCAATGGCTAAGGGCATCTTTCTGAAGTCTAGGATTTATTGATGGTTATTAAAAGGCTAAGCATAAAATTGAAATTACCTTAATTTCAATATAATATGGGTATTTGTGTCAGATGGAAGGAGAGGTGTTTATGGTGTTCAGATCACTGCCACGTTCATTGCTCTAACTTACATTTCCTTTATTCTGTTCTTCCTCCTGATTACGGATTCCTAGCAATTCACCTATTTCTGCCCTCTTAATCCTGAAGTAGTTTACTCTTCTTTCCACTTACGCCCCCTTTCTTCACTGTCTTTTGTCCATCTCTGCTAGCATCAAGTTAATATTTGATCTTGCAGCCAATGTGATCTTTAATGTTTTGAAAGTGATTCTGTAGTAGTTTCTCAAATTTCATACCTAGAGTTTATTTATTTTCACACTTTCTAAAACTCTTAGCCCTTTGATTTCATATTGAATATCAGGGATGATCACAGGGAATCATTATAATTAAACCTAAGGAACCTCATTTAAGTATATTGTCATTTATCACTTATTCTGTTTTCCTTGAGAAATTGTGTACATATATGTATATATATATTTGTGTCTGCAATTAAGATGCATATTTAGCATTAGTTCTGTGTTTAAATGCTTATCACCAAATATTTCTTCTCTCAATTTAATTATATGCTTTTATTTATTTTTATCTATGAGTTGGCTAGATTATACCTTCAGATAGGTTTTTAAATGATGGGTCCATGGGTGATATATTTCCTGAATTCTTGGGTATTTGAAAATGCCTTTCCGAGGCCAGGTGAGGTGGTTTACACCTGTAATCCCAGCACTTTGGGAGGCCAAGGCGGGTGGATTACAAGGTCAGGAGTTCGAGACCAACCTGGCCAACATGGTGAAACTCTATCTGTATGGCGCGCACCTGTAATCCCAGCTACTTGCAAGGCTAAGGCAGGAGAGTCACTTGAACCTGGGAGGTGGAGGTTGCAGTGAGCTGAGATTGTGCCATTGCACTCCAGCCTGGGTGACAAGGTGAGACTCCGTCTCAAAAAAAAAAAAAAAAAGAAAATGCCTTTCTGTGGCATGCACATATTAATAACAACTTGCATGGGTATAGAATTCTTGGATTAGACCTCTTTTTTACCTACCTTGCTTGCCACGTAGTAGATTTTTCTCCATTGTTTCCCAGCAGATAGATTTGATAAGTCTGTGGCCAGCCTGAATATTTTTTCTTTGTGATTTGCTTTTTTAAAAATTTGGTTATTTGTTTCTATAACATGAAAGCTTAACAACGTATCCAGGTTATGCTTCAGTGTTTTATAATTTTTGTTATTTATCTTGAAGCACTGAACCCACTCCATCTCTATAATATTCTTTCATTTCAAGGATCTTGCCTATTTTATCATTGAATTTTTTTTAATATTCCACAGGAATTGTTTTTCTTCTTTAGGTACACCAATCATTCATAATTGAATTTTTGTTGTTTCTCTGCCAAAGCTGTTAGCTTCCCTCTAATTGCTGTATCTCTCCATTATTTGTGTGGTTTGCCCAAATCTCTTGTCTGCAATGCTGATTTGGCACTGTTTTGAATATCAATGTCAAGTGCCAGTAAGTAGGTGTTAAATGAATGAAGTACCTGCTATCTCTTTGATGCTTCAGATTCATTTTTAAGTTCTGCAGTATTATTGTTTTTTCTCCTTATTTCCTTTCTTAGTTCTGACAATTTTTGTTTCACCTTATTTTTTAGAATGTCCTATTTCAACAATGCACATTTTGTTACATTTTCTTGATATAGTGCAAAGCAATTATAGTCCATTTTTTTCTTCTGTTTTCTAGAGTAAACCTTTCAAAGCATTCTCTTCATTTTTCTTTTGCATGTCCTTTGCCTTGTCTTCATTTGTGCTTAGGAATGTTCCAAATTTTGTCTGGCCCTTGTATTTGTCCAAAAATAGGGTGGGTGGAATCTCATTGACTTCCTTCCCTATTTGTCTTGGGTCTGTTTGTATCTTTCCCTTAGCACTTGAGCTGGAGGACTGGAAGATGATGGTATATATTCTATTTTTAGCTGTTCAGTTGTCTGAGTAGAGTGGTAGGGAGTGCTCTCTGGCAGTGGCTACTATGAACTTTGCTTCATCTCACAACTGATTCTGTTTGTCCTTCTCTTTTGAGTGAGCCAGCCACTTTGATGAGAAGTCATTCAGAATGGAGCCTTGCTGTTTTTGGGATTTTCTTGCTGTGCATCTATAGGGTCTTTTTCTCTGCGTTTCTAGACCACTTTGCAAAGTAGTCTTGCTTTTAGCCCTCAACTTTTCCAGTAAATATGTCAAGTCAGAGGGGAAAACAGATCTGTTGGCTATGTTGTTCCTCTTTAGCCCCTTCATGGCTAGAATAGGTAGGAATGTGAGTTCTAATTAGACATTACATGTTCCTTGAAGTTGGGGGACATAAGGGAGTCTTTGAGAACCTTTGTCACTTATTTCCCTCAACATTGTACTGTTTTTACAAGCAGAAGAGCTGTGTGTAGACTCAGCCGCTTCTGTTTGGTCCATTTGTATTACTTCTGGTTGATAGGTCCGTTGCTATTATTAATGTAGATAAGGTTTTTCTTTCTACATTTTTTTTCTTCTTGTTCATCTTGAGGGATAGAAAGGAAGTTGCTGTTTTTAGAGGGCTGCCGTCTTTCCAGGAAGTGTGCTTTATGAGTCTTGATGACTGTAATTAACACATGTGAAGTCTTTCATAGAGAGTTATAATTATAGAATCTCAGTTAAGAATGTGCTTTAAAGTCCAAGCATGCACCCCATACTTGAGTGGCGTCTGTGACATCCCCAATTTGTCGTTAAGTCTGTTCCCCTCTAAATTCAGTGATGAGAACATTATCCCCCAATTAATTCCATCTTCAGTCATCTGTTTATTAGAAATCTTTCATTGAGCTGAAATCTGTCCTGTAACTAGCTTCAGATTCTATTCCTGGGGAACACGGAGAGACTGGAACCCACTGGAACACATTTGTTTCTCCCAGTAATTGAAGTTGGCCTCATGACACCCTTGGGGATGGCTTTCTTCCTTTTATGAACCATCGTGAGTTCTTGCCATCATTTCTCATAAAGCAGGAATGAAATCTTGTTCCTTAATATCCTGATTGTTCTCATCTTTTAAAAATTACCTGTAATGAAACCCAGCACTTGATGTGTGCCTTGATGAAGTCAGAGTAGATAATTCTGTCTTTCCTCCCTGACATTCGTGTGACTCTAGAAATCTTTGTCTTTTTGTCTAAATAAATTATCCCAACAATTACAGCAATTTTAGTGCAAAGGGCACTCAATAACTTTCTCTACCAGTACCAGTTCATGTTTGTTTCATTTTTCTTGATACAGCATTGCACTGCTAGTCCTGTTTTTGATCTGTGGTCATCTGTGATGTGTACATAGTCTTCTGCATTTTTCCTTTTCCCTTTATCATGTATTTGCTTGGATTTTTTTTCAATTCTGAGAGTTTTTACTGCTATTGAATTTCATCCTAATTCTGGGAACATCCTTCCAAGATCAGATTCATTTAAACTTTATTCCCAATTTCTAGCATTTGTAATTCTACCCTGTTCATTCTCTAAAGGAAAGTAGAGGAACCTGTTACAATAAGATTTGTAGTTAGATCAGGGAAAAACAACTATTTTTGTTAATACTGTCAGTAAAGATAGGGAAGTTTTTAGATTTCAAGACAGATTGCCATAGTCTGTCATTCTGTATCTCCAGTTGATTCCAAGTCTTTATTACTTTGTTGTTTACTTACTTAATGGGCATGAAGCCAATAATAGGCTACCCACATTTGACTTCACCACTTGTGTTGGTATAAAAGGGAATAGAGAAATCAAGAGAGAGGGACGTCTGCTCTTCCTTGACTATGGCACACTCTCCTGTCGTAGGAGGAAATCAGATTGGCCTTCTGGAGTGGGCTTCTCACATGTCACAGCTGTGGTGGTGGTGGTGGTGGTGGCAGGTGGCGGGTGGCACCCCTGGCAGTGCACATTGTTGGTGAACTGTTTTAATCTCTCCCGATAACCTGAAGTTTAGGTTGCCAACCAGTTGATAATAGCCATTATTGTTAAGGAGAGAAGGAGTATTTTCTTTTTCCTTCTTTTCTGTGAATATTAATTTCCATGTAGAAGTAAAAGGATATTTAGGAAAAGCAAACTTCATTTGGTACCTATTTACTTTACAGCCAAATAGATTTAATCTCCCTTTACCCTCCTCCTAAGGCAGGTGGTTCTTAAAGAGAGAAAGCCAACTTAGAAATCTGTATACTTTATTTGACAGTATGCCCACATTTTTAGCAATAACATTAGCTAGTGTCAATGTTTAAATTTCTTCTTTAAGAAATTCGATAGTTGGCTGGGCTCAGTGGCTCACGCCTGTAATCCCAACACTTTGGGAGGCCGAGGTGGGCGGATCACGAGGTCAGGAAATCTAGACCATCCTGGTTAACACGGTGAAACCCTGTCTCTACTGAAATACAAAAAATTAGGTGGCTGTTGTGGCATGTGCCTGTAGTCCCAGCTACTTGAAAGGCTGAGGTGGGAGAATCGCTTGAACCCAGGAGGCGGAGGTTGTGGTGAGCTGAGATCATGCTACTGTACTCCAGCCTGGGCAACAGAGCGAGACTCCGTCTCAAAAAATAAAATAAAATGAAATGAAATGAAATGAAATGAAATGAAATGAAATGAAATGAAATGAAATAAATCGATAGTTAAGTGAAAGTTGCATTATTCAGTGTATATGTATGATTATTTAATGTAAAATAAACTCAGTTTTTCCAGTTGGATGGTGGGGGTGGTAGCAGGGGAGGAGTTGATAGTAAATAATTCTGGATATTCAGCAAGAAATTGAGAAGGGATCTTGCCCTCCCTCCTTTTATCCCACTCCCTTGCCCCCATTTCTTAATTGAGTCTGGCCTGAGCCCATGTGGCTGGCCAGCACAGATGAAAGGCCCTTCTTCACAGCAGATGTATGATGATTCCTGGACAGTGGTCAGGATATTGCCTTTTTGTGGAACTTTTAACAGAAAAGGTAACTGAAGGTTTGAGCATGTCCCCTTTACAGGGGCCATCTTTCCCCCACCTGTGTAGAGGTACATGGGTCTTTCAGCGGCTCAAACAACACACCTAAGTGTCCTTGAGTCTCACCTTATTGTGAGTGTTGCTTGTAAGCAGTGTTGTCACTAAATTTATTTCTTCTTTAATTTGGTAATTTACCAGAATATCTTCTTTTCTAGCCTCGATGATTATAGCTCGTTGAAATGCCTGAAGTCATTTTTGATTTCTTCTCTCTTGCTCATGAGAATTATTCCAAAAAAAATTTTGGCCTTCACACCAGTGTTTAAAAATTGTTCTGTACCTAGGTTTACAGTGGGGATACACCATCTTAAATCTAGTTAAGGTTAACAAGATTTATATTCTTTTCTGGAGAGTTCAGTCTTGGAAGCCAACCTGAGTTTTTAAAATGTGCTGACTGCATGTGGATAAATTACAGCCCTGTTCCCAGATGTGTGGGATCTCACAAGATAGGGATTGGATGGAGAAGTATCCCTGATTTGTCAAAGTGCTAGTCTAAGAGAGCTGCCTTTGTTGTAAGTATACTGCTTGTGTAATTTCAATGATCAAGATTCCCTTTGAGAAAAAATGTGGTTGTACTGACATTTACTTTGAGCAAATGAAGCATAATTCATATCTGTTGAAATTGAAATTAATAATGCATGGCCATGGCTATGTGAGTACTTTTTTCAGCCTTCTTTGTATGTTCTTGCATATAAATTTTTAGAACCCGTGGTAAATCAGATGGTGCAGAGGCTGTTCGATTTTTTTTTTTTCTTCCTTGTTTTCTAGTGGGTGGCTTGCTTGAGCAAGGGAATGCAGTGAATAAGTTTATCAGCGTTAGAATCTGTGGTTATGAAATTATATCACTTATTAAAAACTAAATATTTTAGTCAAGGTTTTTAAGTGTCCTTTGCAAAAAAAAAAAAAGCTTTTAGATTGCTCTTTACTTGTACTTTCCCAGCTGAAAATGAAAGATAAGGGACAAATATTAGTATCAATTCTTTTATTTGCATGCCTTTTCTCTAATGGTTGTTCCTTGCCTTTTAGTCCTTGTGTAATGAATACGTTAGAGGCAAATGTCACCTATCTTGAAACCATAAAGACTTAGTTTCTGTACTACTACTTTTTAGGTACAAGTGCAGTCTGACTTCTGAATGTAGAACCAGTCATCAGAATAGCCCTAGATTGCACAGTGGGAAGAACTTGCATTGGCTAAGTACTCTGGTGAAGCTGAACAATTCCAGGTTGCAAAGAGTACTTGGCTCATCTCTCATTTTCATGAGGACTAACATCACACACAATGCTAAACCTCACTAGCAAAGAACTGAAATGAACTCCTGACAGGCCAAGAAATGCATCCAGTAACCTCATGTGATCTTTTACCCCATCAAGCCAAGGCCATATCTCTGAGGTTAAGAAAATTGTGCATTACATTGCAAAATCTTCTATTTGTGAGTTAGAAGTCTCAAACTCGACTTTGTTACATTTAGACAGTTCTAAACACACATATGAAAACAACTCAATTTCCATCATAACTTTGCAGTAAATTTCCAAAAGGCGTATTTCAGGAGACCTTAAGATAAGCATTGTTTCTGAAAGCATGATCAAATGAAGGAAATGAAAGAACAAACACTATCCTAGTTTGAATGATGCTTGGAAAGGTTTTAGTCCTGGGATTGCAGATAATTTATTTTTTTTGGTAGTACCAATTAGGGATATGCTGAGAACAGTGGGGAAAGCAACAGTAGGTTTACTTCTTATTGCCTGATAGAGTATTTTTCTCTAAGATTTTTTGGTATGTGTGTACAAGACAGTGTTTTTGGTTGATCCTATGTCTCAGTTGAAGACAGTCCTACTGAATTGAGATCTTATGGGGCAGGGGGCAGTATACTTCTTTTTTATTGACATAATTGCAGCCAGATAGAAATAGGTAATTATATTTCTTATCACACACATAATGGATTTGTTTTATGTTGTGTTATTCTCTGAAATTAACTGACAGATTAGAACAAATTGCATGTATATTTCACATACCCAACCTGCACTAAGTCCCTCAAATTCCTATTTATGACAGTTTACCTCTGGGAATTAGCTAGGGCATTTAAATCAATAGCATTATTAGAACTCACGTTCCAGGAATCCATTTGTGACCCCGTACAGGAAAGAGTTAACATAGTAAGCCTGCGTGCAATAACTTAAGACATTTCATGTTTATTGTCACAACTGGTTGTTGGCAGCATTAAATGTGACCCCACTTGGAGAGGACCCATGGAAGCTTGTGTCTAGTTTCTTCCAGACTTCATCCCATACCCTTTTCCGTTGGCCGATTTTGCATTTTGCTTTCTTGTAATACATTGTAGCCATGATACAACTATATGCTGAGACGGGCGAGTCTTCCAGGTGAATCATTGAGCCTGGGGAGTAGTCGTGGGGATGCCTAACACATACCCATCATCAACTGCTGAAGGCCTCTACTTGGTTAAGGTGGAGTGCTCTGGGCTAGAGTATTGGCACTGCAACCTTGACCCATGCACTACTGCACCAAGTTTGTTGGGAGGATCACATGGGATGGTGTTGGTAAAAGTTCCTTGAAAACAGATCACTATCCAGATGCACACTGATGTGATTATTATTTTGCTTCTTCCGTGATATGTTTTGGTAACTACTGTGAGTAAGACATTATTATGCACACATAGAACGCTCAGTTATTTACCCTTTGGTTAGTATTGGGCCTCCTTCTTCACATGAGGCAAGGCAAACTCCCGCTTCCCCAGACAATGGGGAGCACTCTAGACACTAATTCCCCACCCTTCCTACATTTTTCACATTGCTCTCTGGTTACTTTTCTTAACCCATGTTAATTACAGTTGGGTGGGTACAGTGGCTCATGCCTATAATCCCAGCACTTTGGGAGGCCAAGGCGGGCAGATTGCTTGAGCCCAGGAGTTCAAGACCAGCCTGGGCAACATGAAGAACACCATCTCTACAAATAATACAAAAATTAGCTGGGTGTGGTGGTGCCCACCTGTGGTCCCAGCTACATGGGGTGTGGGAGGATCGCTTGAGCCCGTGAGGTGAGGGCTGCAGTGAGTCATGATTGCCCCACTGCACTCCAGCCTGGGTGATAGAGCAAGAGCCTGTCTCAGAAAAAGAGAAAAATTGTAGTTTTGTCATCTCTCCAAACCATTAATTACATTGCATTCATTGTGAAATAAAGGCCAGATATGTTTATCTGTCAGTCAAGTTTATCTGATCCCACCCCCTCTTCTAGCCTTATTCCTTACTGCTTGCCTTGAGGTATTTGACAGTTTAGCCAAATGAGGACACTAACCCTTTTCCTTCCCCTCCTCAGATATTTGTTGCTTTCCTCTCTTCTCTCCCACCCCTAGGATGCTTTTTCCTCCATCGCTCTCTGTGCAAATCCTACCGTGTTTCAAAACCCATGTTAAATGGTGCCTCTTTCTCATTGCCTTTTCTGATCCCTCTAGTGGTCAAAGTTTCTGTTGACTCCTATGACGTTTTATGTTTGTTTATGTCTGAGTTTTTTTGATATGTGCAGGAGGTATTGGTATGCAAGTGGAGAAGTGAGATAGCTAAGGGAAGGCAGCCAATAAAGGTGCATTATTAAACCACTAATGGCAATGGGCAGTTGGAGGTCAAGCTTGGGGAGAAGCTCTGGGAGATGATGTCACGCAGGACTTCTCAAACTTTCATGTTCATGAGAATCTCCTGGGGACCTTGTTAAAATGCAGGTTCAGACTCAGGTCTGGGGTGAGACCTGAGAGTCTGAATTTCTCATGAGCACCTGGTGATAATGATGCTGTTGGCATGGGTCCAGAGACCCCACTTCGGAGAATGGTGATGCTGTAAATTTGTCCCACCTGAAGAGTAAGGTAGCTGGAGCATTTAACTTAATTAATTTTTTTTTTTTTTTTTTGAGACAGAGTCTTACTCTGTCGTCCAGGCTGCAGTTCAGTGGCTCAGTCATAGCCAACTGGAGTATTTATATACCAACTTTGGATGGTCATTAGTTGGGGGCTGTCAATTCCTGCCACCTTTGGCTTCTCGGGTGGCCATCCCTACCTTGGAGAAAAGTCCTCAGGCAGCGAGGTGCAGATACCTGTAGTTGGAGGTCAGCTTTGGGTGGCTAGGGCAAATTCAGCCCCATCTTGTAATTGTGATGATTTATACACATTTGTTCCTCCATAGCAACCTGTCAGATCCCTGAAGGCAGGATATGTAATTTGTCTTGTGTTCTAATAGCATTTAGTGCATATTATGCTTTTTTGTTTGCTCAATGAGTGAGTTGATTGTTGGTACTTTCTACTTTGGCAAAGTGTTACAAGTGCAGTTTATGGTGCAGTTCGGACTCCAGCTTTTTTTTTTCTTTTTTTTTTTTTTAGACAGTCTTGCTCTAAAGCCCAGAATGGAGTGCAATGACGCTATCTAGGCTGACTGCAACCTCTGCCTCCCCGGTTCAAGTGATTCTCGTGCCTCAGCCTCCCCAGTAGCTGGGATTACAGGCGTGCATTACCACACCCAGTTTATTTTTTGTATTTTTAGTAAACAAGGGGTTTCGCCATGTTGCCCAGGCTGGTCTTGAACTCCAGGTCTCAAATGATCTGCCCGCCTCGGCCTCCCAAAATGCTGGGATTACAGGTGTGAGCCACTGTGTCCGGCCGCAGCTTGTCATTTTTAGTCTCAGTGTCTAAGATAAAGATTCTGTAACACAAAAGCCTTCTTCCTGGTTCGTCATCTCTGAAGGTATCAGTGGCCTTGTCCTCACTGGTCAGTGCTAACAGGTACAAGAGAGAAGAATACTATGGAAGACAGCAAAAATTACCCCATCAAGGACTTCTGGGTTCTGTTTATTTTTAAGATGAAGATAGAGAATACGGCTCAAGAGAAAGAATTCTGGTGAGAAACTTTGGAGATAGCTAGTGCTCTCTCATCTAATTTTCCCTCTTGAAGGCACTTTTCATTCCTTGAGGGATTTCTGTTCTTTCTTTTTTCTTTTTGGACATTCTCCTTTATATTTGGATGGATTTCCTGTAATACAGACACAAATTTGGTTTTGAATTATAAGGCTAAAACAAATCTTTTAACTTGGTTGCTAAATTTCCTCTACATTATCAAAGCTCTTTTTATTTTGAATACCGTTTTCCAAATTTCATTTTTTCTTTGACTCATAAAATCTAGTGTTTTGAAAACTTCTTATATGGAGCTTTCTTTTGATTTTTAATATGAAATAACTACTATGTATTTGTTTGAGACCTCCTGTGTATCTCGTTCTGTACTAGATGCTATGGTAGACTGAAAGGAAATGTGACATTTTCTACCGGCCCTCAAAGAATTAGTCATTTAGGTGGGGAGAAAAGGTAGTTGATATGATGATAGAAAACCAATTGTAAGTATTAAGGGATATTCAATGACAGTTGGATGTCTTTGATTTTTTTCCATTCAGTCCTAATTTCATGTATTCCTTCATGCTATCATATTGTATAAGTTGTGGGTTCAGATTCCTAGTTGAAAAGATGCAGTCCCTGTCAGATGTAGAAATTTACCTGCGGGTAAGATTGTGGGTCAGTGTGGTTAGGGAATATCACAGAGAATGTACAGTTTTCTAGGTCATCCTTTGAAAAGTCAGCTGACTTAGAAAAGGCCACGCGGAGATCAAGGACCTTGTAGACATTGTTTGGCTCTGTACCAAGGGCTGGTTTGGTGTCTGGAGGGGCCCTGAAGTTAATGGGAGAGGCCACTGTCTGCTAGTAAAACTAGCAACCAGATGAGAATTCTTGATTCTTTTTCAGCGTATCTTTCTTGTGGTTGTGTGTCTCTGTGTGGGGGTGTGTTCTTCTCTTTGTGTCTGTAAATATTTTAAATATTAATTTCACAATCCTCTTGACTTTGACTCCTTTCAATCTTTGACAACTGGTATAATCTCTGTGCATAGATTCTTTCTGTGAGGTGGCTTAGGGGAGTAAATGATAAGGGGGTTATTTCTCAGTTAGTTCACATGGGGAGGAAATATGTCTTCCTCTGATTAATTCACATCACTTAACTGAATAATATTATGTGGAATGGTTGACTGCTAATGTCAAAGGAATGCAAAGAAAAAAGTGCAAATCACAGAAAAATGGCATCAAGGTTTTTCATTAATGGCCTTATATTGACAAATCTTTATCTTCTGGATAAATTTACAACCTTTTTACTTTATGATGCCCTTTCACAAGTGTGACTTCATTTGAAATAGAAAATTGTGATGAAGTAAGCATACAGTCCTCATCTAGAGTGACCTGGAGAGGCTATATGAGCTTGTTTGTAAGTAGAATCCTCTTAGAACTTGTGTAGTAGAATACTCCTAGTTGAAATCTTAGTCCTATTACTTATCAATCTTGGAATGTTGGTTAAATTTAAGGCCTTGAAACACAGCTTCTTTATTTGTAAACTAAGGAAAATAATACCTTCTTTTATGGGTTGTAAAAAATAAGACAGTGAGGCTGAACTCATGAGAGGGTCTCAGTAAATGTTCCTTCTCCTCTGATCTGAGATTCCAAGTACTAGAATCTGAAGCCAGAGGAAATCGGTGTTTCAACTCAATCCATGACTTCTTAAAAAAAAAAAAAAGTACAAAGAAGTATGAAAATTCAAAGTAACATTTATTTTTATAATTCTGCTGACTGAGAGTATCCTGTGATCATTGGTAGAATCTGTACTTATTAAATGCATTCTAATGATCCACCATTTGGGGATATATCTTGGTGCTGTAGCCAAACTTAGAGGCACTGCTTTCTATTTCTCTTTTTTTTTTGAGATGGAGTGTCGCTCTGTCACCCAGGCTGGAGTGTGCAGTGGCGCGATCTCAGCTTACTGCAGCCTCTGCCTCCCAGGTTAAAGCAATCCTCCCACCTCAGCCTCCTGAGTAGCTGGGATTACAGGCATGCACTACCAAGCCTGGCAATTTTTTTTTGTATTTTTAGTAGAGATGGGGTTTCATCATGTTGGCCAGGCTGGTCTCTAACTCCTGACCTCAAGTGATCTGCCTGCCTCGACCTCCCAGAGTGTTAGGATTTACAGGCATGAGCCACCGTACCTGGCCTTTCTATTTCTTACCAAAACCCAAGGCCCTTAGTTCCTTGTTTTATAGAAGTTGTTGTCAAGACAGAAATGCCTTTGTTTAATTTCTTTATTTGCTGTTTTCTGTCAGATTTGCGTGCTGCTCTGATACCCAGCTAGTCACAAGGTTACTGCAAAGTTATGTTTTTGATTTTTAATCTTGTGTTTATTGTGATTGGTTGGTGCATTTGTTCTGTTTGGTTATTAAATATTTTGAATCTCACTGGGGATTACATACTTTTAAACATTTTTTTCTGTGAGGGTTTTTGGATGTGCCATTTAAGAGAAAAGGTTATTTTAGTAAGTTCTACCAAATTAAAAGATGAATAGTAAGAACTTGCTAGTATCCTGTTTATGGCTGAATCTGAGCAGGCGTTTACAGTTATTTTCTAAAATAATCTTGAGTTAACGTTAATGGAACTATGTATTATCAGTCCCACACTGGAAAGCTAATTATTGGTATGTAATCTTAGCAGAATTACTATGCTTGTTGGTGTAATCCATGTCAGCAAGGTGACACATTATAATTTTATATTCATTTTCCACTTACTTTTCTCATCTTCTGCATGTATCATCAGACAAGCTTTCTTTATTACAGATGTGGTTATTTTAGGGGCAACCACTTTTACTTGAATTGACATAAAAACCATCCCTCATCTCTGGGCCACATGGTCTTTCCTGAGACGTAAATGTGATGTAGCATCTGCCACATAATCTTTCTTAATGATATGTGTGTAGACACCTGAAAGTTCCTTTTGTTTCTGTGTCTGAACTGTTAGGTCATCAGCTTACTTACCAGAGGACTGATGTGTTTCTTCAGGTTCTGCTGGCATAACATTTGGGGCCTATTTTTCACCGCTCTACATTTGATTTCCCTATAGTTTTAAATTCAGGAAAAAAAATTGAATTTTTGATGCTAATTACCCTCTTTTTAATTCTATCATTTGTAATTTAAGATGATAGATTAGATTTTGGACATTTATAGTTTATGTTCTCTAATATTTTAACCTTTATTAGATGGCTTTCTAAAATAAGTGTCTCGTACAAGTAAATTTCTCTTTTAATGTGTGGTTTTAGTACTTTCTAAGCATATTAACTTCATATTTTCTTAAGTTATGATCTAAAACTGATGAGAAATTAACCTGTTTTGGCTCAAGGAAGCCTAGATACTCCCTAAATGTTACCCTAACTTAGAGCTTTAATAACATTTTTTCCTACTAGGGAACTAATACTGTTATAGGAAGTTGTTCTTTCCTCATTTTTATTGGCCTCCAGTTTTCCATATTTGGTGATTTTTGGCAGGGTAATATATGAAATTTGATTTTAGTGTTGGCTTAGAGATTCAGTAAGAACAAATCATTTCTTTGTTAATCCTGTTCATCCATGTATCATCAGCTCCTAGCACAGTCCTAGGCCCAGCATAGATGGTCAGTAAATGTTTGTTGAAATAAGTAGCTTCCCAGAGGCTTGCTTGAATCTTTCCCTTGTCCAGTCACCTGGGAAGAGAATGAGATCTTTATACTGATTTTATCTTAGGAGGCCTAATTCCTTAGTTCTTGTGCAGATCGGCATTATGTAATCTTTCCACTATTAGATAACATTTTCTGTGACAGCTGACTCCTTTAGGTGACTGAATTTCTCTATCAGCTTTTAAAGTACTGAGTTTGGTTTAGAAGAATGTAGAAACTTTTGCCCATCAAGCCTAAAGAGATTGTTTAGCAGAAGAGAGGGGAAGTATTTAAATAATAAAAATTTGCTTTCTATTTCAGATTCTTCTTAGCCCTCCAGGCTGGCCATAACTTCCCGGATGGAGTAAATTCTTTTGTTAGATGACTAGAATTGAATCATGTAAGCCAAAGTTATTTTGCATGCTGATTCTGTTTGCATTTTAGAAGAGAGGATAATTCTAAACATTTATAGGTAATCTACAGTTGTGCCAGATTGACCCTCTATTACAAATTCAACTTTTTCTGTAAGTCTTTTTTTTTTTTTTTTTTTTTTTTTTGAGACAGAGTTTCACTCTTGTTGCCCAGGCTGGAGTGCAGTGGCATGATCTCGGCTCTCTGCAACCTCCGCCTCCTGGGTTCAAGTGATTCTCCTGCCTCAGCCCCCCGAAGTAGCTGGGATTACAGGTGCCCGCCACCACACCTGGCTAATTTTTTTTTGTAGTTTTAGTAGAGACGGGGTTTCACCATGTTGGCCAGGCTGGTCTTGAACTCCTGACCTCAGGTGATCTGCCCGCCTTGGCCTTCTAAAGTGCTGGGATTATAGGTTTGAGCCACCGTGCCCGGCCCTTTTAAGTCTTATTGCAGTGGTTATTAAATACAGTTAGTAAATACATTTGTCTTTGGTTTCACATAGTATAAAAAATACTAACAGTTTTATTCATCAGTAGTTCTGTGAGCCTCATTAATATTTTGATTTATTTTATCTTATGTAGTGTTTACTTTTTGTTCATAGATATTGAAGCAATGGGAAATAATTTCTAAGTAACTACATGTATCAGGTAATTTGAAGACATTGATAATGAAAGTGGTATATGTGTACCTTTTATAAAATCAGATTCAGCTGTTTGCAGTGACAGTCCAGATGTGAAGTAAAATGGAACATGGAGAACAGGGATGTTGTTACCTTTTTCTTGCATAAGAACTGGAGTATAGATTTAGGAAGAATCGAGGAGTGCTGTTCAGCATTAGGCAATGGTTTATGCAGTTCATTTTTGGGTATTTCATAGAAACCATATTCTCACTTCAAATCTGTTTGAAAGAGTAGGTATCATGTAAATTATATTTTTAAAAATGCTGCAGACAAAAAAGGCAGCATGAGAGGTGCCGTTGCCCTATCTCTCCTCATTTGTTGTCTGCTCTTGCGGGTGAACTGTGAGTGTATCCTGATCAGTTAGTGGGAATGCCTGAGGCGGACTTCAACAGGAAGCCGAGCAGCTTGACCCTGCCCTTCCTGCACATGGGCATTGGAGGGCTTGGTGCTCTGGTCCTGGGCCCTCGCCAGCGTGTGTGTACATGCGCGCGTGTGCGTGTGTGTGTGTATGAGAAGTGGGGAAGAAAGGAGGAGGAGAGAGAGCAGTTGATGGATTAATTCTGCTGGCTGTTGTCAGTGCCTTCAGTTAAGGAAATATAGCAGTTCTTTCCGCCAGCTCCTTGGCCCAAGGCACCTGATGTGGCTCATCCTCTTTCTGATGAAGTCACTAACCATATTTATTAGTAGTGTAATGATCATTTACATGAAACTCTGCAAAACTCTCTTGAGATGCCCTTTGGGACGAGACACAGTGGTGCCTAGGGACTGCCCTTGCCCGCCGGGTGCCTGTGATTAATGGCTTGGAACGATTACACTGTGAATCTGGGCCTCCAGGGAGGATCTAGGCCAATTCCAGCCTTGAGCTGCAGACTGCTTCTTCAGGTCCTACATTTATTGATGTGGCGGAGCAGCCTCCTGCTTGGGTCCCTTGTACAGAGAATCAGGCTGGCGTGGCTCTTGACCACAGGAAGGGGATCCCGTTCTGATCACCTCGCCTGACTTACCGGCACCTGTACCTGACTTTACTTGCACCTGTACCTTACCTGCTAAGGTGTGGATGCCAAGCCCTGATGGGGAAAAAGCACAGCAGCATCAGGTAGAAAGCAAGAAGCAATTGGAGACAGAGAATTCGATGGCAGAGGAAGTTGGAGCTGGAGGTCACAGAGCGGCAGTTAAGCCCTGAAAAATCTCTGGAGATATGAGAGTGGGTGGGAGGGCAGGCATGCTGATTGAATGTAGGAGGGGGCTGAAGGCCTTCTAATTGACATTTTATAGAAAAGGGTGACTGTACAATATGGAGGCCTTGAGAATACTCATAGAAGTTACCTCCATGTTACTGTTAAAATGCTTGCTGGGGCAGCTCACAAATGACATTTTAGGATGAATGAAGTATGATGGCTAAAGCTATGGGCATGCGCATCACCTAGCCTGGGTTTGAATCTTGACTTCAACATTATTTTCTCTGTGATAAAAGATAAAAGTAACTTTCCAAGCTCAGCTGCCTTATTTGTAAAATGGGAGATAAATCACAGTGATTGTTACAAAGAATAAATGAGATAATACGTAGTGAATATTTTGCACAGGGCCTAGGAGTAGTAAATACTCAGTAAAAGCTAGCTGTTGTTGATCTTTAATGCTATGTATGTCTGACTAATATCCGTAGAAGGGAAGAACCAGTAACAATTGTGGCAGATACTGCTTATTTGTTAGTTTAATGAGATCAGAACAGTGTAGACTTCAGCCTGGATCCTGTGAAATATAAGGGTTACAAAATTAAATTTTATGTGTGTAAGCAAAGAAAAAGACATCTTAAAATCTTAATTTATCTGACTATTGCATTTGTTTTTCTTTTTTTCTTTTTTCTTTTTTTTTTTTTTTTTTTGAGATGGAGTCTCGCTCTGTTGTCCGGGCTGGAATGCAGTGGCGCGATCTCAGCTCACTGCAAGCTCCACCTCCCGGGTTCAAATGATTCTTCTGCCTCAGCCTCCTGAGTACCTGGGATTACAGGCCTGTGCCACCATGCCTGGCTAACTTCTGTATTTTTTGTAGGGATAGGGTTTCACCATGTTGATCAGGCTGGTCTCGAATTCCTGACCTCGTGATCCGCCCGCCTCGGCTTCCCAAAGTGCTGGGATTACAGGCGTGAGCCACCGCGCCTAGCCAATTGCATATTTTTGATAGCTGGGTATAAATGACTTCAGTAACACTATTTGTGCTTGTCATCAAGTTTGTAGTGAAAACCAGTGCATTTTTGCTTATACTACACTCCCATCAAGTTTTAAACTTATCAAAAGATGAAATTAAATAAAGCTCTAAGCCACCTCTAGCCTCAGTTAATTCAAGATAAGTAGGTAGAAAGTGGTCCTGGGAACAGCAAAGCATTTTTAGGTGCATGTTGAGGAGCTTTGCTGTCCTGACCATTGGCAGTTCTGCAGCCTCCCAAGCCCTGTGTACTCTGCTCCTCTGAATGGTGCCGTTTTGTGTGGGTTCCTGATTCTGTGGTGAAGAGGAATTGCTAGATGTGAATAAGGGGACACCCCTCCTTTATAAGTAAGTTCTTTCTATACGCAGTCTTCTTTCTGTGTGCAAATAGAATGTATGGCAAAGACTTGGCTTTGTGTATTCCTTAGTTTTTTACTTCTAGAGAATTTAATTTATCAAGTTGTGTCTTCTAAATGAAAACAAATTTTCATTTTATGAAACTGAAGTGTCTAATGAATTCTAAAAATGAAAATTCTCTGTAGCCTGACAAGTTTAGAACTTTATTTAAGAATGTTATGTTGGGTCAGGTGTGGTCATGCTTGTAATCCCAGCACCTTGGGAGGCTGAGATGGGAAGATTGCTTGAGCCAGGAGTTTGAGACCAGCCTAGGCAACATAGTGAGACCCCATTTCTACAAAAAGTTTAAAAAAAAATTAGCCGAGTAGTTAGCTCCCAGCTACATGGGAGGCTAAGGTGGAAGGGTCACTTGAGTCCAGGAGTTTGAGGCTGCAGTGAGCTATGATCCCACCACTGCACTCAAGCCTGGGCAACATGACACCCTGTCTGGAAGGAAAAAATATATATATATGTTAATAAGCTTCTGCCCTCACCCTCTCACCTTAATATTCTACCCTGAATTGCTGAAGACTTTTTTTGATGCCTTTCCTCATCCTCTTCCCTCACCTCTACCCCCAGTTGTACCAATTGTAATTCTTGGTCATTAATACTCTTTGGATTGTAAAAATTAAGAGAAGTAGTGTAAGACAGTGGTTAAGAGTGTGGACCTTACGGTCATAGAACCAGAGTTTGAATGTGAGTTTGCCATTTAATAGCTGTAGCATCTTTGAGGCTGCAAGGCTTCTCTTTGCCCCAATTTCTTCATCTATAAATGGGGGTATTATTAATAATAGTGCTATCTCATACATTCATATATGTAGAGTATGTAGAGTACTTAGAATTTGGCACATGGTAAGGATTATGTAAATGTTAACTTCGATTTTAGAACACTGTAATAGGGTAATATGAGCTGCTATAGCACACATAGCCCATATATCAGTGACTTGATTCACTAGATTATTTCTCACTTTGTAAAGTCTAAAATGGATATTCTCGATAGGTAGGTGCTTACCAACCCAAGTGACACTTTTTACTATTAAGATGTTAGAATATCTACCTAGAAAGTGGAGAAACTTAAGCTGATCCTAGCATTAGTCATATATGGCCCATATTTAGGCCTAGAACAAAAAAGCTGCTAATAAAGACTTACAATATAGGAATGTTTTGAATTTTCAAGTAGAGGTTTAGGCTTTATAGGAGGTAACTAATTACTTTTAACGGGGCGAATGAAGTAAAAGTAAGCTCAGAGGCAGCAAAACATAGAAGTAACTCAGGCTAGATAGGAAGGGAAAATTGGTTCATATTAAGCACAGGGAGAAAGAATACCTTTGAGTGTGGAGCATTGTTAGTGATTGAGGTGGATCATAAGTGAATACAGCAGTAGGAGTTGATGAAAGTTAAATTAATATGGCTGCCGGAAACCAGTAATACACCATGAAATGGATGAATCTGAGATACTAGTAACCCAGTAGGAAGGATGGATAAAGTGTTCCACAAAGTTCTGAAGGAATAGTAACAGATTCATAAAGCAAATAGAATGATAGGGCTAATTAAAGAACATTCACATATTCCTGGTATCAAAAAATAACTATAGATATATCTTGTTTGTTTAAAATACACGTGGCTAGATGAGGTGGCTCACGCTTGTTATCCCAGCACTTTGGGAGGCCAAGGTGGAAGGATCACTTGAGCCCAGGAGTTAAGAGACCAGCCTGGACAACATAGTGACACCCCATCTCCACAAAACATTTTAAAAGAATTAGCTTTGGCAAAAAAAGTTAGCTGGGCATGGTGATGTGCACCTGTAGTCCCAGCTACTCTGGAGGTAGAGGTGGGAGGATCACTTGAGCCCAGGAGATCAAAGCTGCAGTGAGCTATGATCGTGCCACTACACTCCAGCCTGGGCAACAGAGTAAGACCTTGTCTCAAAAACAAACAGACAAACAAAAAACCCAAAGCCCCTCAATATATTTGGGTTTACAAAGCAGCTTCAGTAAGGGAAAATTATGAGATGGTTTTTCATTTCTTAAGGATTTTACTCTAGATTTTTTTATACCTGACTAGTTAAAACATCATTTTATTACCTATTTTAGCTCTATATAAATCATTTCAAAATGATATTTTACAGTTATGTGTTCATATATTTAAAGTAGTCTTGAAATGTCATTTTTTATTTTTCCTTTTGGAAGATTTCAAGCAATATTGTGAGTACCTTTATAATAAATTATAATTTAGCTGCACCTTTTTTTTTTCTTCCCCTGAGATGGAGTCTTGCTCTGTTGCCCATGCTGGAGTGCAGTGGCCCAATCTTGGTTTACTGAAACCTCTGCCTCCCAGGTTTAAGCAATTCTCCTGCCTCAGCCTCCGGAGTAGCTGGGATTACAGGCACGTGTCACCATGCCTGGCTCCTTTTTTTTTGTATTTTTGGTAGAGACAGTGTTTCACAATTGTTGGCCAGGCTGGTCTTGAACTTCTGACCTCGTGATCTGCCCGCCTCAGCCTCCCAAAGTGTTGGGATTACAGGCGTGAGCCACCGCGCCTGGCCTATCTGCACTTTTATATTCTTTTTTCTCCTTAGATTAGTACACATAAATCAACAATGTGTTTATATTCCATTTGTTTGCTTTGCTTTACTTATACTGAAGACAAATGCTGAAATATCTGATATAGTCTATATATATTATATATCAACTGTTAATATTTTCTGACAGCTAATTAAAAAATTGAATACCAAAGCATATTTCTCCATTAGAGAGAAGGCATACCATAAATGTTGTGGTTTAGACCTTTAGAGCCTATTTAGAGCTGAATTAAGTTGACTTGCACTGAATTTAATTAGTTTCTAATCCAAAACAAAGGCGCTGTGTTTTATATATAAGGTTACCATTAAGATAGATATTTTAGCTAACAATATTGGAATGTGTTTTGTAGAGGATAGGGAATGTTCTGATATTACAATAGAAAAATAATAAAAATTAATTCCTCCTAATATCTGCATCTTTCCTTTTTTATTTTTGAGATAGAGTCTTGCCCCTGTTGCACAGGCTGGAGAATAGTGGCTTGATCTCGGCTCGCTGCAACCTCCACCTCCCGGGTTCGAGCAATTCTTCTTCCTCAGCCTCCCAAGTAGCTGGGATTACAGGCGTGTACCACCACACTTGGCTAATTTTTGTATTTTTAGTAGAGAAGGGGTTTTGCCATGTTGGCTAGGCTGGTCTCAAACTCTTGACCTCAGGTGATCCACCCGCCTTCAGCCTCCCAAAGTGCTAGGATTACAGGCATGAGCCACCATGCCTGGACGTCGTTCCTCTTTTGTTTCAAACCTGCTAGCTTTTCAAAAATTATGTAGAAAAACTAAGTTATTTCATACCTTTTATAGAGGTTACTTGGATCAAGAATTTTCTGTCTTTATTTTTGAGGAATTTTTTTTTTATACTTTTGGGTCTTTAGAGAGATCTCTGTCCTTCTGTCTCTCAAAAGTCCAAGAAGGTTTAAAAAATTAAAAAAACAAATTTCACTATTTTGTGTTCATCCTTTTCAGAATAAAAATCCTGCATATAAGGCATTATAACATTTGGTGACTTTAATCTTTCCAGTCTACGGTTAACTTGCAAGTGATGTAAATGCCAAAAGTTGAATCGAAAACTTTTCTGTTACGGAAATTAAGGTAGTTGACTAGCCAATTTTAAATGTTTCTTGCATGGTTCCATTTACAGGGAAATGACAGAAAAATGCGAAGAGAGAGGTAAAACAAGAGGGAACACTCTTAAACACTGCCGGTGGGAAGGTAAACTAGTACAACCACTATGGAAAACAGTATGGAGATTTCTTAGAGAACTAAAAGTAGAACTACCATTCGATCCAGCAGTCACACTACTGGGTGTCTACCCAGAGGAGGAGAAGTCACTGTATGAAAAAGATGCATGTACATGCATGCTTATAGCTGCACAATTTGCAATTGCAAAAATATGGAACCAGCCTTAATGCCCATTAGCTAACAAGTGGATAAAGAAAATGTGGCATATATACACCATGGAATACTACTCTGCCATAAAATGGAACAAAGTAATGGCCTTTGCAGCAACTTGGATGGAGCTGGAGGCTGTTATTCTAAGTGAAGTAACTCAGGAATGGAAAACTAAATATCATATGTTCTCACTTTTAAGTGGGAACTAAGCTGTGAGGATACAAAGGCATAAGAATTATATAATGGACTTAGGGGACTTGGAGGGAAGCATGGGACGGGGGTGAGGGATAAAAGACTGCATATTGGGTACGGTGTACACTGCTTGGGTGATGGGTGCACCAAAATCTCAGAAATCACCTCTAAAGAACTTACCTACATCACCAAAAACCATCTGTACCCCCAAAACTATTGAAATTAAAAAAAGATTTTTAAGAAGGAGGGAGGGGAATACTGAAAGGAGTTGAAGAAGGAATGAGCAGGGCCATGGAGATGTGGAGGTAGAATATTAGAAAAGACAATCTCGTAGTCTTCCTGTTTCCTGGTGTGGGTTAGCATACTGGTTCTAATTAAGGACTGTGGTATTTATTGTTGAAACGTGACCAACATTAGGCCTTTTCTGGTATTTGTGGCCATTCCACGGTGGTTTGTATCTCTTAAATACATTCTGTATGCTAAGGTGAAGAACATCACTGAAAGGTCACTAATAAAGAGGAAAGGCCAACTGATAGTGTTGGATCAGTTTAGTTCGATGTTACCACACGAGCTGTCTGTACATCTAAATTCCTTTTAAACCCACCTGCTTTGCTTTGAAGGATTCTCTGAGTGAACAAATGATATGTCAATTGTAAATGGCAAATATGCTCAAACTGGTATAGAAACAGTTTTGTCAGTAAGGTTTATTGTTTCACTTTGTGCACCTTCTGTCATGCATACTTGAAAGCAATTTCTCTAGTTGGAGTATATAAGTTGCCTTGAAATCCGAAGTTAAAGTGACTCTATTAAATACATTTTGAGGGAATTTTATTTGGCATTGTGATAAGTGACTCCAGTAGAGATTTTCTTTCGTATGTATAAATAAGGTCAACACAGAGTTACACAAGGAAAGCATTCTTAGGTCATGTGTGTATGAGAGGGCAGGCAAATAAACATCTCCTTGTTTGCTGAGAGGGAGAAATTGCTATTTATTGGCTTACCATAACTACACTCTACTTTCATGAAAGCATTTTGTAGGAAAGCAGTCTAATGAAATGGTTAGGCCAAATTTTCGATTCCAACACCCTTTTATACTTACGCTATTGTCTCTGATAACATTAGATTCACATACATGTGTGCTTGTATATATACATGTATACACATACATGCATTCAAATATGCACACATATTCACCCCACAGGGTTCTTGAGATACTAATGGAGGGTAAAGTGTGAAAAACCTGGAGCCTTTGACAAGAACTCTGGAAAAGGCTTAAAAGAGGTTGGATGTTGTGGCTCATGCCTGTAATCCCAGCACTTGGAAAAGGCTGAGGCATGAGGATCACTTGAGCTAAGGAGTTCAGGACTCCTCCAGGCAACATAGTGAGACTTGTCTCTACAAAAAAATTTTTAAAAATTAATGGGCCATAATGGCATGCTCATTTGGTGGCCCAGCTACTTAGGAGGCTAAGGCAGGAAGATTGAACCCAGGAGTTCAAGGTTGCTATTATTGTGCCACTGCACTCCAGCCTGGGCAACAGAGTGAGAGCATGTCTCTAAAAAATTAAAGAAAGAAATACAATAAAATAAAAGATCAATTTTCAACAAGAATCCTCCAATTCCATGAGGCACTGAATACCTACAGAATGAAAGCACAGCTCAGAGGTTGCAATAAATCTTTCCAACCTTCTTCTTATCAAGAATACTATGGGCTTATGTAGTCATGGAGTTTTCCTTAGCTTTTGTAAATAACTGCCAAACCAGAGTAGATGTAAGTTTAATAAAAATGAAGACACTAGTTTTTGGAAATCTCAGACTTCAGTCAGTTCATTTATGAAATTTAAAAGTGATTTTTCAGAAGGGAGTATATATTACACTTATGATGAAAAGGAGTAAATAAAAGGGGAAAGGTCATCTGTTTATTCATTTGTGCAAATGTGATGTCATTTATCAAAATAAACTTTCAGCTGTAATACTAGATTAAAATAAAATTAATAATCATCTATGAAACGGTGTTTCAGCAGGCTGCTGGTAGCAGAAACACCCACTTCTAATTGGTTTCAGCAAGAAGAAAATGCATTCCTTCATGTATGGAGCAGTCCAGTGGTAGGGAAGGCTCCAGATGTCAGCTCAGGGCCCTGGCTGCAGCCTCTTTGGGATCCTGTTGCCTTAGGCCCTTAGCAAGCCCGCCACAGGGCTTCCAGCTCCACAGCCATATGCAGCCAGACTAGAGACAAAAAGGTCTCTCTCTTGCAGTGTTTTCTTCTTGGGAGCAAGGAAAACTTCCCCAGAGCCCTTCTAACAGGCTCCCAATATCACATGGCCACCTCCAATATCAGTTCTTCCCTGAGTCTCACAGTCAGAACTGCTTCACAGGCTCAGCTCAGTCACTAGGGAATTTGGACTTGCAGCAATGGTCCAATTCAGGATTCAACATTCGAGTCTGAACTGAGGGCCACCACCCCTTGATGCACATGAGGGGATGGGTGCCCTAACTGATTTGGGCCTTTGCTGGCAAATGTTTAATGGAGAGGGGATGTTGGGTAGGCAGCCAGAGGTACTTGCTTTTATAAACAGAAAATGACGGATGAGAATGGGTTTTTGAAAAGATCATAAAACGTGTCTGTCAAATAAAACATTTGGTTTTCAAGATTTTTAAAAAACATACTTCATTTCTGTAAAGAGAATGTTGCTAATAAGAACTAAAGATAATTTTACTAAAAAAAAGTTTTGCCAGCAGAGAATTTATTTTTAAAAAATAAACAAAATAGTTATCCAGGAATTCTTATGTAATCTCTGGCATGGGGCTTGAATTGAACAGCGTTTTATCTTTAGGAATAATGGAGTTCTAAGTCCATAGCTGACACTCATCTCTGATCATCTTAGGAGTTACTGCCATCCTTACTAAATCTTATGAAGTAATAGTCTGATGAAATATGAGTATTTAGACTTGCATTAGCTTTCAAAAAAGTCCCCAGTATTTGAAGAGGGTACTTCCTGTGGCTGGTTTGGCAATTGAGATTAGTAAATTAGGAAGATGCTACTGTCTTCATTGACCTTTTATAACATGTGTTTGACAAAGCCTTGAGTCTTCTATAATAACAACAATGGTAATAGCCATTCTTTATTTGTCACTTGCACACACTGCCAGGCCCTGTGCTTCACAGGTAGTATGTTAATCATATGTTTATTTTAAGGGGAAAACCTAATATGTACCATGCTTCCTATCCCATAAGTGGTGCAAGATGAGAGTTGGAATCAGATCTGTCTGTCCCCTGAATCCTGTTTTCGATAATACTTCTTCAAAAGAAGAAAGATGAGAAAACAGCAATTACGTGCTCCATTGATGGAAGATACCAGATCAAATCCTTTGGCAGATTAATCAACATGATCCCACATCCTTTTAGGTTGCAGTGTAGGACCCAACCTGTACTATTTCCAGTGTAGCAAGTACTGAAGGAAGTTCTGGTGTCCAGCCGTTTTCCTGGTATTCTTTCTGCAGCAGTCAGTTATCCTGCTAAAGCATAAAGCAACTGTGTTATTCCTCTGTGGAGAACCTTCTATCTCTCTGAGCTGAAGCTAAAATGTTAGAGGGCCTGCTGGCCTTGTACTTTCTCTTACTGTTTCCTTCCATTCTCTGACATCATCTCCTTCTACTCCTCTCTTTATTGACTCCACTCTCTGCTCTGTCCTCATTGCTGTTCCTTGAACCTACTAACCTCTTTTCTGTCTCAGGGACTTTGACCTTGAGGTCCAACTGTCTGGATTGCTTTTCGCACCAGGAATCAGCATAGCTCATTCCCGTCTCTCTTTTCAGCCTTGACTTAAGTTGTCTCAGTGAGGACTTGCTGACCACAACACCACCCCCTACTCATGGGATACTCTAACTTCTTTCTTCTTCTTTTCTTCCTAGGTGTTTTTAGTATTTTTCTTTTTTAGAGATGGGGGTCTCACTGTGCTGCCCACACTGGACTTGAATGTCTGGGCTTAAGTGATCCTCCTGCCTCAGCCACCCAAATAGCTGGGACTGCAGGTGGATGCCACTGTGCCCAGCTGTTTTCCATATTTTATGTACTGTACATTTATTTTCCGAATACTAGAAGCTCCCTGAGAGATTTTGTCTATATTGTGTATTGCTAGATCCTAAGTACCTAGAACAGGACCTGGTACGATGTTGCTTAGTAAATATTGCGGACCGGATGAATGAGTGAATGACTCATGTATAGATTAGAACTCTGGCTGTGATCAAGCAGGTGGATTGCCGAGAGATATTCACAAGGACATAGTGTTACTTAATTGCAAAACCATTTAGATGCTTCTATTAGATTAGTGGTGTCCAGTCCTTTTCTGTCATCAAAAGAGTGAATCAGAGTGTCTGGTTTTATTCAGCATATGTTACTCTGATATGCCTCAAAACATGGGAATTATATGTAATTCTCAACCGCAAGGATTTTTTTTTTCGGTCTAACTGACTCCTACCATTTCAGAAGTCCTTGAAAGCAAGCACCCAGAGGCTTTCATGTGCCAATGACTCTGCAGACCCAAAGAGATACTCAAGATAATATTGACACTTTTATAGTCTGCATGGTGCTGCTTGCAGATGATAAGCCTACATGCCATAAAGCAGAACTTCATATGGAATTAGTATTGTTTTTGCTTTCCCAACAACATGACGACAGGCAAAGAAAAGAAAAGGAAGAACAAGTGGCCCTCAAATGCCAGACCAGACTGAAGATGCATGTAGTGAGGGTAGTAACCAGTTTGCACCTTTAATATCTTGAATTGTTTCCATCACTTAGGAACCATTTCTTTCATATGTATGATATGCAGGTGCTGTGCTAAGCATTATCAATATAATGATAAATAAAAGAATAAAATCTTTATCCTCATGGAGCTTCCAAACAAGTAGAGAACAGTTACTAATACACACATATGTAAATAATTTAAAAACCCTTATCAAAACTCTGAAGAAAAGGTTAAAAAAAAAAAAAAAAAAAAAAGGGCCAGGTGCCATGGCTCATTCTTGTAATCCCAGCACTTTGGGAGGCCAAGGTGAGAAGATTGAGCCCAGGAGTTCGAGACTAGCTTGGGCAACATAGTGAGACCCTCATCTCTACAGAAGTAAAAAAAATTAGCTGGACATGTTGATGCACACCTGTAGTCCCAGCTACTTGGGAGGCTAAGGAGGAAGGATCATTTGAGCCCAGTATGTCGAGCCTACAGTGAGCTGTTATCATGCCACTGCACTCTAGCCTGGGCGACAGAACGAGACCCTGTCCCAAAACAAAGAAACAAACAGAAACTTAACAGGCACTGCAAGAAAGAATGATGGTAGGAGGAGCCAGGGTAGACCTCTCTTAGAAACTGAGGCTTAAGGTTTGAGCTTTGATTAGGTTTGAGGGTTGCTGCTTTTATAGAGATTATTTTGGTTTCATTAGCAATAGTCACAGTTAGCCTCAAATGTCAAATCTGAATCTGGACCAGGGTGCACAATACTGTGAAGCTCAGTAAGATTCAAAGGTTACTTAGAATGGCTGTTTCTGTTAGGCTAATAGTGTTGCTTAGAGCAACAGGATTCTGTTGGATGGGAAATCTGTATGTAAACAGCAGGTATGAGCCAGATATCTTGCAGCAGCTATGTGGCAAGGGAAAGGTGGTGGTGGCTATAATCTGCATGGCTGGAGAATAAACAAATATTGATGTGGGACTTTAAACTATGGCAATGCTAGGACATTCTAGGAAGAAGCAACAGTAGAGGTGGATTGTACTTTCTAGTTAGGGTATCTTTCTGACTGCTTCGAATATTAAGGCCGTATACAGTCAAACTGTCCAGAAAAAGGAAAAAAAAGTCTTTGTGTCAAGAAGATCAAAGTTCATTTAAATTTGAATGACAGCTGTTTTAAAAAATCATACTTAGGCCAGGTGCGGTGGCTCATGCCTGTAATCCCAGCACTTTGGGAGGCTGAAGCGGGTGGATCACCTGAGGTCAGGAGTTTGAGACCAGCCTGACCAACACAGTGAAACCCCATCTCTACTAAAAATCCAAAAAATTAGCCGGGTGTGGTGGTGCATGCCTGTAATCCCAGCTACTCAGGAGGCTGAGGCAGGAGAATCGCTTGAACCCGGGAGGCAGAGAGATTGCAGTAAGCCGAGATCATGCCACTGCACTCCAGCCTGAGCCACAGAGCGAGACTCTGTCTCAAAAAAAATAAAAATAGAAAAATTAAAAATTATACTAATCTAAAAACACATAATCAGTTACTGTGTTTTAAGCTGTGAAGCTTAACACCTTGTACTTTTATAGGGTATGTAATATTTGAATGACATACAACTATCCTCTACTTGGGGAGTAGGAATTTCTGCAACAGTGACTGCTCACAATTAATGTCTTCAGTCTCCTCCATTATATGATGTGATGTGGATCTCTGTAAAAGGAAAACCAAAACAAAACAAAACTCTACAAACTCTTTTGTTTGTTGGTTGGTTTTTCTGAGATGGAGTCTCTCTCTGTCACCCAGATTGGAGTGCAGTGGCGAGATCTCAGCTCACTGCAAGCTCCGCCTCCTGGGTTCATGCCATTCTTCTGCCTCAGCCTCCCAGCCTATAGCTGGGACTACAGGCACCTACCACCATGCCTGGCTAATTTTTTGTATTTTTAGTAGAGACGGAGTTTCACCATGTTAGCCAGGATGGTCTCGATCTCCTCACCTTGTGATCTGCCTGCCTTGGCCTCCCAAAGTGCTGGGATTACAGGTGTGAGTCACCGCGCCTGGCCCACAAACTCTTTTGAAAACCATGTAGGGGGAACTAGTGTATGTCCATGCCATAAAATTGCCATTTCCTTGCCATAGTATCAGGATCCTCAAATGGTAGTCCATTTTGATTTTGTAATTCTCTGCTTTCTCCTCTCACCTCTTAAATACCTGAATAGATGTTGGAGGATTGCTCCATTCTTCACTCGGGAGCCTGGTCCCTTTGTCAGTTATAATAAGTGAATCAGGGAGTTTCTCTCTCTGGCTCTGCTCTGTGCATTGTAAAGCAGAGTTTCTCAAAATGTGGAATGAACCCCTGCGTTAGAGCACCTGCACTGAATCCCTGGGTATACTTCTCTTAAAACTGCAGGTTTTTGGTTATATAATGTTATACCAAGGGAATTTTTTAAAAGAGAATGTTTTAAAAAGGTATTTCAAGACAATAAGGAGCTACTTGTTTGTAAGAGTTCTACAGAAACCAAAAATTATGCGAATTCATACTTTTGGGAATCTTATCTTTTCCAAGGACTTTGTTAACTATTTCATCAACTCTAAGGCAGTTAAGAATAAACACAGTTAAACAGGTACTTCAGGCTGGATGTGGTGGCTCACGCCTGTAATCCCAGCACTTTGGGAGGCCGAATTGCTTGAGTCCAGGAGTTCGAGACCAGCCTGGGCAACATGGCAAGACCCCATCTCTACAAAGAATACGAAAAATTAGCCACGTGGTGGTGCATGCCAGTAGTCTCAGCTACTCAGGAGGCTAAGGTGGGAGGATCACTTGAGCCCAGGAGGTCGAGGCTGCAGTGAGCCGAGATCATGCCACTGCACTCCAGCCTGGGTGACAGTGAGGCCCTGTCTCAAAAAAAAAAAAAGAAAAGCAAAAAAATCCCAGAAATCTACGTACTTCAACTAAAATTCAAAAACTTTCTGCTTGTGCCCTACCTGCCTAGATGACCAACTTCATCTAGGTGATTTTTTTTTTTTTTTTTTTTTTTTTTTGCTCTCCAAAATTCTACTTGCATATGCTGCAAAAACCCAGGATGACTTTTGAGGAGAGAGAGAGAGTCTTTGAATAAAAGCACAACGTGTTAGATCTTTTATTTCTGTATCCCTCAGTTCTGAGCAAAATGCCCACACAGTAGGATCTCGGTAAATCTTCCTGTCTCTTGGAGTGGACTTCCTTTAGGATACAGCAAGTTCTGACCGTGACTTCCTAGGAAAGAGTCCTCCCCACTAAAAGAGTGGAATAGAGTCAGTGGTCATTTCAGTCACTAAATTCTCCTGCTGGTGATGCCAAAGGCAAGACTAGATCTGCTAGTGATGCTGATTTTAAGTGCATAGATACTTTTCTGTGTTTCCATAAAATGCCAGAAAATGAGCTGCTCAGCCAAACCCTGTGCCACAGTAAGGGGAACCTTGAAAGAAAGAGGCAAAAGGCAACATACACCAACTATGAGGAATAAGGAATACACCAACCTTGAAAGAAAGAAGTAAAAGACACATACACCAACTATGAGGAATAAGGCAAATGGCTCTTCGAAGAGGCTCAAGGCCATACCAGTCCTCTCAGTTCCAGAGGGGAGGGGCCCAGAGGAGTCATCTCCCAGCAGGGTGAGAACCAAAAGGTTGGTGAGGTACTGAGGCTACCCATGGAGGAATTTGGGAGGGAATAAACACCTACATCCACACAAGTCCTTTAGAAGATTTTTAGCAGCAAGAGTTGGCTACTAATAGGTCAGCCCTCTTACCTAAAATGACGCAGTTGCTTTCTATGAAAGCATGATTTTGATGCTCAGCACTCCACAGATACATACTATGTAAATGTTATCACCATGCACGAGTTCATACTGTTGCATAGAACTAGCTGGCAAGTGAGAAACAAAGTGCCAGTTTCTATGTAGGCAGTGTTTCCACAGTTACTTCAGCCCTTTCTACCCCAGTACAGCAGAATTCTGGGTAGTGTAAATAATTGATGAATTCAAGCATTGGTACATTATATAGGGGCCAGTTAGAGACCCATGTAGGTATTTTCTCTGTTATGGTTCTTCTAAAAAAGTTTTTATCTTGTTAATACTGGTTTTGACTTTTTTATTTTTTTATTATTATACTTTAAGTTCTAGTGTACATGTGCACAACGTGCATTTTTGTTACATATGTATACATGTGCCATGTTGGTGTGTGCCGCACCCATTAACTCGTCATTTACATTAGGTATATCTCCCATTACTATCCCTCCCCCCTCTCCCCACTCCACGACAGGCCCTGGTGTGTGATGTTCCCCTTCCTGTGGTTTTGACTTTTTTTTTTTTTTTTTTAAACATAGAATCAACAGTTCGATACAGGTAGAGGATTCATTAATGAGAATGCATCTTTCACTACTGTGCAATGAATATTTGATGGCATTTTTATTCCCCTGAAATGTTCAGGTGCTGTAAATACTTCTGAAAAAGCTTTTCAGGGAGTTCACATTACTTCTCAGAATAGGCTAATGTTTGTTTGTATCATACTTCTAAGATAGAATGGTGGTCTCCCCGTCCCCCATGTCATATGTCTCTCTCATAACCCCATGAAAAGGTGTAGAAGAGATTCTCCATGTGGAAAATTTCTGTGAGGTTTCAGAAGCCTATAACATTATTCCCATAATTGACTGATCTTTAACTTGCCATTCTTAAGTAAGAGGATTCAATTAAAAAAATTTTTGTTTTACTTCGCCAACATCAGTGGTCAAGTGTTTCTCTAATTTGTTTTGAACTGCGTGGCAGGAGTGGAATTTGAGCCCACACCTCCCTACAAAGACCAGAATCATTTCTTTTTTATAAAACTCTGAGAATAGTGATACTGCTTTGCCAAAAATGAAAAGACTTTCTATAAGCACATAGACAAACATGATGAGTGGGTATGAAATGCTTACCAGTAATGGTAGTCATAGGTTGTATAATCTTTCTGTGCTAAGAATTAGCAGTAGGTTGGCTAGTCATTGGCCTGGGATGGCTTGATGTGACCCAGCTTCCAGGTAGGAACCTAAATCAGATACCAAGAGACTTTTCTACCTCAGGAACCTAAACACAGAACAGAGCACCCTCCTCAAATCTATCAAGTCAGTTAATTGTTAAATTCATAATTCCACAGTTTGTAATCACTCTTATGGATGGTTAGGCAGTTAACTAGCCATATGGAAGTGATAGGGAATTCCAATCAAGGTAAAATTGAGCAGCAGAGTGAAAATGCAAAAGCTTTCTAGTTTTTATTCTATATGGGAAGATGAGTTCTGGAGCTGCGAAGAACACCTGGTTAATGAGTTCTTGAGACATGTCTAATAGCTTTTCCCTAAGGCTAGGGACATGAGAAATAATCATGAAATTTGAGAGAAAGGAGATTTAAGATAAGGTTGTCAAAAGGGATAAGTATTTTAAAGACACCTCAGCCTACTGGACTTTTGGTTGCATGCAAAATAGAGTATACAGCCTGGGAGTGCACAGCCAGCTATGAACTTCCTGATTCACAGTGAATGTTATTTTTTGCCTCTGCATGCACCTCCCTTGCTCTGACTTGCCCTGCTGTGCCGTGGCCTTCCACACCTTCTGCATGACTGGACTTTGCCTTCAGCGTCTTCACATGGCCTGTAGGGCACAGCCTCTTGCAAAGGAAGTGCTCAGAAGGTATATTTAGAAATGAATTTCCTAAACAGTTGAAAGTATCCTTCATAAACAAAAGGACTGATTATATTTTTTCCTCTCTTTTTTTGATGATTAAAAGCATTTTAAATACTATTTTTTTTGTCTTGATTGATTAAAGGAAATACTATGTATGGCAGAATATTGGCAGTGAGTAGAAATTCAAAGCAGGCTTAATATTGACTTTATGGAGAGATAGGGAAAGGCCAATTAAATAATGAAAGTAAAGGCTTACATAATATTGTATACTAATGTAATTAAATAAATGTGGAAAAATCCGTGTATTTAAATGGGGGGTCTGAATCTAACACCTCACCACTCACTTTCTAATAGAAGCTATTTTTGTAAGTGTGTGGGAGTCTGGCAATATCCTTTCAGATAGAAATCATTGTAGGTTTAAATCACTGATATAGCATGGATTAAGCAGATGAAAGCAATGAAGGAAGAGCCTGTTTAGATTCCAGAGAATAAAATTCATAGAACTGTGAGAGGTGGAGCTTGAAATACTGCCACAGTTTTGAAGTTGTTTTAGTGACATCATGTTTCTATGCATGATTCTTACATATGTATCAAAGTGTGGGAGTATTCATCTTCCAGAATTCTAGAATTCATGATTTTGTAATCTAGCCTATCAAGTGATTCACATACAAAGCCTTTCTTTTTTCCTGAACTGTTGAATTTGGATAAATTGTGAATTGTGTTTTTTTTTTAAACTAGTAAAGTGGTATCTTTTGGAATTGCTTCTTAATTGTCTATGGTAAGGCATAAGGCACGTTGCATGTTGCTTTTCAAAATATCTTGATATGATAAAGTGCAGTTCAGAACTGTAATAAAAGGGGCTATTTTTTAATATCCCAGAGAGTTTAATTATAAAATAATTTTGTAGTAACATGATCTTTGACCAAATTTCCGTCTAGCATTGTAGATCTTCATTTTGTATATTTTCTTTAGTTTTATGACAAGAATAATAATACTCATTCTCCTCCTCATATTTTCTTAGGACCTGAGTAAGTACTACAGCTTGATGCTCAGTCCTCACTTACTGTGGCTAATTCGAGAGACACTTGATACTGAAATGCAAGATCTGGTGTTACTCAGCACTGGTTTATGAGCACCAGGGGCTATGCTTTTTGCTATATACACATCACAGTCTGCCTTCATAGTACCCCTGCAGAGGAGGTGGTATTGTGCCTGTTGTACAGGGTAAGAAACAAAGGTTCAGAAAACTTCAGTAACTCTTTCAAGGCTTGAGGTCACACCACAAAGAACGTAGTTTATCCAGGATTTGAACTCAGCATTCTGTTACCCCACAGCCGTTGCTCTTTCTGTTGTGCAGCATTGATTCTCTTGTAACTTTGTCTATTTTCATAAATTAATTTGTCTCTAGGAACAGGCAGCTTTCTCTCTTCTAGATGTTATGACCTATTTTCTGTCTCATAACATGGCCAAGTACATAATTTGAGACTGTGTTTTTTATTGTTTGTCTTACGTTGTTTTTCAGCAAATAAACATTAACCAAAATCAGGTAGCCAAGATGCCAAATCATGTAGCAAACCTACACATAGGGGGAACAAAGAAAAACTGAACATGCTAAGTAAGCCATCTTTTCACCTAGCGTCTTAATTGTGAGGCATATATGTTGCATGTTGCTTGTGAAAGTATCTTAGTATCATAAGATGCAGTTCAGAATTGTAATCAAAGAAGGGGCTATTTTTTAGTCTTCCAGAGAGTTCAGTCTCCCCCCCCTTGGGCATGCACCCTGGGGCTTTGGGACCTCAGAGGTTCTTTTTATTAGCTTAATTGTTTAGCTCGTTAACTGTTCCCTTGTGCTTTCCTAGTAAGGGGCACTTCCCTACTAGAAGGGGATGAACTCCAGCTGGTATTGAGGTCATATGAGTGTAGTTTTGATTGAAAAAAAGAACAACATGGACACAAATATTGGCCATGACAGGTAGATATCAAATAGTTCTTTCATATATTTTAATTTTAATTTAATTTAATTTAATTTTTTTTTTTTTGAGACAGAGTCTCGCTCTTGTTGCCCAGGCTGGAGTGCAATGGCGCCATCTCGGCTCACCGCAACCTCTACCTCCTGTGTTCAAGCAATTCTCCAGCCTCAGCGTCCCGAGTAACTGGGATTATAGGCATCCGCCACCGTACCTGGTTAATTTTTGGATTTTTAGTAGAGACAGGGTTTCACCATGATGGCCAGGCTGGTCTTGAACTCCTGGCCTCAGGTGATCTGCCCACCTCGGCCTCCCAAAGCACTGGAATTACAGGCATGAGCCACCACCCAGCCGAATTTTTATTTTATTTTTCTGAGACAGAGTCTTACTCTGTCACTCAGGCTGGAGTACAGTGGCACAATCTAGGCAGAGGCAACCTCTGCCTCCCAGTTTCAAGCGATTCTCGTGACTCAGTCTCCTGAGTAGCTGGGATTACAGGTCAGTGCCACCACGCCCGGCTGATTTTTGTGTTTTTAGTAGAGACATGGTTTTACCATGTTGTCCAGGCTGGTCTTGAACTGACCTCAATTGATCCACTCGCCTCGCCTCCCAAAGTGCTGGGATTATAGGCGTGAGCCACTGTACCTGGCCCATTTTTTTTAAAAGTGAAAAACCAAACTAAAGTGTGATAATAGTTTTGAACATTTAGTGGAGTGTAAGAAAAGAGAACCCATTTGACTCAGGTTCACTGATAAAGGGTTCTATTTCCTTTTCTAGGAGTTGAGCATTGCTGTTGGTTTTGTGGGAGGTAATATTTACACAATCATACTGCTGTGGATGTAGCTAAATAGTTTATTGGTTAATCCCCACACAAGACAGGAAAGATGTAATTATAACTACAGAGAGAAAACAATCATCAAGGTTTTAAAATCTAGCAATGCAAAGGGAGTGAAAGAGCAGACAGAAGCCTGAGGCTAGAAGGCAGGAAAAGAGGCAGGAGGGAGAGGGACCTTGGTACTCATTTTCTTCTTTTACATGGTGGGATGTAGAGAAATACTGTGTAATACTGCTGAAACAGGAAACAGAGCTAACCAATTGAAGGACTAAAAATAGTATAATCAAGAAAACTAGAGACAAAATAGAGGTGAAGTAAGTGTGAATGAGTTAGATACGGGGGAGGCGGTAAGTCAGTAGATTCTGTCTGAAGTTGACACATCAGGGATAGAAGCCTGTCATTTCGTTAAGCTGATCACCATAGAAGGACTGTAAAAGCAATAATGGAAGGGAGTGGAAATGGGGAGTATGGGCCCAGAGACACTTACTTTCCACTTTTTACCATGCTTCTGTTTAGGAAAAGTTACCTGCACATGTATTACTTTTCATATAATTTAAGAAAAAGGAAGAATTTCAGCAAATTGTAGATGTACAGTGTCAGGAATAATTTTCCACGCATACTATGACATTACTGTTATTACTAGGGTACCAGGGACTGCTGTTGCCACTGGTGGAGGGTTCTGGTTTCCAAAGAATCAGGACAAGGGGGTTAAGTTGGGGCAAGGTGACAGATAACTACACCCATGATCCCATTCAGGTATTCAACTGGTTTCATGGTTGGATCCTGATCAAAATATGGCAGAAGTATTTAGATAGAAGAAACATAAAGGAAAGAACCCCACTAGCCTTCTTCAGACTTGCAAAGTGAAAATGTTCCTCCTATAAGGGGCTGCTGGGGAAGCCCAGCACCCTGGCTAATGCTCCAGGGTTGCAGAACCCCGCTTCTTGTTCTGGGATGCCATGGCCATTCTGGAGAGTGCATGTCTGCGTTGCCTTTGTTTTCTCTAGTCTGAGGAGTGGCTGAGCTTCAGGGCACTGACTTCCTCCCAGGAACTTCCTGAAAGGGGAAATTTCGACTTTGCTGTATGAACACTCTGAATGCCTGTGGGTTGAACAATGGTAGCTGCTGTTGTTTTTTTTTCAAGAGGGAGCTCAATTTTGTTTTGACCTTGGGAAGTGTGGATAGTTGTGTTCATGGCGCCTCCATGTGGGCGGTCAAGGAAGAAAGTCTTGGGGTAGGAGCCCTTGGAGAATGAGGACTTGATTTTGCCATTTTTGCTTTTGGCCTTAATCTGTGTTGTTGTGGAGACAGTAGTACTGAGATGGGGTTAGGGTGGGGAATGGAGTGTGGAGAAGGGCCAGGGAAGGAGCTAACTAGAGGGTTAGTGCCAATAGCTGAAGGAAGCGCTCTGCCTTAGGAGGCTTTATAAATAGTTGCCTTTATCCAGTGTGTCTCATTTTGCCTCTCTCAGGCCTAATTTCTAAATAATCCCATTTTTCAAGATAAAGGAGATAAAAAGGGGTACTCTGAGATTCTCCCAGCAGGTGTGAAATCCTGCCTAATAATTGTAGCTGCAGATTTCTCTATCAGGAATTGATTTGCTGTTAATATAGTCTAGTGCTTGATGCTTGCAAAGTCATATGCCTTTGGGATTCAGGCAGGTGGTTTTAAATGAGTGACACTGGGTGGGACCTCTGGCCAACTAAAACCTTATGGCTCATTGAAGCTGTTGTTCAGCTTTGAATGTTGCCATGTATGGAGAGCAGGTTTTTAGGCTTGCCAGAGCTTCCAGTTTTTCCAGGTAAATAAAATATCTGCTTTTTATGTGAAATCTCTTGGATTTTAAATGTTGCCAACTAATCGAAAAGCTTAAAACTATTGTCTAGAATTAAAAAACAAGCCTGGGCCGGGCGTGTTGGCTCACGCCTGTAATCCCAGCACTTTGGGAGGCTGAGGTGGGTGGATCACGAGGTCAGGAGTTTGAGACCAGCCTGACCAATATGGTGAAACCCCATCTCTGCTAAAAATGCAAAAATTAGCCAGCGTGGCAGCGCGTGCCTGTAATCCCAGCTACTTGGGAGGCTGAGGCAGGAGAATCACCTGAACCTGGGAGGCGGAGGTTGCACTGAGTTGAGATCGTGCCATTGCACTCCAGCCTGGGCAACAGAGCGAGACTCTGTCTCAAAAAAAACAAAAACAAAAACAAAAAAAAACCAAAAACCAAAAAACAAAAACCAAGCCTGTTGAGTGGATAGTTTTTGGCTGCCAATTTTTACCACTGGTTAGGACTCTTAACACCTGACCCCAGTTGTTCTTCAGCCTTGATTGTTGAAAATGAGCTGAACATTTACTGGGCACTTTACTTTGTGTTCTACCTTTTTCTAAAAGCATTTAAAGATGCTTTTGTTAAATATAAACTAATATAAATTAGAAGCAGGTGGAAGACAAAAAGTTAAAACAACTGCAGGATAGTAAATGGAATCAGAATGAAATGATACACATAATGTCAGTGAACCTCAAACTGGGCATGGAGCTTGCTAGCAACTGGCATAACATAGAAGCCTTATCAGTTATACCACTTGTAGTATCTTTAAAACAAACTGTTTAACAGTGACATGGCTCTTCCCGATGCCAGGATCAGAAGGACAGCTCTCAGAAGGGTCTTCAAAAGAACACACTGAATCCTATGACTCTCATTGCAGTGAGAGCTTTATAGGATTGTTCTTCCTGTTGCTCTCCATTAAAAGGCCGATAACGGGGCTGAGCGCAGTGGCTCACGCCTGTAATCCCAGCACTTTGGGAGGCTGAGGCGGGTGGATCATGAGGTCAAGAGATCAACCATCCTGGCCAACATGGTGAAACCCCGTCTCTACTAAAAATACAGAAATTAGCTGGGCATGGTGGTGTGCGCGTGTAATCCCAACTACTCGGGAAGCTGAGGCAGAAGAATTGCTTGAACCTGGGAGGAGGAGGTTGCAGTGAACCGAGATCGCGCCACTGCCCTCCAGCCTGCTGAGAGAGCGAGACCTTGTCTCAAAAAAAAAAAAAAAAAAAAAAGGGGGGGCTGATAACAGTAAAAGTGTAGTTTGGGAAATGAGATACTAGCAATGGGACCTTGGGTAAGTTGCCCTATTTTTCTAAACCTGTTTCCTTATCTGTATAATGAAGATAATTATATTAATACAAAGCAACCACTCTCAAAGGACCATTGTGAGGCTTAGCTGGTACAGTTTGAATAAAGCACTTATTGCAGTTCTTGGTACCCAGTAAGCATTCTGTAAAAGTTGGCTGTGGTGAGTTAGAGAATTGCTAGCAGTGAGAGCTTAGTTGTCAGAATGATTTAAATGTGACTGTCCAAGATTTATTTACGGCACTTAAATGTTTTCGTTTGCTGCAATACAATTTTTTATCCCACTTAATCCTGGGTCACCAAAAAAGTGTTGAGTTACTTATGTACAGAGGATTTTGCAAGGCTCTAGGGGATGGGCCCTGTAGGGAACTTGTATTTTGGCTAACTAGGTAAAGACACAATACAAGACAGGGAGCACCAAGGGCCATCTGAGCAAGGCTGAGTCGATCCATTGAGGGGTTGTCACAGTGGGCTGATACCAAACTAAGACTTCACAGTGATCCACTTTATTATTTGGCAGGTAGAATTTTATAGTTTGAATCATTCCAAACACTGTACAAGAATATTTCAAGCTATGCAACAAAGTAAAATGAGGATTTACCTGAGTATTTTGTATGAATCATTATAGGAGCAAGGTGAACAGCAGCAATCCGTCATGCTTTGCAGTTTGTATTAATTAAACCTTAGAACGTGGGGTAGTTAGGTTGAGCCATCCTTTGCATATTTTTTCATTACAGAGAGTCTTCTCAGCTGGCCTTGGGGCATGCAGAGAGGTGGAGATCTGTGTGAGCAGCTATAGCACTAGGCAGCCTTGCATCCTGGGTGTTGAAAGTGCAGGCCATTATCCTCCCCTCTGACCTCCAAGATGTTAGGTGGCCTTTCTGTGCCTCAGTTTTATCATCTGTAAATTGGGTATGATTGTACTAGTGCCTAGTACATAAGGAGTGCTGCAAAGATTACATGAGTGTCTTTAAAGTCCTTACAACAGTATCTCACACATAGTAAGCATGGCATGTGGTAGTTACTATCATTAGTCCCTCTTGGAGCAATGTATATTAAAATTTTAAAGACAGCTGTCTGGTCAGGATTGGACATGCAGCCTGTAGTTTCAGAACAGAATGCAGCTGACTGTGTACATGGGGATAACTTTATAATGCCCTGGACCTCATTAGCTCATGGCTGTGGAATGGATGGGGGCATCTGGAGGGTCCCTGTTTCAGACCCAGAAATTGAAAGCTCAGCCCCAGCCTCAGCTCCAGCTTACTTGCTCTGTTGATATATGGCGAGTTCTTCAGTGTCTTAAAGTTTCTTTGTGCCTACAAAACAGGCTTAACCTTTCATTCTTGGTGTGTGCTGAATTTTCATAAGAAATTCAGGAATATAATGGTTGGATGAATGAGTTATATTTTAAAGATTATTAAAAATTAAAGGAGATGCAAATATAACAGCTAAATATTATTGCTTTGACTTCTAGGTTTTTGTAAGAATCTAAGTATATAGTATTCACCATATGAGAAAATTAAGTTTTACCTTATTATATAATAACCCAGTAAGGACTTTAGTTAATTGTTCAATTTTTTAAAAAAAATTTCCTGGAAATCTCTAAGATTGAACATGAAGACCCAGAAAATGACTTCATTGCCCCCTACTTTGAGTCTCACTCTGTCGCCCAGGCTGGAGTGCAGTGGCACAATCTCAGCTCACTGCAGCCTGTGCCTCCCACATTCAAGCGATTCTCCTGCCTCAGGCTCCCAAGTGGCTAAAGATCATAGGCACACGCCACCATGCCCAGCTAATTTTTGTATTTTTAGTAGAGACAGGGTTTCATCATGTTGGCCAGGCAGGTCTTGAACTCCTGACTGCAAGTGATCTGCCTGCTTTGGCCTCCCAAAGTGCTGGGATTACAGGTGTGAGCCACTGCACCCGGCCATTGCTTCCTATTTCTATGTTTCCCTCAAAGAATTGACTTGAATCTCAGTGTGGTTGTGAACTCTTCCTAATGAATTTCTGCTCCTTCTGCTGACAGCATTTTCCATACACGTTAGACCTGCTTTTTTGGGAGAGTTGTTCTGAAGTGAGTGGTTCACAGAAATGAGGGCATACACCAGCTGCGTGTAAAAATATGCCCCTGCCCTTACTGCTGCACATGCAGGGACAAGGACTGGGGAGCCTTGCAGTAGAGCCAGGTAGCTCAGCCTACTTGTGTCTGAAGATGTGGGGCTGATGTCGTGAGTTCTGTTTAGGAGTAGTTCATTTCATGTTTTCCTTAAAGGATAATTTTTGGCCATTCCCACACATTTATTCTTCATATAAAATTTAGAATCATTTGTTAACCTCTAAAAAAACCCCATTGGTTTTGAATGTGATCACACTAAACATATAGATTGATTTTGGGAAAATTTATACTTAAAGTCCAGTAATGTGGTATGTCTTGTTTTTTTTTTTTTTTCCTTTCTTTTTTAAATGTCTTCTCCTTTTTACTTAAGTAAAGGAATTTTTTTTTTTTTTTTGAGATGGAGTCTTGCTGTTGTCACCCAGGCTGGAGTACAATGGTACGATCTCGGCTCACTGCAAACTCCACCACCCGGGTTCCAGCAATTCTCCTGCCTCAACCTCTTGAGTAGCTGAGATTACAGGTGCCCACCACCACGCCCGGCTAATTTTTGTATTTTTAGTAGAGATGGGGTTTCCCCATGTTGGCCAGGCTGGTCTCGAACTCCTCAGGTGATCGATCCACCCGCCTCGGCCTCCCAAAGTGCTGTGATTACAGGTGTGAGCTACCGTAACTGGCCAGTAAATGAAATCTTGTCCTTTTATTTATATGGGTCCTACGTTTCCTGTTAAATTTATTCCTAGTTATTTTATATTTTGTTTTTGATTGTTGTAGTGAATAGACTTCTTAAATTGTATCTTGTAACTAGTACTTACTTATTATGGAAAAGCTGTTGGGTTTTTCACATTTATTAGTGGGCTTATGAAGCCCATTTACTGAATTGCCTGAAAATGGAACCGATGTTACTTGCATTTGTTTTGTGAACAAAGGAAAAAAAAACAGTATGAGAAACTTATATTTTAATTTTATTCTCTGTTAGACTCTACAGTGCATCCTGGGTCCCTCTTTTTACTCACTGTTGTGTCCCTAGTACCTGCCTCAGGATTTGCCATGGTGCGTGCACGATTAATATTTGTAGAATATTTCTTAACTTTCTTAATTCTATAATAGTTTTTTCTCTTGGGTTTTTTAAAGAAAAGCAATTATATCATCCCCAAATACTAATGATTTTGTTTCTAGTATTTTTTTTTCATTTTAATTGTTATTATTTTGGCTAGAACTTTCCTTGTAATATTCAATGATAGTCACCCTGTTGCAGATGACACGATTGTACATTTAGAAAACCCCATCATCTCAGCCCAAAATCTCCTTAAGCTGATAAGCAACTTCACCAAAGTCTCAGGATACAAAATCAGTGTGCAAAAATCACAAGCATTCCTATACACCAATAACACACAAACAGAGAGTCAAGTCATGAGTGAACTCCCATTCACAATTGCTACTAAGAGAATAAATACCTAGGAATACAACATACAACTTACAAGGGATGTGAAGGACCTCTTCAAGGAGAACTACAAACCACTGCTCAGGAATAAGAGAGGACACAAACAAATGGAAAAACATTCCATGCCCTTGCCAGAACTTCCAATACTATATTGAATAGGAGTGGTGAGAGAGGGCATTCTTGTCTTATGCCGGTTTTCAAAGGTAATGCTTCCAGTTTTTGCCCATTCAGTATGATATTGGCGGTGTGTCTGTCATAAATAGCTCTTATTATTTTGAGATACGTTCCATTGATACCTAGTTTATTGAGAGTTTTTAGCATGAAATGCTGTTGAATTTTGTCGAAGGCCTTTTCTGCATCTATTGAGACGATCATGTGGTTTTTGTCGTTGGTTCTGTTCATGTGATGGATTACGTTTATTGATTTGCGTATGTTGAACCAGCCTTGCATCCCAGGGATGAAGCCATCTTAATTGTGGTAGATAAGCTTTTTGATGTGCTGCTGGATTTGGTTTGCCAGTATTTTATTGAGGATTTTTGCATCGATGTTCATCAGGGATATTGGCCTAAAATTCTCTTTTTTTGTTGTGTCTCTGCTAGGCTTTGGTGTCAGGATGATGCTGGCCTCATAAAATGAGTTCGGGTGGATTCCCTCTTTTTCTGTTGATTGAAATAGTTTCGGAAGGAATGGTATCAGCTCCTCTTTGTACCTCTGGTAGAATTCGGCTGTGAATCCGTCTGGTCCTAGACTTCTTTTTGGTTGGTATGCTATTAATTATTGCCTCAATTTCAGAACCTGTTATTGGTCTATTCAGGGATTCAACTTCTTCCTGGTTTAGTCTTGGGAGGGTGTGTGTATCCAGGAATTTATCCATTTCTTTTAGACTTTCTAGTTTATTTGTGTAGAGGGGTTTATGGTATTCTCTGATGGTGGTTTGTATTTCTGTGGGATCGGTGGTGATATCCCCTTTATCATTTTTTGTTGCATCGATTTGGTTCTTCTCTCTTTTCTTCTTTATTAGGGGTCTATTTTGTTGATCTTTTCAAAAAACCAGCTCCTGGATTCATTGATTTTTTTTGAAAGGTTTTTTATGTCTGTATCTCCTTCAGTTCTGCTCTGATCTTAATTATTTCTTGTCTTCTGCTAGCTTTTGAATTTGTTTTCTCTTGAGTCTATGGTTCTTTTAATTGTGATGTTACGGTGTTGATTTTAGATCTTTCCTGCTTTCTCTTGTGGGCATTTAGTGCTATAAATTTCCCTCTACACACTGCATTAAATGTGTCCCAGAGATTCTGGTACGCTGTGTCTTTGTTCTCATTGGTTTCAAAGAACATCTTTATTTCTCCCTTCAAATCTTAGTCTATGTTTTTAAAGTTAATGTTTTAAGGATGAATAGGCAGAATGGGAAGAGGACTGCCCCTGCCTTCAACCCCAGATTTTGATTATAGCCCACCATACTGCCTTTGAAAAGCCATAGGTGCCTCTCTTCCTGATGTGTGTGTGCAGTTGGGCCGTTGGTAACTTTTTGATAACACTGAATCAAGTTGGGAAGAAAACTTGTGTCCAGGGCAGATGTGATGCAGGTTTGCAATGTGGAACTGAGCAGGAGCACGGGGCAGAGTAGAGAGGAGGAGTTTGTGACTCAGTCAGTTTTTTTTGTTTGTTTGTTTGTTTTTTTTTTTTTGTGGAGATGGAGTCTTGCTCTGTTGCCTAGGCTGGAGTGGAGTGGCATAAATCTGGGCTCACTGCAACCTCCATCTCCCGGGTTCAAGCGATTCTTCTGTCTCAGCCTCCCAAGTAGCTGGGATTACAGGCGTGCACCACTGCACCTGGCTAATTTTTGTGTTTTTGGTAGAGACAGCGTTTCACCATGTTGACGAGGCTGGTATCAAACTCCTGACCTCAGGTGATCTGCCCGCCTCTGCCTCCCAGAGTGCTGGGATTACAGGCATAAGCCATCACTTTCGTAACAAGGTTCAGATCTTTGGCTCATGAAGTTGCTCATGAAGAATTTGGTGGTGAGTTAGAGAAATGGGTACTGGTCTCTGTGTCTACGGAATGCATGCCTGAAATTAAGACAACACTTTGCTCCTTTTGCCTTACATTTAGTAGGCATGCATTACATGCCTGATGGATATATGAATTTGATGCCTTCACATATTTAAAGAAAGAGCTGCCCCCAATTTCCTGGAAAATCCATAGTGTTGAACTGTTGATGTGGCTAGAAAGTAAGCTGGGTTGTTTTCCAGTGCTCTTCAAACTACTGAAGATTTTGCTGTGCGATATTTAAAACTGTTAGTGTATTAGTAAAATTCATAGTATGTACTTATATAAAACATACATTAGTATAATCTGTATTATATATAATGTAACCTCTCTTCCATCATCTACATTTTATGACTTTTTGTTTCTAAGTTGGCCTTAATTGTATTCTTCCATGTCAGGAAATGTTAAATTGGCTGTCGCATCAGGCTAATTGTATAGGGAGGCAAGATCTTGGGCAGTAAAGCTAATTCCTGAGTTTAAATTGGAAACTTTGATGATTGCATTAACTTTCAGTCCAGCAAAAATTCTTAAATTGATGCTTTAGGGCGCTGGATGGTAATTCGGGTGTGTTAGAAAATTACAGGGAATCACAGGAGTGTGAAATCATTAAGAAAACCACAGTTGTATTTACCACCTGCCAGGTGGAAAGGCCAGAGGGAGAATTGGGGTGTTGAATAAGACTGAATGGGCTGCTTGGCTGCATTATGAAGGAGTTACTGTATCTCCCTGGATTAGCAATAACAGACCTGGGGGTGCATGCAGACCAACGGCAAACCTCAAAGAGTAAATATGCTTTAATTTCTTCAGGGAGAAAGTGAAGTCCTACCATGATTGGTTGAAAATATTTTTATCTGGAGTAAGCTCTTGGCTCCGCCATCACACCTCACTAGGCAGAAGAGCACTGTCCATTAAGGTGCCCTCACCTGGGTGCATTTGCTGGTGGCATCACTTCCCCCAGACTCTCTGGGAGCAGAATCACCTTGCCACAGGAGGTGATTTCCCATAAAATCCCCATACTTAGGGGTTACTTAGCCAGTGAATTCTGGCTCTGGTATTCTCTCTGAGTTCCTCTTTAAGAGCCCCGGCATAATTGTGTCTCTGTTTTGGCAAACGGCACTGTCTTGCCTTTGGTTTGGTACACTTACGAAAATTAATTTGGAATGAAATGTAATTGAAGGCCATTTACATCTGATGGCCAGATCTATTAGAACAGAGCAGTGTTGTGGATTGGGAAATGGAAAGCATTTGAGATAGTGTCTGGGAAATACATTCAATACATAGAATGTCACTGCCTTGTCTAATAGCCTAATTTAAATTACTTTTTTGCTTTGCTATTGCATTAGGTTGTTCCAGATAAACTTTGTAGTTCAAGAGGAAGGAAACTGTATGGTAAATAAACACTTAGGCATCCTGATACATCTATTATCATTTGTATAAGAATTGGAAAACACTTAAAGGAAATCTTTAGTTTTTGATTCCTCTAATGAAAAAAGGAATATAATTCACCTTTTGAATTTATTGATTCATTTAGCCTGTAGGGATTTAATTTCATCTGAAGTGGTCCTGAAATATTTTATTCTAAGCAGACAACATCCATGGTATTTTTGTTTCTGCCTTTCTACCGTTTCAGTTCTTTATCTTTAAAAAAAAATTTGACATATAATTTACATAATATAAAATTCACCATTTTAAGTATACTCAGTGGTTTTTTTAAGTATACTTATCACTGAATTATAAAGTGATTATAATGTATACAATTCAGTGGATAGTATACTCGCAGAGTTGTGCAACCATTACCACCATCTAATTGCAGAATATTCCTATCATCCCAAAGGGAAACCTAAACATGTTTTTTTGTTGTTGTTTATTATTATTTTTTTTAGATGGAGTTTCATTCTTGTTGCCCAGGCTGGAGTGCAATGGTATGATCTCGGTTCACTGCAACCTCCGCCTCCCAAGTTCAAGCGATTCTCCTGCCTCAGCCTCCCAAGTAGCAGGGATTACAAGGCATGTGCCACCATGCCCGGCTCATTTTGTATTTTTAGTAGACATGAGGTTTCACCATGTTGACCAGGCTGGTTTCGAACTGCTGACCTCAGGTGATCCATCCGCCTCAGCCTCCCAAAGTGCTGGGATTACAGGAGAGAGCCACCGCGCCCAGCAGACCTGAACATTTTAACAGTCACTCCCCATTCTTCCTTCCCCCACCTCTGATAACCACTAATCTACCTAATATGCCTATAGATTTGCCTATTTTGGACTTTTCAAATAAATGGAATCATATGTGGCATTTTGTGGCTGGCTTCCTTGAGTCACCATGATATTTTTAAGGGTTATCCATGTTGTAGTATGTGTCAGTACTTGAATTCCTTTTGTTGGTCTTCGAGTGGCTAAGGAGGGGAAACTGAGCACAAGAAGAGGGCACTTTGAGCACAGAGAAAGCTGGACCCGAAATCTACCAACAAGAGCAGAACCTAAATATTGATGAAGAGGGGCTGATTCTAGGCACAGCAGGTGGTGGAAGCCTAATAGTTGTGCAGGTGATTTTATAATGTTAAAAGCACGGAGTGGCCACAGTTGGATCTGACCGAGGGAACTGAATCTTTTCCTCCATGTGAGAGCTGTTGTCAGCCCAACAGGGGTATACATGTACCTGGGACAGGGCAGCTTCCCATTCTGCAATAGTGGCATGATACCCTTTTCCTGAGATGCATTCAGGGTTAAAGAAGATAGTTCACCTACACGTTAGATTTCCCGTGAAGATAAAAAGTCCCAAGTTTTGAAAAGCAGAAGGAATTCTAAAAAGAACTGAAAAACAAAAGCCCATGGGGAGAGTGATGAAATGAGTTTCTGAGAAAGACTGTGAAGAGGGGTTCAAAGCGGCCGCTGACGGACTGCCCGAACCTAGGGCAATGAAAGACCTGGGGCAGGAATTGATGTTGACCGTGGCAGAGGCAGTGGACCTGGTGGGCAGCCCAGAGGAAAAGGCCTTTGGCTTGCTGAGAGAGCTCTTCCAGAACTGAGCAAGAGCATAGTTTGTTGAAGAATGGAGAGGTCCACAGTCCATCTCCTGTGCCAAGGATTAGTATTTCATTTCAAGAAGCGATTTGGTAGTCACAGAGTGAATATTATTATTTTTCCACAAATTCATTACCTCTTTCCCCTCATGAGTATCTTAGCATTGAATTTCCTGACTTTATGATGAATAAACTTTGTTTTAGTGTTTATTAATGCCCTATTTACTTTCCCCTGGGTGAAGTTTTGGCTAGTAATAAGATTTTGTGTCTCTGCTGTAGTGAGGCATTGCTGTAGAAAGCCAGGTCTAAGAAAAATGAATTTTGTTCCTTTGGGGAAGCATAATTACCTTAAAAAAGTTTAAAGTGTGGTTTTCAACTTAGTAAAATCCTATTATAAAGAAAAACGTACATAGCAAAAATTTTGCTTGTAGGTAATACGATCCTAGTAAAATAGAATTTACATTGTCTCTTATAGTTTGTTGTAATAACATTTTGTAATAACAGTTTTTTTGCGATGTAATTGATACTCAGTAAGCTGCACATATTTAATATGTAGAATTTGATGTTTTGTCACTTACATGTGTCTATGAAATCATCACCACCATGAAGATAACAAATATATTCATCAAACCTGAAGGTTGCCTGTGCCTCTTTTTTATCCTCCCTCCCACCTATCTCCCCCTCCAAACACTGATCTGATTCCTGTCACTGCAGACTTACTTGTATTTAGTTACGTTTTACACCTGAGGGAACATACAGTATGTCCACTTTTGCTTGCCTTTTTCCACTCAGTCATTTTTAGATTCATTTATGTTGTTGTGTGTCAATAGTTCGCTCCTTTTTGCTGAGACATATTTTGTTGTATGGATGTACTACATTTTCTTTATCCATTCATCTACTGATGGAGACTTGGATTGTTTCCAGTGTTTGGCTACGACAAATAAAGCTGCTGTGAACATTCATGCATAGGTTATTGATAGATACGTGCCTTTTTTTTTTTTTTTTGCTCGGAGTAAATCCAAGGACTGGAATGGCTGGAACACATTACCAGGGGTATGTTTTACTTTTTAAGAAACTGCCAAGCTGTTTTCCAAAGTGATTTTTAATATTGTGCAGTGTATGAGAGTTCCATATCCTTGCTAGCACTTGGTATAGTCAGTCTTTTAAAAAAATGTTGCCATTTTAAATGGGTGTGAAGTATCTAATTGTGGTTTTAATTTGCCTAATGACTAATGTTGTTGAGTAGTTTCTCATGTGCTTTGCCATCTGTATAACTTTTTCGATAAAGTGTGAAACCTTTTACTGATTTTTTTTCCTTTGGATTACTTGATTTCTTATTTTTTTTGTGTATTAATATTTTCTGGATACAAGTCTGTATGTATGCTTTGCAAGTATTTTCTCCTTGTCTGTGGTTTGTCTTTTTATTCTTTCAGTGTCTTTTGACAAGCAGTTTTTAATTTTGATGAAATTCAGTTTTGGTGTTAATTTGATGGATAGCTGAGTATGATGGGCTGGTGGTCGTAGTTAATTTTAATTGTATGGGAAGTTGAATGGTTTTTGAGGGTGAGGGGACAGGGTTGATTCGTGAGGATTCTGTGGGTGTGGGTGCTTTATATAATTATGGGTGTTGATTGGTGGTAGTTGCTGGTTGAACATTGTTGGTGTTTATGTTGTGATTGAAATTACTCAGGGTAACAGGTTAGATAATTCAGAGTAAAGTAAAAAAGGGTGGAATAAAAAAAGAGGAAATAAAATTTAATTAGGCCTTTTTGAGTAGTTACAGTAATGGAGGCTGTGATCTGGGTTTGTGAAATTGTTTTTGGTATAGACTTTTCTAGTCACATTAGGTCTAATAGAAGTGATACCAGGTTTTGGCTTGTGGATAGGCTTGAGTGAAGGGTTGTACAGTGAATTGTAATTGAGTAAAAGCCCAGTATATTAGAGAAGTTGAGTATTTGTAATGGGTATTTTATCTTAAGATTATTAGTTATAAAAATGAGTTCTGTATTTTTAAATACAGGTGTCTGGTACTACCTATTTACCTCTAAGTACAAGTCAGTGGTATTTCACACTTAATATGTTGTTTTCATTATTACTTAGTTTCTAATACTTTCTAATATCTATTTGATTTTTTTCTTATGTGTTACTTAGAAGTGGTTTTTCTTGTTGTTTTTGTTTTATTTTTAGTTTGCAGATATTTGGAGATTTTTCTAGGTATCTTTCTGTTACTGATCTCTAATTCCATTGTAGTCTGAGACCATATTTTATATGACTCTTCTAAAATTTATTGAGACTGGTTTTATAGCCCAGAATATAGTTTATCTTGATAAATGCTTCAGGTGCACTTGAAAATAATGTTTTTCGTTGTTGTTGGGAAAGCAGCCTATGTCAGTTTGGTTAAGTGGTTAACAGGGTTGTTAAAGTCCTCTATTATCTTTGATGTATTTCTCTCTACTTGGTTTATTGCTTTTCTCTCTACTTGATCTATTAAGTATTGAGAAAGGGGTATTAAAATCTCTGAGTATAATCGTAGACTTGTCCGTTTCTCTCTGCAGTTCCATCATTGTTTGCTTCTCATATTTTGAAGCTTTGTTATTGGATACATAAACATTTAGGATTGTTATGTCCTTTCGATAAGTTAACCGGTTTATCATTATGAAATGATTGTTTTTATTTCTGATAATATTATTTGCATTAAAATCTGTGTCTGTTATTAATATGAGATGACTTCAGAAATTTTGTGGAAAAATTGATTAAAAGATAAAAAGTATTAACTTCATTTCCCAACATAAGCCCCATCACGTTCGAGACACTTTTGTAAGCAATGATACTAGCCATGTAGTCCATTCCTAAAGAATTGAGGGTCCTGATGATTTAACCATGTCAAGGCAGTCTTTTTTACATTATTAACTGTAGAAAAATGGGTGCCTTTTAAATTTTTTTTTAAGATTAGAAAACAAAAATAAGTCAGAAGAAGCCAAATTAGGACCATAAGGTGGATGCCTAATAATTTTCTGTAAAAATTCTCACAGAATTGTCCTTTTTTTGATGAGAGGGAACGAGTAGGAACATTGTTGTGGTGAAGCTTTCCCAGGCATTTTTCTGTTAAAGTTTTGACTAACTTTCTCAAACCACTCTCATAATAAGCAGGTGTTGGTGTTCTTTGGCCCTTCAGAAAGTCAGTGAGCAAAATGCCTTCAGTGTCCCCAAAACCTTTTGTCATGACCTTTGCTCTTGACCCTTCTGCTGCATTTGCTTTGACTTCCACCTCTTCGTAGCCATTGCTTTGATTGTGCTTTTTTTTCAGGATCGTACTGGTAAGGCCATGTTTCATTTCTTGTTATAGTTCTTCAAAGAAATGCTTCAGGCTCTTGATCCTAGTTGTTTAAAATTTCCACGGAAAGCTCCACTCTTGACTGTAGCTGACCTGGGCACCCACTGAGTGAAAAGTTTGCTAAACTTTAATTTTTCAGTCAGAATTATGTAAGTTGAACCAATTGAGATTTCTGTGGTGTCGACTGTTTCTACTGTTAATTGTCAGTGCTTTTCAATTAGGGCAAGATTAATTTTTTCCTCACAAATTGATGTGGATGGTCTGCTGTTGTGGGCCTTATCTTCAGCATCATTTCATCCGTTCTTAAAATGAGCTATCCACTTATAAACTGCTGATTTCTTTGGGGCATTGTCCTCAAAGTGATTTCACCGTTCTTCCACGTGAGTTTCACTATAAATTTGGCATTTGTTCTTACTTCAATTTTAGCAGAATTCGTGTTGTTCTGATAGTGGCGTTTTTCAAACCAGTATCTTCTTATTCTTAGTGCCTCAAACTAGATCCTGTTCAGATATGTTATAACAAGTCTGTATTTTGGTACAAACATTTTTGAAATCCATGCATAGTTTTTTCATAATACACATTTTCCATGCACTGTTTTTTTTTTTTTTTTTTTTTTTGAGACTAAGTTTCACTATTGTTGCCCAGGCTGGAGTGCAATGGCGTGATCTTGGCTCACTGCAACCTCTGCCTCCCGGGTTCAAGCAATTCTCTTGCCTCAGCCTCCCGAGTAGCTGGGATTACAGGTGCCTGCCACCATACCCGGCTAACTTTTTGTATTTTTTATTAGACACGGGGTTTCACCATGTTGGCCAGGCTGGCTTCACACTCCTGACCTCAAGTGATCCGCCCGCCTCGGCCTCCCAAAGTTCTGGGATTACAGGTGTGAGTCTCTGTGCCTGGCCTTCCATGCACTTTTTGAAGACCTCTTGTATATATCCACCATAGTTTTCTTCTAATTAGTGTTAGCATGGTGTATCTTTTCCCCTTCTTTTATTTTTAAACCATTTTTATCTTCATATTGAAAGTGTTTTTTGTAAGCAGTAAATAGTTGTGTCTTTACATGTAAAGTGTCTTTCTCTCTCTGGCTGCTTTTAGGATTTTCTCTCTGTTACTGGTTTTCAGCAGGATGATTATGAACTGCCTCATGTAGTTTTCTTTATGTTTCTACTGCTTGATGTTTGTTGAGGGTCTTAGATCAATAGTGTTATAGTTTTCATTTAATTTGGAAGATTTTCAGATGCTGTTTCTTCAAATATTTTTCCTTTTATATTCCCACCTTTCTCTCTTCTTCTAGTACTCAAATTCCAAGTATATTAGATAACTCGATTTTGTTCCACACTGAGACTGCTCGTTTTTTTCTGTCTTTTTTTCCCTTTGTGCTTCATTTTTGATAATTTCTATTTTTGTGTCATCAGGTTCACATATGTTTTCTTTTCAGTCTCATCTGCTCTTATTTCTATCTGTTGTATTTTTCATTTTAGATACTGTATTTTTAATTGCCAGAAGTTCATTTGGGACTTTAAAAATACATTCCTTTCTCTTTTCTTCATGTTTATGTTTTCCTCTACATTCTTGAGGTGGTGGAACCTAACTAGTACTGCTTTTTAAAAAACATCCTTGTCTTCTGGGTCTAAATTTATTGAGCTTTCTTGGAGTTATGGGTCACCTTTTCCTGTTTCTTTATTTGCCTGATAGTTTTGGGTAAGATGCCAGACATTGTGAATCTTACATTGTTGATTGCTGGATATTTTGGATTCCTTTGAAAAGTGGTGGACTTTGTTCTGTCATGCAGCTGATTTACTTGGGATCACTTCAGTAATTTGTAGTCTTGCTTTTAGGCTTTGTTAGGGTAAGTTTAGAGCAGCCTCTCTTTCATAGTTACTTAAACTTCACTATTACGTTGATACCCTTATGAAAACTCACTGATTCCTTCTTTGTGGTGCAGTGAACCTGTGTGAACCTTGGGAATTGTTCAGACTATGTGTTCCCATGTTTCTTTCTCACCCCACTCACGTGTAGATCATTATTATTGAGCTTCAGGTTCAAGGGCACCCTTCTGCACATCTCAAGAGCTTTCTCTCTGTTCAGCTCTTTCCTTTCCAGCATTCTGTCATGCACATTCTAGGATTCTAAGCCTTTCTCGATTCTGATCTCTGTTTTTCAACCCAGTGAGAGCACTGGGTTCTTTTTGGGATCCTCCTTGCCATGTTGTTGTGTGGAAACTGAAGCCGTGTGGTTATGTGGAGGCAGTCCTAGGATTTACCTTATTTGTATCCCTGTGCTCCTTGTTGTCGTGTGTTAAAACAATTGTATATTTTATTTGACTTCCTGGGCTTTTCCCCCCATTTTATAAGTGAATGAGTATAAATTCAAAGTCTGGTAATATCCATTAGGTTCTAAAAGCATCTACTTTTGTTATTTTAATTTTAAATATAAAAGTGTTACCAGACATTACTTTTAAAGGAAAGAGTAAATGGCTAGAATTTGAACTGTTCTGTTTGTTGGAATCCAAACTATGTGTTTCAAATAATGAAATGTATTAAAGATATGTCATACAGGGAATGATCTCATATATCATTTATGAAATGGTTGCTTGTACAAAATGATTTCCAGGCCTCCTGTGCTCGTTAGTATTTCATTTTAAAGATAGCCATGAAAAATACAGGAAAGGATGTAAACTCTTAAGTTTCTTATTTTTCTGTTTATTCTAGTGTAGTGAATAGATCATTTTTTTTAGGTTAAAGTGATACTTTAGATTCTTTGTGGTTTTAATTTAGCTAGTTTTTCCCATCTTTTGTAAATGATATTTTGTATTGACTATATTTTCTTATTTTCTGTATTATTGATGATCCAGCATTTGGGGCTTTGCTAATCCTAAAGACTCCGCCCTCTCTGGGCTAGCTAATTCCTAGAGTTAACAAGTGACTCCCTGCGGCATGCCTTTCCTGTGCAAACCAATCAGTCCAGAGCACACAGCCACCAACCACCTCCTTTAGCTCTCAGAGATTGAGCCGGGATCTCTCTTCTGTAATATCACTCCAGGGCCAGGGGTAACAGGGCAACTAAGGGCAATCCCTACATACCACAGTCCACTGAAAATATTCAAATTAGCCAATTCTAATTCTGCCTACCTCGCTTTGCCTGTTTCTTTCTGAAAAAACTACAGTAAAGGACCTGACCCATGCCTTCTCCTCACTCCCTCTGCCTCCTGACCCATTCTGGTGTGATGACCAAACAATATCAGTCCTTTTGTCAATTTCTTACTTTCTGAGGTGGCTGGAAGAGAAGGAAATAAAGAGAGCAGAAAAAATGCAATACAAAAATAAAACACAATAAAAGAAAGATGAGCAGGATGATTCCAGTGAGCATAGAATTAAAGCAAGTAGAATTAAAGTTCCCTTACCCTTAATAACAAAACTAAAGCTATACCCATTCTCTTGGTTAAAGAGAATTATATGAATAAAAAAAAAAGAAATGGTGTTGAGTGAAGAGGCAAGGAATCCATTTATCATCCACTGTCATCCTTCTTTCAGAGGATAGAGGTGATATAGCAGGTCCAAATTAGCTTCCACAATTTAGGTTTTACAATCCAAGGGGCTGACGCATGGGTGGAACATGGAGGATTCCTAGAACCATGGTGCCACCTTTTTGGGGGGCCTGAATCTTGACATCCTTAGTTTCCAAAATTCTGCTGTAGAAAAACTGATTGGCATATAGATTTGTAGCAGTCGTTTGGAAAGGAGACTCTTCTGATTTTTTTTATACTTTGAGTATTGGTAAAATATTAAATATTGTGCAAGGTAGGAAGAGAAAAACTCAATGATTTTTAGCAATTATAGAGATAAAAATAATTGAAGGAATAAAACAGTGAGTGAACAAAATATACTGTGCTATAATGTTTTGATAAAAATATTCAAAACGGACTTGTTATTTCCCAAAAAACATACTTTCATGCAGATTGAAATTTGCAAATGATAGTTTAGAAAATTTATCTACAGAATTATTTCTATAAAATCCTGACTTGCAATGGCAGTCTGTTTTTATTTAAAGATTTATTTGTATTTTATGGATATTTAGAATATCACACATTTACTAATAAATTTCACATTATCTGTAAGTATGAAGGATGAACTAAAACATATAAAAATAAAAGTTATATATGAAAACAGATGATTGCAAACTAATGATTCTTTGGATTAAAATACACCAGAAGAAAAGAAAATATTTTATCATAGACTGAAAGTTGGGATATGTAAATGAAGCAAGAGACTTTGGAATGACAGGACAATGTGAGTAGAACAGAAAAACTTTACAAGGTAAATTAATTATTTTAGGGAGAAATGGGTTCTCTTTAATGCGTGAAGAATCACCTGGAAGCTTACTAAATATTGAACTCTGGGGCCCTCTCCTTGCGTGATTCTAATGGAGATGTTTATATACCACACCTTTCAAATGGACCACACCTTTGAAGAACAGTGATATTGAGGCTTATATGCACAATAAAATGCTCATTTCTTTCTTTATCTCCTTTTCAATGAATTGTCTTAGTACTAAGTATTATACTAATAACAGTTTGGGGTACCTCTGAGTTGGGAAAAGGGGAAAATCATGAAAGAATTGAGGAGTTTGCCAAGGGTTGCAAACTGCTAGTTTTGGGGTTGAAATCAGTCTGCAAATGTATTTTGTTTTGCATAGCTGGTGGTACTCCCCAACCCCCATTGCATTTGATTGGCCACAGTCGGTACTGCTCCCTGTTACCCTGTACTGCACCCATGGCTTCATGGATTTGCTTCACCTGCCTGTTTGTTAATGGCATTAAATTGTGGCTGACCATAGAGGACCTCAGTGACAGATATCTTGGCAAAGAAATGATGGCCCAGTTAAAATAATATATCACTAACCTTAGCAAATAATTTAACCTAAACTGGTTTCTTGAAAAATATTTGTCAGTTTTATGTATAACAATTCTTACATTCTGTCAATTTTCTAACTTTCAAAGGAAGTCCTAAATTTTCCCATTAGTGAATAGGACAGAGTAATTCACAATATTGCAGAATATGAAAGTCATTTATTGTTATTTTAGCAGCACATTTCATGGCTGGCAGCTGTAGATGTACTTTTCTACTTCCTTTTTTTTTTCTTTTCTGGTCAGTTGTTAAAACTAATCTTTATTCTGTTCGTGTTGCCAATAGGATACAATGGAGACACAGCCCATAACTGATCATGGAAAAAGTACATCTATATGTAGAGTTTTAAGTTCCAGTCCTTGAAGGGATTTTGAGAAATAATGAAAAATAGAAAGCAAAGCCAGCATTAACTGATAATTTACGCCATTCCAGACACCAAACTGAACACAGTATTTGTGTTTTAACCCTCCCAACAGATTTATCAGTTAATAGCTACTCTACTATTCCTGTAGATGAGGAAACTAATGCTCAGAAATGTTAAGTAATTTGTCCACATTGCCTTTATAAAGGCAAAATTTGTATTTTAAGAAACCTTTGTAAAGGTGACCATAGATGAATAATATAGTATTTGATCTTGTAAGAAAAATGCCTGCCGTTTAAAATGTGTCTCTTCTTTAAGTTGCCACACTATGTAAGTTGCCAGGAGATAGACATACCACATAAGCCACGTGGCCAGCAGAAATGATTAGTAGCGACAAGCACGTGCCTAAACATATCCTGCCCTCTCCCTTTCTGACTAGACTTGCCTCTGCACTTCCACAGTTCCCTCCCTCCAGCAGGTGCAGAATGGCCTGTTTCTCCTTCATCCTATGATGCTAGTGGCCTTCATCCTGTGATGTTAAATAAGATGGACTCGCTTTTGCCTGTAGCCTCCTCCTTCAGCTTGCAGATATATCTGACCTTTCTTTCACTCAAATTACTCATGAAATCCCATTGCCTCTGTGAATCTGACCTAGTTGGAAAAAACAAGCAAATTCCCCTTGCTTTTCTCCTGCTGTTGGAGCATTCACTTCTCATCAGTTGCTTTCCATGCAAAGGTGATTCTGCGCCTTCCTGTGTGTAGTGCAAAGTTACGTAATGAATGCCTCCAGGGATAGGGGCAAGCAAGAGCTGTAACTGATGTGGATATTATTATTAAGGGTTTTTTTGTTTGTTTTGTTTTTGTTTTTGTTTTTTTGTTTTTTTTTGAGACTGAGTCTTGCACTGTCGCCTGGGCTGGAGTGCAATGGCGGAATCTCAGCTCACTGCAACTTCCACCTCCCGTGTTCGTGCAATTCTCCTGTCTCAGCCTCCTGAGTAGCTGGGATTACAGGCACACACCACCACACCTGGCTAATTTTTTTATTTTTAGTAGAGAAGGGGTTTCACTATGTTGGCCAGACTGGTCTCGAATTTCTGACCTCGTGACCGCCTGCCTCGGCCTCCCCAAGTGCTAGGATGACAGGCGTGAGCCACCACACCCAGCCTATTATTAAGTTTTTACATTGCCAGCATTTATTTCTATCATTCTGTTCCGGGCTGTACTCTTAAACGAGGCTACTTTATTAGTTATCCTAAGTACTGCTTCAGAATATTCTTACATGGTCCCTTTGCTTGTCCATCAGGATCACCTAGACACATTACTATTTCAAACCCCAAATAAATGATGCTTCCTTGAATTTGGCTTTTTGTATCATTGAGGTGTTATAGAACTCTCTCACCTGCTGTCTTTAAGTAAAGAGACAGTGTGTCCCTGGAGCCCCGCAGTGCACAGGAAGGGCTCTCATTCAATGTTGAGTACATATTGCATATGCAGAGGAAATGGTCCCCTCCACCTCCATGCCCCTACAGTTAGTTTACTCAAGTTCTCTTCCTTTAGCTGAGTTGGGAGCAGTTATTTTCCCTCCTCCCCCTTCCTGGGGCTCTGTACTCACCATTGAAGAGAGGCTATATATTAGAATTTGGAATGCTGAGAAGAGACTCGATGACTGAGGCAGTGCTAATCCAAGAGGGTTGCAGTGCCCCAGGATTCATGTTCCTTCCCATAGGATATATGGCTTTGAAAGTGAGGGATCCTATACTAAAAGGGTAATATTAGTCTTCTGGATTTGGAAGCCATTTTCCTAGCTCTTCCTGCATTCCAAGGACATGAAAAAGGAAGCTGGGCATTTGTAGTGAATAACAGGATCACAACAGGGTCATAACAAGATAGCTAGGAATCTTAAATTTGTACAAGTAATCAAGAATTGTTTTTCTAGTAGTTCCCTTCAAATTCCCTCTCTTTAGGGCCTATACATTTCGGCTTCAATTTTGGGGTCTAATTAGTGTAAGATGAAATGATACTGGATTTCTATGTAAAATAGTAGTATTACCTAACTTTATAAGGTTCTAGGGAGGGTTACACTAATGAACATATATAAAACACTTTAGAATAAGTCCTGGTAAATAGAAAGTGCTCAGTACACATATTATTGCTATTACTATTTCATAACAAAAAAGACAATATTTCTTTTAAAAAACTTAATAAATCAAAAATGTTTCACATGTAGGGTTTTATTTATAATATATGTGCCCTATTCATAGACCCACTAAGATAGCCAAGAAATTGCCGTGGCAGGAATTGCCATCGGAAGAGAAACATCACCTCTTGGTCTTGAAATAAGTGATTCCTGTCATCAGTGTGTCAGACAGCTTTATGTGATAATGATTTTGGACAAACCTAATGCAGAAAGTCTGCTGAATATTTAGTCAGAGTTATACTAGAGAGCACTTGAAGTCCTGTAAATCTAAAGGTTTAGAGTTAATGTTCCTGTAAAGCTAAAGGTTTATAATAGCTATCAAAAGAGTTTAGATTAATTCATAAAATTAATCTACTAAGTGATTTCAAGTAGGCAAATTAAATACCTATTTTGATCTTTTCATATTTATACTAGTCAAATTTTAATGAATTGAGCTTTTTGAGAATTACTGAGCAAAATTCTTGGTTTACCAAATTTTGCATTAATAGATTTGTTTCGCATAGGAGTAGACACAAAGTATAGCGTTATGTACAAAAAGTGCTTAAATGCAGTTATATAACTTTCCTATTTTCTTTCATGATTTCACTAAGGAGTAAACATTCTTGGCTCGGCGCAGTGGCTCACGCCTGTAATCCCAGCACTTTGGGAGGCCGAGGCAGGTGGATCACAAGGTCAGGAGTTCAAAACCAGCCTGGCCAAGATGGTGAAATCCCGTCTCTCTTAAAAATACAAAAATTAGCTGGGCGCAGTGGCAGGCACCTGTAATCCCAGCTACTCAGGAGGCTGAGGCGGAAGAATTGCTTGAACCTGGGCGGCAGAGGTTGCAGTGAGCCAAGATCGTGCCACCGCACTCCAGCCTGGGCAACAGAGTGAGACTCCATCTCAAAAAAACAAGAAAAAGATTCTTGAAAGCCTCCCCACTCCCACTTATCTTGGAGCAACTGCTGTGGAGTTCGAACATTCTTAGCTTTGCCAGTGTAAACTGTGTCATACGTGTATCTTAAACTACTTCAGGCTTATGATCTGGCCAGTTACTATTCGGTGGTTATGCAGGAGAGGCCTGGTTTAACAGAAATCATGCGGTGGTCAAGAACAAATTTAATGAAAATTGAACATGTTACCCAGAGTGCTAATATGGAATTTTCTCTGGTGACTACTATTGCCTTCCTCAGAAGGTTTTTGTTATTGTGTTGGTGGTTAACACAGGAATGACTGGTGACGTTTTGTCAGCTTAATAGCGCCGTTGCAAGATTCAGGAGACCCTTTTGCCAGGCCATTAGCCAGCTCTGTGGGTGTAGTCTGATCTCTTAATAGCCCTGTGCCTTAGCTTATGTCTTTAATAAATGAGGAATTCAGGTAGAGGATCTTGAAGACCTTTTGCAGCTCTGGAATCTCAATTTTGTGTCATTAAACTCTAACATTCTTTGAAATATAGCATGCTTTGTTGAGTGCTGATCTGAATTAATTAGGATTTGATGTTAAACTGGCCAGGAAATTATGAGGCATGGAGGAGGTGACACAGTGGGTGTGCCCAACAGCGTGACTCTTTGTATCGTTCTCCTGTTTTATCAAGCATCAAGATGCTTCTGAAACACAAATCTAAAAATTGTAGTGCTCTCAGTTCTTCTCTTCCTTAAGCCGTACTATGGTGGTGCTGTGCCTAGGTTGACATCGTATTAGCACACCTTCTTTTGCTTTGACACTTACTATGTGAAAGGAAGATGACTTCTCCTTAACAGGAATTCTCTAACACCATTTGGCACATGGTTGAGCTGAACAAATTAGGAAGGAAAAATAGTCCAAAATATTCCAGACCGCATAGTCATCTAGTTACAGTGCCTCTTGCAGTGAAACTCAGCTGAATGCTGTGTACGTGATGGCATTACTTACTTCCCAGTATCAAATGTGTGCAAAGGGTGAAATTGGACTTTTCAGGATCACATGATAAACAGATGATAAGGAAATGAAACAGTTTTCATGTTAGAGTTTCAAAGACATCTTAAACCTTTTTCTGGAAGAAAATATGTTTTTATGCCACTTGGTAAAGTGGGATACAAAATATTTGTGACTTGATTTTTTAATTTGATAGGAATAGATAATTAAATATTTGGTCAATGAAGGAAGATAACAGTGTTGGGGATGATAAATTTTAGGGGCCAAATTGTCTGTGCTGGCAGCAGGCAGAAGGCTGGGTCAGTCACCTGTGCAGAGTTCTTTGTAACTGTTACTTGGTTCTCATTGCCAGCAGCTGTATTTGATTTACTTCCTTAGTTTTGATAGCCACAACATTTATGATCTGTTCAAACACTGGCAGATTAAATACCATAAGAGGATTACTTAACACAGCAGTCACAGATGAAGTATCTGTTCATATTTTGTTTTTGTGTTAAGAAAGAAGGCCTGCCACTAGGTTTGGGTGTGCAGGGATTCACTGCCTGGTAGTGCCTTTTGGGAGACCTTCGCCGGGCCCTTGAAGCCATTTCTAATTCCGGCTCATCCCCTTCATATGTGTATACTGCAAGGCTTGCCTTCATTAGATTTTGTTCTGGGAAAGGTCCAAGGGGAAAACACACCTCTCCTCCATGTAATTTTGTAATCCAGTTTACACCAACTTTTGGATACTGTCTTAAAGACACTGAATGATTTTCAAAGCATACAAATCATTTTCTTTGTATCATAAACATGAAAATAACATAAACACCCAGAGATGATTTTGTTGAGAGACATGAACTAATTAGGGGTTCTTGCACTTAAATGCACTTTCAGATCATCTCAAGAACTTGTGTAAATAGACCTGGTCCTACATTTCCTGGGATGGGCTATGCTGAGGGCACCTTTCAGATAGGCTGGGTGTAACTCCCAGACCAGCAGCAGCAGCTTAGGAGCACTTGGCCTTACCTAACCTCTTGGGACCTCTGTTTCTCCACGTCCAAATTGTTAGCAACGATTTCCAGCTAGTAGGCTTCACAGAGCTGCTGTACTTGGAACTGAACACAACATGATACTTTATTGGAGTGTATTATTTTATCAATAATGTAGCTTGAAAACAAGTTTTCTGTGTTTATTCAAACCTCTGTGTAGTGAATTAACAACAACAATTGCTGATGTTTATAGGATTCTCAAAAACATACTTAATATTTCCCTGCTTTCTTTTTTGGAAGTGTTTTTCATGTTTTCCCAGTTTCATTCTTGTCTTGGTATGAGTCACTAGCATGAAACCTGATATTTTGTTTTATTATTTATTAATGGGCTTCTTAGACATTTACCAATGAATAATTAAGCAATACAAGGAGTGAAACAGATGTTGGGTTTAGTAGTCAACTGACACTTTCTGATTTAGCATGGTAAACTGAATTTGGAAGATGCTAGATAAATGCCTAATGGCTATTTTGCATTGAAATTTAATAAATAAGGAGTAACTTGATGAAAGCTAAAACTTAACTTTTTTCTGCAATTCTTAATTTTTCTTCATTTCTTAACTGTTCTAAGGCAATCATTTGAAAACAAAATGTAATAAACTTAAGAATAAAGTTTGGAATAACAGCACAGTTGGATACTGCTAACATACTTATTTACTTTTTTATTATTTGTGTCATCAATATTTTTGTTATAGAATGACTAAAAGTTGGAAGATAGAAGTGACAACTTCTTATAAAACAAGTATTCTTTGTACTGTTTTAATATTATGGATTCAACATACGCAAGGAAAAATTTTGAAGGTAAAATTAAAAAGATTTCTTCTCTGTTTTGTAGAACTGTTGGGTCATATTCCACTCCAGTGTAACTTTAGAACAACAACAACAGCAACAATGTTATTTTAAATATAAAAACTGAGTATATTTCCTGCTTCAAATCAACCCACCTTTGGGCATATTTTCTCACTTTGTTAAGTGGGTTAGAGAAATAGAAAATACAGATACTACCCAAACCTCAATTTCAGGCTTCCCAGGAAATGTTTTTTAAGAACAGGGAATTGAATATGAGTTTTGTCTTTTTGCCCACTCATGATTATCCTGCTGGTCATCAGAATGCCTTTCGGCTGAAGCTAGACGGAATGAGGGTAAGGAGCAGACATTCCCTGTAATTGAAGGCCTGAGATTCATGGGAATGGATGCTGTGTTCCATGTCCTAGGTCTGTGGACCTGCTTTGCGTCACATGCACTGATCCTAGGGACAGAGTGAATATTGAACAAGCTTATTTAGGAAAATTTGAAATGTGAGCTTTGAGATCATTCACATCTCTTGGATCTGATAACTCATCGAGATGACCCCCTTCACCACCTTCCCACAAATGGAACAGAGAGAATCGTAAGGTTGGGTGGTAGAAAGGCCTTGGAGCTCATCTATGCAGCCTCTCCTCCTTAAAGTAACCCCTTCTGTGGTGTTCAGGTTGAGGGACCTATTCCAACCATGGACTGAGAACAAATCAGACTTTACAAAAAGAGGTTGACCATTTATATGATTACATTTTTAGGTACACAGCTAAGTAAATAAACTATAAAGTTGACTAATTTGTCTTGTAAAAACAAACCAAATAAGTAAATAAACTATAAAGCTTGACTGATTTTCACAAATACCTGTGGCATTTGTGAAAGATGAGTCCAAACATATCTTTAGCAATAACTGATTTATTAAAATAAGTGAATGGGCTGGATGAAGTGGCTCACACCTGTAATCCCAGCACTTTGGGAGGCCAAGGCGGGCAGATCACTTGAGGCCAGGAGTTCAAGACCAGCCTGGCCAACATGGAGAAACCCCGTCTCTACTAAAAATAGAAAAATTAGCCGGGCATGGTGGCGTGAGCCTGTAATTCCAGCTACTAGGGAGGCTGAGGCAGGAGAATCGCTTGAACCCAGGAGGTGGAGGTTGCAGTGAGCTGAGATTATGCCACTGCACTCCAGCCTAGGTGACAGAGTGAGATTCTGCCTCAAAAAAAAAAAAAAAAAAAAAAAGAACACTTGACTGCGTTCAGTATTCATATTTTATAAATGTGCCCTAAACAAAGTATACTGGGGTGAAGATACAGGATATACATCTTGGCCTCATAGTGTTTTTAATCTTATCTAAAGAATGTAGCTTTTTTTAAATTAAAAAGTTATTTTATAACCTTTTTAAATATAGATGTTTTCAATGACAATATAGTATTTTTAGCAGCTCCGCAGTATTATGTTTTATAGATGTCTCTTATTTATTACATCAGGGCCCTATTGATTGATTGATTTATGTGTTTCTGCTTTCTACCTATTATTTTCTACCCTGTTTTATTCCCCCAGCCATGAGAACATTGTAGTGATTATCCTTGTACCTGTGTTTTTAATACTAACTGGTTTCTTTCATAAAAAGTGTTTAGTGAAAAACAAATGCTGTGCGTGCTCATTAAAATTTCAGATGGCACAGAAATAAATGAAATGAGAAGTGAAGCTTCCTTCTCCTTCCCCATTTCCTCCCTAGAGATAACTACCTGTAAACATTTGCTTGTTTATCAGTACAGATGTTTTTGTTTTTCATACATGAGAAAGCAGATATTGGAACTTTAGTAGATGGGCAATAGGTTGCAGAAACGAGCATGGGAAGGTAGCTGTATTCTGAATGGGGAAGGCTTGTGGGAGCAAACGGCTGCTGGTGTGTGTGTTCAAGGATGGGACAAAAATGTGTTGTAACCTGTTTTCCTGCATCAGGTAGTGACAGCCATGTAGCGTGGAGGCACAGAAGCAAATCAGGGAAGAATCAGCACTAAGAAGTGAGCAAGCTTAATAACATACTGCAGCTAGAAAATGAGTTACTTCCCCCAAATGGGAGATTCCCTTTGTAAGGAATTGAGAATTTCATGATGAGTTTAGAGCTGACCAGCACATGAATATGAGCTTAATGGAATCATTTCTAATTGCCTCCAGAGAAGCAAAGTTTCAGGAAGGGAACCCGGTAAGAACATTATAGTATGTAGTTTAACCCAGATATGATAAGTTTTTTGATAAGAGAAGAGTCAGGGTAAATAGGAAGGTTCATCTGTGAGAAATAAAGTACAGGAAGAGGGAATGGAGCTGGAGGAGGGGGGATTATGTGAGGGTTGTTTTACACCAGATGGAGCAAGACTTGGCTGCATGGATCGGGAATCTTTTTTGAGGATAGCTTCTTCCAAGGATTCAAGACAAAAACCAGATTGCAGGAAATTCAAGGGGGAATTGGAGAATAGGATTCTGAACCAAGGTGGAGCTTTCATTGAGTTAGAATATGAATAAAGATACGGGAAATATGGAAAAGTTTCCTGCCCACAAGGAGAATGTGCATGTGAATCTCTAATATTTCCCTTTAAAAATAAAATGAAGCTCCCAGCTCTGGTAGACCTGGTGTTAGCCCCACATCTTTTCCTGCAGACAGAGCAATAGGTCTTTCCCTTCCTCTAGCTCACCTATGCCAATTTTCCAGAGCTGTCAGGTCTAGGGCTGAGATACTGGTTGTGGCTCTGCCCCAGCTGCTGCTGTTCCCTCATTAACTCCAACCAAGGGCTTTGGGACTTGTGTGGCCGGCACTACTGCTCACTCATGTTGGGGTCCATGCTAACCAAGTTCATATTTGCTGGGAGCCCTCTCTCAGCCCCAGGAGTATTCCAAAGCCCCTGTTTCTCCCAAGAGATTCAGAATTTGAATTCTGCTTTGGTTCCCATTGTGGAATACTGCTGTGACAATCTGTCTCACTCCCCAGTGGCCTCTGAGCCTTGTGTTGCCACCACATTCATTTCTGCCCCTAAGGACTGAAGTTCCATCCTTGAACTTGCCTCTGCACCAGGGCTGAGCTATCTTTGCTTCTAGCCTCATGGTGTGTGGCTGTTGCTCTACAGCCTGGTGGTGTCCTGGGTTCACATACCAGTTTTGCCGCTTAGTATTTCTTTGGGTTCAGGCCAGGTATTTAACCTCTCAGTGTCAGTGTCCTCATTTTGTATTTTAATAATATGAATTTTCTGTCTGTTATCCTAAGAAGGTGGCTGCTTCAGTAAATGCAAGGGAATTGATTGAACACAGGCCTCGAGGCATGTGTGAGATCCTCTTGGGGAGACCCTGGGGCACCTGAAAGGAGTTACAGTCTTGTGGGAGAAGTGGGCTGTCTGTATCAAGACATTGTGGGCAGAGGAACCGACACCAAGTTCCAATGTGACTCCCAAATGGAAAGTATCTAGGGGCAGATGCTTCACACGGAGCTGTTGGTTCTTGGTCAGGTGTTTGTCTGTTCATGTCCTTAGGGTCCAGGTTCAGTGGCTGTAGGAATATTCATTTAAAAAGGATAATAAATCTCCTAAACAATGCTAGGGAGGCTTCCCAGGCTGCAGAATCAGGAAAATAAAATTTACCTCACAGGGTTATTTATAGGATGAATGGCATGATTTGGGCCTAACGAATAATGGATGTTCAGTCAACAGTAGCGGTCGTTCTTTCTGCTGTGCTCTGCCCACTTCTTAGGACGCTGTGTTAATTCTTGCATGCACAGGCCTAGGCTGCCCTCCTGGCTGGACCCCACAGTCATCTGCCCCCCCTCTGTGTCCTCCTTCATCCGTGTCCTCTTCCATCCCTACCGCTAGGTCCCCCGCTTTCTGAGTAGTCCCGTGTCAGGCCTCAGTCTCCCTTTCTTTGCTGGAAAAGGGTAAAAGGCCATCTCTGGCTGATGAGTGCTAGCAGTTTGTGTCCTGTGTTGGGATAGTGAGCCTGCAGTCCAGTGAGGTTCCTGCGAGGAGCAAGATTTGGATGCAATTCTTCATCAGTTTAAAATGACTATAGTTTTAAATATTACCTATCTTTTACTACATTTAGGCCCTCTGAGGATTTAATATAGGCACTATTTTGTTAATTGTTTATACTATCTTATAAACATGTTAATTCACAAATAACATTATTTTATTCAAAAACATTTATGCCGTTTTGAATTGTTCCTTTGTATGATAGGTATAGGAGATATTCAGAAATAAATATTAATAACAATAGTTAACACCTGTCTAACACTTTCTTGTGCCACGTATTCTTCTAGCTACCTTCACACATGTTCATTCATTTAATCCTCAAGAACCACCCTATGAAGTAGGTGCTCCTATTTTCTTCTTTTTATGGATGGTGGAAAAAGAGGCCCAGAGATTTTAAGTAAGTTGCTCTAGGTCCCACAGCTGTTAAGTAGCTGGGCTGTGAACAGAGGCCTTATGGCTCTGACACCTGTGCTCTGAGACCAGGCTGCTTCCATGGCGCTGAAGTCTTGGCATCATCTGGCCCCTGGTTAGACATGCAGAATCTCATGCTCCACCCCAGAACTGCAGAATCAGAATGTGTGTTTTAATAATGTTCCCAGGACATTCGAATGCACAGTCAAGCTTCAGAAGCACTGTTCTAAACCATTCTGCCTACTTACTGTCTCTCCAGCCATGGGAATTTCATTGTTGTGGGGGAAATAAAGGGGCATGTATGGGTAATAGCTGCCCTTGTAACATTTTGGTGAAACAGATTGAACACCAGTTGAGTGCTTTAGACATTTCAGATTCCTTCCCAGATAGCCTCGTGTCACACACTTCTGTTTCTTGTACCCACACATGCATACACAACCAGTCACACATGGCTTTTGTGAAGTTTAGTAAATTTAGAGATAACATGGGATGGCACTGGCATAGGGCAGAGTCATGCTTGTGGTGTTTTGAAAACTTGTCCTCTCTTCGTTTTAAGTTGGGGCCCTCCCCACAGCCTGTGCCCCTGGGAAGTACAGTCCAGCCCAGGGCTCACTGCTTGCCTCCTTGTGGAAATAGCCTGGATAGACTGGTCCTCACCCTTCCCCCTCATTCCAGTAAATAAATGTCTTTCTTGTTACATAAGTAATTATAATCCAAATGTAATCACATAATAGACATAGAAGGAGCAGCCAGCTGGCCTCTGGGGAGTTGGCCAACTTAAAGGACAAGAATGGGGGAGGTTTTGCCCAGCAGAGAAGGATATTTGGGGAAAGGGAAGTAAAAAGCCTGAAGGTCTGAAAGAACATAGCTTGTTACTCGGGAGAAGTTGGGCGTAGCCCGGAGAGGGCAAATGAGGCTTTATTGTGAATGGCTTTATTTGCCATAATATTAAGTTACAGAATTTATTTTGTGGCAGTCAGGCTCTACCTGTATTGCTAAGGGCTCTACCTGTATTTTTTGCAAACAAACCCTGTGAGCTAGGCATCATTATCCTCATTTTGCAGATGAAGAAAGTGACAGGTCCCTCAACTTGCTCAAAGCTACCTAGCTAGTGGTAGTACCTGAATCTGATACCCTGGGCTTTAACCCATGTGTTACTGTTGATCCGTATAGCAACTGCTTTAAGGCATCAGAAATACACTGTTATTGTGTAAAATAAAGACTGCAGTTAACAACAATACAGAGAAGGTTTCATTTTATTTTATTTTATTTTTGTCTTATTCTGCATTGCCTATTTGAAGAGACTGGTTTTTCCAGCAGTCAGTGGTGGAGCACGACTGCTGGGTCATACGCCCAGGTTTTGCACGTTGGTTTGTGGGGTGCAGGCACTGACTGACTAGTGCTAAGACGTAATGTGCTTTTGATGGAGTTTCCTTTGCCTGGGTGTTTTTGGGGTTTTTGGAAATGTGGAATCTTAAGAGGAAGAAAACATAGTATTTATAGAGCTGGAAAATGTTCTGCTTATTCTCAATCCTTTATTGACATAGTGGTTACTCTGCTGTTTTGGTTGGCAGTGTGATTCTCTTAGTTTAAGCAAAAATTTCTTTTGTCAACAGGTAGATTACTAATAAGGATATTTTACTCACCAAGAAATTCCTAGGAACCCTTTTTCTGGACACATCAGACTTCACAAAATGTTTCTGTTTTTCTTTAGTTCCTGTTGCTTCTCTCTTCTTGCAGTATCCACTAGCAGCATGGTGGTTGTTCTGTAGATAGTGATGTTACCACTTCACCATTTGGTCCTCTCTCCTCTGCGTCAGTTAACTTCCCATCTAATATTTTGTTCTGTGAACTATTCCAGGAATGATTATCAAGCTCTCGTCCTCCACTTAAAGTAGCAAGGCATGCTAGCATTTTCTGTTTAGGACTGAAGAAATGCCTGCAATTCAGGAAGTGTGGCAACCTTATAAGTAGTGGGAAAGTTAGAGGATGTAAACTTGGGTGATTCGCATAACTTCAGTAGACCTCAGTTTCCTCATTTATAAACGAGGAGGCAGTCTAGAGCCTTTAGATGCGGCCTCTAAGGGTCCCTTGGATGAGGTGTAAAGTTCATGTTCTTAGGGAACTTCACCACTAGTACTTGGCTGCCTTTAATAGGTCTTAATGCTCCTATAAATTTAACTATATTATCCCTTTTGCCCATTTATGATTTATTAATAGCTTTAATGAATTGTGAATGACAGTTTAATTAGATCATCCATGTATAATTAGGGCAACCGGGTTTTTTTCCCTAAGAGGATATATTTTTCATCCGTGAGTATGTAGCTTACCTCTAACCTAGGTAATTAAGCATTTTAAGGCATTTTCCAAAATAAGAAGGCTTTTTCTGTTTTCCTAATAAACACTTTATTGAAAAGCCACATGCATAAAATAATGGAGGGCCGTTTTGACCTAGGTTTTGCATGTAATCATAACCCAGACAGACACAACCTGAGGCAGTACATTTAGTTTAGTGGTAACAAAGCAGTGTGGAATTTAAGAAATCTCTCTCTCTCTTTTTTTTTAAACTACTTATTTTCTTACTTTTTGAGTAAAGCAACTTTATAGCTACTTCATATCTGTTTCAAGTGCTACATTTTCAAAGCTGGCAAATAGATTTACCTCTTTTGTGAAGGTGCCACATTAAACACTTAAAAGAAGAAAATCAGCCTTATCTGATGGATGATCCCCAGTTAATAGCCCAAGAACCAATTTGTATTTGGCTTTGCGATGTGTTTTTCTACTTACATTTGAGTATGGGTGTGCCTGATATTCTCGGAATTTACAATACTTCAAACAAATAAGGAAGTTGCACTGTGAAGACAGACTCAGAAGGAACTGGAAAGCTGACAGACCTTTGTGCTTCCCCAGCCGCCTTGCTGAATTCTCTGCGGTGGGTTGAGACCCCTGGTGTTCTTGGATGGGACAGCCCACATGAGCAGAGTGGCTCTCCCTTGTTTCCTTTGCTCTCTTTGGATTTATATCCTTCCAGAACTAGCTGTTTCGTAAAGTATTTAGACTCTGAATACCTGAATTATTCAGATCTTCTTGTCACTCCAATCACAAACAGGTAATTATGGAATCACAGCTGCTTTAAAGAGGCAGTGTGTCATCTTGTGTTCACTGAATATTTTACTGTACTTTACACAGTTAATTTCACACTGGGCAAGCTAAGTTAGTGTCAAAGTGGCAGACCAGATTTCTCTTGCGTTACAATGAGTGGCAGAGGTTGGAGCAATGCCTCAGTGGAAGAAATGGTGGTTCACAGAGTTATGTGAGGGGTCCCATGAACTTCCACCTACTCCCAAACATATTTTCTACTGGGCCTGACCAGAGGGGCCTCAGAGGTTGCTGAATGGTAAGTTTGGTGGAGGAGGGAATAGGAATGGTTTGGTTTCTGGTCTAAAGAGGATATATGGGGTGAGGCGGCTTGATGGTGCAAGGATGATTGAGTGTTTTAAATGAATGGTTTAAGTGACAACCTGCATCTTGTATACACAGCTTCATAAAACAGCCTCTATTGGTTGTTTGATGGAGCCAGGTGATCTGGTATGGCGGAAGATTTGTGAGCCCCACTGGAATAATTCTAAAATGCTTTTATTATAGTTTTTGATTATGAAAGTAATTTATTTTCAAATGTACCAGATTTTTGAAATACTGAAAAGATTAAGAAAAAAAGTACTAGTATTGCCATTAGCCAGATATCCTATTGTTAATATTATGTATGTATTCTGAATGAATCAGTAGATTTTGAACAGGTATCATTCGTTCATACTGCCTGCCTGTTTTCTCTTCTAATATATGAGGAACATATTTTCTCACTATTGAATGTTCTTCTAAAGCAGTATTCTGGTAGTTGCCTAACACCACATGGGACAATTTTAAAATAAGAAGTCACTGGCTAGGCACTGTGTCTCACGCCTGTAATCCCAGCACCTTGGGAGGCTGAGGTGGGTGGATCACCTGAGGTAGGGAGTTGGAGACCAGCCTGGCCATCATGGCAAAACCACATCTCTACTAAAAATACAACAATTAGCCAGGCGTGGTGTTGTGTACCTGTAAATCCCAGCTACTCTTGGGAGGCTGAGGCAGGAGAATTGCTTGAACCCAGGAGGCAGAGGTTGCAGTGAGCCAAGATCACGCCACTGCACTCCAGCCTGGGCAACAGAGCAAGACGTCGTCTCAAAAAAAAAAAAAAAAAAAAAGTTAGTTACTTCCAGGATAAAGGTACTTTATTTTTTTTTCCAATTTGTGTAGTAGAGGAAATCAAGCTTTAATTAAGAGTGGTCTCACATGAATGTGCATACTAGAGATTTATATCATTATAGAAAGAGAAGACACTTTTGAGTTTATCCAGTCTGACTCTTGTAAATATGGGAGAATTGTGACCCATATTATTCCTGTGACTACTGAAAGTCAAACATTTTAATCGCAGAAAAGGGACTAACATTCCCAGTGTTCTTGCCCGTGTCATGTTACATTTGCAAATCTGTTACAACATATTTTTCCTTTTCTCAAGACACGTCGAACATGTGTCAGTATATACTGTAGTTAATATCTCTTAAGTTTCTTTTGTGGTTTGTAGCTTGGCTTTAAAATGATCTTGAGGCTCAAATTTGACTCAGGAACCAAAACCCCTGAGGGGAGCCCTTTCCTTGGTTCCCTGGGTTAGAATAATCTTCAAATCTATGTTGACCTGAGAGCTTTTGAGGTCAGAAATGGGTTCTGCAATGCCCAACATCTGCCTTGTGAGGTTATTAGTCTTATGTGCTAACTGGGACTAGTGGAACTTCTAAAAATAGTACTCTTTTTTCATGGATTTTGTTTCTATCCATTAAGAAGTCATCATTCCCAGCCCATTTAATGATAAATGAAAACCAGAAAGGTAAATTCACTCATTTACAGTCAAATAACCAGTTGGTTAATTATTGGATCCAAGTGCAGCAGATTTGCAAGGATTGCAAAGATTGCTTAAAATTTAATTTGTAAATGCTTGTTAGAAATTTGTAAAATACAGACAAAAAGATAATATAACCTGTATTTTTACAAGCCAGACACAGCTATTGATCATATTCTGGTAGATTTCAAGTGTCTTTATTTTTAAAAGTTTTCTACATGTGGATATTTGAAGGGGTGCAGTTGAGATAATTATGCATTACCCTTTTTTCTTTGATCCTCTACTGTGTTTAGGGTCCTGAGGTCAAGGACTATGAGGAATATATGTGGTGGGGTGTTGATTGATTTTCTACTTTTTGGTGAGTTTCCCAGGAAATCTATTGGGAATGCCTTATTATTTTTTGTTTCCATTGATTAGGACAAGGGTTACTAATGTAAAGGCTGTGGTTTTCATCCAGCATGCCAGTTCTGTTTCTGCTCTGTCCAGCCAACCATTTTGCAAGTATATCACAGTACTCACAAAGCAGAGTGATGGATCACTGCAGAATTAAGAAAAACAACTCAACCCAAAACATGTTCTGCTAATGGCTCACTAGTAAAATCATTCCATTATATAATATTCAAATTCCTTCATATAATACTTGACCACTCTCTGACATTTTCTTGTATATTTTATCTCAGTTTTATCTTCACAAGGCTGGTCTTAGAGGAATTCCAAGTACAGCCCCAAACTACCTCACCTTCCACATCTTCTGACTTAAAGAACATGATCTTTTAACTCTGTTACCAGTTCTGTTACATCTTTGAAGTAAAGTCCTTGTAAGGGGATAGACCTTTTTTTTCTCCCAGTTTCTTAACAACTGTTTTATTTTTACAAAATATACCATTTTAATTTGTTAAATTGGGAAAATACAAGTTAGCAATAGGAAAAAGAGAAGTTACTCATCCTACCACCCAGAGATAATCACTTTCAACACTTTATTATAGATTTTTCTACCCTACCTCTTTCTATATAATACTCTGTGTGTGTGTGTGTGTGTGTGTGTGTGTGTGTGTGTGTGTATGTATGTTGTATGTAAGTGCACATTTTCGAGAACTGGTATGAGGTTTACATATGAATTTGCAGTCCACTCTTTCCATTTGGCAATATATTGTCAACAGTTTTATTTAGTTAAACGTAATAAAACATTGTTTCTCCTAGTTGCGTAGTCTCTCATCATATGGATGGACTGTTATTTATTTTACCCATTCCTTATCGTTGAATGTTTAGGTTTTGATTTTTTGATGCTTTTAATCAACTGTGAATACACATCCAATAGCTAATATTTGCAACATACATGAGCATTTCCTTGGGGAAAGTTGCTAAAAGTGGAATCACTAGAGCAGAAACGTATACAATATTTTAAGATATGGTACCTATTGGCCAGGCATGGTGGCTCACGCCTGTAATCCCAGCACTTTGGGAGGCCGAGGCAGGCGGATCATGAGGTCAGGAGATCGAGACCATCCTGGCTAACATGGTGAAACCCCGTCTCTACTAAAAATACAAAAAATTAGCCAGGTGTGGTGGTGGGTGCCTGTAGTCCCAGCTACTTGGGAGGCTGAGGCAGGAGAATGGCGTGAACCCAGGAGGCGGAGCTTGTACTGAGCCAAGATTGCGCCACTGCACTCCAGCCTGGGTGACAGAGCGAGACTCTGTCTCAAAAAAAAAAAAGATATGGTAGCTATTGTTGAGTTTTTTTAGAAAGCTTTGTGGCTGTTTGTATTTCTCACATTGGTGTATAGAATTCCAATTTTGCCTTAGATTTCCAAATCCTAAATATGAGCATTTAAAAACATCTTTGCCAATTTAATACTTGAAAAATATTATGTCATTGCCATTTGAATTTGTTAATTCTTTTAATACTTGTGAAGCTAAATTATTTTTTAGTTGTTACTTTTTTTTCCAATTGCCCTTTTCTTTATTGGGAGATTTAAAAAAATGACTTGCAAATTTTTTTTTTTTTGAGACGGAGTCTCGCTCTGTCGCCCAGGCTGGAGTGCAGTGGTGTGATCTCGGCTCACTGCAAGCTCCTCCTGGGTTCACGCCATTCTCCTGCCTCAGTCTCCCAAGTAGCTGGGACTACAGGCGTCTGCCACCACGCCCGGCTAATTTTTTGTATTTTTAGTAGAGATGGGGTTTCACCGTGTTAGCCAGGATGGTCTCGATCTCCTGACCTCGTGATCCGCCTGCCTCGGCCTCCCAAAGTGCTGGGATTACAGGCGTGAGCCACCGCGCGCAGCCGACTTGCAAATTTTAAAATACATCACTATTAACTCTTTGTAGTATTTTGCAGATACTTTCTCCCAATGTGTTAGATTCTTTTTAAAATTTAATTTAATTTTTCTTTTTTAAGAGACAGGGTCTCTGTCGCTCAGGCTGGAGTGCAGTGGTGTGATCTCTGCTCACTGCAGCCTTGACCTCCCAGGCTCAAGTGATCCTCTCCCCTCAGCCTTCCAAGTAGCTAGGACCACAGGTGCCCACCATGCCCAGCTAATTTTTGTATTTCTTTGTAGAGATGGGGCTTTGCCGTGTTGCCCAAGCTGATCTCAAACTCCTGAGCTTAGGCAGTCCACTCGCTTTGGCCTCCTAAAAGTGCTGGGACTACAGGTGTGAGCCGCTGTGCACAACCTAGGTCCTATTTTTAAAGGATTGTTTGTTATGGGAGTTCATACACTTTTTATAATCTGTAATATGCACTATAAGGGATATTAGGACTGTGTACTACTGCTAATATTCAGATTTTTTCCATGCCCTATGTTCTTCACCTTTATAACTTCTCTTCAGCTTTTTAGATGCTCTTTTACAACCTTCTTCTATTCCAGAATACTTTTAATAGGATCATATGTATGTCCCAGTTTGCCTAGGACTATTGTGGTTTACACATATTGTCTAGTATAATTTTTAATAGTACCCCTTTTACTCTTAGAAATTATTGTTTTAGGATGATAAATTATATGATCACCCTAATCATTAAGTGTCAGGACATCAGCGAGTACATAACTGTGAGGTAACCCAATCAGAACTACTTTCTTGGATTTGGTTTAAAAGGGGAGGGTGCAGAAATCAGGCTTGCCACACAGTCTTATATTCTTAATATGCAAAAGAGTTCAATGGCCATGTTTCAAAACACCCAACATATTATGATTATAAAATATTCTCTATATGGCATTATCTGTTTGATTCTTGCTAATTCTTGTTGGACAGAATAATTACCTACTCTAAAATTAGGTTGAAATCAAAATTCCAGAATGAGTTTTTTCACCCAGTTGATTATCTGTTATGGCTATTGACTTGTGGTTTGGATTTTTTCTGTTTTTTTCTTTGCTTTCTGTATTATTCATTTCTGGAGATGAATTGGGAGAGAAAAGGGGGGAACTTATTTAGTATTTTAGAATTATTCATGCTTTATACTATCTCAAGGTGGTGAAATTTATGAGTTTATAGTCAGCAATAGGTTGGGACATCAACTGTACTCTTCAGTTTTAGTAAAAATAAATGAGTTTTCAATAAGGTGACTAAAATATTCCTAGTGAGGTTTGAGTAAACATATTTAGTTCTTCATGCTGCAGGATCAGAATTTTCTTATCAAACTGAAGGCACATGACTCATGCGTAGCCGTTGCATGCATTAATAGAATTTGGAAATTTACTTTTGGCCCAGTGGAGGCTCTGAGGTAGAGTTTCATGGCCATTGCTATAAAAGACTGTAAATGTGTGTATTTATTCAACATTTCTAGAACCTTCCTTGCCCCTCATTCCATATCCTTAGGAAGGTCATGGGGACACACCTGATATAGGAGAACAGTGGGAAAGAAGTGACACTGGAAGGTGGGATAAACTTGATTTGTACTGGTGTCTCTCCCAGGTCAGCCTGGGCAGACCCTCACACCCAGAGAACCCTCAAGGCTGCCCTCTCCTCCTTCATGCAGCCATTTGCTACATTGCAGAGGGGCAGGGGGCCCTGTCAGTCCCATCTGCCTAGTTCCACTGGTCCTCCCACCACATCTAAAACCTTCCATCAACCAGTATCCAGATGATTTTGTCTCCTGCTTTGAATATTCAGTTGTGCATACTTAGCAGCGTTTCCCTTCCAAAGCCCCAGGAAGAAGCTTTCCAGAATCGCGCTTCTAGCCTGTATGCCCTGAAAATGCGTTTGACAACGTAACACAGCTAAAAGTGGCCTATCAGCTTCACACTTCACCAGTTTTCCTTCTGGACCTTCCAGTAGTGCTAAAGGTGCTCCCATTTTCTCGGATTCCCAGGTTCAAGCCGTGCTTCTTTCTTGGTCTCCTCTTTCTCTCACTGCAGCACAGACTACAGCCACAACCTGCCTGTTCTATCTTTTCAATATTAAGTCCTTCCTTCTTGCCCATTTTCACCACACAATTTCAGGCACTTACCTCCTGTGTGGGCCTTGCGGTAGCTTTCTTTGGTCCCATTTATTTGTTGTGTTTCTTCCCTGTAAAATTGAACTGTTTGTGCCATGCCAGTGTCTTCTTCATGAGTCCTATGATGAAGTTCTTACCTGCTCAGAACTTTTCAATAGCATCTCATAGGCTGTTGGATCTGATCCAAACTCTGTCATGTGTTACATAGAGAAAGAACAAAGCGGTTACATCAGAGCCCACATATAAATATATATAGTTGATCTTCTGAATCCATAGGCTGTGTGGATTCAACCAATCTCAGATGCAAAATACTTAAAAATAAGTAACAATAAAAATAACCTAAATAACAATACAGTATAACAACTATTAACATAGCATTTACATTGTATCAGGTATTATAAGTAATGTAGAGATCATTTAAAGTATACAGGAGGATGTGTGTAGTTTGTATGCAGATGCTATACCATTTTATATATGGGGCCCCTAAGCATCTGCAGATTTTGGTATCGGTGGAGGGGTGAGGGTTGTCCTGGAAACAATCCCCTTGATACCAAGGGACAACTGTACTTGAAAGCCAAAACAAGAAGGAATGCATTTAGCAGCAAGCTCTTCTATCTTTTTTTAAATTTTATTTATTTATTTATTTTGAGACAGAGTTTCACTCTTGTTGCCCAGACTGGAGTGCAATGGTGCAATCTCAGCTCACCGCAACCTCCGCCTCCCAGGTTCAAAGGATTCTCCTGCCTCAGCCTCCCGAGTAGCTGGGACTACAGGCATGCCCCACCACGCCTGGCTGATTTTGTATTTTTAGTAGAGACAGGGTTTCACCATGTTGGTCAGACTGATTTCGAACTCCTGACCTCTGGTGATCCGCCTGCCTTGGCCTCCCAAAGTGCTGGGATTACAGGCGTGAGCCACTGTGCCCGGCCAAGCTTTTCTAAGTAGTGTGATGTTTTGAGTAGTTAGGTATTTGACAACTCCTTAAAAGTCTCATTACCCAAATGGAAACGTTCTAAAATGGATTGTGATGATGCTTGCACATATCTGTGTATATATTAAAAATCATTGAACTCTACATTTTATTTATTTATTTATTTATTTTGAGATGTAGTCTTTCTCTGTCTCCCAGGCTGGAATGCAGTGGTGCGATCTTGGCTCACTGCAACCTCCTCATCCTGGGTTCAAGCAATTCTCCTGCCTCAGCCTCCCAAGTAGCTGGGATTACAGACATGCACCACCACTCAGATAATTTTTGTATTTTTAGTAGAGACAGGATTTCACTATGTTGGCCAGGCTGGTGTCGAACTCGACCTCAAGTGATCTGCCCCTTTGGCCTCCCAAAGTGCTGGGATTATAGGTGTGAGGCACCACGTCTGGCCAGAACTCTACATTTTAAATGGCTGAGTTGTAGGGTATATATGTGATATCAACAAAGCCGTTATTTAGAAAAAAATTAATTACCTGTACTTTATAAAATTCCTGTGGCACCTGTTATAGTACAAAACAAGCAATAAGTAATGACTTAATTGCCTCAGCAGTAATATTTATTAAGAAGAATATATGGAAAAGAAAGAAGAATACTTCATCATTGGAAATTTTCCCACCTCTATATTCTCAACTCTAGTTTGTGGAAGATCTAGAATATTGTAGCAGTCATTCATTTAATATGTAGTATATTGACAGGCTCTAAAAAAAAGTTGATGGTGAGTATACTTGGGAGAGCCTTAAGTACACAACAGGACAAGAAAGGAATCATTCTAGGGTCAGCGTTAGGCTACAGCTTTTGGTTTTTGAAGCCCTGCCCCAACTCATGTGTGGTGTGAGTGCGGGGGTATGGGTGTGATTTCACAAACCCCTGGAAATATCACCCAACTTAGTGATGCCTAGTGATTCAATATTTTCTTTTTTTGATTTGTTAAAGTATTTTGCATTTAGTTGGTTTAATTTCTGTTAACTTCCTTACTGGTTCAAGTAAGCAAGTACAGTCTATGTGAGGCACTGTTTTCACTAGATGCCTTAATGACTTTTTTATCTTTTCTATGATGAAACATTTCAGGGGGAAGGTTGCATATAAGACAGTTGGTTTCTGATCGTTTTTTTAAAGACTAAAACCATGTTTATTATGCTTCCTCCAATGTTATTTTTATGTATTATTGGGTCGGTGTATTAAAAATAAGGTCTGAGTATATACTGCTATAATTCAGACAGCATTTGTTGGGTCATGAGGCCTAAACCAAGAACTAATCCAAGAGCCATACATTATATCTTGGGTTATGATATCTCTTCCCCTTTAACTCTAGTTTTTGCTTCTTGGATCACTTCATGGGTTGTAGAACAAGAGGAGAGGCTCAATTTAAATTAAGAGGCAAATTGGTTTCACTTCCTCGTTTTTCAGGCAAATGGTAGGAAGTCATCATATGTGCAGGCTTTACTAAACATTAATAAAATGCACCGATGTACTTTCTTTAACTTTACTTTCTCAAGGAGTAATTCTGGTTGTAAGAGTGTCCTTTCTTATTTCCTGCCTGCTTGTTATACATTTCAAGGTGTGATACTTCCGAGCAAAGAGATCCTTCCCTTTGCAGGAAGAAGGCATATTTCCATGTGCAATTTACTTAGTAGTAAGGAAACCCGCATTTATTTATTTTAGGCTTAGGTTGACTATTGCTGTTTCTGAAGAAACTGAAGGGGAAAGATGGGAAGAGAGACTCCTGCTCTGTTACCATTTTGTTGCACGTCTGTTCCTGTCACTGGATTGAATACTGGAGGAACATAGGGCAATCAGGTGAAATAAATTAGAGGACAAAATTTAAATTAATGAAACAGCCCATAGGGTACCTTTTTTAACTGGCTGGTGAAATCGTCTTGACATCAAAATTGGTGGTACCAGATGTTGCGCCTGTCTTTTGGACAGCACATGTGGAACACACAAGAAGCATCTTTGGACTGCTTTGGAGTAATTATAACCTAAAAGAACAGGGACATTTCATGTACCTATCTTCGAAGTTCTCTGAGCATTCGCTACCAAGGGGCAACTTCCTATCTCCAATGGCAAATGTATTGGCTTTTTACAAAAGCTGAATCTTAAAAAATTTTTTGTTTTAGGAGAAGTGAGAACCCAACTGATTTCCTAATGCATCTCTTTATGACGTAGTTGGATTCTCCCAAATAGCCATTTGGAAATGATACTTTCAAGAGTCCTTGCTGGGTGGTTTAATGCCAATAATGAGACCCCCCAGCAGGTACTATGGTTTTTGATCAACATCAACATTTCCCCCCAAGAGAGAATTTTAAACTTTAAAATGTGAACAATGCAGAGGTTTGGCTTGCTTGTACATGTGTGTTCTAATCATGCTCTTTTTCTTCCTTTAAGAAAAGGGAAGTATTTCTTTGGGTATAATTTTCTTATTTTTTTGAGACAGCATCTCACTCTGTCGTCCAGGTTGGAGGGCAGTGGTGCAATCTTGGCTCACTGCAACCTCTGCCTCCAGGGTTCAAGTGATTCTCCTGCCTCAGCCTCCAGAGTAGCTAGGACTACAGGCCCACACCACCATACCCTGCTAATTTTTGTATTTTTAGTATTGACGGGGTTCCACCATGTTGATCAGGCTGGTCTTGAACTCTTGACCTCATGATCCACCCACCTCAGCCTCCCAAAGTGCTGGGATTACAGGCGTGAGCCACCGCACCCGGCCCTAATTTTCCTTTTAACTGACTATTAGATGCCACATGAACAGTGGACTTCTAAAAGTCCTTAAAGGTCAGTAACTGCTCTGCATGTGCAGATTCAGTAACTTTTGTTTTCCATGATACTTTCTGTCTTCCAGATCCTTTTGTGGTTGTATGCGTATTAGGCACACTTGGAACATATATAAGTCCTTCTTAGTATTCTCAATGTCATTATTTGAAATTACTGGGATAATATTAGCCCAGAAAGCATGCCATGTTCTGCAATCTGAAAATCTGCGTATTTTTTGAGACTTCCTAGATCATTGCTTCTCTTAACTGGGGCAGTACTTGGCTGGCTCCCTCTAGCACCTTAATTCCCCTACCTTGAAAGATAATTATTTTTAGAGGCTCAAAGTGAAGAGCCACGTGAGTAAAAGCAAAAAAAAAACTTGACATATTAACCTTGAAAGAAGACTACTGTAGTTTTTAGTCAACTTATTTGAATTATTATTTGAATATATACTAAATACTAGGTGACGTTCTCGTGAGAAATTTAATAGTTGTTAATGCTGTTTAACAATATAGAGAGAGGGAAAATGATCATAAAATCCAACGCTGGAGAGAACCCTTGAGGTCATCCAGGCCAATTCGCTCATCCTCAGCTCTCATTGGCCAAGTGGCTATGTGCGGATCGTTGTCTCCTGTGGGCGGGCTGGGAGGGCCCCTGACTTCAGCTGATGTTCTTTCTGTGCCGCACCTCTGCCTGTAGCTGATCTCTTGATGAATATGCAATAAGGTGGAAAATGGCATTTCAAATCCATCTTAGGCCTTTTCCTCTGTTATAAATGTAATTTGTTGTTCTCTTTTGAGGAGGGCCACATGAGCTGTTCTATCCTGAGGAAGTATTTGCAGGGTTAATAAGGAAATTCAGAGTGCTTTTCAAAAGAGCGTCCCATAATTTCCCAGCCGCTGCATTTTTAAAGTGTGCAATTTATCTTTATGTGTGACCTAATAATCTGGATTGCGTGTGTCACGTTTTTTATTATCTGGAAAAAAAATGTTAAATTCTGTGGGTGGTGTATTAAGTTTGAAGGGTCCTCGCTGCTTAAAATCTGTTATTATTATGACTTTATATTTTTATATCTTTCTGCTTCCCAAATAATGTTCAGGGAAGTCCCGGTTTTCTCTAAAAGAAGTGTGCATGTATCAATGGTGCCACTTTTTTTTTTTGAGACAGGGTCGTACTCTGTCACCCAGGAGTGCAGTGGTACAATCTCAGGTCACTGCAACCTCTGCCTCCTGGGCTCAAGTGATCCTCCCACCTCAGCCTCCCGAGTGTCTGGGACCACAGGCGTGCACCACCCCGTCTGGCTAATTTTTGTATTTTTAGTAGAGATGGGGTTTCAACATGGGCTGGTCTCAAGCAATTCACCCACCTTGACCTCCCAAAGTGCTGGGATTATAGGCATGAGCCGCCGCTCCTGGCCAGATGATGCCACTTTATAAATGTGTGTGTGTGTGTTTGTGTGTCTGTGTGTGGAACTTAGAGACCAACAAGTTTCTTACCTTTTCTTTAGCTAAGGAGATTTATCTCATAGGAAGTGAAATTGCAAATCAGGTTTTGCAGCCTGCTCTGACTCACACATTAGCAGAAGACGGTCAGTCATGTCTGTGTCCTTGCCTTTGAGGCCCAGAGAATGTAGGACACAAATCGCATCCTCTGTTTCATCCTCCGTGGGTAGTCTCCATGTCGATGCAGTGAACTTTCTAGGTGTACGAGAGTGCTTTTCATTGGGATGAATACACATTTCAAACTTAACCTCCTCTCTTTGCAAACTCTTTCCTCTTCAGGCTTCTCTAAGAATCTAGTGCCTCCATCCATCAAGCCAGAAATCAACGAGTTCTCCCTATGTCATCTCCTCCCTTTTTCACTTCATCCATCTCCAAACTATCCCTCCCCTTGTCAGCCCCACACAGACTTTTTTAGGATTTTTTTTTGTTTTGATTGTTGGAATACCCTACTAATTTGTTCTTAACAGTCATCCATTCTTTACCTAGCATAAATCAAGGCCTGTTACTTCACTGGTTCAGACTTTCCAAGGCTGTCCAGTGCACTTAGAATAAAATCCAACTTGTTTCCTAAAATATAATGCTCCAGGTGACTTGGCCATTGCAACTGTAGCCTGTGCTCCTGCCGTGCCTCCTACCTCTGCCATCCAGCTGCTGTGCCACAACCACACTGACCCTCTTGTACCTGCAACATGCCAGCTAAATATGTTCCCACCTCAGCCTCCAAGTCAGCTGGTCAACTGCTTGGAATGCTGTTTCCTTCTAATTTTCTTGTTGCGGGTTCTTGAATATTAGTTTTAATGTACCTTCTTAAGAGGGTATCTCAAAGCAGCAGTCAGGTCACTCTGTATTTCATTGTCGTTTAATTCTTTAGCGCATAGCACTCATCTCCATTAGATATTTTATTATTCATCTATCAATAAATCATCTGCTCACACTTGCATGTTACCTTTGTGACAGTAATGACTGTGTCCTGCATCCTTGATACTGGAAGAATGTCTGATATGCAATCTATATCCAATAAAATTAAGAATAAACAATTCAAGCTAAAAATCTCCAAACACTATGAATTTAAATACTGAAATGCTGGTGATGGTTATCTCAGTTATTTTGGGAATGGAGAATTTGAGTCAGGGCTGAGACTAGATAAGGTGAATAAAAGCACTTGCCACTGGATCAAAACCAAAGGCAGCTTCTTAGGTGCCAATATGGTGCAACATAGTTCTGTTAATGATCCTGTCTTTATTTTATTCTTTGTGAATTTTGGGTATTAATTTTGACTTTTAAAAGTATTGCATTAAAATATTATTTCTCTTGACTACTGAGGTTTTGTTGTCCCCCCACCCAACCCTGCCCTGTAGCCTTTTATCAGACTACTCTCTCATTTTTGCACTTGATTTTGCATTGTAAATTATAGCTAACATTTATTGTCTATTTCCTACCAGGTACTGCTTTACTTGGATTAACTAATTGAAAACTCAGAGCAGAGCTGTAAACTAGGTGGTGGTATTTGCAGATGAAGAAGCAGGCTTAGAGAGGACAGGTAATTTACCCAAGGCCACAGGGCTATTAAGAGGAGGAACTGGAATAGGTAGCATATGCATAATATGTAGGTAGGAATAGATGTATAAAGTGGAAGAGAGATTAGAGTCTTTAACTTCCTGGAATATTTTCACTACTGTTCTTGAGAGTTCTTTTTTTTTTTTTGAGACAGAGTCTCACTCGCTCTGTCACCCAGGCTGGAGTGCAGTGGCATGATCTCGGCTCACTGTATACTACGTCTCCGGGGCTCACGCCATCCTCCTGCCTCAGCCTCCTGAGTAGCTGGGACCACAGGTGCTTGCCACCATGCCTGGCTAATTTTTGTATTTTTGGTAGAGATGGGGTTTCACTGTGTTAACCAGGATGGTCTCGATCTCCTGACCTCGTGATCTGCCCGCCTCGGCCTCCCAAAGTGCTGGGATTATAGGCGTGAGCCACCGCACCCAGTGAGAGTTCTTTAAATAAATTGGCAGTGAGCAAAAGTCTAATGCTTAGGGATGGAAATGCGGACCTGCTGGTTGTGTAAGGAAGAGAAAAAGAGGGAACAGAATGAATGTCATTGAGATGCTTGTAGGACAGGGACCGCTGTCCTACAAGCATCTCAATGACATTCATTCTGTTCCCTCTTCCCATTTTGTTCCCATTTTGGCAACAGAGACCAGTTTTTTGGGCAATTTTTCCAGGGATGGGGGTCGGGTCGGGGGGTTGGTTTCGGGATAAGACTGTTCCACCTCAAATCATCAGGCATTAAATTCTTACAAGGAACATGTAACCTAGATCCTTCGCATGCACAGTTCCCAGTAGGGTTCATGCTTCTATGAGAATCTAATGCACAGGAGGGCATAGCTCAGGCAGTAATGCCTGCCACTCTCTTGCTGTGCGGCCCGGTTCCTAACAGTCCAGTGACTGGTGCTGGGCTGTGGTCCTGGGGGTTGGGACTGCTGCTTTAGGACACTTAATATGCTTCATATATTTTTTTGATCACCATTTAGCAGCACATTAGAGGATATGAAAAAATTTCCTATTGAGGCCAAACACTCCTGAGACCCTGTGACCTTAAAGTATGTAATGACTTTGAGAAAAAGTTTTTTAGTAAAAAAATCACTGCACACCACACATCAAAATATGTATGTTTATTTTGTTAGTTAATTGTAAAAGGTAAAACTTTGAAACCTAGAATAAAATATATATGTTTGAGCCTTTTTAAAGACATAAATGAAAGAAATCACTAAAGGAAAGCTTATATGAATGACTGTAATCGTTTCTTTCATAGTGCAAATTTATGCATCAGTTTTGTCAACAAATGAAAATAAAATGACAAATTGGGGAAATATTTGTAAATGAGCATTAATTTTGTGTTTAAAAACTACATTGTTTTAAAAAACGAGTAGGAAAAACAGCAAGTCCTTAAATAATTAAAATGAAAGGGCAAGTTCATAGAAGAAATAGAAATGGACAAGAAAAGTATGAAGCATGTTTCTTCTCAAAAGATGTAAATTAAATTTAGTTCAGTCTCTCAAATTTGTAGGGGTTAAAAAATATAGTCTTTTCAAAAGTGAGGTGGGGGATGGGTCTGTGGATGTGTCAGCTGGTACAGTTACAGGACTGCCAGATCCTGCACAAAGATTACATCCTTGGTCTAATCACATTTCTATGATACTCTCCTAAGGAAATGGAGATTCAGGCAGAGATTTTTGTTCAGGGGTGTTTATCAGAGCATTATTTACAAAAGCAAAAAATTAGAATTGCTCAAAATGTGTTATGACAGGGTAATTTTTAAATTATCACACATCTTTATGTTGTTTTTCAGATAATCATTATTAACCATTTCTGAAGAATAATTAGTATCAGAGAATAATTGTCATAGTATGTTAAGCGAAAAATAACAATAAAGTATTGTTGCAGGTTTTAAAAAAAAATTTTTGTGTGTGTGACAGGGTCTTGCTTTGTCGCCCAGGCCAGAGTGCAGTGATGTGATCTCTGTTCACTGCAGCTTTCGCCTCTTGGGTTCAATTGATTCTTCCATCTCAGCCTCCCGAAGGAACTACAGGCGCACATCACCACACCGGGCTAATTTTTTTTTGTATTTTTAGTAGAGACAGGGTTTCACCATGTGGCCCAGGCTGGTCTTGAACACCTGACCTCAAATGTTCCACCCACCTCGGCGTCCCACAGTGCTGGGATTACAGGCATGAGCCACCGCACCCAGCCTGTTGCAGTTTTATTTTAGAACAAGAACAGGAAAAAGTACATTTACCTAGAAAAAAAAGACTGGAAAGAAATATATCAAAATGTTCAAGTTTTAAAATAATTTTCTATAACAAATATTTGTAAGTTTTATTAATAGAAAAAATGTTTAGTGTATGAGGACACAAGATCAGGAGCTCTGGACAGATAAGAGACCTTGGTAGGTTCCAGTCTTACCTTCTCCCTCATTAGCTGTCAACCAGCAGAATCTTTGAATGAGTTGGTTCCCTCCTTAATGAAATCAATGGGTTCAGGGCTTCTCACACCTTTTCTCCAAAATACATCCAGAGGCAGAGAGAGTGAACATGTACTCTTAGGGGAAAGAATAGGAATAAGTTGAGCAGATTGGCTCAAAGTAACTTGCTGAACAAGTTTTAGCATGAAAATTCACATAAACTTCCTGTTCTCCAAATTATACTGATGCTAGTTTAAAAAAATTTTTAAATTGAGATATTTATATACCATAATTTACCATTTTATTTTTATTTATTTATTTAGAGACAGAGTCTCACTCTTGCCCAGGATGAAGTGCAATGATGCGATCTCAGCTCACTGTGATGTCCGCCTCCCTGGTTCAAGTGATTCTCCTGCCTCAGCCTCCTGAGTAGCTGAGATTATAGGCGCCTCACTACGTCTAGCTAATTTTTGTATTTTTAGTAGAGACGGGGTTTCACCATGTTGGCCAGGCTGGTCTCGAACTCCTGACCTCAAGTGATCTGCCCACCTTGGCCTCCCAAAGTGCTGGGATTACAGGTGTGAGCCACCATGCCGGACCTAAAATTTACCATTTTAAAGTGTACAAATTTATGTTTTTTAGTATATTCAGGAAGTTCTGCAACCAACTGATGTTAGTTTTTAATACACAAATGTTTACTACGGGCACTCCAAGAAAATGCTCTTGTACCTTTGAATAACCTTGTATGATCAAGTGACTCTTCTGGGAGGATTTTACCACACTGAGAAGTCCAGGACTGACATGACCTTCTAATACTTTCAGTGAATGAATTTTCAATGTGTTTTGCCTGTCTTTTCCTTTAAAACAACTTAACTGGATTAGTTATTATTAATAGTCCTGGTTACCACTAAATTACATGTCCAGTTTCCACTTGTAGTTGGTTATACTAAATTCAGTTCTGTTCTGTGTTAAATTTTAAAAATTGTCTGGGATCTTCTGCACGACCATGCTGGGGACAAATGGTTAATTGTATTCAACTCTTGCCCTCAACAGACAGTCATGAAAAGACGGGAAGTTATGGCAACTTTGGTCTTAGAGCTGCTGTGTTTCAAATGCAGGATTTTAATCTAAGTAGAGGAAAATGTGCAGAAAACAGAATACACATATTTTAAAGTAGATATAGCCTGGAATGTGGACAACACATGGATTGAGTTTTGACTCAGTGTTATTGAATACTTTTTTCTTTGCAGGTGTGGATTGATGATGTGCTTATTGGTAGAAAATTTCTCCTTAAAATTTCTAGTTCTACTTCATCCAAGTGTATGTGAAAGTAGCCCAAGTTCAGATGAGGTGGTGCTGAGATTTCATGTTTCAAACTCCTAGCTTAAACCAGTGGACCTGAAGTACAGTTACTCTATAATTCAGCTCCATGAGTCTTGGGTTTTGTTCTTGGCTGTTGTTTATCTGGGTGCTGACCAATTAAGAGAGTGGGGTGGGGGCATTCGTCCTGAGCCTTCCCATTCATTAAGATCTTCAGATTAGACTTCTGATAGTTTGACAATATCTCCAGATACAGTCATGAAAGGCCCTGGCAGTGTGAAATAAATATATTCATTGTGTAACTTTAAATGCCACAGTTTTGGTAACTGTTTTGGCATAACAGAGACCCTTGAAAAAAAAAAGTAGAAGTGGTATGGGCTTCCCTCAGTCTGTGAGAGGCCCTGGTAAGGTGTGTTTTCTGCCCCCACCCCCTTTTTTTTCTTCAGAGTAAAGATGATAAACCATGTAGACCCTTGAAGTTCCTGGTAGTATTCAGTGATTGTTTTCCAGAGCCCTTGTATGGAAATGGGCACCACCATCCTTCGGAGCAGTGGCAGTAATAACTGACATTTTTTAAGCATTGAGCAATGCTTCTGTATATGTGGTTTGGCCTTGGCAGCTCTTTTGATAACATAATAGCCCAAGAAGCCAGTTTAAGTGAGAGAAGGAACCAATGAGTCCACGATTGCTTTCAACAATAAATGCTAATTTATTACCATTAAGAAGGTACATATGATTGGATTTAAAATGGTCATTTTACTATTTGCAGACTATATCATGCAAATAGGCAAAATAATCATTGTAAACATATATATGGCTTATGTGAATCAGACACATAGAGTAAATACAGATTTTTGGCAGAACTTGTATGTGGGAATCCTGTTGTGTTGAAAAGATCTTGGGGGGAAGAAAAGGCCTAAAATGGAAGCATCAGATTGTGTGAGAGTGTGTGTCTAATGTGATGTATTCTAACAGCTTACAAATTGATGCACTGTATCATAGTATATTGAGTTTGTGTTTGATGTTTGTTCTGATGGAAGGAGATGTGAATGAACTGGAGATTGCTCTCTGTGCTTTATCCTGATCTAGCGAATAGGGAAGAAAAATTAGTATTCCTTATAGCCAATTACGCACACTGGATGAAGTGGCCTTCTCATAGCATGGTTCTTAAATAGTCTCATTTCTGGGTAATCTCATTTCTGGGTATTTAGATGAGCTGAGATAAGAAAAGGCAGAGTACTTGCCTGAAGGTACAAATAACTTTTATGGGGATATTTTCAAGTCATATTTATATAGGCCATTGAAAGAGCAGGGTTTTTTCTGGGACTCACACCCTTGTGTGTGTTCATTTGCTTGTTAAAGTTATTAAATGACTTGATTGGAGATATATTTAAATTAGCAAAAATGAGATCCTTATCCCTCCCCTAGATATTTTATGTAAGGGCTTGTCACCAGATTTTATAGTACCAGTGGTCTTGGAAGCAGAGTCATATTTCTTTAGATTGGTCAGAGTTATTTGTGCTTTTCATTGCCCTATGCTGTGAAAAGACATTAGTCATCACTGCATTCTTGAAATAATCTACTAGTAGAAAAGTCTGCTTTTTTTCATTCAGAGATAGAGAATTGTGAAGTCTCTTACAGTTTTCATTTTCATGTGGCCTTAGGAAACAACATAATTTTATGTAATTTGGGAACAGCTGTTTTTTTATTATACCAAAATTTTTCATACTAATCAGGACTAGATTGTTAAAATGGCCATTTCAAACTCAGAGAGTATGGTATAATTCTATAAAAATAGGAGAATGACACATGAAATTTGGCTTACACATTTGTTAGAAATAATTCATTTGTCTCTGTCATAGAACTGTATGGAACAAAGAAGCTGAGTTTTTTTCTTTGTTGATGTTTTAGTCCATATGCATTTGGCCTTCCCTATTCGCGGGTTCCATATCCATGGATTCAACCAACATTGGATAGAAAATATTTTTTAAAAGCCATAAAAACAATACAACAGTAAAAATAATACAAATGACAATACAGTATGACAACTATTTACATAGCATTTACATTGTATTAGGTATTATAATTTAGAGATGTTTTAAAGTATTTGGGGGATGTGTATAGGTTATATGCAAATATTATACCATTTTATATCAGGTACTTGAGCATCCTTGGGTTTTGGTGTCCAAAGAGGGAAATCCTGGAACCAATCCCTTGTGGATACCAATGTATGACTCTGGTTTTTTGGCTGAATTCTGTTCTAGTGCCAAATAATACCTTAATTTCCTACTTTTATTATTCTGCCTACAATATTTGCATCATACAGATTTTTCTTACGTGAAACTTTGCCTTCACTTTGAATTCACAACATTTGTATAATAAAATGAAAATGTGAACATTAAGTTCTTGAGTGAAATTTACCTGGAATTTAGGGCTGGTCAATTGGAAGATGGCAGCAAGATTCAAAATGGGTCCCTTTAATTGAAATAACATTCAGAAATTCAAAATTAGCTTAAAGGGAGAAAAACTGGGTGTAGTCAAAGCCCAGATGAGATATTTTTAAATTGTGGGCAATAGAAGTGAATTATCATGGATTTAGGATAATTGTGAAAATCATGCCCAGACCTGTTTCTTTATCATGATTGGCTTCCAGAAGTGTGTCATGAGAATGAGTTACTGAATAGAAAACACTTTATAAATAAAAGATTTATAGAGAACAGGACAGAGGAGAAAGAGAGGATGCCCTCCATTCCCTTGTATTCCTTGTCCTTCATTTGATTGGTATTTGTGCTAGTCAGAGCTCCAGAAGGAAACGAACAGCACACTCCAGTGTGGGGATTGAGGAGTGGACCAGGTGTAAGTAACTTGTAAGAGCTGGTGCAGTAACCTGGGGCCAAGCAATAGCTGGACAAGGCAAGGGAGCAGTTGTTGGGACCCAGAGAGAGCAGCAGTATGGAGAGGGCCACCCAGCAGGAGCTGGGACCTTTTGAAGGCAACATAGCACACCTGTGCTGCCACTGCAGCGAGGAAGCTAGGAGAATAAATGCCCCTTCCTGTTTGTCCCGCTCTCTGGTTTCCTCTTGGCTAAGCCCAAGCAGAAGACAGAATATAACAAAGCTGTTGAAATCCCTATTGGTCAGCCTCCTGGGGGTACCCAGCAAGATGAGATGGTTGAGAAAGGATCCCTGGGTGTGTTTCTGGCCAACAGGAAAATATCTTAGAGTTGATACTTTTATTGTTTTTTCTTTCCTCTTAATTTATCCTAATTCATTCATCAGTCACATGTTTGGCCCCTACTTGGAGTCTACATTAGTGTGATATCCAGTGTGTGGACAGTGCCCAGGGGCTTGGTGACTAGATCCAAAGAAGTGCCAAATGTTGACTGCTCTTGCCCAACGTGATTTCATTTAAACACATGCCAGTGTGCTTATACTTCATATACTTTCTCTTTTTTGGTGGGGGCGTAGGGTAGTGATAAGTATATAAAAATTTCTCAGGTGACCAGGAGAAAAAAGGTCCTGTTGCCTGATATTAACCTCACAAATTAGGATTTCTTCTTTTTTTATTGTGAATTAATGATTGTTTACACTTGGGCCTTCAGAGCAAACCTTTGGCTCTGGGATCGTGATAATAAAGAAACAATCGGGATTTTTTTTGTCTTGTATACTTTTAATTGCTTGGGAGAGTAAAAATACTAGTTTCTATAAATCGTTGGTTGATAATGAGAAAAAATTTTGTAGCTTTATTTCTACTAGAGAGATGGTAGTTTTCAACCACTTTATGCTTTTATCCAGTATTCATGGTTGGGATTATAAAATACTCATTTTAAACTTTTTGGATTAATCCTGTTAAACTGGGGTGATAGCATTCACATTACAGCTGTTAATTTATATTTCTAGGAGTTCCAGATCACTTTACTAAAAGTAATAGGAAAATTATTATAAAGGAATCAGCCACTGCAGGACTCTGTGGCTAGAAATACCTTTCATTGTAACTGTGTGAGGGCTATGTATTTACCAAGACATCTGCAGTCATTTAAGAGGCTTCTATGAAAACTGTAATACTTAATTGAAATTTTGTGATTGTTTATAAAGATAGTAATGAAATCCAACCATCAGAAAAACAAAATGAATTTAGGACAGATGGCGTATTACTAGCTTTTATTTTTTTTCTCCCTCCTTCCTTCCCTCCCTCTCTTCCTTCTTTCCTTCCTTTCCCTCTCTCTTCTTTTCCTTCCCTTTCTTTCTTTCTTTTTCTCAGCTTTGTAGTGAGCAAATGGCATTAAGGACCCTGATGATAGGGACATTCTGTGTTTCATTCTATTATTCCGTCTTTAATATCCAAATTGGCACTTTTATTTTCTTCACATTTTTGGGGTAAGGTAAAGACAGTTATTGTTTTGGAGATCTCAAGGAAATTTGAGAGGGAGTGAGAAACAGGCCCTGAGAAAGGACACATGAAAATAACCACTCATATTTAGAAAAATGAAGCTTTTAGATTTGAATTCATTGTAGGAGAAATATGCTGTCATTTTGTGAAGTGATCCCATTTTTCTGTCTTGTCTTCTTCCCAGGGACATATATAGCTCTGTTAGGGGTTACCTTCAGGCTTATGGTAACGGAAAAGTAATATTGAAGATGTGAAAAAGGAGATAGCACAGAAGGAAAAAAAGCTAATCACAATAAATTTCTATATAATGTTACTAGTCAAGAATCGGGAGAGGGAAGAACCACCGTTGCTTTCCTGAATTACGTGATTCCTTGGAATAACTCAGTCAACCAACCTCCCACCAGAAATAAATTCAGGGGATATGTGTTATCTAGAAAAATGATTCTTCTTGTCCTATCAGGATACTGTGTTCTTATGCCACATTTTAAAATTGGAGAAAATGGGCTGGGTGTTGGAAGGCAAGGCTGGTGCACCCCTTGAGGCTAGGAGTTCACAGCCAGCCCAGTCAATCTAGTGAGAACCTGTCTCTACAGAAATTTAAAAAAAAAAAAAAATTAGCTGGGCATCGTAGTGCATGCCTGTAGTTCCAGCTATGGGGAGGCTGAGGTGGGAGGATCAAGAGACTCAGATGGGATTTCTTTATCTCAGGAGTTCAGGGCTGTAGTGAGCTATGATCACACCACTGCGTTCCAGCCTGCATTACAGAGCAAGACGCTGTGTCTAAAAAAAATAAAATAGGGAGCGTGTCTAGAAATTTTCAGACCTTTTTTTCTTATCTCTGTCTGAATACCGTTTGTGTAAGTACACTGTCATTTCCAGATCCAAATCCTGGCTAATCAACCCAGTGTCCTGGAAGCGTTTCAGATATTCTCCAGGGAACAGAGCTTTATCAAGTTTTATCATGTTCAAAAGATGCTGTTGCCATTGTTTCTTGCAAGATACATGGTTACAAATCACTATCAAAATTCAGTGCTGAGTGGTTTCCAAGGAGGTGACGGGTTTGGGTTTTTCATTGTTGTTGTTTGAGGTCATCTGCCTTTGAAATAGACTCTCTCCCTCTAATTTTGCTAAATGTTCACCATAGGTAGTGTTTCCAATTCTAGAGTCGCTCCTCTCAGCAGGCTATCTGGGGATGTTAAATCCAAGGCATGGTATTTGGTTTAGTTATCTGAGAGACTGAGATGGCACTGTGGTCTGATGAGCTGCTATTGTTCATCTTTCAGGGACAGGAGAGAGTGGCAAGAGTACGTTTATCAAGCAGATGAGAATCATCCATGGGTCAGGATACTCTGATGAAGATAAAAGGGGCTTCACCAAGCTGGTGTATCAGAACATCTTCACGGCCATGCAGGCCATGATCAGAGCCATGGACACACTCAAGATCCCATACAAGTATGAGCACAATAAGGTAGGTGCGACTCTTCATTGGAGCAGTCAGCTGAATGTTCCAGGTGTTCACAATAATGTGACAACACGAGTAGCCTCTTGACATGTCTGGAGTGCATAGGGGGGTTTGGAAATATACATTTTCCATCCCATCATAAATGAGACTTTTAATAGATAATAAGTTATTGATAAATGTCTTTTTCTTAAACCTCTAAAGTTATACCTATAAAAAACCAGATTTGTATTTTTAGTGATATCAATGAAAGGCATATTTGGATGTTCAGCAATAAATATTTTCAGGTTTAAAATTTGGAGAAGCACATTATGTTAAGGAGAGAGTTTGTAAGTATCATAAATTGGCCAAAATAGGGGATTTCAAAGAGGTGGTGGCCTTGCTTTTTAATACATTGAAAAAAGAGTGAAAACAACCTAAAACTATTCTGTCTGGTTTAATTTTGAATTTTGTGATTTTCTTTCAGTAGTACCACAGGCTTCATTTGATTTCAAAATAGGTCCATCTGTCACTTCCAATAACCTTTCCAACGCATTTCCCTGCAACTGTGTTAAAGTAACAGAAACTTCTAAAACCACTTGAAAAAGGATTGGGGGAATAAACCCTAAAATTATTTTAGCTTTTTACAAAATAAGCACACTTCCAGTATCCTCTAGCATTATTTCTTGGTTGAAGTAGAATACCATCCCACTTCTCCCCTGAGTGAAAATAAATGCTGTGATTGCTCATCCTCTAAATATTAAAGAGATGTAATACCAAACAAGATTGGTATACCTGAGTGTTGTCCCATGTTTGAATTTATGCTGCAGTTGTCCTACATAAAGCTTGTAGGCAGGAACTGGACCTGCACCCAGGGTGTGACTGTCTGTGCTGAGGCTACCAGCCCAAGGGAAGGGATATCTATTTGGAATTTGTTAGAAATGTCTTTGTTGTCTTCAAAAGACTTCGTTGCCTTCCCGTTAATCAATACATCCCCCATGGATGCAGTCTTTGCTCCTCAGGGATTTTAGATATGCTGATCCTATAAGTGAGCCTTGCCTTTTGTTGATAAAACACTGCATTTATACCTATAATTATTTTAGAGCCTTCAATAAGAAATTTTCATTCTCTCAGTACTTTTGATAAATCTACTGTGAAGGATATTTCCATTTTCCAAGATCAGTAAGCAATAGCAAGAAGTTGCAATGTCCAGTGGGACTCATAGATTTAACTCACAAAGTGAACCCACTGCTAAAATAAGGCAATTCTGTATACCTTTGCCTCTGTTACCATCCCAAGGCTTCTATAATAAAATACCAAATCATCTTAAAATCAGGCATTTGTTTTTCTTAGATGGTTCCTTGAAATTAACACTGGTTTCTTACCTAATTGATACTTTCATACCTGGTTTTCCGGTGGCAACAGGAATCTTTCCACAAATAACAAAAAGACCCTCCACAAATAATTCCTCCTGCTTTTATTTTCAAGGGTGAAAAAGAACTGTGCAAGTTTGTGAGCCCAGGAACATGGTAATTGAGCCAGAGTAAGCTGCATGGATATATCTAAGTAGTCTGAATTTGAAAGGATCAGGGTTCTCCCTGCCCCAAGAAATCTCAGTGGTTTCTGAAATCGTTAGCATGCTTGTTTCCTTGTAGTTGTAATTGTGTTGAGTTTGTTTGTTGTTTATTTTTTTAATACCAGCGAGTTTTCCAGTTTACGGTCAGTTAATAATATGATGATCTGATGAATTCTGCCTGACTTACCATGTGTGTGCTATTTGTTTTTTATATATACACACCACACTGCCAGTTTACACACTAAAATATAATCTCCCTGAATTTTATCCCCCAAAATCTTATTTCTTAGATGTTCCAGAAGAATCCTTCAGGACCTTGCCCTGTTTTAAGACAGGACCTTGCCCATATGAAGATCATTTATTATACAGTCATGTAGATGTTAAAGATGGGGTGGAATTTATGCCTTATTCATGTAACACATTGAAGAATATTTAACAAGTTATTTGAACTTTTCATGTCAATTCTTTTTTTTTTTTGAGACAGAGTCTTGCTCTGTCATCAGGCTGGAGTGCAGTGGCGCGATCTCAGCTCACTGCAATCTGCGCCTCTCAGGTTCAAGCGATTCTCCTGCCTCAGCATCCCAAGTAGCTGGGACTACAGGCGTGCACCACCATGCCCAGCTAATTTTTATATTTTTAGTAGAGACGGGGTTTCACCATGTTGACCAGGTGATCTTGATCTCTTGATTTCATGATCCGCCTGCTTCGGCCTCCCAAAGTGTTGGGATTACAGGCATGAGCCACCTCTCCCGGCCTCATGTCAATTCTAATTAAGTAGACATTACTGTGTTGAATACTATTCAGTTATAAATTGACATCATAAAACGTTACAATATATGAGTTTTCCTCAGATACCATAATTATCCTCATAAATCCTCCTACATATCATGACTTTAGTGTGATGACCTCCCAGTTTCCCATGTTTAACCACCTTTCATTCATATTACAAATGACTTTCACGTTTGTTTCTTTTTCTCTATATCATATACATGTTCTAAAGCGTCATTTTCACCTTGCTTCATCCATTAACTTTCTGAACTCTGCCCACTTGTTGCCTTTGTTTATGCTTGTTAAGGACATCATGTCTACTCCTTCCTGTTCAGCTCAGCTGCCTCTTCTTCCGAGAGTTCTCTGATAGCTTCCCAGCCCCTCATAGTGCTAAGTAATCCTACTGTTCTTTAGCATATCCATAGCGAAGTGTTTGTAATTGCCTAGCTTGTATTGATTATGGTGACTTGGATGTTGATCTTATTTTCCTCACTAGATTCTGAGCTCCTTGAAAGTCAGTCTTCATCAGTTCCATCTTTGCATTCATTCTTCATTGTCCCTGGCATTATATCTTGTACATAGTAAGTGCTCAAAAAATACATCTTTTTGAATAGGTAAATTATTTGTGGCCAGGTATGGTGACTCATACCTGTAATCCTAGCACTTACGGAGGCTAAGGCGGGCTGGTAGCCTGAGGTCAGGAGTTTGAGACCAGCCTGGCTAGCATGGTGAAATCCTGTCTCTACTAAAAATACAAAAATTAGCCAGGCGTGGTGGCACATGCCTGTAATCCCAGCTACTTGGGAGGCTGAGGCAGGAGAATCGCTTGAACCCTGGAGGTGGAGGTTGCAGTGAGCTGAGATCATGCCGCTACGCTGCAGCCTGGGCAACAGAGCAAGACTCCATCTCAAACAAAAAAAATTATTTGTGAGCTTAACAATTGAGAGTCTCCTCGTCTGCCCTAAACTTGTCGAAATGATTATTCAAATCAACAAATAACTCTTGAAATCTGTATGCATAAGGGAATAAATGCTATATACTGTCAGGGATACAGAAAAGTTTAATCAGGGCTGGGCAGAAATTTACAATCCAGAAAGGGAGAAGGGCAGATCTGAGGGAGGGGCACATTGGGGAGAAGGAATGGCTATAATAAATGATCAGAAGAAGGAATTTGCATGGGATGTAGAAATCTGCCAATTTAGCTTGAGTGGAATTCTTATAGAGGAGGACTAGAAAATGGTTTAGGATGTTTCATGAAAGATTTCACATGCAGGCTAAATTTGGATTTTATTTTCTTGTGTTTATTATTTTAATAATAATATTTTATGTTTTGGTTAGAGTTTTCTATGGTTACAAAGGTATATACTTTATAATTTATAAATAGTCTAAAGAATTTGGTGTATATTTGATTAACAGTTACATGGAGGTATCACATTCTGATTTATATTATTGTGACACTAAAGATATAAAATAAATAACTATTTTGGAAATTTGGCTTAAAAACATAACCATTTGGTTTTTAGTAAAGCTTCTCTGCACCCACCATCACATTGGCCATAATCTATAGTAGCATAAATAAAGATACTTTCTAATATTGTCCAGCATAACTTTGTACTTGCTTTTGAGCTCCTGTATTTTATAAAGCAAAACATGGCCTGTACATTATATGAGCTCTTCTGAACTGGGAAAGTGTTCAGTTTTGTTTGCTGTGAAATTGATTCTGGCTTTTGGAATGCCACCCCAGAGTAACTGAGGTTTCTGTTGCTCCTGCTTACTTGTTATTGCTTGAACCGAGAGTCCTGCCTGGTTAGCTGGCCGGAGGGTGCTGTGGTCAGGGGGAGTCCAGTTCACAGTCTCTGGACCAAATGGTGTGACATTGCATGCCCTTTGTCAACAGATTGCATAATTAGTAAGGAGCTTGTAATTGCACATTTTACCAAAAGAAAGATGAATTCTTCCCCGAGTGTGTATCTGTTGTCCTGTTCTTGTACTTTTTGCCAAACAAGCACTGTTTATAGGTGAGCTGCTTGGACTCAGCCCAGGTGAGAGAAGACATACGTCTTAGGACTTCTGAATAGTCTGTGAACTAGGGTTTGTTTATTCCTAAATATTATTTTGCATTTTCCCTGAACACAAATATTGATAACTAGTGATAAAAAGGGATTAAGTATTTGTCACTCGGTCAAATCAAAAGCCATATTTAAGGCTCTACTAGGTGCAAGGGCATTTGACTGTGAGATAACTGTGTCATTTCTTAGTTTACAAAAGAAAGAATTTTTATCCCTGTTATTTTATGGCTTCCTTTTTTTTTTAAGTTTATTATTTTAAAACTTTTACTTTAGGTTCAGGGGCACATGTGCAGGTTTGTTTATAGGTAAACTCGTGTCATGGGGGTTTGGTGTACAGATTATTTTGTCACTCAGGTACTAAGCCTAGTACCCAGTAGTTATTTTTTCTTACCTTCTTCCCCCCCACCCTCCTTCCGCCCTCTTTATACCGATGTGCTTTTCTGATGGATCTTTGCTTTGGTGTTGAAATCAGCTCTTAATTAAAAAGGAAAGGATATAAAGTGCCTGTGTTTATGTGGCCAAGGAACTGTCTTTGAGTTACAGCTGAGGGAGTGGATCTCAGGGTTTGGAATCCTTGATTTTTTACTGTCTGAACTTGGCAGTTGGGGTTCTTCCTGCGTTGCCTGTTACTAGTTATTTCATATTTGTTTGCCTTATTTTCTCAGATTGAAAATTATCTTACAGTAAGCAAGCTTCTTCCTTTATAATTCTTTATCTCCTCCGTAACATGCCAGACATGTTGTAGAAGCTTTTGTTTATTGAGTGAATTACTCCAGATAGCGGATCATAGTATCCTTTGATAGTTGGCTTATAATCTCTATGAACTGTGAAATAAGGGTGGTATTGTGGCAATTTCAAAGTATTGATAGGCCATTGCTCTCTTTGCCAGTCCTGGGAAGAGAAAAGAATCTGATACAATGCTTCTTCATGTAGTGAATTTTAAGACAGTTGTCTAAGAGAACTCCGCCTCACCTTGGGCCAATGTTGAGTGGACAGTTGCACCTTTTTTTTTTTGTAAACCAGTTTTTCCTTTTAGACTTGAAAGTCCTGATAACCAGGGCTTATTTAGCACCTTGGCTGCAGCTGTCTCTGACAAACTAGCCAGGCGTTTTGAGGCCTGACACCTGTGTTTCCCTTTCGCCTAGCATGGAGGGGTTATGAGAGGATGTATTGCTACAGTGCCTTTTGTCCTCTCTAAGCAATTCTGAGAAAGAACTTGTCACAGGAAAGTACCTCGTTAAACACATTTGACACTTTCTGAATTTTCTGTACTTCCTGAATAATCCAAGGTCCCAGAAGCCATTTTTCATTTTCCTGAAAAATGTAGCCAGGATTCTGGAAAACTTGCCAACTTATTGTTGCCCTTGATCAAGGAATAAAACATTACTACTTTGTGCAACATGAGTGAATTTTCTTAGTTTACAAAATGCCAAAAGGCTGATTTCATTTTAGTATTTCCCACCTAGATAATAAATACATAATAGAGGCAGAATTAATAAATACATATTCTTATCTACCCCTCTGAAGAGCTCTATCAGTCAAGGTTCTCTGCTTGCAAGCAACAGAAACCAACACTGGCTAACTTAAGCAGAAAATGAATTTATCTGAAAATGGACTCACTGGGAGAAGGGAGTAGAAGCTGAAGGATGGCCTCTTAGAAACTAGGGCAGGCTCAGAGAACTCATCTGTGAAATGGATGAACTCTGGCCATTTCCAATCTTCTGTCACCCACCTAAGATTCAGATTTCTGGGAAAAAGTGCCGATTTGGAGCAGCCTGGATTCTGTGCTAAGTCTTTAGACAGGGGAAGGCTCAACAATATGATTGACAGCCCCTGAGGGAAATCTGGGTACAGTTGGTGGAAGAAGGGGAATGATGGTGTTACAAATTACACATCTTCACTGCAAAAATACACAGCGTGAAAAATAAAGTGACACATGGATTCTCCATAGAAGCAAGCCCTCTGATTTTACTGTTTGCTAAGTCTTTGTTAAAATAAAATTTCTTATTCTGGAGTGGAAAGAAGTAAAGGGGTTAGTGACTTAGTTATATACGAAGTAGCTAGCTGAATTTGACTCTAAGGATTGAATATAATAAGCTTGGGATTATCCCATTTCCACACCACCCCCACCCCCGCCAGCTTCAATTGTTTTAACTCTCTAAGCCTTGAATTTCTCCATCTGTGACAAATAGTAATGGGATTATTTCAAGGGTTAAATAGATAATGTATGTGAAAATGTCTCATAAATGGTTTTTGAAAGTTTTGAAGTTATAAGAGGAATTGTCATTATGTAGAGAATGAATACTACTAACCTTCCATCTTTTTAAAGAATAAAACAAAAAAACAATGTGACCAGATTTAGGAGGTATTTAAGGAAAACCTCAGAGTCACTTCAGAGTGACAGTCATTGAAATGGGATACTAAAAGAGGTACAGAAATAAAGAATAAAACAAAGAATAAAACAAACAATGTGACCAGATTTAGGAGGTATTTAAGGAAAACCTCAGAGTCACTTCAGAGTGACAGTCATTGAAATGGGATACTAAAAGAGGTACAGAAATCTCCTTATCTGGCTGTGTTCAAAATAGAATGTATTTTTAACATGTGAATTTCTTTAAAGCACTTTTGCTAAAATAAAGCTAGGAATGTACTAGACAACCTCTAAAATTCTTCTCAACACTGTTTTTCTTCATGTTGATTTTCTCATTCTGAAACTCTAAAAAAGAGATGATGCTGTTATTAAAATTATTTTCTTATATTTTGAAGCTTTTGCCTTTCTTGAACTTTATCCATTCTACAGCACCTATGAAAAATTTTTAAAAAGACAATAAACAACAGATTTGCTTTGATAATGGTCTCCAGCCCAATAGAGATTTTTTTCTTTGTATCTAAATCCCATACGTGATTGTAATGATTACATCTATGTTGATTTTTTTTTTTTTTTTTTTTGGTGTTCAAAAGTAAAATATCAGATGAAGGTTTTTGTGGGTGACAGTGATTTTAATTGGATTCTTGGCCACAGGGTACCAAAACAGCCTATGCTTTTTCATAGGGAAACTTTCTACTCCTGCTTCTATAAATCTTTGAGAGTTTTCTCATCTTTTTTTTTTGTTTTGAGACGGAGTTTTGCTCTTGTTGTCCAGGCTGGAGTGCAATGGCACAATCTCGGCTCACCGCAACCTCCGCCTCCTGGGTTCAAGCGATTCTCCTGCCTCAGCCTCCCAAGTAGCTGGGATTACAGGCATGCGCCACCATGCCTGTCTAATTTTTTGTATTTTTTAATAGAGACAAGGTTTCTCCATGTTGGTCAGGCTAAATCTCAAACTCCCAACCTCAGGTGGTCCGCCCGCCTCGGCCTCCCAAAGTGCTGGGATTACAGGCATGAGCCACTGTGCCTCTTGGCTTTTTAATAGTCTAAAGGAATCTATGGACTTTTCATGGCCAATTTGATGAGTCAGCCACCTCTTTTTCTAAGATTGGTTTACTGCTTTCTCCCTTCTCTCCAGGACTCTTGGGAGTTGAATCACCATGGAGTCTCTGGTAACTATATCAACTTTCAAAATCCCTTTCTATAATTTCTTTTCTCTTTTAATATCTTGCAGATACTTCCTAGCCACATTTTCTTCTCCTCCCTTTATCTTTGCAGTTCTTTATTCATTTTATACCCATGACGGCCATGTAAAAATAGCAGATGAATATGAGATATTTAAAATTCCTTGTTTTCTTGGCTAAAGTTAATTCGTAATCCCAAGGCATGCCATATTGCCTTTCTAGGATGTACATCTAAGTTCATTTTCATCAGAGGAGGGTTCTGAAACAAAGGAAGACTTCAGCAGTGGACTGAGACTGATATTTTTTTCTTTTTCGATAATAAAAATTTCAAAAAAATACAGAAGAGTGCACACAACATCAGTATTGAGTCGTGTGTGTTTTTCCATTGTCAATACATGTATATCTGGATTTTTTGATCTGGGTCAATATAACCATAACCTCAGAAGATTCTTCATGCTCCCTTCCAGTCAATACTCCCAAGTTCCGAAGGATGACCACTATCCTGACTTCTGGTAACGTAGATTAGTTTTGTTAGTATTTGATCTTGGTATGAATGAAGGCATACAAAATATATATTCCTTTGTCTCTGGTTTATTTTACTCAACATTGTGTTTGTGGAATTCACCCACGTTGTTAACTTGTAATTCCTTTATTCTCATTGCTATGTAATAGCAGTGCCTCACAGAACTTTCTGTGGTGATAAAAATGCTTTCTATCTCTTCTGTCCAATACAGTCGCCACTAGCTGCATGTGACTATTGAGTTGTGAAATGTGCCTAGTGTAACTGAGGAACTCAATTTTTACTTTCATTTAATTTTATTAATTTACATTTAAATTTACATGTGACCAGCAGCTACTGTACTGGACAGTACAGTTGTATGACATTTTATTTTATAAATATGCTATAATTTGTTATAATTATATATATATAATTATATCCTATTATAAATTTGGGCATTTCTGGCTGATAAAAATACTGCAAATATAAACATTCCTGTACCTGTCTTTGGTGAACATAAGTCTGCATTTCTTTGGAGTATGTATCTAGCATTTGGAATTCCTGAGTCAGAAAGTATGCATATAATCAGTTTTAGTACGTAGATACTGCCAATGAGTTTTCCAGAGTGATCATACCAGTTTACATTCCCACAAGCTGTAAGAGTTCTAGTTGCTCCACATCCTTGACAACAGCATTTGGTATTCTTTTTGTTTTAGTTATTCTCATGGCTGGTATTACTAGTTTTGGTTTGTGTTTGAGACTGGGTCTCAGCTATGTTGCCCAGGCTGGTCAAGAACTCCTGGGCTCAAGCAGTCCTTTCACCACAGCTGGGATTACAGGGGTGTACCACCTCACCCAGTAGTCTTTTTAATTTGGCTATTCTGATGGCTGGATAGTGGTATCACATTGTTGTTTGAATTTGCATTTCTTTGATAACTAAGCATCCTGAGCACTTTTTTATATGTTTACTGGCTATTTGGTTATCTCTTATAAAATACATTAATTTTTTACCCTTTTTCCATTGGCTTGTCTGATTTCTCATTGTTTTGTAGGAGTTCCTTTTATATTAAGGACATACATCTTTGTTGAGTAAATGGCTTACAGATGTCTATTTTGTGGCTTTTTGTTTTCTTAATGGTTCTTTCAGTGAAAGTTCTCAATGGTAAGATAGCCCAGTTTATAATTTTTTCCCCTTCTAATAATTGCTTTTTTGTGTCCTTTTAAAGTAATCTTTGCCTACTTAAGGTCATGTAGATAATTTGCTGGATTTTCTTCGAAGTTCTTTATTGTTTTACATTTTACATTCAGATCTAAAATCCATTTCAGGTGGATTATAGAGTATGGTATAAGGTAAAGGCCAAGTTTTTATGTTTTTTATCTGGATATCTAATTAACCCAATTCATTTATTGAAATGACCATCCTTTACCCAGAGCAATACAGTGTCACCTTTGTCACAAATCAAGTGAATGTATATGTTTGAGTTTGTTTCGGGACTCTCCATTCTGTTCCATTGATCTATTTTGTATATCTTTGTGCCACTGCTGTGCTCTATTAATGACTGAGCTTTGCAATGTTTTAATATTGGGCAGCAGTAGAAGTCACTCAGTGTTGTTTTTCTTCTTTGGGATTGCACAAGAGCTGAATTTATTCCTGTGTACTTTTAAAGAAGAGCATTTTTTTAACTGGCAGGTAGATTTCCTAGGGTTAATCCAAATGTGTTAATTGTTCTCTCTAATGCAGACATCTTCCTTTTTCTTGAGGCCTCGGTTTATTTCCTTATCCAGACTGTGTTAGCTGCATAGCTTAGTAAAAGGACTTTTATTTTTCCTAGTTTGATAATACGGTTTTCTTTTTTAGATCAGTGTCCTTATTTATGAAGGGTGATGGTGGCTTCATTATTATTCAGTGATGTTCTTTCTCACTTTAAGCATTTCCTCTAACAAGAGTTGGAGCTGGACACTGAGTGCAATGGAGTTCTACCAAATTCCCCTTCCACAAATCGCTTTTTGGGCCAACATGGCTCTACAGCACCGGATTTTGCATCAGAATCCCTTCGAGTTTCTTATCTTCACCATCTGTAGCATTTAGATTGAAAAGGCTTACCTGGGTTTTCTTTTTTTGTGTTTTATGATCTCAAGCTATTGGGAGTAGACCAATTCGTGTGGCTCAATATGAGAGTTAAAGTTACGTCAGAAGGTAATGAAAGCTGATTTTGCCCTTTTATTAACTATAGTATTTTAATCCTGGTATGTAAAATTATTACTCATTTGTGCCTAATGCAGATAATGGGAAGCAGCTCACTGTGGTAAAGTAGGGGCATTAAGCACAGGTGCAACTGTAAACATGTATCCACATACACACGTATACACACACTCATGTATGCCAGCAATGACCTTTGGACACTACATTGTATATGTATGTGGGAATAAAACTGATGGACGTCCAGCATTATCTCTAAATTGTACACATGCAGTGACTGTCTTTGCATAATGTTCCCCCAGCTTATGCTTGGTGGCCTATCTGCATTGTTTTTCATCTCATCTCAAAGTAACCTAGCTCAGCTTGTCTTCAGCTCATGCACAGCTTCCACAGCCACAGCTCAGTTCATCTTTAGCTAATCCAAATCGTTTAAAATTGGATGAAAGGAAGAAAATTAACACTTGAGGGCAGAGATTGGGCCTTAATTACTTAAACCTAGTTCAGTATTTGACATATGGTTCTACTCTGTTGAATGAATTAACGAGTGAACACTTGTTGACCGTGATGGGTTTTGTGTACTGTGTGGTATACACACAAGAACACAACTACTGGAGTCATACACAACTTGGTTTGAAACATACTCTACGACAAAACTGTTGTGTGGTGTTAAGCAAATTAATGTCTCTGAATTCCAGTTTTCTTATTTCTAAAATAGTGGTGATTCTAATGCCTAGTTCACAATGTGTTTTGAGAATTACATAGTCTGGAAAAGTTGAAAGTGTTGTCCATTGTTAAATGGAGATGATGTTCTTTAGTCATTCAACAAATGTTTGCTAAGTATCTCCTATGTTGTAGTCAACAGAAACTGATATGGCTGATTAAAAAAAAAAAATAGCACTCTAAGGAACATTACTGATTGGTCCAAACACATGAGCGAACTCTGCTTTAGCAGCCTGTCTCTAAACTGCTCTCAGCTGCTTAGACAAACCTGCGCAGAATGACCAGGAATTGACAGCCACCATATAAAACACATGTGGCATAGTTTAACGCATTTTAGTAGGAAGTTGTGAAGCTGGTCATTTGGCTGTTCTTGGTTAACTCCTGGCAAAGCATCAGATGAATACTTTCCTTGTTCTTTTAAACCAAGTAATGTATTGTTTTCCCTTGTTAATTTTAAAACAATGCATCTATTTTCAGTTAGGCAGAATATATTTGTTGGAGCCAAGGAAAGTGAATGCCTGAATGGAGGTCGAGGGAGGATATGAGAAATGCTGGGGCATTTCCTTCTCATTTTTACGCCACTGGAGAAGTCATCTCAGTGATGCACTTAGTTTTTGCTATTGTAGAAAATCAGGGTAGTGCTTACTTAATATTTAGCAAAGCAATAGTTTCCTTCATTTTAATAGCATGTATCAAAACCTAAAAACTTGTTGCTTCTCAGGAATTGTAGTCTTATTCTTTATTATATTGTTTTGCCCTAAATTACTTACACCTGCTATGCAATTATGTTTTTAAATAGTATGTTGTTAACCTACTCATGATTTTCATTAGTACAAGCATGTATATCCAAACATGAATATCAGCAAGAAATGCACTTTAAAAAATGACTTTTTGTGTCATTTCATGTTATATTATGATACTTTTCCTTTCAGGAGAGAAAAAAATAAGCTCTTCATTAATAGCTGCAGTTACTCATTTTGGCTTTTCCCGTATAAATGTATACTTTTACCACCTTTATTTTCCTGATTTTATGTTTCTTAAAGTGAATTTGTTAAGAAGATACCTTTAAGTTGTTGCTACCACTTTGTAAGATGCATATGCAGTTGTTGTTTTTTTTTTTTTTACTATCTTGTGTTATTTGTTAAAACTGAAATGTAACTGAAAGGACTGGCATATATCAAGAAATGTGATATCCCCGCTGAGATGAGCAGTAGTATTGGATTGGCTGGTAGGTTATCTGCTTCTGTCAATGTGCACACTTCCTTTGTGGTAAAAAGTATAACGGTTTTGAACTAAAAAGAAGACTGTACTGAGTGTTGTCGATATTGGCCTCCCTGTGAGGTGGTGAAACGTCCTTAAAAACAGTGCTTCTGTGGTAAGAGTTCAGTTAATTAGGTGATTGTGTGTGCATTCTCTAAGGCACTAGCCTAGTCTTTCTTCTCTTGACCGTCTTCTAGCCATTTTACTATCTACTGGGCAGCTGGTGGATGGCAACAGGATGAGATCATGTAGCTGTTTGATTGTATTAATGGAACACTGCAGTCAAAGTACCTCACTAAAGTTGGGGATTAAAATACTTTTAGATTCACCTTTCAGTTGACCTTGATCCTTGGCATAAAATAATCAATACCATATGCTTTGTGGGTGGCGTGTATCAGTGTTGTGCAGTTTTTGCCAGCCATGGAGGAGAATGGTGGCCCAGAGGAAGGGGTGCCTTTTTCTCTCTACAGCACTCTCTTTTTGCCAGACTCTATAAACAGAAAGTGGAGAGGTGGGTACATTATTCTCATATGCACAGAAGTGCCACATATTCCAGTGATGACAGCTTTGGGTCTTCCTAACTGAATGTGAGGTTGAGAACATTGATTTTGTGTTCTAGAGTATTGCTTCTCGAACTTGAATATGTATACAAATCATGTGAGGCTCTCATTAAAATGCATATTTGTATTTCAGTAGATCCAGGGTGGGCCTGAGATTCTGCTTTCCTCACAAGCTGATGCTGAAGCAGCCCAAAGTAAAGGCCTCTTGGAAGTAACTGACTCTCTGCCACCAGAGGCAATATGAAATCACCAGTAGGCTACCTTTTGGAGAGAAGATCCCAGAAAATACTTCAATAGGATTTTGGCCATGAGACATTCAGCAAATTATTTAAACTCTCCATGCTATGCCTTGTCGGAAATGTGAGGAGATAATAGTATTCACTTTGTATGGTTAGTGTGAGCATTAATGACAATATATAGATGCAAAACTTTTGGGACAATAACATCAACATAGTCAGTGTCTACTAAATGGTTGTTGAATTCTTCCCAGAAAGTGCTAGGTCAGGAGAAATGTATATCTGTTTGGGGAAAGTGCACAGTATTTGAGAAGAAATTGCTTATTGTTTAAAGACATACAAGAGGCTATGATCCAAGAATGAGACTTGGGTTCCATGATCCGGTGCAACAGTGGTTTCTTGGGAGCAGTGGCTGGCCTCTGGTAGGATTTAAGGCATCAGAATGTCAATGAAAGTGGGGGCCCTTCTGAAGGGGTTCATGGATTTCTGTCACTGCTGAGATAAAGGAGTCTTAACTTTTTTCCCTTGACTGCAGGGTGTTTGTAAGGTAAGGAAGGAGGCAGATAGTCGAATAACGAAAGAGGCAAAGGGACAGAAGAAAAAGGGAGAGAAATAACTTTAGCCAACCACTTCTGGGCCTTTTTCATTTAATATGCTCCAAAATGTGAGGTAAGTAGTAGTGTTCTAATTCTACAGATGAAAAATGTTTAAAATACCTGCCCCAAATAACTCAATTTTTAAGTTTATGGGGCTGGATTAAGCCCAACCCAGAATTAGGCTTAATTCCCTAAAGGCAGCTCGTATACTTGACTCCATAAACACCTTTGGCACCTAGGACACATGTATTTAATTTTCTTGTGCAAAAGAGTAAATGCAGTTACCTGTGGCCACTCCAGCTGTCTTTCCACCACTTCAGCCAGCTAAAGTTACTGCCGTGTCCCCAGGACCTAGCAAAGGGCCTGACCCACAGTTAGGCTCAGTAAATACTATGGAATGAATGAGTCAGTATTTAATCAGAGAGCCGATTACATGATACCACTATTATTATGGATCTTTTAAACTTTTAACTCTGATACCACCTATTTGATTTCTCCTTCTTGACTGTACACTCCTTTTACTTGTTCTTTATGTTTTTTGTTAATCCACACACTTCACATCGACTTAAATAATTTTTAAAATGCCACCAAGTATTTTTCATTTCTCTTCGAGCCAGAGGAAGTGTAAGACATGTACTTTGCTTATGGGGACTTGCAGTCTCATTGGAGAGGCAAGATACTTAACAAAATTATTTAGTTCTTTAATGTGCAGTCAAGGCAGAGTTTCTATAGGAAAGCTCATATATTCTTTCTTTCTTTCCTTATTTCCCTTTCTTTGCCTCCTTTCCTGCTGTTCTGGGTTGGTGCATGTAGTGATGCATCTGGCAGTGCTGGGTGTTTGTCCATTTTCTGACCATTTCCCATGGCGATATCTTTGTTAGGAGCCAGGGAAGGCATCTTAATTACCACTGCAGTCTTGGGATAATGAAATGCACAACTCTATGAAAAACTTGGTCACAAATCAAGAAAGTGATTGGAAAGCTTATGCAGCAGAAAAATAACTTGCCCATGAATTATGAAACACCTCTGGTATGTGAACATAGCTGTACACTTGAAATTAAGAAGCTTGTTTCTATAAATACTAGATCCTTTTTTCTTTTTCTCAAATAGAAAAACATTTTATAAATATAAAGATAAATATGTTCATTGTAAAAATTCAGATAACATAGAAAAGCAAAAGAAGAAGGAAAAAATCACTTGTAATCTCACTGTGTGAGAAAGCCACTGGATTTTATGGTATATTCACATACTGAGATTTAACTTTGCACATACAAATGTAGGTTCACTGTCCCACATCTAAAACTTCTTGGGACAGTTTTCTTAGATTGTAGAAAGATAATGTGAGAAAACCCCCATTGAGGTTTGGAGTTGTACTGTGTAATCAAATACATTAACATTTTAGCAGCAAAGTATGTTAATATTTGCAATTAGTGGAACAAATGAAGATTGTAAATAGCTTTGCAGCAGGTTACATTTCCCATAAATTAATTACAAAAAAAGTCTTTTCAGTTCTTGGAAATTTGGAGATTTCAGTTAATAAGTAAGAGAGTATGGACTTATATACAAAATAGTGATTTTTTTTAATCGAGTATATATCACAAGTACTTTTTTCTGAGTTGTTTTCTCACTTGTGCCATAATGAACATCCTTGCAGGATAAACTGCTAGCAATGGAATTGCTGGGTCAGAAAATACACACATTTTTGAGGCTTTTGATAAAGATTATTCAATTGCCATCCAGAAAGATCATACCAGATTACTGTGTGGCATCTGAACTTGCCTGTTTTTACCACGTCGTTACCAACTCAGTTTTATTAGTGTTTTAGGTCTTTCCAATCTAATTGGTGAAAGTGATACTTTAATCTACATTTTTGAATACTGATGATGTACTTCATTTCATAAACGTTTGGCTGTAAAATTTCCTCTATATTCATTCCAGAGATTAAGATATTTTCAAATCATTAAACTGGGGCTGTTATCTTAGGTTGTTCTGGAGATACTAATTACATGTCAGGTAGTATCAGTTGCATTGGTTATTTTATTTAGAAATTATTTTTTTTTTAACTTTAAGTTCCGGGATACATGTGCAGAATGTGCAGGTTTGTTACATAGGTATACATGTGCCATGGTGGTTTGCTGCACCAACCAACCTGTCATCTAGGTTTTAAGCCCCATGTGCATTAGGTATTTGTCCTAATGCTCTTCTTCCCCTTGTCTCCCACCCCCTGACAGCTCCCAGTTTGTGATGTTCCCCTTCCTGTGTCCATGTGTTCTCATTGTTCAACTCCTACTTATGAGAGAGAACATGCGGTGCTTGGTTTTCTGTTCCTGTGTTAGTTTGCTGAGGATGATGGCTTCCAGCTTAGAAAGTAAGTTTTGTTGAAGAGCAAATGTTTCCGTAAGTGCTGGCAATCCTGAAGGACTCTTTCAAGAATCATTTGGACAGAATTTTCCTGAATATGAAAGCAGTATTTAATGGCATTGACAGCTAAAGGCTTCAGGTTGAATTATCTCCAAGTGTATGATCGACTTTTAAGTGAGAATAAGCAAGTTTATGCCCCATGTTCCTGTGCAGTTATCTCATGCAGTTTTCTGACAGTGTAAAATATTACAGCCCCACTGCATGCTTTAAAAGAGAAATTTTGAAATTTTATTCTTTCATTTTGTAGAGTCTGAAAAGATTTCCCCTAAGCCTGAAGCAGTGATAAGCTTTGGAATCACCTGGGGGGCTTAATTACCATGCAGACACCTGAGCCCAGCCACCAGAGACTCTAATCCAGTAAGCCTTAGACTGTCTTTTGAGAAAGGTAGCCCAGCTCTGATTTTAATCAGATTATTAGAACAATAGTAATACTCATAGGCGTGGTTTTGTAGTTGTAAAAACAGGAATTGTTACTATAATAGCAGTACTAATAATTGTAAAAATTTCTATTAATGGTAATGTTATGAATCTTTTAAGTATATCTGATAACTCAGCGATGTTCCAAGTTCCACATTCAATGAATGGGCAACTTCTGGATTTGCCTTTCTTAACATCTAACTTAATTTTATTTCTTGGTAATAGAGGATGAGTACTTGAAATTAGGGCCATTCTTAACTTCTGAACACAGAGAAAACTTTTTTATCACAAAAAGTCATTTTGGGAGGGAGGAATTAGTTTTCTTTAGTTGAACAATAGACTATTACAGACAAACCAGAAATTTTCTTATTGCCATTTCACTTTTGTATAATTTATTATATTTTGTATTTTCTTCCTCTGTGTGTGTGTGTTTCTTCGTGTGTCTCCTTTAAAATGATCCCATATAGAATCTAGCTGTTGTAAGCATTGTTCTGACCAATTTATACAAAAAATAATAGCTGCATCGTTTTCAAACATGTTGATGTGGTTCAGCATTTTGGAGTCAAAGAAACTGAAAAGAATGTTAGGCTACACCAGCTTTAATTTGGATCAACCCAAAAGACTTGCTAATTATTTTACCTAAGCACTAATTATTATGTGAACTTTATTCTTAAAACATAAACAGGGCCGGGCACGGTGACTCACACCTGTAATCCCAGCACTTTGGGAGGCCGAGGCGGGCAGATCATGAGGTCAGGAGATCGAGACCATCCTGGTCAACATGGTGAAACCTTGTCTCTACTAAAAATATAAAAAAGTAGCCAGGCGTGGTGGTAGACGCCTGTAGTCCCAGCTACTCGGGAGGCTGAGGCAGGAGAATGGGGTGAACCCGGGAGGTGGAGCTTGCAGTGAGCCAAGATCGTACCACTGCACTCCAGCCTGGGCAACAGAGCGAGACTCTGTCTCACAAAAAAAAAAAAAAAAAAAAAAAAAAAAAAAGCCGGTGTGAACTTCTGTTAACTCCACTGCCCATATCTCTTTTGTTCTAGAAATTGATTATTTACAGTTTCCACAGTCAGCTTTTTGCTAAACTAAAAGTGTAAGTATGCCAAAATGTGGTACAAGAGAGCAAGCTTATCATCCAAGTAGATGCAGGATAGATCATTAATCTTCCACACACTTGCTCTAGCAAGTGTTCAGCCTACCAGGCAAAAGGGCTGGGCTTTATCTAAGATCAGCAAGTCTGATCCAGCTTGCCAGAAAGCCAAATTATCCAAGTTGATATGGAAATTCCAAAAGGCATCCCATCACATCCTTGTAAGGGCATTTACATTTTGCCTGTTTTGAGAGTGATTTCACAAGATTTTTTTGTGTGTTTTGTTTTAGGGTTTCCCTAAAATATGGAAGGTATGTGTAGCCTGGCTGTCAGGTATGAGGAAACAGGCACGGGTTTTAGGTGACCTCCCAGAAGTCACACACAGCCCTGGAGTGGCAGTTAGAAAACTGGCAGTTCACTTTTGAGCATTTTTTTTCTCTCCACTTAAAATAAGGTGTGTATATATATGTGTGTGTGTGTATATGTATATATACACACATACATACACACACTTGTGCTTTAATGAAAGGTTTGGACTAGAAATGCTAGTGTCAGAAATTATTTTGCTTCTCACCCTTTTTACTCTCAGCTTCCCACAGGAGAATCACTTGCCTGCCTGTCAACCAGATAGAGCCTGCCTGGAAGGAGTCACCTTTAGCCCCTGGGGAAAGGAAGGGAATTATCATTTAGTGAGAGCTCACCCTTACTGGGCTGTCTGTTCCCACTGAGATGTTCTAGGATCTTCCTTTAAACACTTAAACATTTTCCATTTTCCTCCTTACAGTCCCTGCTTCTATCCTCTCCCTTGCATAAGTAAGGAAACTGAGGCTTTGTGAGGTGAAATACAATTCAGGTTGCAGAGTGAGGATGAAGTGAGGATGAGGCATCTCTAGCGTCCAACACCCATGCTGCCTTCTCTAGGGAATAGCTTCCATCAGGCAGCTGGGCATTCAGGTCCATCCTTGCAGCCTGAGTCTGTGACCAAGTCCACTTATGGAGTGGGATCTGGGGCTCCTCAAACTTTAATCTTGTTTATCTAGTCTGCTTCTCCTCCACAAGTACAGATCCTGCCATTCTGGGCTGACCTCTTCTAACGACCTGTGTTGCTCATGAGCTCTTCCCACCCCTGCCCTGATTAGCTGAGATACCAGGCACTTCTTCCAGGCTTTGCTCACCTCTTCATCTAACAGACCATTGACACCTGCTTGGAGATTGATGACAGCTACAAATTTTACTTACTCCTAAGATTATAAGTTCCCTGTGATACTAAGGCCTGGCCCAAATTGCAAAATTGTTAAAGCAGAAACTCCAGCTTGCATGTTGAAGGAATACGTGAAGTAAAAGAAAGCTGTGAAATAGGCTAACTCAGTTACCATAGCTTATGGTTAAGAAAGCTGCACTGGCTGATTGGGAAGCAGTTGCACACTCTCTAGGACCATTAAGGTCAAACTTGGGTGAAATTTTGCAGCCTCCATTCAAATTTATCCTGTTTTGTACAAAAACAAATTGGCGTTCATTTTTCTAACTTGGGTTAGGTTTTGTAAACCCTGTTCTGAAGACTAAGACCAGAACTCATTATCAATAACAGTTTGTGGATTCCTGATTTTATGAAAACCATCTTGATCTTTCTTCCTTTATTATTTTTAGCATTCTTGTTTTCCTTTTTAGTATTTTAAAACTAAATATTTTAGCTGATATTCCATGTCAAACCAAGTATCTCATCTTGTAATGTCATAATCTGTTAAGACATTCCTCTCAACTTTGTAAGCAAGGCTTTTATTATGTAAGTCAGCAACAAAGGTGGGATTTTAGATTAAGGAGGATGCTAGTGCTAATTGCCAAAGTAATCATACTGAAAAGCATTCTTGTTGAAACTCAGACATATACCACAAGTAAGAGAAAATGATATTCTTCATCAGATGAAATATTTGGAAATTAATTATTATGATAACAAGTGAAAAGCAAACAAAATACTCCTTACAAATATATTTTTACAAATTTATAACTTGTTTAAGGTGTAAGAACATTCTGAAAGTTTCATTTTGCATCAGCCAGTGAGTTTTAATGTAATGCTAAGAGGTGGAGGCATTAGTAACCCTATTTATGATAAATATAAATTCAGAAGAGTTAGGTAACTTGTTATGGTGTGAATGTGTGTCCCATCAAAATTTGTATGTTGAGATCCTAACCCCTAAGGTGATGGTATTGGGAGGCGGGGCCTTTGGGAGGTGATTCAGTCATGAAGGTGGAGCCCTCATGAAGGGGATTAGTCCTCCTATAAAATAGGCCGAAGGAAGCTAGTTCCCTTCTACTCAGTGAGGACACAGCAAGAAGCTGCCATCAATTAATTAAGAAACTGGCTCTCAGCAGACACTGAGTGTGCCTGTGCCTTGATCATGAACTTCCTAGCCTCCAGGACTGTGAGAAATAAATGTTTGTTGTTTATAAGCCACCCAGTTTATGGAATTTTTAAATAGCAACCCAGAAGGACTGAGACTGTAACTAGACTGAAACTGTAAAAGTATAGGATGGTAGCGTTCAAACCAGGATTTCTAGGGTAGCTGTGTGAGGAATGCAGAGGAGAGTAAGGTTCTCTGCCCCCAAGGTATGTGCCATTTTGTGAGGGCACAGACACTTATAAGACATTGAGGGAGCCTAAGAGAAAGAGTAGCTCCAGCTCGGCCTAAGGAGGAAGAGGCAGGACGGCTCTGCCAGGTGATGGTATCTGTACTGCTCTTGAAGATGGGAGGGTTTGGACAGATGAATGAGAGTGGGAGCAGAGTGAAGGCAGAGAGTAAGAAAGTACAGGAACAGTCCCAGGAAAGTTGAGTAATTTAGGGACTAAATACACAGATGGGCCAGGTTTTGTGGTGAGAGATAAGGCTGTAAAGGTGTAGGGGAATTGTATTGTAAAGAGCCTCCAATTCCACATCCTGGAGATTGATTCTAACCACTGTGGAGGCTGCCCAAGAGCCCTTGGGCAGGAAACAGATGTGATAGGAGTTTGTGTTTTTGGAATACAGGTGGCATGAGAGTGTGACAGTGTGGTACTACTATCGGGTACTACACAGGTGGTGTGAGAGTGTGGTACTTTCTGGAAGCAAGATCGTGACCAGGAGTGAGGAGCCGGAGTGAAAGGATGGACATGGAAGAGAAATGGCAGCTTGAGGATTCAAGCAAGTATTTTTATTTTGGTTTGCTTGTTTGGTTCTTTAACTTCAGGAGAGAACCGAGTGTGTTTGTTGGTCAGTGGAAATTTGCTGGTAAAGAGGGAAACTATTTGACAGTATACAAGCAATATAAAATACAAAGAAATGGAGAAGCAGGACACTCATTGCTTTGAAACTGTTGGGAGCAAGCAGAGAATTGGTGAAGTTTAAGGTTTTGAGAAGAAGGCGGCTTTTAACAGACAGTGCTAGTCAATTTTGTCTGAACTGGTACGGTCTTCTGCCAAGAAAGAAGGGTAAGTAAGTGGAGAATGGGAGTAAGGATTGTGGGAAAACATGAAGGAAAAAAACTGCATGGAGAAGCCAGGTGTGGTAGCACACACCTGTAATCCCAATACTTTGGGAAGCTGAGGCAGGAGGATAGTTTGATCCTAGAAATTGGAGTCCAGCCTGGGCAACATAGCGAGGCCCCATCTCCACTGCATGGAGTGTAGATAATTAGGAATTAGTGAACGGGAGTGAACCTGAGATGAATAAAAGAATTGTCTGTGCACCCAGTATCTAACCACAAGTAGATATTATCAGCCTGCCTTACTGGTAGTGAGATTCCGTATAGTTATCCCACAGTTTTCCATGAAAATGGAGAACATTGATAACATGAATAATTAAAATCTCCAGATGAGCTCTAAATCTCATTTTAGCAATAAGCTTCTATTGCAGTAAAATATCTTAGTGTCTCCTGATGGAGTGACAGAAGGATCTTTTTTGACTGTGTTATTCGTACATGTGTTTCTGTTAGAATGTGGAATACCTCTGGCCTCCACATTCTAAATTTCCTACTTATTGAAACTTAGACGTATACCACAAGTATGAGACATATACCACAAGTATGAGAACAGCTCAGCAGTCTTAGATATCTCAAAGACTCCAGGATTACTGATTGACTTAGTAACTGTGTCAGGCCAAGGAGACCTGATTGAGTCAAGAAATAGCTTTGAGTACTCTGTTAACTTGGTGAACAGGTGGACTCTGGAAGGGCTGAGTACATCCCAGAGTGGACAGGTTGGCAGCAGGTAACAAAATTTAAAGGGCATATTGTCTTTCCTGTAGCAATTCCACCCTGCAGAATTTGCTCTGCTAGAATGCAAGCTTTTGAGGCGGCAGGGATCATGTCTTTGTTCTTGCTGAATCAGCAGCACCTAGCACAGTTCCGTGCATTTGATATGTGCTTAATACATATTTGTTAAATATGTGATTGAAACACTCATAAAAGTGCAGAGACGCCATTCTCTGCCCAAGTTCTCTGAGGTCCAGTCAGATGGTCTTTTGCCTCTGACCTCTGCTGTCTTTCGCCTCTGACCTCTGCTGTCTTTCCTCCTGCACTGCCTTTGCACGTGCCACCCACCTCTTCATTCTTCCAGATTATTTTATGAGATGCTTTCATATGATTATATTCCTTTTTTTTCCTAGTCATGTAGTCCATTTTTTGATTTTTTTTTTTGTTAATGTGATTCTTTGAATAATGCCTGTGTCTCTCATTAAGTGTGGGATAGTATCCACTCACTCTTATATCCCTAGAACAGTGCCTGGTAAAAAGCAGAGTACACACACACACAGACACACACACAGACAAACACATGCACACATTAGTGAATGAGACCGGACACAGTAGCTCATGCCTGTAGTCCCAGCACTTTGGGAGGCTGAGGCAGGTGGATCGCTTGTGACCAGGAGTTTGAGACCAACCTTGCCAAGATGGTGAAACCCCATCTCTACTAAAAATAAAAAAATTGGCTGGGTGTGGTGGTGCATGCCTGTAATCCTAGCTACTCGGGAGGCTGAGGCAGGAGAATAGCTTGAACCTGGGAGGTGGAGGCTGCAGTGAGCCCATATTGCACTACAACACTCCAGCCTGGGCGACAGAACAAGACCTTGTCTCAAAACAAAACAAAACAAAAAAACGGGTGAGTGAGATTTGGTTGGTACAGCATTGTTTATAATAGTGAAAATTTGGAAACAAGCCAAATATCTATCAATAAGGAAGTAAATTATAGTACAGCTACTCTTTGGAATTCTTTTCAGCTGAAATAAACATTGAAGTAGAACTATATGTCCTGATCTAGAAAGTAATGCATGATATATTATGTCTTTTATAAAGCAAGTTGCAAACTATCAGGTATAATGTAATCCTGTTTTAATAACAATATATGCAAGAAAGAAACAACCTCAAAATGTATATGTTGTAAAAAATACTAGATGGATATAATAAATTCTTAATAGCAGTTTATTTCTGAGTTGTAGAATCAAGGATCAATTTTTATTTTGTTTCCCATTTGTTTGAAAAAACTCACTTTTTCCTGCTATAAATTGTATTCTCTACTCTTTTCACTTGTTCTTCCATCTGTCCATCCATCCATCCATCCATCCATCCATTTATTCATTCATTCATCAATCCATCCATTAAATCCAGATATTTAAGGAGCACCCATATGCCATGCATTGTGCTAAGCAGTGCATCTATAACTAACAGATAGGTTGCTCTTGAATTGCTAACCTGCTAGCTGGGTTACAAGCAAGTCCATGGGCAATTTATAATACAGTGCAGTAAGTGTTACAGTAGGAGAAACTATAGCATACTCTGAATAGGCAATAGCCTAGATGGGAGGGACAGAATGGCTCCCTAAGACTTTTTATTATTTTAACTAAAGATGATATTTATTGAGCATCTGTTCTGTCAAAGCTTTGGGTTGATTTAAGCCCAGTCACTGTCACCCAAGAGCCCAAAAGCTATTGGAGAGGGATGATGGCAAGCTGGTAATATATTGTGCCTTTTATTAGCATTAAGTAACAGTAATGCACAGCATGTGGGATAATGACTTCAGATTGTAGAGAAAGAGGGAGAAGAGCCTGGATTATCCAGTGACAGAACAGTTGGCCTCTTGGTAATTAAGAGTGGTTCTATCGTTTCTACAGATATTACTCTTCCATAGACTAAGGGTATATGATAATTCTGAATAAATTTTGTCATCCCGCTTTCTTGGCCCTTCTTACAATTCACTTTCTTTATCTTAAATGAAGGATTTCTTGCATTGCTTTTTTTTTTTTTTTTTTCCAGGGAAAGTGTTTTAAAAGTTAGTGAACAAAAGTTCACTAACTTTTGTTGTTGTTGATAATAGTAATTTCTGAACTAAAATAATGGGTTTGAATGACTGATGTGGGGGAGCAGGGAGTGGGGCAGGGGAAGTCCCAGTGCCTTCCAGCCTCACATTGTGGCCCCTGGCCATCTTGGCACTTAGCAGCTGCTCAGATCCTGAGTGGCCTCCCTTCACTCAAACATACGTTTTTTTGGTGTTTCAATTTGTAGACTATAAACCAGGAGCATAAGAAGGAGACAGTCTTAATGAGAATCTCAGGGGACACCCCCACCCGAAGTTTTGCCCAGGTCCTGCTTTGGAGGCTCATCAGCCCATGGCAGGAGCCCAGTGCTGAAGGGCAAGCCGGCTGAGGGCAGGCCAGGGAGAAGCTGCATCCTATGAAAGCAGAGACCATTCCAGCATTGTGCTGCCCCTGGTGGCTTCACTGTGAGATTAAATTGAATTTGCCTTTCGAAGTTGGCCACCTCTCACTTTTTTTTCTGTAGACAGTCCTTGCTGGTTACAAAAAGCCCTGGCTCCCTCATTGTGCTCTCAGCAAAGATTTAATAGCTGTGCTCTGCTGCAGTAAGGATTCATGTTACTAAGACTTCATTATTATTACAAAACATTCAATAGAGCTTCATCATAAATAATTTTAAAATCCCTGACAAAGAAAATAAGCTGAGCACATTCTGTGATCCAGCAAACTGATTTTCCCCGGCATCATAGTCGTCTGTTAGCCTACTAATTCCCCAAACTCCATAATTAACAGTGGGCAGCTCTGTTCTGCAGAGAATTACCCCGGTTTGGCACGGGTGCCTCCTTTGTAATGGGGCAAAGGGGCGGGTTGGCAGAGTTCCTACCAGTCTCTCAAATGGGACTTAAGTGTGTTTCCCTTTATAATTAAGTATCATTGTAATAACAGACATGCTTAGTCCTTAGTAGTGTAGATAACTTCTGGAGGACAAAACACAGCTGCCCATGCAATGTGTCATATGTTGTCATTTTCCTCTTTTATGACAAATAGTGAAGGAACAGAAATAAGTATTTGAAGCTAGAAGGTGTCAGCCAGATCCACTATGTTCTGAAGTGCATAGTAAATAATTAGGGTCATGAAATGAATGAAAATGGTTTGTAAAATTGAGCTAGTGCCTTCATTGAGCTAATGGCATGATAAAAGGGGAAGTTGAGGAGGAGCTGTTCTGTATTAAAATCTAGAAGAGACAAAATGTTGTTAGTGCATGTCCTTTGTTTGTATCCTGATTGGAACAAAGAAATGAGAAAAAAGAAAAGAAATATAATTTTTAGGTAACTGGTGAAATGTGAATATGGACCAGGCTTGATACCAAGAAATTATTCTTTCTTTTGTTAGGCATGACAGTTGGCATTGTCGTTGTATAAAAAAAGTTTTTATTTTATTGCTGCATATTAAAGCAGGTAGGGATGAGTGACAGCTTTAGGACAGATAGGACTTCCTCTGAAATACTTCAGTAAAACAGTTTTAAAACGTAGAATAAATGAAGCAAATAGTATAGTATGGTAAAATCTTGGTGATTTTTGAAAGGTTTATGGGAGTTTATTTTATAATTCTCCAAACTTTTATGTATGTTTGAAATTATTCCTGGTGAGTGTTTTAAAGTAACTGAGTTCTAGAAGGAAATAGCTACTGAAGTTTATTAAGTAATTCACAAGTGTTCCAATTTAGCTTCTTTTGTTGTAAATTTCTACTTTTAAAAATGGGGATCATGTATTAACTAGGTAAGTGCTAATAAACTGCCCCCTGCCCCCAGATTTGTAAATAAAATCTGTGATCAGGCTTCTATCCAGCATGTCTTCTACCACTTTGTAACTAAATGCAAAATTTTAGGTATTTTCTAATTTAGGAATTGTATGAGTCCATTTTCATGCTGCTGGTAAAGACATACCCGAGACTGGGCAATTTACAAAAGAAAGAGCTTTTATTGGACTCAGTTCCACGTGACTGGGGAGGCCTCACAATCGTGGCGGAAGGCAAGGAGAAGCAAATCATATCTTACGTGGATGGCAGCAGACAGAGAGAGCTTGTGCAGGGCAACTCCTGTTTTTTAAAATGGTCAGATCTCATGAGACCCATTCACCATTATGCGAACAGCACCGGAAAGATCCATCCTCATAATTCAGTCATCTCCCACCAGGTCCCTCCTGCAACACATGGGAATTATGGGATCTACAAGATGAGATTTGAGTGGGGACACCGAGCCAAACTGTATCAGGAATTTTCTGTTTGCCATTTTCCAGTCCGTTTCTTGTCATCTCTCACAAGGAGGAACAGAGGGTATCAAGAGCTGTAATCCAACTTCAAGGCCATGTTGGATTCTTCTGAGGGCCTCAAACCCTGCAGACCAAGAGAAGGTTCTCTCTAGAGTGTCTCCACCTCCCTCCTCAGCTCTGAGGCTTCCTCTAACCATCTGTGTAACTAGCAGCAGGATAGTACAGTGCCTAACACTGCAGTCAGATTCCCCTCACCAAGACTGGATCTGAGCACCACCACTTACTAGCTGTGATCTTGGGCAGATCAGTTACATTCTGTGTGCTTGATATTCTCCTCTGTTAAAGGGGAATGATGAAAATAAATAGCTAAGTCACAGGGTGGGTATTAAATGAACTAACACATGTGAAGCAATGACCAGAGTGCCTTGCACAGAGTCGATGTTTGCTGCCATTCTGTTTTTTTTTTTTTTTTGAGATGGAGTCTCGCTCTGTCACCCAGGCTGGAGTGCAGTGGTGTGATCTTGGCTCACTGCAAGCTCCACCTCCCGGGTTCATGCCATTCTCCTGCCTCATCCTCCCAAGCAGCTGGGACTACAGGCGCCTGCCACCACGCCCAACTAATTTTTTTTTTTTTTGTATTTTTAGTAGAGACAGGGGTTTCACCATGTTAGCCAAGATGGTCTCAATCTCCTGACCTCGTGATCTGCCTGCCTTGGCCTCCCAAAGTGCTGGGATTACAGGCGTGAGTGCCCGGCCACTGCCATTCTTTTTTTAGTTGATTGTTATTTTATTTAAGAGAAAATATTATATTGAGGTATAATTAGCATTCTTCTTAAGTTTATTATATAAATAAACACTTCTGGAAAATAATGCTCTTGATCAATGAAAACAATAATATTTATTCTCACCATTTTATCACAAGCAAATCCCTTAAAAAACATTCCATTAAAGGCTGGGGCAGTGGCTCACGCTTGTAATCCCAGCACTTTGGGAGGCTGAGGCAGATGGATCACAAGGTCAAGGGATCTAGACCTTCCTGGTCAACATGGTGAAACCTTGTCTCTACTAAAAATACAAAAATTAGCTGGGCATGGTGACGTGCACCTGTAGTCCCAGCTACTCGGGAGGCTGAGGCAGGAGAATTGCTTGAACCTGGGAGGCAGAGGTTGCAGTGAGCCTAGATCACAGCACTGCATTCCAGCCTGGTGACATAGTGAGACTGTCTCCAAAAAATATATATATATTTTTTCTATTAAATATATATATAAAATATATATTTTTTTTCTATTAAATATATATATAATATATATATTTTCTATTAAATATATATAATATATATTTTCTATTAAATATATATTATATATATTCTATTAAAACAGTGTATTATTAGCAATACTGCTTCTTTTATGACTTAAATGAAACATTTAAAATTTAGTTATATTTTAAGAATACTGTAATACCCTTATCTATGTAGTACAGATAACAGAGAAATAACATGAAAGACATGGCATTCTGGAAAGAAGAGTTTACAAACCAGACATCTCGATTGGAATGCTAGCTTTGTTACTTATTTGCCATGTGAGATAATTTCTCTAGGACACATTTTCCTCACCTCTAAAATGGGGGACACTAGAAGAGCCCTGAAGTCCTCAAGCAGTGCCTGGTATGCCGGAGCCATTCTGAAATCATCTCAGAGAAAATGTATTTCGAGAGTTTAGCATGGTGTCCGCAGGTGAGAGTGGGGAGGAAGAAGGTGTCAGACAAGACTGGGGCCCCTGCAGGGAGAGCAGACTTCACCTCTAATGGATGCTGAGGCTGTACCCTCTAATGGCTTAGTTGCAAGGACCTGATTTCCTTGAATTCTTCTTCAGGTGCCAAATAGACAAGAATCCATAAATTTACTTAAAGCTTGTACTATAAGTACTTGTATGACCTACTAGTTCATCTGTTTTCCTTACAACCCAGCTTTTCCTCATTGTTACCAGAAAGGGATCCCCATCCAGACGCCAAGAGAGGGTTCTTGGAGCTCGAGCAAGAAATAATTCAGAGTGAGTCCATAGAGTAAAGTGAAAGCAAATTTATTAAGAAAGTAAAGGTGTAAAGAATGGCTACTCCATAGGCAGAACAGCAGCATGGGCTGCTCAACTGAGTATGCTTATAGTTATTTCTTGATTCTGTGCTAAACAAGGGGTAGATTATTTATGAGTTTTCCGGGAAAAGGGTGGGCAATTCCCAGAACTGAGGGGTCCTCCCCTTTTCAGACCATATAAGTTAACTTCTGAACATTGCCATGGCATCTGTAAACTGTCATGATGCTGGTGGGAGTGTCTTTTAGCATGCTAATGTGTGATAATTGAGCAATGAGGATGACCAGAGCTCACTTTCACGGACATCTTAGTTTTGGTGGGTTTTGGCTGGCTTCTTTACCACAACCTGCTTTATCAGCAAGGTCTTTATGACCTGTATCTTGTGCTGACCTACTGTCTCATCCTGTGACTTGAAGTGCCTAATCTGGGAATGCAGCCCAGTAGTCTCAGCCTCATTTTACCCAGTGACTTCAAGATGGAGTCGCTCTGGTTTGAAACCCTTTGACATCATGACCCTGTTGAAGCTTTCCAAGCCTAGTAGATTATCCATAAAGTGGGCAGTTTACCCTTAGATAATTAAGTAATGGATGGAACAATAAAACCCTTTGACATTTTGATAGAGTTATCTTACCTACTACATTCAAATATGCATATATTCCACCCATTGTTTCTTAATTTTATTCCTATTCAAGAGGTGAAGGAAAAACTTTGAGGAGCTTCTTGTTTACCAAACATGACAAGGGATTTTCTTTCTTTTCAAAGTATGTATTATTTACTAGTTTCCAAAAGGGATCATTCAGTGTTTTTAATCTCCTCATAGATTCTTATCTGTGCCCTATAAATGAAGCTTTTTTCAAGTGAGAATGAGTAGCATATGTTTGATTTCCACGTCATTTATGCCACAGAATAAAGCCCAGGTCATGTTAATATTCAATAATGCTCTTCAGCTTCTATTTTTAACAAAACATTGCTTATGACTGTTGTTAAAGATCACTCGCAGCACCGAGGATTTCACATCTCTGAATGAACTTTTTATGAAATTCACTCTTGTAAGATAGAACATCATATATATATTCTGAACACTGTCCATGAAAGTGGGCATTGACCTAGAAGAAACCAGTGTGGGTGTGATAGAAACCAGTATTGAACCTATGAGAAATCCAAGACAGTGTCCTTCTTTGTGTTTATTTTGTGTTTGATAATCAGTTGCAGTGGTTGTGGGCAGAGCTGGGAGCCTACTTAATGCATTTACATGGCATAGGGAGTGATAGAAGGTACTTGTGAAAGGGGAAGAGCTGCAGAGGAGTGAGGAGGATGGGTTCCACACTAGGGCTGGAAAGCCCCATGAAGACAAAGCAGGGGAGAGAGGCCCCACTGTGACAGATAACGTTTCAGAAGAGCTCAGTGGACTCAAAATCCATGCACTAGGCTAGATTTAAGAATCCCTAGATGCCATAGAAGGACAACTGAAACTAGAACCTAGTATGTTTTAAAATAATAATATAATTTGCTGCTCAAGACCTATTAGCAAACAAACAAACAAAAAAACAATCTGGGGGGTGCTTTCTGGTTACAGAATCTTGGCTTTTGAAAAAAGGCAGGGTTTGGTGAAATTAGTATTTAAAGGCTTATTTCTCATCTTGTTTCATGCCTGGGGCGATGACCTGGCTTCAAAGCTGTAGTTCAAAGGGGTTTGTCCACAAGGATTAGTTGCTTAGAGTCTAAAATGTGCTTGAAGGGGAAAAAGAAAAAGCTTAGACACTAAAGGAATACATGCTAATGAAATCACACTGGAAGAGTGAACAGCAAGCACTGCACACAGTTGTTTGGTCTGTGTTATTGATATGGAGGCCTTGCTAATGAGAACTAGTACGGCTTTCAAAGCTCTGACCTCACATATCTAATAGGGCAAGCAAAATGGAAAGACAGCGTATACTTGGGGGCAGTGAGTGGGCCTCAAAGAAGTGGCAAAGGCAGGGCCCTCAGGCTGGGGTGTTGAGGAAGTCCTAGATGACAATCGTATAATACATTCATATAAAGACAGAGCAATAGCAACATGTCCTCAGCCTTACAAAAGGAACTTAAACGTGAAATTTTCTTCCAAATTATGTGGTGGCAAGGTCAGTAAATTGCTTTATTTTTAAGATGTAAAATTAAAATAACCATTTCCCGATCTCCTACTTCCTCCCCTCCCCAAAAAACAACCTATTTTAGGTAAAGGAAATAATTCAACAAAAATATACAGAAACTATTTAAACGTGCAGAGAAAAGATAAGAACTGCTGCTACGAAAGAGAGCAAGAGATGGAGAGGAGAACGTGTGATAGGGCTGGCTACTGAGAATAGGCAAGAAAAAGAATAATTTAGATGAGAATATGTATGAGGATATATAAATGGCAAAATGGATACAGTAAAAAAATCAAAATAAGGAAAACTAAAGGTTCTCATTTTTGCTTAAGTGCTGACTTCAGTGCATTTTATATTTGAATATTATGTTAATGAATTAGAAAGTTAAGCCCTGAAACAAGGATACATAAAGTAAGAAACAGATTATGGAAATTTAAAACACTCTCTTGCTATACCATATCTTTTGCATTTCTTCCTTCTCCTACTCCTCCAGGGAGACAGAGTCTCACTAGCTTGCCCATGTTGGTTTAGAACTCCTGGCCTCAAGTGATCCTCCTACTGGGATTGTAGGCATGAGCAACTAAACGTGCCCCACCTATACCATGACTTTTGAGTAAGATACTACCATCTGACGAGTCTCTGGGCAAATGATTGAAAACTAAGTATCCTGATCATGTCTCCTCAATGCATTTTTGATGGAATTTTTGTTACTAGAGCTATGCTGTTGTTTTTTTAGACAGAGTTTCACTCTTGTTGCCCAGCCTGGAGTGCAATGGTGTGATCTCGGCTCACCGCAACCTCCGCCTCCTGGGTTCAAGCGATTCTCCTGCCTCAGCCTCCCAAGTAGCTGGGATTACAGGCATGCGCCACCACGCCCGGCTAATTTTGTATTTTTAGTAGAGACGGGGTTTCTCCATGTTGGTCAGGCTGATCTCGAACTTCCAACCACAGGTGATCCTCCCACCTCGGCCTCCCAAAGTGCTAGGATTACAGGCATGAGCCACTGTGCCCAGCCTTGCAATGCAGTTTTATGACACGTTTCTAATTCTCATATTTCTATGCCCCCTCTATTTTCAGGATGAAATAAGAACATTTAGAAAATGAATGCTACTAAAGCTTTCTTAGGCATAGCTTAAGTAATGCCAGATGGCTTCGATAAATTATTATGAAGTCTTTCAGTCAAACTCTCAAGTTTTTTAGGGGTCTGGAAGAAGTACTGTGGAGGATTCTAGGAGTATGGTATGCCAACCCAAATAACCAATACAAAGATATGTGCGAATCGGCAATTACATTGGGAACAGAATTAAGATACATTATAACTAAGATAAAGTATTTCAAAATTTAAACATTTAAAATAATTTTTAATAAAGAATAAAGTAGAAAACTTACAAACCCATGTCTATTTGAAGGATTAGCTATTATGTGTTTTGTAAGCGAGTAGATAAAAGGAGTAACTAACTTGTAGTTTTACTTGTTTTTAGTATGCATATTATAGAATGTTTGCATGTAAAATTAATACAATTTGACTTTGACAAACATTTCGGATAACTGGAAAGATGGAAGCAAAAGCTTCATTTGGGATGAAATGTCAGTTTATTAAAATTTCTAGGCCATGATAATTTAAGAGTTTGGGAAAAAACCAAAAGAACAGGTATAAAGATAGTTGTGCATTTGGTTAGAAATAAGCGGTGACGTATTTTGACAAAGAGAAGCATACTAATTGAATACAGTGGGCAGGACTCATTAGAGACTGTGATAATAAAGGGAAGAGAAAAAACAAGAAACATTTCTGCCTGGTATCAAGAAGGACTTAACACAGCAAATTGGAAATGAACTTGCAGCATCACTAGGGATCTGGAAGGATCAACATGTGTCCAATAAGCATTGGACAGTTGATCCTTCTTTGAGAATATTCTGAAAACCCTGCAATTTACAGACAAAAGCAAGATGCTAGAAACAGATCAGAAATGAATAAACATCATAATGAGACATTAAACAGGATTAAGGATTTTTTTTTTTTTTTTTTTTTTTTTTTTTTTTTTTTTTGAGACAGGGTCTGGCTTTGTCGCCCAGGCTGGAATGCAGTGGCAGGATCTTGGCTCACTGCACCCTACGCCTCCCAGGCTCACGCAGTCCTCCCACCTCAACCTCCTGATGAGTAGCTGGGACTACAGGCACGCACCACCACACCCGGCTAATTTTTTTTTTAAAAGATGGGATTTTGCCATGTTGCTTAGGCTGGTCTAATTCCTGAGCTCAAGCAATCTTCCTGCCTTGGCCTCCCAAAGTGCTGGGATTACAGGTGTGAGCCAACATGCCCAGCCTCAGGATTAAGGAATTTTTTTGAAATGTTTAATTCAGTAGGTATGGCATGACTAAGTAAAGTGAAGGAATCAAAAGTTGTTTTGAGGTGTATTTAAAAGATGATATATGGTGCTTCAAAGGAAACTGGGCATTCAAGTTGTAGAATGACAAAGAGGAGTTCAAGCTTATGGGAAGAATGAAAAATTTTTTGATTTTCTAATTTGATTCTAAATGTCATGCTGAAAATGGAATCTCTTCCGTGTCCTCTCCCCTACTCTGAGGGAGCAAATGGCTTTAGTGCTTTGATGCGTCAGACACTCAAGGGACTTTGCTAGACTAATTGTTAGTGAATAATCCAGAGGCTCCCATTCTGCTGCTCTGATTTACAGGAATGATTATTTTCCTCATCTTTCTCATAAACCTCACTTTTTTTCCAAAATCTGACACTCTTCTCAGCCAGCGTTCCACGTGAAGAATAAACAGACTCAGTCTGGATTTTTCAAGATTCAGAGTACTTTTTTTAAGGCAAGCAGAACTCCAACCTTAGGATAACTCAAAATAAGGTTTAAATGGTAAAAGTTCATCTTGTCCTGAGGCATTAGGGGATTGCGACAATGAGTAGACATTTTAAATATTTTCACTCTTATAGCAAGCCACTTTTCTCCTTGCTGCATTTACCCCACTCTGCTCAGGAAAGTTGTTTAGTGAGCTATTACTGCTATACTTTCCTATTTAGATGTTTTCTCTGGGAACACTAATTTTGAAGGTCAAGAATTCCAGAAGTCATTCAAGAATTAGTATTCTGAAATCTGTGTAGTAGCAGGAGGAATTATTGCCAGTGATCTAGAATGAGGATTCTCAAATGTTTTAATCTTAGCACCTCTTTATATACTTAAAAAGTTATCGTGGATTCCAATAATGAGCTTTTATTTATATTTATTTTATTTTAATGTCTATTGATATTTATGTTATTGGAAATTAAAATTGGGACCCCATCAAAACAAGTGTGTGCAAACACCCATTCCATTAGCCATCAGAAAGATGTCATCATTGCATGTCTTGAAACTGCATTGTGCAGTCATGAGAGAATGTGAGCAGTAAAGGCACAAAATGTCTTAGTGTTAGTGTGAAAGTAATTAGGCATCCCGTACCCCCTTCAAGGGTCTCAGCAGTCTCCAGGAGCATCCCGATTACACTTTGAGAACTACTGATCTAGAATAATTGCTAAAAGAATTATTCATGTGCCAGTACTTGGCTCATAATGTCTTCAGTAAATATTTATTGAAAGGGTGTGGACAAAATGATTAAGAGTGCAACAGAAAGAAGCCTTGGGGAATAATAGTGTGTGTGTATATGTATATTAAAAACATGTTATATGTAGCATGTGATATGTTATATATTAATATAACATCTAACATGATTTATAGTCTTTTAATATTTCTAAGAATATATGGTAGAACAATAATAGGAACATTCTGCTTTAACTGGGGGGATTAGAAGATTAATATTCTCTGAATCACAAGCAGGCACTGCTGGAAGTTCACTAATAGTGCACTCCAGCAAAATGCCCACAGTTTATCTGGTGTTCCTTACCTATGTCCATGGACACAAAACTACATATAGAACTGCAGAACCTCTTATTGTCTTTTGAGATAGAAATGTATGGAGTAAAGCAAGCAAATAGTAAAGCAAGCCTAATAGGCTGGGGCTTGGCCCTAAAAACTATTTCCTTATTTTCTTTGATAAATGAAGGTAAAAGGAGTATTAAATCCAGTTTGGGTTTGAAATTACAGACTAAAAGAATAGGTAAATTTGCTTTACTGTCTTCACCCTGAAGTATAGAAAATGAGTCTTCAGTTTTTAGTAACATTGAATGTATCTGCCATTATTCAGGAATCTTGATTCATTAAATCATCAGTCAAAGCAAGCTCAGAGCTGTTTCCCAAACATGGGAGACCCTGCTCAGCTTCTCTAAGCAACTGCATATTTTATTTTATTTTACTTTATTTTATTTTACTTTATTTTATTTTAGAGACAGAGTCTCTCTGTGTCATCCACGCTGGAGTGCAGTGGCGCAAACTTGGCTCACTACAACTTCCACCTCCCAGGTTCAAGAGATTCTCCTGCCTTAGCCTCCAAAGTAACTGGGACCACAGGCACCCGCCACCACGCCCAGCTAATTTTTTTTTTTTTTTTGTATTTCTTTAGTAGAGATGGGGTTTCACTGTGTTGGCCAGGCTGGTCTTGAACCCCTGACCTCATGATCCCCCTGCCTCAGCCTCCCAAAGTGCTGGGATTACTGCCATGAGCCACCGTGCCCGGCTGCGTATTTTATTTTTTTGGATGGCTAACATGCTAAGCTGTATCCATAGCCAGATAGATAAAAGGTTCATGAGCCAGTAGCTTTTCTTTACAGCGTTTTTTTGTTTATTTGTTTGATTGCTTTTATTGTTGTGATTGTACAGCCAAAGATGATATTCAGTTCACAATAAAGTTTATTTTACATCATTTACTCTTTCATTTGTCTTGTAAATACTGTATTGTCAAGTGATAGAAATTTGTCCTACTAACCAAAATATTTCCTGCTAACCAGCCCCCTTTGTTTTAAGCCAATAGAATCCTCTTTTTTAAAAAATTCAAAGCTCATTCCAGGAGTCTGTGGGGCGTTCTTTCTGAACTGTAGCAATTCATAATGCTCCCACTTTCTGGGGAGAAATGGTTGGAACACTAGAGATTAACCACTAAGATGCTTTTTTTTTTTTTTTTAAGAGCATAGCTCTAAATTTAAGAAATCAATTTAATAAAATGTGAAATGTGTAAATATATTTTCTGACAGATTTCTCCAGATTTGTTTAATTTTACAAATTAAAAAATGGCTGTGACCGGGCGTGGTGGCTCACACCTGTAACCCCAGCACCAGAACTTTGGGAGGCTGAGGCTGGTGGATCACCAGAGGTTAAGAGTTCAAGATCAGCCTGGCCAGCATGGTGAAACCCCATCTCTACTAAAAATACAAAAATTAGCCAGGCGTGCCTGTAATTCCAGCTACTCAGGAGGCTGAGGCAGGAGAGTCACTTGAACCCAGGAGGTGGAGGTTGCAGTGAACCGAGATCGTGCCACTGCACTCCAGCCTGGGTGAGAGAGCAAGACTCTTGTCTCAAAAAAAAGGTCCTGCCTTTCTTTTTAAATGCCAGGGAGACTGTATTAGAGCATTTAATAGATCACTGAATTATATTACAATTTTAAACCTTAAGGGGAAGGCTTTTATTTTTATATCAGCATTTATTGAATTTGAATGTAGTTTCAACAAAAGACAAATTTTCATGTTGATAATAACACTTTTTTTTTTTTTGGTCCTTGTTCTTGTTCTTTCTCTTCCTAGTTTTCTCTTTCAATCTCATTAAAAAAAAAAGTTTTAGGGAAATGTAAGTTGTCCAAAATTATGAGTGATTTTTAGTGAATTTGGAAAGAGGCTTTTCTTTCCATCCGTACTGAGACAGTAACCTCAGATTTGGGGCCTGGTATTTCAAACTCTTAAAAGCAAAGGATTGTTTTTGTGGGCTGTAAATGTAGAATGCTGTAGCTACTGGGAAAGTTAAACAGAAATCTAATTTATACTTTTCTCCCTTTCTGAACTCAGTTGCTAAAGCACAGTTAACTCTCAGAGAGTTGTGCTGGACAGGGCCGACCCTGTTGGTATGTGTTTGCTTTTTTCTCCCCTTAACAAATAGAAAGAAAATAGTTCATTAAAACCTACTACCCTCACTTTTCAGCAAAGCTCACTTAGAATTCCAGTTTGTTCTTGGAGTTTTGCTTGCATCCTCATTTTCACCTGGCTGTGTGCCTGGCTGGTCTCAGCCTTCCCCGGCTCCTTGAGCTTGCTGACTTCCTGAGCTTGAGTAGAGTTTAGGCCTCTGTCAGGGTACTCCTGCATGATGAGGCACTGGGAGGTTCCAAAAAAGACCACAACTTTGGGCACATTTCTTCATTGCCCTTACCTCTGGTTTTCTTAGCTACAAAATGAAGGTATGGGACAAATATCTCTAAAACCCATCCGAAACTCTGTTATTACTGTAACAGTAATAGTCCCTGACTTTGGACAGCTTGGTATAGGCCAGGAATCTGTGTAGTCTTATTTAGTCTTTAGAAACCCAGCAGGTGGGTTCCATTATTTTCTCCATTTTACAGATAAAGCTTTGAGAAATGGGTGTATTTCCGCAAGATCACAAAGCTACAAAGGAGAATAGTACTTTCTTTTCAAAATCTCCCTCTCTGAACTCTGACACCTACAAGGGATTGCTGATTCTTGACCAGTTTCTTAACTCACAGTGCCCTTGGGGCATTGACCTCTCCCAGGTAAAATGAGACATTTATAGTTAAGGGAATGCTGATTGAAACTTAGACTATGATGGGGTAGATGGGTGTACTGAGATGCAAACTATGCTTCCCGAGTGAACAGCCACAGCCTGTCCTCCTTAGGAAAGAATGACCTTATTAAGAGCAGCCACCAATGATGACAACAGGTATAGGTGGAGTTTTAGCTTCAGTTTGAGGGGGTGGGGTGGAGAACTTATTCTCCAGGCATCTCTGGCTTTGCAGCTAGGATTCCTAACTCAGATTCCTAACTCCTTATTCACCATTATGGGAAGTCGCACTTTTGTTGCAGCTTGCTTCGTTCATTGTTTTCTTTCATGCTTTAAAATTTTTTCCCGCTTGAAATAAGCCTTCTTTTGGTTTCCTAATAGTCGTTTGCATTTTCTCTTCCTCTGAAATATAGCAGAACAGAGAAGTCAGGCAAAATGGCCAGCAGACTGATTAGAGACAACTGGCACATAGTGGTCCTCAAGGCAGCTGGCTCAGCAGGCAGATTGGATTAGAACAAGCCTTCACACCCCCACAGGGGCTTGCCAGAAGCAAGTGCTGGAGGAGTCACCTACACAGCTTCAGAGAGAATCTTTTTTCCCCTCCCAGTTCCAACCCTGAGAGTGTTTCTGAAGCTATAGAAATGCTAGTAGCTCTGAGCATCTTCTTGGGCTGGCTGTCTCTTTTTGTCAGTTGTTGCATTATTTGCTTCTCACCCAGAGCAGCCACCCATCCTGAGATTTTATCTGCAGTTAGAGAATTCTCCCTCCATTTCTGTTTTGAGGGCATACTTGTTGGTCAAAGACATCCTCTTGTCTTCAGTTAAACCTGTTTTTCTGAAATACCAAAATCTTGAGAAGAATTTGAGAGCCTGTGACAGTGTTAAATAAACTTGGCAGTTTCTACTTCATGAATTATCAAAACTACTTTGGTGGGCAATGAACAGGGAACAGAGACTAGACAGTTTGGATTTGGAGTAAGTGGAGGAAGCAAAGATAGGGTGTGACCACATGGGACAGAGCACATTTTCCTAGAGACCAAAAACTCTGATTGTACCCTGGTCCACAGACTCAGTGCAGAAGCAGGTATATTAAAACCCAAGCCTTATAATAGATACTGGGAATGCCAAAAGCGAGGAGAGTGGGGGCGGGGGCAAGGGTTGAAAAATTACCTATAGGTTCAATGTTCACTAGCTGGGGAATGGATACACTAGAAGCCCAGTCCCCGCCAGTATGCCATATACCCATGTAAAAACATGCACATGTACTGCCTGAGTCTAAAATTAAAACAACAACAACACAGAACCTAAGGTTTGGAAAAAAAAAAAAAAAACTACCCCCTTTTTTCTCTGTCAGAAGTAACCACTGTTCCTCAGCCTACCTAGAAAAGCACTCTACTCTGATTCATAAGTTTCTTTTCTCTAAATCAGGCAATGAGAATGAAGGTACATGAGGTGTCTGGATGTTTTTGATGCTGCTGTAACCATCTGGAGACTCTCATATAGGGCACAGTGTCACTTCCCTGGCCACTGGCAGAGGCTAGGCTAGCTGGGGACACACTGGAGAGAGTCAGGGTAAAGACTTATTTATAGAGAGAAATGGAGAGATGGGACATCAGTTATATTTCAGTTAACTGCTGGAACATGTCCCTACTTAAACTTCCAGCGACTATGTTTTTCCCCGTAACTTAAACAATTTATTTCACTAATCACATCTGTTCTCTTGTAAGATGGTTTCTTGGGTTAGTAAGCTGTGAACTGAAGTGTTTGCATTTTGATTTTAAGAATTTGCTTTTTTTCTCAGAAGGGTGCTAACTCTTTTAGACATGGCTTTGATATATGTGTTTGGTAACAACAATAGACTTATTGGTATGGAAATCATGAGAATAAGTTAAATGCTCAGATAGTTTCCCTCAGAAACAGTAACATATTCCTGTGTATCTCATCTGCACAAAGGCACTTTAAAAATAGTTTATTACAAAAATAATTTAGACAATACAGACAAGTGAAAACGAAAAAAAAAATCCCATCAAGTGTCATTTCCTGATAGGCTTGTGAATACTTCTAAAATAGTATCTTTCTAGTTTTTTTCCTATGCTTTTTTTCTATCTCACCAAAAACTGGATCTCAACACATCATTTTTCATGAACCTCGTGGTGAATACCATTCCATGTCATTTGGCCATCTTCTCTAGCCCTGTGTTAGTGGCTGTGGACTTTCCCATTGTATATCTTTAAACAGCTCGCATAATCAACCCAGGTTGTTGGACATTTAGATTATCTCTGGTTGTTCACCAGTATAAGCAGTGATGCGGTGAAATTCTTGAAAACCTTTTATCTTGCTTGTTTGCAACCTTTAGTTAAATTCTTAGAAGTGTAATTTGCTGGGTCAAAGGTTTTGCCAAACTGCCGTCCAGATGGCTTATTTTTTTAAGCTTCTGGGTTCAATTTGGGTTATTTAAATACAAGATCTGGAACAGTAATTCTCATCTCCCATTTTATTTACCACTTTTCCTATGTTTGGGGAAAGAGAAAAGAACCTCAAATCAACTCATATATCAGCAGGGTCTTCTGGTTTTCATAAAATTATGTATAAAGCTATGGCCATAAACTCATACTGCTGTTTTTTTATTTGTTTGTGTTTGTTTGTTTGAGGGGAAGGGAGTCTTGCTCTGTCTCCCGGGCTGGAGTGCAGTGGCTCGATCTCAGCTCACTGCAACTTCCGCCTTCTGGGTTCAAGCAGTTCTCCTGCCGCAGCCTCTCAAGTAACTGGGACTACAGGCGCCCGCCACCATGCCCAGCTGATTTTTGTACTTTTAGTAGAGATGGGGTTTCACTATGTTGGCCAAGGTGGTCTCGAACTCCTGACCTCAAGTGATCCGCCTGCCACGGCCTCCCAAAGTACTGGGATTATAGGCGTAGGCCACCATGCCCGGCCCATAATGCCATTTAGAAGAATTCTTGGCAACTGATTCAGTCAGCAGCAGTTTTCAGACTTTGATCCTCTGTACACCTTTGGTTAATACCCATAAAAACTCAATGAAGGACAAGAATTGGGCAGAACACAGATTGACTGAAAACACAGCTGTTCTGTTAAAAAATAATCAACCAGCCAGGCATGGTGGCTCATGCCTGTAATCCCAGTGCTTCGGGAGGCCAAGGTTGAGGGACAGATTGAAGTCAGGAGTTCAAGGCCAGCCTGGGCAATATACTATAGCAAGCCCCTGTCTCTACAAAGAACAGAAAAATTAGCTGAGCATGGTGGCATGTGCCTGTAGTCCCAGCTACTCGGGGGGCTGAGGTGGGAGGATCACTCAAGCCCAGGAGTTCAAGGCTGCAGTGAGCTATGATAGCGTCACTGTACTCCAGTATGGACAACAGAGCAAGACCCTGTCTCTTAAAATAATAATATTCAACCAATGGGACACTTTTCATTTATTCACCAGTGAGCTTTTGGCCCTGGCCACGTGCCAGGCAGTGTTCGGGGTGCTTGGGATACGTCAGTGAACAAACCAGACAATGGCTCTCTGCCGTTGTGCAGCTGACATTGTAATGTGTGTCTGTGTAGGTGTGAATATATTGCCCGTTTTGGGGGGGGTGCGGCATAAAATAAATGGTAAACATAATTTGTGTAGAAAAAGGTCTATATTATGGGAACAAAATAGATAGTAGTGTCAGGGGCTTGGGACATATACAGAATGAAGTAAGATGTCAGCCTCACTGAGATACTAGCATTTGGGCCAAGACCTGTAGGTAGAGAGGGAGCATGCTAACTCCTATGGTGAGCCTGGCAGGGACGTGCTGTGGTCCAGAACTTCAAGGTCTTCAAGCTATTTTTGCACACCCATAAGCATAAGCCCAGAATATATTCAGTCCCAGTTCCTACTTCGCTCGTGGTCCTCTAAAGCACTGTCTTCAGCCTCAAACCTGTCATGCAGGGACAGACCCTGGGAAGCATGTCCTTTCCATGCAGTGAAAAATACTCCATGCAGTGAAAAACACACTCCAGGCATAATGCGTATCAGCAGGGGCAAACTAACAGAAAATGAGTTGTTCCAGAAGGAACAAAACATACTTCATGATGAAGGCAAATTGTTTTTCACACTTAGCTAAATAGAATTTGGGATGTGGGGTGCCATGTGCAATTAATGAAGTAGGCTTTCTCAAATGAAAATATGCCACCCTGGGCAACATAATGAGACCCTGTCTCAAAAACAAAAAAAACAAAAAAAAAAAAACAGAAAAAATCATCCAGGTGTGGGGCACATATCTGTAGTCCCAGCCATTCAGAAGGCTGAGGTGGGAGGGTCGCTTGATCCCAGGAGTTCAAGGCTAAAGTGAGCTAGGATCACAACACTGCACTCCAGCCTTCCAGTTTAGGTGACAGAGTGAGACTCTGTTTCTAAAAAAGAAAAGAAAATACGGTCCACCAAGATATCTTGACTTACTGGCTGTCTTACCTGTGTGAGAAAGGGTATAAATAATTCCACTGGAGAGTGGAACTATAAACATTATTACAAATTCCTAAACACTAAAGAATCAGACAGGACATATTTCTGAGCTCTTTCCTTTTTTATGGTGGGGAAACTAAGGCCCAGGGAGTTCAGTGAACAGTTCAGCTGCTTCTCACAGCAGGTCCCTCCTGGGGCCACGGTATTGCCATCAAGCTTCCTTGTTCATTAGAAGAGCTGACTGATTAATACATTTCTAAATACCATCAATTATGAGATAATTTCCTATCACCTTTCCTTGATGTGATGATTGATTTTCTACTCACTAACGTGCTGTGTGGCATGCTTGGACACTAAACAAATTACTGAACTTTGTAATTTTCTTGAAGGAAATGTAATGCACACATAATGAAAACCAGACAGGGGCTGTAAAATACAGCTAACTGGGATTTTCAAGCCTCGCCACATTTCAGAACCCAAAGGGCAGAATTTACTTTTAACCTTAGTGAACTGGTTAGGTGAGATTTTTCAGATATGGTCTGTTTTCTTTCTAGTCACAGTCTAAGTCTTTCGGTTGAATCTCACCGTATCATATCTGCCTCTCAAGGGACTACTTTGCAGTACTTTGCAAAGGCATTAGGTATAATTTTAAAAATATTTTAGGCCTTATTCACAAATATCCATTAGATATCAAGTGATTGCCAAGAAAGTAATCAACAAAACTAGAAGATATGCCTTTGTAGTAAGTCTGGACAGATATTACTCATACGTCCAGTAAGAAAAATCCAGCATCGGCTGGGCGTGGTGGCTCATGCCTGTAATCCCAGCACTTTGGGAAGCCAAGGTGGGCGGATCACTTGAGGTCAGGAGTTTGAGGCCAACGTGGTGAAACCCAGTCTGTACTAAAAATACAAAGCTGGATGTGGTGGTGGGTGCCTCTAATCCCAGCTACACTGGAGGCTGAGGCAGGAGAATCATTTGAACCCGGGAGGCGGAGGTTGCAGTGAGCTTAGATGGTACCACTGCACTCCAGCCTGGGCCACAGAGCAAAAACTCCATCTCAAAAAAAGAAAAAAACTAAAAAAGAAAAATCCAGCATCCAGTAAGAACAATTTCTGGGTGACAGACAATTTTTTAAAAAATAGTCCTTTAAAAAATTACAATTAAAACTGCAGTATTTTCCTGTATTTTTTTCTATTTTTCAGATGCTCTTAGTTCGTTTTTACTTTCCATGCTCATTTTCCTCATCTTATTTTTTTATTTTTTGGTTTTTTAAATTTGTTTGTTTTGTTTTTTTGAGACACAGTCTTGCTCTGTCACCCAGGCTGGAGTGCAGTGGTACAATCTTGGCTCACTACAACTTCCTCCTCCTGAGTTCAAGCGATTCTCTTGCCTCAGCCTCTTGAGTAGCTGGGATTACAGGCATGTACCACCACGCTCGACTAATTTTTGTATTTTTGGTAGAGATGGGGTTTCATCATGTAGGCCAGGCTGGTCTCGAACTCCTGACCTCAAGTGACCCACCCACCTTGGCCTCCCAAAGTGCTGGAATTACAGTTGTGAGCCACCCTGCCTGGCCATTTTCTTCATCTTAACTGAAAATCTTATCCCAAATATCTTACCTTTAAAATGTCTATCTCAAATATTTAGTTTAAAAGCACCAAAACACATCTTAATTTTTACCCTCTTCTCTTTTTTTTTTCAGGAACCTTATTACCCGGTTTTCTTTAAATCAAATAATTAGGGGTTGAAATAATCAAATAATTAGAGGTTGAAAGTGCACCAACATATTAGGTGCATTTTATGGCCCAGGAAGTGCATTGGCATTTTATATACAATGCAGTTCAATTTCAAAAATCCTATTTATTAGGTGTTACTAGGTGATATGATCGTCTTAGAGATGAAGAATCCAGCCCAAGAAGATGAAATTGCCCAAGTCACAGATTTGTAAGGCACAGAGGTGTCATGTAAACCTTGGCTATTTTGAATTCAATCCTTTCTTTCTCCTTCCCTTTCTGCCATTACCCTGGGCCATTTTCCCTAGACTGAGTTTTAAAATTTTTGGTTGGATTGTAGGTTTTTTGTGTTTGGAAGGGTTTCAAAAAAAAAAAAAAAAACACCAAATACCTCTTCCACTTTTTTGCGTAACTCCTACCAGAGAGCCATCTCATATTCCTGGGAACTGGCAGTCAAGTTAGGGACTAAACAAAAACAGTAATTCATTCAACAATTATTTGTTGAACATAATGCAACTAAAAACTCTGCCAGTTGCCAGCAGAATGAGACCTATCCTGTTCTATCTTCATGGAACACCCAGGCTAGTGGGAAAGAGGGACATGGTAATTAAAATTGTGGTGTACAGTTCAAAGGGGAAGCAAATGGTGTTAGGGAAGAGGGCTAGACATTAAGTTTTAGTCAGTGGAGTGGACTGAAAATGCATTGGGCATTCGGGAATGGGAGTAGTTGGGGCAAACTTGTTGGAGGTACTAGAACTTGAACTGCAGGGCCATAAATAATTACAGTAACAGAGAAATGAGCATTGCAGATGGGTCTGCGTTGTTTGCCATGCAATTTAAACCCATTTTCTCCTGCCCTTGTCTCATAAAAATGGGTCATTCCTGTTAGCCAAGAAGAGATTATGCTATTCAATCAAATTCTTATGAATTAGTTATTTTAAGTACAGAATGGGATCATATACTTGTACGTGAAAGTCAGTAATTAAAGTAGGTTACGGTAATTGTTTTCACACTCCTCCTCAAATAAAAAGCATAATTTGGTGGAAGATATACATTTATTACCCACCTATATTTTTTCCCTAATTTGAAAAATAATACAGGAGTCTCAATAAATGTGCAGAATCTATGTTTGAAAATACGTGAACTTGTCTGTCAGCAATTCAGCTTCGATTTTCAAGTGTCCTTGAAAAGAACTGATGAGTTTTTACCTATTCTCGTCATTACATGGGGTGGTGAAGGAGCTACTTCTGTTTCTGAGACTACTATACTTAGTATTTATAATGCTAAAACAAAGTTCATGAAAAACCAATGATACCCTTATAATGATAGTTTCTATGACATGGAATAGGGATTATAAACAAATTATATGAGTACAGAATATTTGAATATTCTTCGGGGAGAGTTGGTTTACAAGACAAGCATTGGAGCCATTATTAGGTGTAGAAAAATGTGACAGAGTAATTGCAGCTGCCCATTCATTCGTAGGACTTTCTAATCATTCTTGGGAACATCCCTATTGAAAATGGCTAGTCTCAAATGACTCCAAATATGAGTTTTTTGGCTACTATGTTGAAAATCAATCTAGTTGAATGGATTTGTTATATTATATTTAATTGATGATAATAATAGATATGGCCGTCTGTTTTAATTGATTTTTCCTCAGTTACTCTGTGTGGAGAATTTTGACCTTTTAAGGTTCTATTTTGTGGCTAAGAGATAAAGAAAGTCAAGTTGAGACTATCGCTGTTGTAGATAGCTCACACTCCTACAGTTCTCCAGTTTTTAAATGCTTTCTCAGAGACTGGAGTTGAAGCCAGCTCACTGATTTATTACTGAGTGACCTGGGGCAAGTCCCGCCTTCTTCTTTTGTAAGTAGGGATCCTAATAATACTTATCATATAGGTTATTAGGAGGCTCAAAGAGATAAGGATCAAATGAGAATTAATGTCCAGTGCTTAGCATAATGCCTGGCACCTAGGAAGCAAATCCCTTAATAAACAGTGGCTGGAAACAATGGGTTTAAGGCAATCCTGTAAAGGAGATATGTTTGCTTATCCTCATTTTAGGGTTAAAACAGCAGCAACAACAATTATAATAAGTCCCTGTTATCCAGCAGGTAAAGTGCCAAGTGCTCTATGTACATTACTCTATTTCATTTGCTCTCTACAACTACTGTAAAAAGGAAATTTGTTGTCATTCTGTGGAATAGAGTGATTAAGCAGCTTGCCTAAACTCCCCCAGACAGGGATGCAGTTGGAGCTAGAAAGTTAACCGAGGCCTGGCTGACAAGGCCTCATTCTCCATCAGCTGGTCAAAGGAACAGGAGCTCTGCATCCTGTCCTGCTCAGTAGAGGAGGAAAGGAGACAGCTCCTCCGGGAAATCTAGAGGAATTTGCATTCTCTGCCTGAGCTGGCTTGGGGCCAGCTTTGTGGAATCCTGGTGCCAGTTCTTTTTCTGCTTCAGGGGCTATTTTTTAAAAAAATCAGTAGTTACATTTTATGTTTACCAATAGATTTATATAGCAAATGATATTTGTTTTTTATTTAAAGCCACAATATCAAGTGTCTTTTTAAAAATATAAATAATAATCCTCATGGTATGCAGATGTAGCAGAAAATTGTGCAGGTGGTATGTGGGCAACTGGATTTGGGGAAATGCTGCTGCATGTCATGCACCTCTCCATAGGTAGGTTTTTCCCCTTTATTTTCTCCCTCTTTTCAGCAAAACTCTCCCCTCTACTTTCCCACTGAAAAATAGCAATGGTGAGTTAAACTAGTTAGTCTGATCATGGTGTGGGCAATGGGTGGTTGGGTTAAGATTCTTATTTCATTTGACTTGTCCATCAAGGCCTTCTTGTTATGTCACTGACTTTGAGCAATTCCCATTGGGTGCATGATTGAAGTATAAAGGGATGCCTTTAGGATTGTGGCTTCTGTGATTCTCCTAATTTCCAGGAAAAGGGCGACCAACTCATGAGCTCAAATTCTGAAGCTCTTTAGTGGCATTAAACCTGGCTCTGATCTGTGAAAGTTGACATTCCCAAGGTGTTTTTCCCATTCCTGAGAGCTCTGCAGAGATCTTATTTGCGTGAAGCAAATCCATAAAGTCATTAGCAGATAAGTAGATGGACCTGCCTGTGGTGAACACCCAGGCTTTCAACCTAATAGTTTGTTGGCCTGGCTGGTGGTTCCTGCTGAAAATCTTTGGGGATAATTAGCACAGCTGACTGTTGCTGAGCCAGGTAAAAAGTTAAATTATATTTATGTTTACACTTATTCCAGTGGCAAAGATGTGGACTCATGTAACTTCTTGCCTTTGACTAAAGAGGTTCATTTAGTTTGTGTAAAGGATTTAATTTCTTAAAAAATTGTGTTGTTTAATTTCATTCTATTAGTTCTAGGATGCAGGGTAACCAGCCGACCATCTTTAGATTTGAGGAGTATGACGAAGTTAGTTATCAGAAGCAATGATGAAGTCATCTCTTACATTCTCCTTTGCATTTAGCATGCTGTTTACTCAAGCCTAACCAGAGAATTTGGTTTTCAGAATCTCAGTGGGTCAAATAAATTACACTGAACCAGTTAGAGGTGGGAGGGTTCTTCACTGTCTCATCACCAACCCCAACCCCTTCTGCTTGGTCATGACCTTTCCTTCATCTGAGAGGGTTATTTTAAACTTTAGGTAAGGCCATGTGAGGTGGCTCACATGTGTAATCCCAGTACTTTAGGTGGCCAAGGCAGGAGCATTGCTTGAGTGCAGGAGGTCAAGACTAGCCTGTCCAACATGGCGAAACCTCTACTAAAAATTCAAAAAATTAGTCAAGCATGGTGGCACACACCTGTATTCCCAGCTACTTGGGAGGCTGAGGTGGGAGGATCACTTAAGCCCGGGTGGTGGAGGTTGCGGTGAGCCATGATCGCGCTATGACACTCCAACCTAGATGACAGAGTGAGACTGTGTCTCAGAAAAAGAAAAAAAATTTAGTTGAGGTGCTTAGCCTAGTTGTCCTGAATGTAAGTAGACATGGCAGCTTCCAGAATTCAAGGGATTTTGAGGGACATAGGGAAGGATTGTTGCCCCAAATTCTCTCTCTAGACTCCTTGAAATGACCAGTTCCTTTCTTTTGAAGCTCCTAGTATCTAATTGTATCTGCAAATTCCTAGGCTAGTGGGTTAAAAGGGAACAGATTGAGATGGGATGGGAGATATGAGGAGGTGGAAGGAAGAATATCTTGGAACGCGGGCCAGTGCCCCAAGAGTTCATGTCTAGGCCAGAAATAGGTAGGAGGTTTCATAGAAGACAAGTTGGACCAGGAGGAAAGACTCGTTTTACCTTTTTTATGGACTTACCCAAGGGAAGCCCAAGCCTAATAAGCTGTGTGAAGTACCTGTCACAGACTACCTGTGTTCTGTACTTATGAAAAAGGAATGACAAGAAGGCTTTAGATATATTTTTTTCTTTCTTGTTTTTTTGTTTTTTTGTTTTTTTGTTTTTTTTTTTTGAGATGGAGTTTCGCTCTTGTTGCCCAGGTGGAGTGCAATGGTGCGATCTCAGCTCACTGCAACCTCTACCTCCCAGGTTCAAGTGATTCTCCTACCTCAGCCTCCCGGGTAGCTGGGATTACAGGCATGCACCACCATGCCTGACTAATTTTGTATTTCTAGTAGAGACAGGATTTCTCCGTGTTGGCCAGGCTGGTCTGGAGCTCCCAACCTCAGGTGATTCCTCCGCCTCGGCCTCCCAAAGTGCTGGGATTACAGGCATGAGCCACCGCGCCCGGCAAAGGCTTTAGATATATTGAGAACTACCACGATCATGAAATCTGAATGCAAATGCAATAGGTGTTTCATTTGTGTGCTTAATTTACTCATTGCCTATGCACAGAGCTGCTTTTGTATATCTTGCTTCCCCTCGTTGCCTGGCCCAGAAGCAGTGTTGTGGCCAACTTTTGCTGTCTTTCTCCAGGAATCATTTCTTCTTCCCTGGCTACGCACTGCCAGTCTTTCCCATCCCTTCCTCCCCCTTTTTACTTCTTCCTACCCCTTCCTTATTATTTCTCAGGAGATGTCACTGAAACAAGGACACCTGCCACAAATGCCTAAATACATTGTTTACAGTAAGGAGATCAGCTTATTGATTGGATTCCTATATATGCTTTCATGCGGGGTCAAATTTTCAACTCCTGAGAGCACTGCAAGTAAATATAAAACAAATAGGCATTTTTGCTATTAGCCTTATTAGAGAATACATAAGCATTTATTTCCCTTGGGGGTAAAGTTAAGCCTAAAAAATGATAATAAATGTAATAATGTAATGAGGTTCGTTTCCTTTTTGTGCCCAACCACCTAGTAGGTATTGGCTGTTCTACCTTGCATGTGCAAACAGATAAAGATATTTCATTGTGCTAGTAAACATCTGTTTGCCACCATTATTACAGTTCTGTTTCTATTCTTCAGCTAGCTTCAGCTAAGTGGGTTGTTTGAATGTTGTAACATCTTCAAGATTAGACCCCAGGGGATGAATACAAAATCTTATTGTATTATACTTTCCAATACATTCTCTTTCCAGCGAAACAAATTCGCTTGCTAATCCTTCCCTCTAGTGTCTTTGTGGGAACATTCTCATGACCTAGAATATCCTCTTATTTACCTCCAAGCCAGATCTTCCTTCTGTCAGACTCCACCTTGGAGTTTCTGTTTTTCCTTTCAAATTGGTCCTTACCGAGGGAGAGTGCACTATCAGTTTGTAAAACCTTCAGGTGTATTGTGTTGGTTTCTATGTGTACTTAAGCCCCTTTCATGTGTCTGTGTATTGTATCCCTAAAGAGGCTGGTATGCTATTAAAAATACAGAAACAGGAGTCAGAAACCCTGAGAGTCTTGGTGTGTGAACTTGGACTTTGTCTTTGTTTCTCTGGGCTTCAGCGTTTACATCTGTGAAATGGAAGATAATCTCTTCCATGCCAGTCACACACATTCATGGTCAAGAACTATGTGCTGAGATGTGTTAAAATCTGCTTTGTATTCTACACCCTGTTATGAAATATATGTTTGTATTATGGGTTTCTTGGAGGCAGGAACAGTTTTTTATACAGTAGAGCTGTATATTACAAATTTATATGTATATTAATTATAATTTAGCACATGGTAAATTCAGTTTACACATTGTGTTCCCTCTGAAGCTAAACCTTGGCTTCCATTGCCCCAGGGAAGGGAAAGCCACAGTTGAGATGCTAACAGAAACAAAAGAAATGATTATTTTTTTTGCTTCTAAGCTTCCAAGAACTCAGATCCTAGTAGTTTAATGGTAATTTGACAGTGATGTTAGGAATTTTCACATAATGGTAATTTGACCATATGTAATTTTTAAGTTCTGCTTTACAACCAAACAACAATACATTTGCACTGCATATTGCATAGTTGCAATTACTTAGCTCATTGCTGAGTGGATGTTCAAGAAATATTGAATAGCATATAATAAAATATGGTAGGAAGGTATAAGAATTCAACAAACAAATGATAGCATTTGCCATTCAGGAAATTTTGGATGCACATGCTACCTATTATTTGATTTGGAAGAACTGCTAAAACATGTATCTTATTAGCCCTGGAATAAGAGTTTGAATTCCATATACATGAGATAATAATTTAGGGCATAGCAATGTTTTGTCCAAAGTTTCAGTCTCTACCCTTATGCCCTTTCATGTGGTCATTTATGAAACCATACCTCTCCCTCACCCCATGAAAATCCAAGTGCTACACAATCAAAAGAATATTAAGTTGTCATATAGGAAGATTTTTCTGTTATGCCACTTGTCCACTTAGGTAGTAAAATTCTGCAATTCTATTATAGATCAGAAAAAAGTGATGTTTTTATAGTACACTTTGAGCAACTGACACATCCTTATTGCTCCATCTGGGAGCTGCTGTTGGAACAAAGCATGGTGAGGATATGGGGAGGAAGCCACCAAGAGGCAGCATTTAAATACCTGGCCTTTGAAGGGATTAAAAGGGATATTAAAAAGGATATTAAAAGGGATCAGAAAAGCCCACCACTGTTGAGGATCTCTCCGAGATTTCATAACAAATCATCCCACCTTTCTACCCCTAAAAAACAAAACACAAACCATGTCTGTGATTTAGAGAAGCAAGGAGTAATTTAAACCAGTCTGGGTGTTTTGAAAATCACCTTTCTCAGCTCTGTATTTAATCTGTCTCACCTGAGTAGACTCCTGGGATGGCTACTCTTATCCCTGGATCCTAAGTAATGAGTAGTAATTGTGATTTGGAAAGAGTTCAGTGCTGAGTAAAGGACTATTTATCCTCTGGAGAATCCAGAGGACTATACCTTAAGAAAATAGTCCTATAGACTACATCTTAAGAAAATTGTCAACTAGATTTTAGTTTCCTTAGCTATCATGTGTAATTGTAATATGGATTATGTTAGAGGCAGTCATAACTAACCTTTAAAAATGTTAAATTAACTTTATTTGAAATATAATTTGCATTGGATAAAATGTTGCCTTTTCCAGTGTACACTGTGAGGTGTTATGACAAATGTATGAACCATGCACCCACCACTACCATTAGCATGTAGAACATTTCTATAACCCTAAAAAGTTCACATGTTCATTACAGTTAGTCTCCCATCCCTAGACAACTAATTGCTTTCTGTGATGACAGATTCATTTTGCCTGATGTCAAATTCCATAGGAATGGAATCTCATAGTATCTATCATTTGCGTTTGGCTTCTTATATTCAACATAGTGTTTTTGAGGTTTTTTTTTTAATGTGCTTGTACCAGTTTATTTTCCTTTTTTATTGGTTAGTAGTATTTTATTTGGAATGTACCACAGTTTATCCATTCACCTCTTGATGGACATTTGAGTTGTTTGTCATTTTTGGCAAAACAAGTATTTATCTCAAGAAGAATGTGACTGGAGTGAGACCTAGCCATTGGTGGGTAAAAAACTAGCACCAAAGGCGGGGCGCGGTGGCTCAAGCCTGTAATCCCAGCACTTTGGGAGGCAAGGCGGGCGGATCACGAGACCAGGAGATCGAGACCATCCTGGCTAACACGGTAAAACCCCATCTCTACTAAAAATACAAAAAATTAGCCAGGGCGCCTTGGCAGGCGCCTGTAGTCCCAGCTACAGGCTGAGGCAGGAGAATGACGTGAATCCGTGAGGCAGAGCTTGCAGTGAGCTGAGATCGCGCCACTGCACTCCAGCCTGGGTGACAGAGCAAAACTCCGTCTAAAAAAAAAAAAAAAAAAAAAAAAACTAGCACCAAAAAAAGGCATCAAGCTTTCTTGAGGTTTCAAACTGCTTCCTGTAACCTCATTTATATGTAACAAATATCAATATCGCATAACTAAATTATCCCCAAAAGAAATTACTCAAAGATTCTCTATTAGCTGATAAAGCTCCCATAGCCTTCTCAATGTAGAAGATCACTTTTTGTCTCAGTGTTGAAAACTGTTAGATCAGCATACTCGCTTATTACCTTATTTAAAAGAACCAGGTGATAAATGGAAGCAATTATTTTTCCTATTATTCTAGCTATATTTCTGATTGCAGGTGATTCAAAGACCTCAAAGAGAAAGTCCCTATTATGAAGGCATTATCTAGAAGAGAATCTATGTCTATACACATGTAGATATAAACATTATGAATTTTTCACATACTCATCCATTTACTTATCAAATTAAAAATTCTAAATATTGTCAGAGTTCAGTGTAGCTGCATGGCTAGAAAGGCTAGTAGCAAAGGGGACCTTGTGTCAGGCTTTTGAGGACTGGGGAGTGGGGAAGGCATTCCCAGAAGGAGATGGGTTTGACTATAGGCAGGGCAATGAGGACTGCTTAGAGGAGAGTAAATCAGGGTAGCAGATCATAAAATTATGTAGGTAGGAAGTGGCCAAATTAAGGAGTATTTTATAGGCTGCATTTTGAAGTTTGGATTTTATCCTAGAAGCATTTGAGACTAGCTACGAATTTTTCTAGAGAATGATGATGTTATTAGAGTAGTATTTAGGAAGGTCTCATTCCTGTCCTCTTTACATTTATATATAGCAAATATGGTTGTTTACCAATTCTGGTAACTAAATTATCCCAAGAAGGAATAATTCAAAATTCTGCATAAGCTGATTAAATTTATTTAACCTTTTTAACACAAAAGATTGTTTTCCTATACACCCAGTAAGCGTAGGAAACCGTGACTTATTAATTTCATCAATATTCTTCTGATATTTTCTCCTTATGCACTGAGGTTGGGGCTAGTTTTTTCCACTGAAATGAAAATGGCTCAAAATTGAAGAAGCAGAGAAAACATAATCTTTTTATTTCATTTAATCAGTTTTGTCCTACTAATTAGACAGCTAAATTTCCCCTCTAGAATGTCAATTTTTTGTTTTTTCCTATTGAAATGATGATAAAATGAATAATTACTTACATGGTTAGTGTATTTAGAGATCAAAATTTTATATAAATAAATATTGACAAAGACAGTGGAGCGACAGTTGAAACAATGTTGTTCATAATATGAAATATATTGACTGAGTCCCTAAATATAACTTGTCCCCTGGTGTTTAGCATTTATATTTCTTCCCCCCTCCCCCGCAAGACAGAGTCTTGCTCTGTTGCCCAGGCTAAAGTGCAGTGGCATGATCTCGGCTCACTGCAACTTCTGTCTGCCAGGTTCAAGCAATTCTCTTGCCTCAGCCTCCCAAGTAGCTGGGATTACAGGCATGCGCCACCACGCCTGGCTGATTTTTGTTGTCTTTTTCTTTTTTGGTTTTTTGTTTGTTTGTTTTGAGATGGAGTCTCGCTCTGTCACCAGGCTGGAGTGCAGTGGCCCGATCTCGGCTCACCGCAATCTCTGCCTCCCGGGTTCAAGTGATCCTCCTGCCTCAGCCTCCTGAGTAGCTGGATTACAGGCACGTGCCACCACACCCAGCTAATTTTTGTATTTTTAGTAGAGACGGGACTTCACTATGTTGGCCAGGATGGTCTTGATCTCTTGACCTCATGATCAGCCCGCCTCTGCCTCCCAAAGTGCTGGGATTACAGGCATAAACCACTGCTCCTGGCCAAGCATTCATATTTCTCAAAGAATTAAATTTTATATTTAAAGCTGATTTTGGGAAATGTCATCATTCCAGAAGAAATTTAATAAACTGCTTCCTTATTAAAGGTAAGTCCATTAATCAAACCATGCCACAGATCATTAAATATCCTCTTATTCATGATTCATAATGTTTGGTCTGTTTCAACAAAGGTTGGCCTTTTGCTTGAAAAGGATTATTGCACATGTACAAAATGTGACCATTAATACTGAACACCAAGAATGTTTGTATTGGATGGAGTAGGTTATTTTGAAAAGTGTAACCATTTGCTATTATTTCTATTACTAAGTATATGTCTGTTGTTTAGGATACACAGAGGAATACTATATTCATATGCTATATGCTGTGATATGCACATGTACTTATAAAGTCTAAAGTATATTCCAGTATATGCTGATGCTTCTCCTTATTGCATCTATGACAAGGGATGATCACAGATGCATATAATTGACTACTCTTAAGCAAAATTGGCTCTACTGAGGTCAGGGAGGGCTGATATGGTAAATTTTACATTGCAAAGCTAAATTATTTGTCAAGTTTGATAAGTTGTTTTGCTCATAGCATATTTGAGTTCTTCTAAAGGGGATTAATGATGATGTGGCCTTTGAAAAGCTTTATTCCTGCATGTCCTTTTACACCTGTCTCTAGTCCTCTTCCATAATACTATGATTGGGAATAATCCATATTGGATGGGCCAGCTCTTAATGGTGTGCAACCTCACTTCTTAGAAAGGACTGCAATTGAGAGTCTGGATTGTTCTCCTGCACATATGTACTTGCATGTGATGCTTCCATACACAGTTACTGTTGCTCTTCCTGAGGGCTGCATACAGAAGGATTGGTGCCTGGGTTTAAGCCCAAGCATGCTCTCCTTCTGCTTGACTTTACTTCATTCACACACTTTGGAGTTTGTTTCAGATGAGTGTATAATCTTAATAAATTATGATTTGACTGCAAAATTTTAAATCAATCACTTAATAATGTTTTATTAAGACTCTACCATATATTTAGGGCACAGCCCTGGTCCTTTTTGGAAATCTTTAATTTTGTTTTTCTACTTTGCCTTGATCCAAGAGGATTTTAAGTGGTTTACAAGGAGCAAAGTAATATAAGTTGGAAGTATTACAGTTTAGAAAAGGAAAACAGTAATTTGGGGATCTGGTCCAGGCTTCTATATAATTTTTCATTTAGTTGAGGGAATACAAATGAATTTTTCAAACAATAAAAAAAGTCCTCTGTTGATTGGCTCCAGTGAGTAGCACAGTGAGCACTCTTTGAGAGTCCAGGAGAGTTCCCAAGGCGGGGGGAAGTGGGGGCCAGGGGCATTGTAGCTGGGATGCTCAGGCAAAGAGATGGAGTTTGAGCTGCTTCTTAAAGTGAAGGGTAGGGAAGATGATGCAATTGATCTCTGAACAGTGATAAATGTAGAAAGGATGTTCAGAACACACTCTGTCTTACTAAAGGAGCTCTCTTTTCAACTGGTACATTTTTCATGCTCAGTAACTACCTACTTTAAAATTCAGTAGGGAAACATCTTTTTAATTCTCAGTTTAAGATGCAAAGCATAAATATATTTCTTTAAAGACAGTACATTAACTAACTATAGAAAATAATAAACTCCAGATGACGACTGTGTTTTAATAAAAATCATAACTTTATATACCTTCATTTAAAAAGTTTGTATTTTAATTTAGACAAAATATTGGCCAAATTTTATAACAGCTAATTTCCAAGCTTACATTCATTTTCAACTCAAGATAGTGTTGTTTAATTTGCATTTCAAGAACTACTCAGTTGTTATTTTTATATTCTTTTTATAACTCATTGCTGTATGCATCTAAAGTTACTGTGTGAAATTTCTAGAGAAGTACTCCTGATTGGGTTATTTTGTCCATCAGTATGATTAGTACATGCAACTGATAATTTGGTAATTTACTCAGCTATAGCTTTTGGTAAAGACTGACAAGATATCACAAGTAACCGTCTTAGCTGTGATGATTTGGTTTAGTTTTAATTTTTAATTTTTAATTATTTATTTATTTTTTGAGACAGTACTCAGCTTACTGCAACCTCCGCCTCCTGGGTTCAAGCCATTCTCTTGCCTCAGCCTCCCAAGTAGCTGGGATTACAGGCACCTGCCACCACACCCAGCTAATTTTTGTATTTTAATAGAGATGGGGCTTCACCATGTTGGCCAGGCTGGTCTGGAGCTCCTGACCTCAAATGATCTGCCCGCCTTGGCCTACCAAAGTGCTGGGATTACAGGTGTGAGCCACCACACCCGGCCTAAATTTTTGTTTTTTTTAAATCACTGCCCAACTTTATTCTACCAGCTAGTGATAAATATTATGAAGCAGAATTCATCAAGTATGGTTGCTTCTTTCTTTCTAGGAATATTAGACTGAAACACAATTGTCTGTGTCCTCACTGAACTTCATGTAAACATCTATTATAGCAACTTTCTCAGTTTAATATCTGTTCCTCTTCTTAACAGTAAGTTCTTCAAGGATAGGGTTACTGTATCTTAATCATTATATTCCTAGCACTGGAAACTGTAGCCAGCACAGAGTAAATCTTTAGTAACCATTGACTCAGTGAAAGCTTTAGTGAGCATTGCTACAACTAATTATAATCAGCCTCACCCAACTCTGTATTACCATTTTGCAGCACTTGCCAACTCAGTACTTCATAGACTCATACAACACGAGAGATGGAGTGATTTTTAAGGAGACCTAATTTCCTTTTTTACGGGTGAAAGAAAGCTGAGATCCAGAGAAAGGATTGACTTGCCACGGGACAGAGAGACTGTGACTGGCAGAGCTGGGCCTGGAACTCTGAACACCTTGTGGTCAGGCATGTTCCTAGCCACTCCTTGCTACTGCTTACTGACCACTCAGCCACCTCTCTCCAGCAATTAAATTTGTCACGTGGTTGGTGATGCTGCTCTTTACATATAACAGCTCCATGGACTTTGCTCCTTGGTATTTACAATGTTTAATTGGGTTGCTTTGAAATAACATTTATCTGACAAAGGCTGATATCTAACCTAGTCAGAAATTTCCTAAAGTTTCAGGATACAGATTATGTGATACAGATAGCTTTCTTACTGCATGAGTTTAGTAATTTCATAAAATCACATAGGTAAGGATGAGAAAAATGACTCTTTATTCCCATAGTACTGTAAGTCACATGTAGTTTCTTGAAATGATATTCTGAAAAAAGTATTCACCAAATGCCATCATTTTGAACTCACTTTATACTGACTCTTGATCTGATGATTGGCCTCAGTGGCCTTTCAGGTAGGAAAAGAAGTATGGAAGAGCGGAGTGAGCTGTTTGTTAAGTTAAAAGAAATTCATAGATTACTGACAAATGTGGAGTCATTCTAGGTTTTAATAAATTTGACTCCGTTTGCAGCTTAGGGTGAAAAGGGGTTAATTTTCTTTTAGTAGGTGAAAAGGTGTTAATTTTCTTTTTGATGGGGAAAAAGCCAAATGATAAGGTAGGAGGGATACATGATTCCAAATTCCAACAAGGGCACACTCAAAATACTCTAGAGTAGGGTTTAAAGAAGCTGTCTCCAAAGGCATGGGTATGGAAACCACCAAGGAGATTTCATGATGTGGTAGAAGACAGTCTGTTTCCTCCCCAGGCCTGAAAGGAGAACAGTGAGCAGAACCAGAAAAGAGTGTGTTCATTTCCTATTGCTGCTGTAACGTATTACCACAAGTTTAGTAACTTAAACCATTGGAGACATCTGGAGGTCAGAAGTATGAACTGGTCTTACTGGTCAAAACCCAAGTGTCACTGGGGCTACATTCTTTTCTTGGAGGCTCTAGGGGAGTGTCCGTTTTCTTGTCTTTTCCAGGATGGTCCCACATGCATTCCTTGGCTTGTGTCCTGTTACTCCATCCTCCCACGCAGCAGCAGGGATCAGGTCCATCTCACTTTGCATCACTCTGACCTCCTCTGCCTCCTTCAACTTTAAGGACACTTGTGATTACATTGGGCCCACTTGGATAATCCAGGCTAATCTCCTTATCTTAAAGTCAGCTGATCAGCCACAATAATTTCATCTGCAACCTTCCCTTTGCTATGTAAAGCAACTGCTATGGTTTGGATATGGTTTGTTTGGCCTTGCCAAGTCTCATGTTGAAATTTGACCCCAAGTGTTGGAGGTGGAGCCTAATGGGAGGTGTTTGGGTCATGGGAGCAGATCCCTTATGAATGGCTTGGTTTCCTCCTCCAGTAATGAGTGCATTCGCGCTCTGTTAGTCCCTGAGAGAACTAATTGTTTAAAAAAAAAAAAAAAAAAGCCTGGCACCTTCCTCCCCTCTTTCTTCCTTCCTCTCTTGCCATGTGGTGCCTGCTTCCCTTTGCCTTCTGCCTTGAGCAGAAGCAGCCTGAGGTCCTCCCCAGATGCAGGTGCTGGTGCCATGCTTCTTGTACAGTCTGCAGAACTATGAGCCAAATAAACCTCTTTTCTTTATAAATTACCCAGTGATGTGGTTTGGCTGTGTCCCCACCCAAATCTCATCTTGAATTCCTACGTGTTGTGGGAGGGACCCAGTGGTAGGTAATTGAATCATGGCGGCAGGTCTTTCCCTTGCTATTCTCGTGATCATGAATAAGTCTCATGAGATCTGATGATTTTAAATACTGGAGTTTCCCCTGCACAAGCTCTCTCTTTGCCTGCTGCCAGCCATGTAAGACATGACTTGCTCCTCCTTGCCTTCCATCATGATTGTGAGGCCTCCCCAGCCACGTGGAACTGTAAGTCCATTAAACCTCTTTTTTTTTATAAATGGCCAAGTCTCAAATATGTCTTTATCAGCAGCGTGAAATGGACTAGTACGGTAAATTGGTACCAATAGAGTGGGGCACTGCTGAAAAGATACCCGAAAATGTGAAAGCGACTTTGGAACTGGGTAATAGGCAGAGGTGGGAACAGTTTGGAGGGCCCAGAATTAGACAGGAAAATGTAGGAAAGTTTGGAACTCCCTGGAGACTTGTTGAATGACTGACCAAAATGCAGATAATTATATGGACAGTGAAATCCACGCTGAGGTGGTCTCAGATGGAGATGAGGAACTTGTTGGGAACTGGAGCAAAGGTGACTCTTGTTATGTTTTAACAAAGAGCCTGGCAACGTTTTGCCCCTGCCCTAGAGATTTGTGGAACTTTGAACTTGAGAGAGATGATTTAGAGTATCTGGTGGAAGAAATTTCCTTCTTTCTCTTCCTTCCTTCCTTTCTTCCTTCCTCCCTTCCTTCCTTCCTTCCTTCCTTCCTTCCTTCCTTCCTTTCTTTCATACGGAGTTTCATTCTTGTTGCCCAGGCTGGAGAACAATGGTTCAGTCTCAGCTCACTGCAACTTCTGCCTCCCGGGTTCAAGCAATTCTCCTGCCTCTGCCTCCCAAGTAGCTGGGATTACAGGCATGTGCCACCACACCCGGCTAATTTTGTTTTTAGTAGACAGGGTTTCTCCATGTTGGTCAGGCTGGTCTCAAACTCCTGACCTCAGGTGATCCTCGTGCCTCAGCCTCCCAAAGTGCTGGGATTACAGGCATGAGCCACCGTGTCTGGCGGAAGAAATTTCTAAGCAGCAAAGCCTTCAAGAAGTGACTTGGGTCCTGTTAAAGGCATTCAGTTTTATAAGGGAAGCAGAGTATAAAAGTTCAGAAAATTTATAGTCTGACAATGTGATAGAAAAGAAAATTCCATTTTATGAGGGGAAATTCAAGCCCGCTGCAGAAATTTGCATAAGTAACGAGGAACCAAATGTTAATCCCCAAGACAATAGGGAAAATGTTTCCAGGGCATGTCAGAGACCTTTTCAGCACCCTCTCCTATAACAAACCTGGAGGTTTAGGAGGGAAAAATGGTTCCATGGGCCTGGCCCAGGGTCCTTCTGCTGTTTGCACCCTAGGAACTTGGTGCCCTGTGGCCCAGCTGCTCCACTAGTAGCTGAAAGGGGCCAAGGTACCACTTGGGATGTGGCTTCAGAGGGTGACAGCCCCAAACCTTGGCAGCTTCCACATAGTATTAGCCTGCATGTGCACAGAAGTCAAGAATTGAGGTTTGGGAACCTCCACCTAGATTTCAGAGGATGTATGGAAATGCCTGAATGCCGAGGCAGAAATTTGCTGCAGGGTGGGGCCCTCATGGAGAACCTCTCCTAGGGCAGGGCGGAAGGGAAATGTGAGGTCAGAGCCCCCACACAGAGTCCCTCCTGGGGCATTGCCTAGTGGAGCTGTGAGAAGAGATCCTAGTGGAGTGACAAGAGATCCTCCAGATCCCAGAGTGGTAGATTCACCGAGAGCTTGCACCATGCACCTGGAAAAGCTGCAGACACTCAACGCATGCCTGTGAAAGCAGCCAGGAGAGGGGTATACCCTGCAAAGCCACAGGGGCAGAACGGCAGAACTGTCCAAGACCATGGGAGTCCACCTCTTTTTTTTTTTTTTTTTTTTTTTACCCCAGACAGAGTCTTGCTCTGTCCCCCAGGCTGGAGTGCAGTGGCACGATCTCAGCTCACCGCAACCTCCGCCTCCCAGGTTCAAGCAGTTCCCCTGCCTCAGCCTCCTGAGTAGCTGGGATTACAGGTGTGTGCCATGCCACCACGCCCGGCTAATTTTTGTATTTTTAGTAGAGATGGGGTTTCACCATGTTGGCCAGGCTGGTCTCGAACTCCTGACCTCGTGACCCCCTGCCTCAGCCTCCCAAAGTGTGGGGATTATAGGCGTGAGCCACCATGCCTGACCTCATGCATCACGCATCAGTGTGACCGGGATGTGAGACATGGAGTCAAAGGAGATCATTTTGGACCTTTAAGATTTGACTGCCCTACTGGATTTTGGACTTGTGTGGGGCCTGTAGCCCTTTGTTTTGGCCAATTTCTCCCATTTGGAATGGCTGTGTTTACCCAATGCCTGTACCCGCATTGTATCTAGGAAGTAACTAACTTGCTTTTGATTTTACAGGCTCATAAGCGGAAGGGACTTGCCTTCTCTCAGATGAGACTTTGGACTGTCTGAGTTAATGCTGAAATGAGTTAAGACTTTGGGGGACTGTTGGGAAGGCATGATTGGTTTTGAAATATGAGGACATGAGATTTGGGAGTGGCAAGGGGCAGAATAATAATGGTTTGGCTGTTTCCCCACCCAAATCTCACCTTGAATTCCCATGTGTTGTGGGAAGGACCTGGCCGGAGGCAATTGAATCATGGAGGCAGGTCTTTCCTGGGCTATTCTTGTGATAGTGAATAAGACTCATGAGAACTGATGGTTGTAAACACTGGAGTTTCCCTGCTCAAGCTCTCTCTCTTTGCCTGCTGCCATCCATGTAAGACATGACTTGCTCCTCCTTGCCTTCCATCATGATTGTGAGGCCTCCCCAGCCACATGGAACTGTAAGTCCGTTAAACCTCTTTCATTTGTAAATTGCCAAGTCTTGAGTATGTCTTCATCAGCAGCATGAAAATGGACTAATACATCCAGCCTCGGGTATTCTTTTATAGCAGTGAAAATTGACTTTAGACAGTAATATGTTCACAAATTCTGGGGAGTAGGATGGTGGATATCTTTGAGGGGCCATTATTCTTCTTACCACAGAGAGTGAGAGATAAGGAGAGTTTGTTGCCTTAAGTGGAGTCATGAACTTCAGCTGGGAGTACATCTAGCCTGAGGCAACCTCCACGGAAGAGCCAGGGAAATAAATGCTCTGCCTTCCAGTCCTGTGGGGACTGTTCAGTGTGTTATGGAAGGGGTCCCGAACATCCCGCGCCATGGACCAGTGAGCTGCGGGCGAACTAGCACTCACTGCCTGAGTATTACTGCCTGAGCTTCGCCTCCTGTCAGATCAGTGGCGGCATCAGATTCTCACAAAAGTGCAAACCCTATTGTGAACTGTGCATGTGCAGGAGGGATCTAGGTTGCACGCTCCTTATGAGAATATAACTAATGCTTGATGATTTGAGGTGTAACAGTTTCATCCCCAAACAATCCCCCCGCCGCCTCACCTACTCAATCTCTGTAGCATTCCACAGTCTTTATAGCAACAGAATACCCCCTGGGGTGGGGTAGTGCAGTCAGCCTTTTTTTGAGAACCACTGGCAGTGAGATGGGGTCATCTTTAGAGTCATACCAACCTCCTCAGGGCATTGTCTAGCAGGGAAACTAGTCAGAAAGATGGGCTGTCTGAACAGGACTAAGAGAGCACAGAGAAACCAAGCACTAATGAGCTACCTTCACTCTCTAACCCAGCCATAAGCTCCAGCTAACCCCCACTCAGCCGCCTGCAGATGCCCAGGTGGTCATGGGCCATGCTACTAAGAAATAGTGAGTCTGTTCTAGGGCAGCTTTAATATGAAATCTCAGTTTAGGAGTATTTTATGGCTTCTATTAAATGGAGACGTTAGACGCCTTTGAAAAATTTTGCATGAAACACACTGAATCATTTCTTTCCTTTCTGTTATAAATTATAGATGTCTGTGCATTTATGTAGGGATTTTTTTCTTTGCCTAAGAAGAAGTTAAACATTTTTTTACTAAATCCAGCACAAAAAGTTGTAATTTTGCTAGCTTACTAGTAGCTTGCCAGGACCGATAAGACCTTCACTTTTTTGAGACCAAGAATAACTGTAAGGTAGGGTCAAGCAATTACTCTTCATCCTACATAGCCAGCCTCATATTTTACTGCATTCTGTATGGCTGATGCTAGTCTAAAGGTACTTTAAAATACCATGTTAAAATCTTGGCTTCCATTGAAAAGCTGCTGTTATGCAGTCTGTCCAAATCTATAAACAAATGAACATCCTGAATGGAGCTAATTTTCTTGAGCTTCAGATCTTCTTACAACTCCGGGTCTTATGGTTACCAGGGCTTAGAGTTGGTGTGTTTAAGTTGAAAGGCAACCGTTGTTTCTTTACTTTAAAGCAAAAATTCCAATTTACGCTAATGGAGATAATTCTTTTTAAATCATATTTTCAGGTTTCATACTGATGGCTTACTAAGCTTCATATGCTTTTTACTATACATAGTGTATCCAAACAGATATGTGGATCTAAATGTAGGATTGATTTAATGAAATTATTAAATTTATCATTATTTCACATCTATCTCCTTCTGTAGTTAAAGCAAAACAAATCCATTAAGGGAGTGAATAGGATAATTCTTCTAAATGTACTGTAAGAATATACTTTCATTAGCTCTTCGTTTCTGGGTTTCATTTTGTTATTCATCAGCAGAGTATGAGGTGTTACAATTACGTTATAGAATAGTACTGGAAAGAATAGAGTTCTTGCATTCAAAGGAGACCAGAGAAAATTTCCAGGAGTTAGCATTTAGAGCAGGTATTGGTACTCCCACAGGCGATGTGAAATTGGGGGTGTCAACATGGGAAGATCATTTTAGGTAGGAACAGGCAGGACTCTGCTCCTGTGTTTGATGTGTTAGGCAAAGAAGTAAAAACAGTCCAAGAAGCTGACATTTATAGCTAGTGTGATGGGGCCTAAGTATGGAGATGGAAAGACACGAATGGAAATAGGAAAGTACAGAGGCACCAACGGAAGGAGTGAGTTGAGGTGAGGTGCCTTCAGGCCATTACAAAACTCAAGTGCTTTGAAGAGGGCCTGAGTTAGGGAAGGAAGAGACTTGGCTGTTAGTTGTGTACAGGTGATAGCTGCAGCTCAGAGAATGGCCAAGATGGTCAGTGGGCTAATATGGAGAAGTAGTGGGCTGGGCATGGAATTCTGGCAGATGATTGCACGTGGGATCAGTAAAAGGAAAGAAAGAGCCAAGCAGAGAAAGGAAGCATGGCTGGAGAGGCTGGTGGAGAACTAGGCAGCATTTCCAAGAAGAAGGGGGTGACTGATGGCGTCAGACACTACAGAGGAGGGTGAAGACTGAGAAGAAGCCACACGTAGGCTTTTGGAGACCTCTGAAAGAGTTGTTTCCATGTCCACTGAGAGCAGAAGATTGATTGAGAGAGGGTGATTAAGGGAATAGGGAGAAGTAAAGACAACAACTTACGATCTGGCAGTGAAATGAAGGTAGTAGTGGTCACTCTAAATGGTTGAGGGGGGCTGATTGGGGCAACAGAAAACCCTCCCTTCTTTGATTCACTCATTCCTATGGATTTAGAGCAATGGTCTTCAACTAGGTCAGACTACGTATTGTATTGAAAAGATCTCCCAGGTTATGTGGTCAAAGTCCTGTCTCTGCGTTGGAATCCCAGTGCTGGAGGATAAAGCACAGAACCCACACTGCTGCTGGGTCTGGAGACTCAATCTCATGATTGTGCCAGTGCTGAAAACCATCTCCTGCCCTGAAATCCTAGATACTCCTCATGCCAGGGTTGGGGTGAGCAGAGAGAGCTGCTGTGGAAAGCAGGAAGGGGAGATTGAAAAGCATGGTTTGTAATGGAAATGCTGCAGTAACTTTCCTACTTGGTACTTGCTCTCATCCATGGACGCTTTGTAAATCAGGGACTGGAACAAACAGAGCTGACAGCTCTGTTTAAAAAAGCTTTTGGGGAGTTTGTAAGGAAATAAAAAGAAGCCTGATGCTATGTGAAACATGTGACCTCAATTCAGAACTGGAAAAAAAAAAAAACCTTTATTGCCTTCTCAAAATGTTTTACCTATAAATTGTTTTTTCATTAAGGTAAACAGGAGAAAAGAAAATGGCCTTGAAAAAAAAAAGAGTATAAAAGTCTTCCCTCTTATTATTAACAGGCATTAACATTCAGAGTAGAAATTTAGGTAGACTCTTTCCTCCCTTTCCTGTCTTCCTTTCTCTCCTTCCCCTCCTTCCCTCCTTCCCCTCCTTCCCTCCTTCCCCCCTTTCCGTCCTTCCTTTTCTTCCCCACCTTCCTCTCCTTTCCTTCCCTACCCTTCTCTTTTCTACCCTTCCTTCCTTCCTTCCTTCCCTCCCTCCCTCCCTTCCTTCTTCCCTTCCTTCCTTCTTCCCTTCCTTCTTTCCTGTGTCTCTTCCTCTCTTCCTCTCTTTCCCTTCCTTCCCTTCCTGTTCCCTCCCCATCCTTTTAGATTGGAATACAGTGTGTACTACATATGATCTGGATCCCTGCAAGTTAAACAAAGATCTAGATAAGAAGTGTAATGTTAAAAATGGTATTTCAGGGAGCTGTACACCGCTGATCTTAACAAAGCTAAGAGATGTAGGTCGAGTTCTAGATGCCTGTTGAAAGTGATTGAATTTCACAACAGAGTAATCCATGTTTGGTAAAGAAATGGGCCCGCGGTTGCAAGATGCTAATACCAACGGTGATGAAGAGAATCTGGTCAATTCCATGTTTGGGTTTTTCACCCACTTGAGCCTTGACAGGTTTGAATTTCACTCTGCTGCCTTGCCTAGCATGTCTTGCTGAACCTCTCAGCCTTGCTGTAGTTTTAGAGGTGATGGTGATTAGAATGCTAAGAAAGTCAGCTCACTGTTTTCCTTGAGGAAGAGGAGGGCATGGTGACAGAGGGAATTTGGAAGAGAGTGGGTCCAGATGGCACTAACACCTCTTGGTTTCACAGACTATTTCCACCCTCTTTACAAATTCCCTTTCAGCTAAACAAACAAATATTTAAGAGAACTGCTGGTACCAGGTCATGTTAAATATTTCTCTTACTTATTTCATGATACTGCTTTGCAAGGTTAAACAATGAAAAGTAATAACGGCTTAATACAGCCTAACTCATTTTTCCTGGATGAATCATTAATTTCCTGCTAAACAGATGCATTTAGAAAGTATGCACAGTATATATTATAAAAATAATTTTAAAGTAATTACTTACAAAGAAGTTTCCTTAAATTTGCTAGGTAGTCTTTCTCAGTCTTTTCTCTTCTGCTATAGTCATGTTGAAATTCTGAAGTTCGGGGCAAGGCTTAGTCTCCTTAAGAGGATCTCCATCAGAAAAGAATCACTTAGATGTTACCTGCTGCCAATTGTAAACTATTGTGTATGAAATACTGATATTATTCACTTACTCTAGAAGAAAGTCCTAGTTTCCCCAGTTTATTAAAAAGTTGAGTTAATCCATGTGTAATAGTTAAAAACACATCCACCCCATGCCTTCCTTCCTATAGAAATATATATATATTTTGAAATTTTCCAATTCTTTCTATATACAATACATCAATCATTTGCATATAAAATGTTCATCTCCCCTGCTCTGGGGTATTGCACTTGGCTTTCATAGGAACCAGCTAAGTCTGAAATCACAAGATGGAGAACCTAGATACTTTTCAGTTCCTCCAGAGTTAGAGAATCACTTACAGGGTAAACACACCCATAAATCAGCCTGTACCCCCATCAGTCAGATAATGAAAGTATTTGTGTAGGCCCAAGAATGCCTTTCATTGAAAAGCCAGCACTACCCATGCCAAAATATAAAACACATGTAAATGATGTGTAGATTATTATTCATTCAGCAAATAGTTGGTAAGCAAGATCTATGAGCTGAGCCTAATGTCAGCAGTTTAGCTATAGTCTGTGTTATGTTCCTTATTCTCTTGACTAGAAGGTTTATTGTGTTATGTATATCTATAGATACATATACATTAACCAAAGTGTGTATAAAATATAAGAACTAAATTAAAATATTTTCAATGAAATTATAAAATAACAATAGATGCTCCTGTTAGAGTCACTTTTTTGGTTATATTATAGCCAGTCATGACTTTTATAGCAAATGGCAGAGGGCTTTTTTTTTTGAGAGTTCATTTTATTGCATTTTTATTGGTAGGTAGTGAAACTGACTTTCACTAGGAAATTAAATCTCAGCATCTTTGCCTTGAAATACTTTAATAGATTAACATGAGTGATGGCATTTGTTTTCTTGCTGTGGGTAATCATATTTATTTCTGCATGTTTAATTACGGGGTTTTTATTCCATCATAGACATGGGCTGTGTTTTCATATAAAACAGACCTTATTTCAAAGAGCTCAAAGAGGGCGAAAAAAAGATGACATAATTGGGCTAGTAATATAGATATACCATGCAAAATCAAAGTATAAACCTGCAAAGTCATTTTTTGGGGAACTGCGATTTAAAACACAGCTTATATCTCTAGCCAGGAAGCCACAGGTTCTTTCGTTTGCTTTTATTGATTTTTATTTTTTACAAGGGACTTTAAAAAAAATAACTGCTCGTTGGCCTTTAACTAGGATCTCTGCCTTTCTTTTAATTTATTTATATCCTCTGTAATTACTTTTCCTTTCTTTATCCTAATTTTTCTTGATTCTGCTGCATTACACCAATTTTCATGTCTCCTCTTGTTTCCCTTCTAAATTTTCATTTATGTTTTCAGATAAATTTATTCACTATGATGTCATCTGACCATTCTTGTGATGCAAGGTAGTGCAATTTCTTTAAGGCTTGAAACAAGGGCACACTAGGGCACACTATTGATACTGTCATATGTTGCCACTGACGTCATTTCTGGGGTAAGAGACAGTTGTAACCAGTAAAATATCTGCAGAGCTTTATTAAATATTCTCTTCTCCTACTTTTGAAGTGCCCATTTCCCAGAAAGACTGGTTATTTGTTCTTTGAAAATGTAAGCTTTTTTCAATTAAACTTTTCCATTCCACACGAAACCCTGAACTTCTAGGTGAGCAAATCTTATTGTAATTATCCTCTCTTCATAGAAAAGCAGGATCGATACCATTGTCCTGCATAGCATGCCAACCTATAAATTATACTGTCTGTCCTTTGGTCCCTGTAGATTGCATTAGGTACACTGCTCCAGCAGAGTTTGAACTTTGTGGTTGTGCTGGTTATAGTATATGGAGAGAGGAAATAAGCTTGCCTTGGCCTTAGCTTCTTAAACGGCATTCACACGTTTGTTTATGAATGAGTAGGGCAGACCAGGGCAGAGAAAATAAGGCATTTGTACATCTTGCTGATTTGTTTCTGGCTTCAGGGGCCATTTAAAGAGAAAGAGTAAGCATGAACAGACCAAACCTGAAGCAATTAATGAGCAGATAACTTCCCAAGCATGAGCATCACTGCCACTTAACCTGTGTTTAGTCTTGCCCCATGACAAATCTTTCCTGTTTTCCTTCCTTTTTAACATTTCCTGACAATAGCACATATTTTCAGAATTTTGATTTTGAAATTGATGTGACCTATAATTCCTAAACAGTAAGTAGGGGTATCAGTTGCATTAGGTCAAACCTCAAAGTTGATCAATTCTTATTTCTCATAAGACATTGTTCTTTAGCCATTGTATCTTTAATAGTCTTTTAAACACATTCATCTCTGGGCTAAAAATGCTTTTTAAAAAAACCAAAAAGAGTACTTTTCTAGAAGCAAACTTCATAGTCCTCTATATTATGTACTTATGGATCTTCATGTTAGAGTTATAAAAATATACAGGATGTAAGAGAGGCATGTGACCCATATGAAATAATGGATCTATATTTGGGTTGTAGGATAAAAATCAGAGGTTCTTCCAACTTAGGATCAAAAATAGTTTGAGCCCCTAACTCATTTTTTCCTATAGCAGTGGCTTGTCATCATATCAACAGATTTCAGGAACCTCTGTCCTCTCGCCTGGAGGCACTCCAAAATTCATTTAGGTGGTTTATGTAATAGTGGAACGATTCTTAGAAATGGGACAGGGTGGATATAAGGTAATTGCTTTTTTTTCCTGATGAAATAGTGCCTGTGGGTTTTTTTTTTTTTTTTTTTTTTTTTTGGTAGTAATTTCACAAAGATCCTAAATTGAAATCCGCTGGAATAATAGGACACACAGGAGTAGCCGCTGTTCTCTATTACGTACAGCATGGCTGTATCTGTGACCTGTGGTTGTGCATATTGTAGGTTTATTTTTCACACTGCCAGTTAAGATTTCCCAGAGTTTGACACAAAATCTACAATCACTGAGCCTCTACTGATATATTTGTATTGTCCGGAAGGCTGTCGAGTTCTTAGTCAAGAGAATGGCTTCCATGGTTTTCTTTCATAGTGAATGGTTTTGGAAATAAAATTTTATGCTCATACTTACTGAGGTCAGAATCCTGAAATTTCGTCCAGTGGTATAAATAATAATAATATGTCACAAGGTATATTAACCATTTGCCTTGTACTAGGCCCTGTTACTACTATTTATATACATCATTTCATGTAGCCCTGTAACATCCCTTTGAGATAACTACTCTTATATCCTTATTTTCAGATGAGGAACTAAGAAGTTAAAAATATGCCCAAAGAGCCACATAGTAGCATTAACTCCAGCTCAGAGCTGACTCTTGACAGCTGCCAACAAATTCTCTTTGTTCTTCTGGGTGGAAGACCATGAAACAGGAAAATATTAATAACATGTAGTGTACTGCTTTCTAAAATTTTCTTCCCGTTATCATAGTTTGGTTGGTAACAATTCTTACCCACTTTTATCTGTCTCTTTTCCTTTTCTAAAATACTATCCATTTTTATAGAAAGAGACAAAGGAAAAATGTATGTTCTTTTCTCCATCTGGACGTTCTTGAAGGTTTATGCTGAGAGAACCATTATTCTGTAGTGTGCCTTACCACTGACAGCCTGGGTGTATATTCTTCAGCCTATTTTGTTTGTTTCTCCGCTGGAAAAATGAAGATGAAATCACTGTGCCTTGCTATCAAAGTAGGGATGAAGGAGTAATGTCCTTCATAATTACAGACAGTATAATTATAAATAATAGGCCATGGATATAACTGTAAATATGAAAATGTGAGGTTTCCTCATGAGATACTGAGTGATCTCAGCAGCCTGCAAAAGGTGATATGTGTCAAAGGACATAAAACAGTAGGAGGAGAAAGAGCACTGAGCGATCACGTAGTCCCAAAGTTAGCAGGGATGCTTTCGGGGAGGCATACCTGGAAAGAGGATGTAAATTCACCTTGCTGTGAAGGACTGGAGGAGCCAACCTTTTCAATCCTGTGGCTAGTGGAGGGTCTTGAGTGTGCCTTTGGGGCATGAAAGCCAGGAGGAAGCACACCCTGTTTAGCAGATGTGTGGCTTCAGGGCCTTGGCAGGCAGAACAGGTTGATTATGCATTGCCATGGTTATTCTGCCACTGAACAGTTATACTCCAGCACCCTTCTTCATTGCTCTGCCAAAGCACTTATGCCTTGGAGCTCTGAGTCCAGGCACAGAAGGGACTGTCCTAAGTGAGTGAAGTGGTCAGGACGTCACTGCAGGCACTGAGAATTTATTAAAATGAGGATGAGGCAGAATGGAGAGTTTTATTCTCTGTATTTGTGAGAGCTTTCTTCCGATGCAAGAAGGAAACCCCATCTAGTTTCATGAAAACATGAGCCTTGCCTAACCGACTTGGCTGCAGGCAAACCAACCCTGCCCCTGTGTTTTGAAATTTGGGCTCTTTCCTCTTTCATGTTCTTTTTCATCAAGTGTGAACTCCTGATTCTATGTCAGCAGTTGATCCCCATTACAAATAATCTTCAGCAGAATCTTGTTTTCCATATCCTATTGACTTTGGCACCTGCTCTGTTTACTTAAGCACTCAATTGATAAGAACTGGAATCTTTGCTGATTTTTACCTAAAGCTAGAAAAGAAAACCTTTCAAGCCAGCAAAAATAACCTTCCTCTGAAAAAATACATCAAAGGAGTGGTGCCAGCTCAGTTGGTATTAGGTTGTGCATTGCATGGGTTGGAAACGATGGACTGTAAAGAAAAGGGGTCTTTGCAGCAGGCAGAAGTAAAGCAACAACAATTAAAGTAAACAGAGCAAACTTTCCATGACATGCTGCTACCAGCATTTGTAATAACCCCCAGGATAGGACCCTACTGGAAGACGGGTTAGCTAGTGGGAAACTGACAGGAGGGATCAGGAGTGGGGAGGCAGGACACAGTTACTAGAGCAGAGATACGTAATAAAGGCTTGGAGATAGAAACAAAAGCAAAACATTTAGAATGGTTAAGACTCACTTGATGTCACTTACCTGTCCCAGTGATTGGGTTCTTTTCAGTGCCCTCTGTGAAGACAAGAATGACATCAGAGCATACGTCCAGCTCTACTTTCTCAGGAGCCACAGATTTTGGCTCTTCATGCAGAAATACTCAGAATATGCAGATAATGACACATATCAGAAACCTTATCACTGAACATTTTAAATTCCATGGTGGGGGAAGGAGGCATGTCCTACACAATAGGCATCCTGTTTTGGGGGAGGTTTATCACAAAAACTTTTTATTGATCACTGAGGGGAAAAAATGGGGTTTTCATCTGAAACCTTGGGTGTCTCAGTCTTTTTCTTTCCGATTTTGTGTAAGCTAGACAATTATGTTGGATTTACTTTCTCCATCTTCAGTGGAAGAAATGACCTTGTTGAGTAAAACAAGTATGTTAAGTGTCAATTCATAAACACAGGTTTGTATGGAAAGAGAGGATATGAAATTAGACACACCTGTGAAGATCTGGGGATGGGTGACATCTTTTTTTTCCAGTAAACATTTATTGATCCTTTATGAGGTACCAAGCACTTTAGTAAGAGCTGGGAAGAGGAGAAAAGAGCAATGGTGGTCCTTGTTCCCCAGGAGCTCTAAGACCCTGTGTGAGACAGATGTGGGGGTGGGGATGTGCCATGGTGGTGAGCAGGCAGGAGTGATGGTGCCTGGGAAGAGGCAGGCGAGGGTCACGAGAGCCTGCAGAGAAAAGGAGGCATTTGAGTCGGTCATGAAGGACACCAGCAGTTTTTACAGGTGGACAAAAGACATGTAAGGCAAAGAGAACCTCAAAGAGAGAAAGTGTGGACATCTGGATGGGTTTGCCAGGTCTGGGGAACTGAAAGGAGGTCTGAGTGACTGCTAAGATTAAAGGCACAGAGTGGGAGGTGAGGAGGCTAGGAAGTTCTAGAGGGTTCAAATCAGAAATGCTTTGTCCTGTAAATCGTGTGGAGCTGTGGAAAGGCTTTAAGCAGGTGAGTGATGTGATTAGGTTTACGTTCCCGAGAAATCATTCCATCACACTGTGGAGAACGGACTGGAAAAAGATCTTCGTGGATGCAGAAGATGAGCATAGACACTGTTGCTGTGGCCCGAGCAGGAGAGAATGAGGCCCAGACCCAGGGCAGTAGAGGTGGAGGTGTAGAGGAGGGACACAGTGAGAGAGAGAGATGGAGGAGACTGAAGAACACTGAGTGAGTAAACTGGAAGTGGTGGATGCAGGAGACCAGGAGGAGCCAGGGTTGTCCAGGATTTCTGGCAGAGCTGACTTGGTGAGTGAGGGCATTATTGACTCTGACAGATAAATGAGAAGAAAACCAGCTTCTGAGGGGTAGTGGAAGCAGATAGGGGCATGCGGGGCATGTTGAGATGTGTTGGGACATGCTGCGATTGAAGGGGCCTGCGGCCATCAGGTGAAGTGTGTAGCCGACATTTGGAAGTACTGGCCTAGAGCTTAGGTGAAAGCCTGGCTGAATAGGTAAGGTGCCACTGGTGTCATAGAATGAGGAGAAAGTAGTATCAGAAAATCACAGAAGAACGTAGTTTTAGACAGAGTGGTCAGTACAGCATTATCAAATACTGTCAAGGGCTGGGCAAGGTGACTCATGCCTGTAATCCCAGCACTTTGGGAGGCCAGGAGTTTGAGACCAACCTGGGCAACATGATGAGACTCCATCTCTACAGAAAATTTAAAAATTAGCCAGGCATGGTGGCGCACCTGTAGTCCCCAGCCACTCAGGAGGCTGAGGTGAGAGGATCGCTTGAGCCTAGGAGGTTGAGGTTGCAGTGAGCCATGATTGTGCCACTGCTCTCCAGCCTGGGCATCAGAGAAGGCAAGTAAGAGAAGAGCTGAAAGGGGCCCCTTGGATTCGATCATCTCCTGCCAGCTCTTGCTTTGTGGAACTGTGGTGGAGGTGGAAAACAGATTACAACAGGATGGGGGAAGCAGGGTAGGAAGCAGGTTGAAAAGCCAGTACGGATGACCAGATGACCATTTTCCTTCAGTTTAGCTGGGAGAGGATTCAGAAAGCACTGGCCGGTAAGGTACCCATGGGGTCAGGTTTAAATCATCATTCTAGTTGTAGACCCCACATGGCTCCACATTGAACTCCTGACCCCACTCCAGTATCAAGGCTTTGTCTCGATATTGTCTGTGGCTGAGAAGTAGTGCACTATCAGGTCTATAAAATCTCTGGTAAAATAAAAAAAAACTCTTATTATTTCTATTTTTTAGATAGTTTTAGGATGCTTGAGAGTCATGTTTTAATTCCCCCATCCCTGCAGTGAGATGTTATGTTGCTTTCTGGAAAACCTTTGGGAGTCATCAGTTATCCTCTTCCACGGTTAAATAATCGACGTCCTTTGCTGTCGGCTGGAGCAGGGGGTGCTGTCCTGTGACTCATGTGTTCTCATTCACAGCATGTTGAGCAATGCACTTGGTGCTAGTGCCTAATAAAGCATGCTGAGGATGTTGTCACTGAGCTCGAATTTTCCTCAGTGGGGCTAGATTTCTGTCACCACACATTTTTCTTCTTGCTACACTCTGAGACACTTCTCAATGAAACATTTGTCCTTTTTTCCTTTATTATGTCTAGAACGGTGTCTTCTCTAACTTAGTATTGCATTTTGCTGTCGGGTATTTATCTCTGATTCTGAATTGTATTTTTAGTGTTGCTTGTGTTCTTTCCTTTTCCTTTTTCCCCAACAAAGAACTTCTTGGAAGGTCTTCCATCCCTGTCTCCCTCCAGACTGCCTTAGGGAAGCCAGAAGCCATGCACAGTGAGACTTATGATGCGGACGTTGGCTCTGATGAGAGGCCAATACCACAGCCCTCAGAAGGGCAAAGGCTCAGCTCCCTGGATAGACCACTCCTTATTCCCACCACACTAATTAATTGTCATCTCAGAAGGCAATGAGACCAATTGTTCTGGCATTGCCCTGGCCAAGCCAACTCTGGAAGAGGCAGTGAGCTGCCAGCTTTTCTGCTGTTGGCCAGGAATCTGTATCCCAGCAGTCTGTCAGGGAAAACAGGCCAATTTGGGGTTTGAATTGCTGCCTCAGAGATGCCAGCAATGGGGTTGCTTGTTAAGAGAGTTGCACCCTAAGACTCTAGTGAAATAGCTTGAAGATCTGTGAGAGTGGTTTGAATTCCGACATGTGAAAGTATGTGCTTTGCTTGTGAAGTGGAAATTGCCCTATTCAAGTGGGCTTATGAGTCCCCTTTGTCACTTAGCTTGTCACTGAACTTAAAATCTTTGTTCTTTACTTTCAACTTTACTGAGGGGGAAGAATTTGGTGTTAATAGATGTGAAAGCTCTGTAGAAGATGTTACTGGACACATCAGAGAAAGAACTGTGATTTTTAGACTCTTGGCAGTGGCTTCACAGTGGCCCCAAGGAGACAGGGGTAGGTGGGACTGTTCTCATTGATCGTGATAGAGACAGTGAAGCAGAAAACCACTTATGTGATTTGTCTGAGGTCCTACCTAGCTGGCTGAAATCCAGAGCATCCAACACGACTACATCACCTAACATCTAAAATGACATTGCCTTGAAGGGAGAGAAACTGAAATGGACAGATACTTAAGTGCAGGTCTGCTGCTACCATAGAGTGCCTTTGTGCAAATGGAAAAGGCATCTCTAGGCCCCATGGGCAGGCAGATTACACAAAGGTGCTTCTTAGTGACTAACCAAGGCACACAGCTTGGTGAGCAGAATGCTGACTGGTTCCAGGCCCCAGGTTGATCTCCACCACATGTCCCTTTGCACAAGGCCCAAAATGCACAACCACATAGGGAGGCCCTGCATAGACGTTTGCCTTGACAGTGGACTAGTTCATAGATATTTGTAGCCAGTTGACCAAATCCTTATTTTACCTCCCCACTTTTCATTCCCAAGGTAAAAAATAAAGTTCATCTATTAAAAAACTAATTGTATGTGCCCCACCTTAACAGTATTCTTAAGGAGCTCTATTTTTTTAACCACTTTTCTCTCCCTGTAAATTATACTACCCACCCTTCCTTTTTGATATCTGCTGTAGCAAATTGTAAGGCAGCACTCTGCCCACAGGACGTGGTCTTTAAAGGAGTCATTTCCTCTTCCATCTCCTCCAGGCCATTCCCATCGTGTTTTTCGTGGCACTGGCAACAGGAAGGCACACTGAATAGCAGTGCTGAAAAGGCACTTTGTTGTTTATGTTATTACTGTGGGTTTGTCTCTGCCTAATAATTAGCGTTTCCGGCTTTCTGAATTTATTTGCCAAAATATTTGCAGGACTTTCGTGAACAAATAAGGGATGTGTTTCTTGACATAACTGACCACTGCCTTGCAAGGCTGAGCGAGAGATGTTTCTAGACATAATAGACCACTGCCTTGCAAGGCTGAGCAAACTTCTGGCTGTCGGAGTTTTTTTAGATGGATTTGCTCAGGGAAAGATTATCCTAGTAAGGCAAACACCTTCTAAATCACTAATCTGGCATTGATGCTATCTCAGCGACCACAGTTCAGGAAGTTCGAAGTATTCCAGTGTTCCTTTCAGGACAGGGTAGGTCATTACTGAGGGGTGGCGAGTTCTTGGGTCCCAGGGGCAAAAGTCTAGTCCTGTCTGAGTTCCCTCCCAGTGAAGTTCGTGAGCCTCAGCTTCCTCATCTGTAATGTGAGATAATCATATTTGTCTTGTCTGGCTCATAGAATTGTAGTTGAGGGTTAAATGAAAGAAAATATATGTAGAAGTGCTTTGCTAACTCTAAAACATTACAAAAATGTTATTTATATTAGACTCTAAGGATACTGTTCTCTGAGGGAGGATTAACCAAGGAGAGAGCCTTGTTCACTATATTTAGGTTAAAAGGGACGTGCTTCACTCTCTGCTGCATTTTCTCCTCACATAAAGGAGAAAATAAGATGATAAACAGTTCGGCCATCTCCCTGGCCCCTTCCCGACCTACCTTACCCATCTAACTGGTTCCTTCTCTGTGTTGTTCTTTTGAAGAGGTCTTCTTGGCCTACCAGGATTGCCCACGTTTCTTTGGACCCATTGCACACCCATAAGGACCACCCCCTTCATTCTTTTTTCCTATCATAATCAGCCTCTCCTAACCAGCTTGTTTTTCTAGCTGGGCAACAATAACTCAAATCCCTGCAAGTGTGCAGGTGAATGGAGCAGGCAGGGTGAGGAATTGATGGCATTGAAGCAGGCGGAAAGCGCTTGCCCCTCCCAAGGGGCAGCCACAGCTTGGCTGCAGCCAGCTGTTACCTTGTGGAATTGAGGGCCCTGACTTGCCACACATCTCCTGATTTTTCAAGAGAAGGCAGAAATCAGGATTTTTAAGGGAAATTTCCTCATTTTTAATGTTGGAAGCTATTTCAATGTTTTTTAAATTATATTACGCAAATCAACAGACCGTGGCCAAACAGCACGTTTGTGAACTGTGTTTTGCCCACAGACGGCTGGTTTGTGACCATCTTCAGGTCTTTGAGCACAAGTGTGCCTCGTTTCCTCAAGGATAATACACATGAATGCAGTGCTCAGCTAGAGCATCGCCTCCTGGCCTACCTCTGACTCTCTCTAGTTTCACTTGGTCACATTTCTCTTTGATCTGCTGTGACATGACTCCCACTTTAAGCAACAACTCTTTCTTTAGTTGACGGTGACATTTTTTTAGGACCCTCTTATCTATACTAGTCTTGGCCTTTCTGCCCTCAGGGTCCCTATGCTAGACCCTCCAAGATACCACCCTTTCTTCAAGCCGAGTGATGATTGCCCATGTCAGTCACTTTCCATCTGTTGCAGATTGTTTATACTGTGTAAAGTTTTACAGTAAGTGTCTTTGCTGCTTTCAGTGTTTCTGGATGAGGTGGTCGTCTTTCTGATTATAAAGAGATGGTTGTGAGATGCTGAGGAAGGATAGATACAAGCCTTATAGTGAACTTGGAATTGTGTTCTTTATGTGCTTATGGAATTGTGTTCTTTAAAGTAACTTTGGGGGTTCATATGAGAATATAACCCTGCTCAGAAGAAATTACTTTTAAAATAATATCCACAAAGGAACTGGTTAGATTTTCTCATGTGTTCTGCAGATATTTACCAATGTAACCTACATTTTTTCTTGATGCCAGATAGATTGTAAGGAATTTGCATTATTCCATCTCAAGTGTATAATGAAATAATACACTGAAGCAATTCACCACCAAGAGTTTTGTTTAAAAAAGGAAGTTCCAGCTCCAACTTAGGTTCAACAATTGCTTCTGACACTTGCCAGTGGCTCATTGTAAGAAACAAACAATAAACATTACCAGTGGAGAGAGAAATGTAATACCATTTTAGATTTTCTGACAAGAAGTAGTGCCAAGGACCCCTGCAAAAATGGTTTGTTTTTAAAATCTCCAGTTCTTTGAGTTATATTTCCAACGAGTTACAGTATTGAAATGCTTTAAAAAAAAACTAATTTCATGTTAGAGTAGTACTTTGCAGTTTAGAAACTTTCATATATAGTATTTAACTTCATCCCCATAGTTTTGTAATAAGTAAGATAGTTTTTAAAAAGATTTCTAATTTTGTTTTATACATTAAAAATAGGCAGATTCCCAGTACTTGGGAGGCCGAGGCAGGCAGATCACCCAAGGTCAGGAGTTCGAGACCAGCCTGGCCAACATGGTGAAAACCCTGTCTGTACTAAAAATACAAAAAATTAGCTGGGCATGGTGGCAGGCACCTGTAATCCCAGCTACTCGGGAGGCTGAGGTGGGAGAATCACTTGAACCCGGGAGGTAGAGGTTGCAGTAAGCCGAGATCATGCCATTGCACTCCAGCCTCAGTGACAAGAGCGAAACTCCATCTCAAAAAAAAATAACAAAATAAATAAAAAATGTAAAAAGGCAGATTCAGAGATGTTAAATAATTTTCTCAAGGACACACAGCAGGTAGTATATTGAAATTCTGATTCACATCTTCCATTTTTAATTTCTTCCTACAGTTTGTGATTTTCAGAATCTTAGGGATCCATCTTATACTTAGCAGCTGGTTGAAGCCTGGAATCTTCTGATCAGAATTTTTTCTGATGGTTTATTTTATTCCTATGCATTTGTCTCTGGTTATATAGAGAAATAATATAAAGAAAAATCCTTTAAGCCAATATAATGGATTTTTCATTTCTAGACATGATTTTAATGGAGGAATGGCCCAGAGTGGATGGGGTTGTTGAGGAAGAGAACAGTGGGCCCCTTCATGGCCTCTTTCAATTTGACGTGGTCTTGTCCTCTTGCCCAGGAGTGGGATCATTATTTTAGATGTGAAGCCCTTGGTAGTTTCCATTGTTTTCTGCTAGATGAAGGCTTAAAGGGACCAATTAGTGCACCACAACCTTCTTGGAAGTCCACTGTCATGATAACTTGAGATTAGTGTTCTGTTTCAAATCCCAGGAACTCCAAACCTGGAATTTTGTAAATTACCCCAAAAAGAAATTGAGGCCAGTCCTGGGAGAAGTGTCTTTTACTGTCTCCGTGGCAGATTGCATTAGAGTAATTTGGCACTTATTGGATTCTGCCAGAATGGTGGGGTGTGGTCAGCATAAGAAGTTTCTGAGTTATAAGGACCTGATATGATAATGAACCCAGACACAACCCTCTGAGCCACAGACCCATCCAGGCCCTCAATTAAGGTCCTTGAGATGGAACTGCAAATGGGCTTTAGGTGGCTTAGTCTGATGAGTAAGCCATGACTGACCCCATGCAGAAAACATGCCCAGGAACAGCTGTTTAAATTGTGTTACAAAGAAATTACATCCCCATGTTTGTGTGTTCATTATATTTCCAAAGAAACCTTTAGGTTCCCTGTAGACTTCCTTTTACTTCCACCTCGAAAGCCAATTTCAGAATAAATGGTTCACCTGACACCAGTTTCCTCTGACTTCATAGGGCAAATATGCCAAACTACTCTATCCAAGGGGTCAGCATCCATCCCACCCATGCTTCTGCACAAAGCAGAAGCTAGTGATTCTTATCTAGGAAGACTGACACCTGGCATGCCCTCCATAAACAATAAATCATCACTCAATTATCTGGAATCACTTTGGTGGGCTCTGTGAAAGGAATAAAGAAATTATTTTACTGGGCCTTGACCAGTAAAACCAGGCCAGCTCTATAAGGGCTGTGTCTCTCACCTTAGCACTCTTCTGCTCGCTTCCTCTGTCCCTGCCTCTGCAGCCTCCTTGCTGTCTCTAGGACAGTTTAGCCTCCCTCCCGCCTAATGCTCCACCCATCTGCCTGTCTTCCCCCAGATATCCGCATGGCTCAAGGTGGAGGGAGCAGGCCAGAGGGAGGAGCAGGGAGGTGATCACATGCATTGTTTCAGTGCCACATTAATGTTTAAGGATGGGTTAGATTGATCTTAGATAGTGATATCTAACTTTTGTAAGATCCAGTTAAGTCTTTCAAATTTGTATTATTAAGAAGGCAATAATGCATTAAATAAAATACAATCAGATTACGCATACCTTAGTCTGTGTGTTCTTTTATTTCTATATATTTCTTTCTGCAGATATCCAAAATAAAAGGTTTGCGCTCAAAGACTTTATGGTCTGTCATTTGAGCCCTTTCAGTAGGGATGGAAAGACTGGGATTGAGGGACTGTGGATCATGTGCCTCTATTAATGAGTATCTTTGCATTGAGATTGTATCTAGAATTCTAGGAGCCTGGCAGAAGATACACGTACCCATTGGAACCTTGTAAAAGATGCATATGTTCATCAAAGTATCCCAAGGTTCCGAAGCCATCTCAGCTTGGGTTGGGCCATATGCCTGGAGGTCCCTGATGCTGCAGAGGTGCTATTCATCCAAGACTGAGAGAATCCTAGCATGGGAAACCAGGGGAATCTCTCAGTGTCTCAGCATCCTCAGCCTTGGAAAGCATGCTGTAAGCAAGATGACCTGTGTTTCTCCACGATTCTGTCTCTCTAGGCAGTCTTCAACAAAGCACCTCCAAAACATAGCAAATAGAAATCAGAATTCAACAAGTATCTTTTTTCTAAAACAATGTTGTTTTTCATTCCTAAATATTGAGGTTCCCCCTACATTCCACCCAATAGCATGTCTGAACTGGTTTTGATGAAAACCAATTTATTTTCTCAGCCAAGGAATGTTGTTTGTCAATTCTGTGCCCTTCTGCTCACATGGTACTGTCAGGATTGATCAGACCGTAAAGAGGGAGCCTGGTTGATGGTTTCAGTTCAGCTTTTCTTACTACAGTTAGAGCCTTGAAGCCCAAGTGGTAGTTTCCATGCCAGTGCAAGGCAGTAGTTACTCTCATCCTTTCCTAATAATAGCTAGGGTTAGAGGAAAGCTAGAATAGGGGATGGGAGTTGTAGCTCTGATGACAGCTCTCTGTGAGGGGAAGACAGTCAAGGAGTTCACCTTAATATAATTTCTTAAGGCAGAGAACTCCCCCTAGAGGGATTTGATTTATTGAAAACTAAACTTCTAGGTCACATAGTTATTAACTAATTTCTAAGCTATACACCTGCAGAGGAGTGAAAAGGCTATTCTCATTTTTAATATTTTGGCATAGATCATACAAAATTTTGTGATAACCAAAACTGAAGCCATGCTTTTGGGCAGTAGAGGGCACTCCCAACTTGAAGACACAGAATAGAAGCGTTTTACCTTACCAAGAAACCACTGAGCCTCCCTACTAAGAACTTATGACTCAGTTTTTCCTTGTTTTTAAGAATAAAACTTGAGTATTAAGGATGGTGTCTAGTCAGAGTCTTCCATATAATGAACGTAGTCCTGTGTCAGAGGAGTTTGACCAGTGCCAAACTGTGCGTTGCATAGTTTACATATTATTTGTTTCACTTACTCATTTATGTGTTTACATATAATAGTTGGGCACAACCCTTGATAAATCTAAAATAATAATGATTCTTGTAGCTTCATTTGATATACAAATTCTAGGATGCAGCTAAGTTGGAGGCAAAGGGGGAAGAAGAACCTTAGAATAAAATATAATTCCTGAAAGGAACATTTATACCAAATTGCAGTGATTTTGTCCAATTTATTGTGAGAAAATTGCCGAATACTGATTGTTCCATTGCCAATCATTTCTCTGTGGCCGTGCTGGTTTAAATATATACTGAGAGCTTTGGGCTTTTTTCCTCCCATTTGCCCTTGCAGGAAATGTCAATGTAAAATTTGACTCCAGTGTGAGATGCTGGATAATTGTTTATTTAAATGCTTCCAATGTCTATTTTTACTGCAAGCCTCTCACCACAAAGCAGTTAAGAAAGCTTCTCTAATATATGTGTTATACATTCGGAGTTTTCTTTTTTTCTTTTATAGGTAAGCATAAACTCCCATGGGGGCAGAAAATATTACGAAAATTCTTTGTATGTGTGTCTGTGCTTCAATACAATTTGGTTGGGCTGGGGTTTTTTTGTTTGTTTGTTTTTTTAACATGAATACATGAGGTGTGATATCTGGGCTTCACGTGTAACAGTATGAGCTCAGCAGTGACTGGTAGAGGGAGTGCTGTTTCTTCTACCATGTGTCTTCCCCAGAGTCCAGTTAATACTCCTTGTATAGTGCTCAGGAGTGGCCTATCGGTCTGCTTTCCCTACCTGTGTCCCTTTCATCTCTCTCCAGTGCTCTCCCTGAAGGGAAGAGTATGAATTGTGACCCTGGGCTCAGATAAAGGAACTGCCCCACGAACTTAAGGTCTATGCCCAAATCATCATCTTCTCACCCCTTCCCTAGAGACAAACACATTGTCATGATCTAGACTATAAAATCAACAATGGAAGACTGATAATTCATTTATTCTTTTTTTCTTTTTTGTTTTAAAGTATTTGATTCAGATGTAAGACCAAACATGTTATATATGTTATAAAACAATCAAATGCAGCCAGGTGCAGTGGCTCACTCCTGTAATCCCAGCACTTTGGGAGGCCGAGGCAAACGGTTCACCTGAGGTCAGGAGTTCCAGACCAGCCTGGCCAACATGGTGAAACCCCATCTCTACTAAAAATACAAAAGTTAGCCAGGTGTGGTGGCGCATGCCTGTAATCCCAGCTACTTGGGAGGCTGAGGCAGGAGAATTGCTTGAACCTGGGAGACAGAGGTTACAGTGAGCCAAGATTATGCCACTGTACTCCGACTCCGACTCCGTCTAAAAAAAAAAAAAAACAAAAAGTAATCAAATGCACACATCTGCACCAAATACCCATTTGAGAATGAGGACAGAGATAATAAACTTGCATCTATCTACATGCTAATTCATTCATTGTTTTTTGAAGGAGGTAATGTTCTATTTAGAAGTATACCAATTATTTCATGTCACCAGACTGTATCTTTAGAGAAGCCATTATTCAACCAACCATTTACTGAATACACTATGCATCCAAAATGGCAAAGGAAGAACTATAACATTTTCTTAAAAAATGAAACATGTACTTTGGAGCATTTGCAGAGGAAAACGCACGGGTTCCCAGACAGGAAAAATGAATTAAAGATGAATCACTGAGTCATTTGGAAAGGTTATGCTCTCCATTTGCCTGTGAAGAAAATAAAACAGTCCAAAGTTCAACTTGGCTCTCAGAAGTCTCAGAAGTGTTAAGAAACAAAGCTCTCTGTCATCATAACTTGGCACAGGAATGCTAAAGTATTAGGGAAGGCATTTTTGGGTTAATGTTCTAATTAGATACATAGTTCTTATGTATTTTTCAGCACTTAACCCACTATGGAGTAAGGTACTTTTTCTTAAATAGAAAGCTTCCACCCACCTAAATTTAATAACAGTGTTTCCTCCAAGTTAAAGTATAGCCACGCTAGTGATCAACCCATACCTTCTTGCCCTTCTGGTTATCTCCAGTTCTTGGAGCCTCGTTCAAGTTATGGCCCACATGATGCTTCAGGGCAGGCAGCCCATGCTGCTGCTCTATCACTGGCAGTGCCATGAGGATTTCAGTACCACAGGGAAGCACATACTGGAATGCAGAACGTTACCTTTTTCGGGAAACCTGTATTTAAAATCAAATGAGGAATCTGAAGGCTATAATTTGGAAGTTTAAAATTTCTTACCCTTCTCTCCCCAGTATACTTAGCCCAGGACTTTGGATTCCTGGTACCAGTCTCTGGATAAAGTTGAGAGATGTAATGATTTATGGATAGTGGAAATTGTCATATCAACCCTACTTTAATTATCTTAGTCTCAAACAAGCTAATGAAGGGTTGTCTGAAATAAAGTAGTTTTTGAATGGCCATCCCATTTTACTGTAAAAATTGAAGCTCTTGATCAGTCAAGTCTAACTTCTAGTTTTGATTAACCAATGATTCAGTAAGAACTTTGATTATTCACCAGCTGCTGTAGCAGCTAACAACATATTGCTGTTCACCACGAGGCCTGGGGGAATAAGAGAGATGGAGTCTGAGAACTAGAAGTGAAGGGTTCTACTGGAGGCATCAGGGAAGGGAAAGAGGCAGTTCCCAACCCAGCCAGTATGGACCCCAAAGAAGAAGATGGTGAAGAGGGTACCATATGACTACTCTTCTCTTAATGAAGAGTCAGGTCTCAGAAACTAAAGTTTTGGGAGTTTTTTTACAGTAGATTTTTTTTTTCCTCATCAGAGTCACAAAGACTATCTAGAAATCATCTTCTCTTCAGAATTGCCACTAAAAATCTCAGCAGCATCCAAGTGAAAACTGTTAGGGTTCTCTTTTTAATGTATACATTTATATATATATATTAAATTGTACAAGTAATGTAGCTCTTTGTAGACAAATCAGAAAATGCTGCAGCAAGTATCAATTTAAAAATTCTTGTGGCCGGGCACGGTGGCTCACCCCTGTAATCCCAGCACTTTGCAAGGCCGAGGTGGGTGGATCACCTGAGGTCAGGAGTTTGAGACCAGCCTAGCTAACATGGTGAAACCCCAATTCTACCCCATTTCTACTTGGGTTCTATTTCCCATCATGAGGCAGAAATATAGTTGCTTCCCACCCAGAAAACGAATTATATATTTTGGATTGTTTGGGCACACAGATTTCATAACACAAAACTGAAAATACGTGAGCAACAACGTTTTACTTTAAGGATCTTGGCTGGGCGTGGTGGCTCATGCCTGTAATCCCAGCACTTTGGGAGGCAAGGTGGGCGGATCACCTGAGGTCGGGAGTTCGAGACCAGCCTGACCAACGTGGAGAAACCCCATCTCTACTAAAAATGCAAAATTAGCTGGGCGTGGTGGTGCGTGCCTATAATCCCAGCTACTCGGAAGGCTGAGGCAGAAGAAACACTTGAACCCAGGAGGTGGAGGTTGCGGTGACTCAAGATTGCGCCATTGCACTCCAGCTTGGGCAACAAGAGTGAGACTCCTTCTCAAAAAAAAAAAAAAAAAAAAAAATCATTAATGCCTGTAATCCCAGGACTTTGCAAGGCCGAGGTTGGTGGATCACCTGAGGTCAGGAGTTCAAGACCAGCCTGACCAACATGGTGAAACCCTGTCTCTACTAAAAATTAGCTGGGCGTGGTGGCGCATACCTGTAGTTCCAGCTACTCAGGAGGCTGAGGCAGGAGGATCACTTGAACTTGGGAGGCAGAGGTTGCAGTGGTTGCAGTGAGCCGAGATCACACCACTGCACTCCAGCCCAGGCAACAGAGCAAGACTCCATCTCAAAAAAAAAAAAAAAAAAATTTAAATCACTCAGTATCTCACTGGGTATAATCATTCTTAATATTTTGCTGTATTTCTTTTAGGAATTTATGCACATAGATTTAAAAATAAAAGAGGTGTTTTACTATTTTACAATCTACTTTTTAGTTCCAGTGTTCATTTTAGCATCTTTTCATGCCAATATATTTAGAAGTCATTTTGATTTTTTTTTTAGAATAATTTTATTCCCTTTTTGGAAAATGGTACACTGTTGTTTTTTTAAAAAATCAATCATATGATGAAACAGCTTTTTTAAAAAAAATCTATTTATTTTTGAGACAGAGTCTCACTCTGTCACCCAGGCTAGAGTGCAGTGGCATAATCTCAGCTCACTGCAACCTCCACCTCCCGGATTCGGGCGATTCTCCTGCTTCAGCCACCCGAGTAGCTGGGATTACAGGTGAGCACCACCTCACCCGGCTAATTTTTTTTGTTTCTAGTAGAGACGGGGGTCTCACCATGTTGGCCAGCCTGGTCTTGAACTCCTGACCTCAGGCGATCCGCCTGCCTCGGCCTCCCAAAGTGCTGAGATTAGAGGCATGAGCCACCAGCCTGCCAGAAACAACTTTTAAAAGTCACTCAGAATTCCACTTCTGAGAAACAGCTGTCATCAATATTAGGCTAATATCATTCTAGATGAATAGAGAGAAAGACTGATTAACATATGTCTTTCCATGTAAATATATATATGTTACTTAATTTTACTTGAACTAAGAAGTAGTAGAAAGAAATTCAGGAGACCCTGAAGAAGAGCCACTGAATTTCATATGTCCATTTATTCTCACAGGAAATTAATTCCTAAAAGTTCCTCCTACAAGATTATAGAGAACATCATAATTTTGAAGTTATTTCTTTAAACTGTACATTTCAGCTGAAGACTCATTTCTTTACTCACTGCCATGAAAGAAAAATAGAAAACTTTTATGTCCTATCTCTACTCCACCTGTTCTTCAGTATATGATGGTTATATTTTTTTACACTGTCAACTATTTAAACATAATTTTCACAATTTTAGATGTATAGATATAGGATTTAATACTAATTTAAATGGGTATAGTTTAATAGTAATAATTACCTGTGATATAAATATATGATAGTTTGGATACTACTAGATTCAGCAGATACAGGATTTAGTACTATTCTTTTCTCCATTTTTAAACATCTTGTGGTTTTGTTTTTGTTGTTTTAAGAATGGTTGATGCCTTCTTGCCTGTTGAGAATCTTTGCTGAGTTCCGTCCTTACTTGTACTCCAGTGTCTTCCAGCATTGGTAATTAGAAGACGAGGGGCAATAAGATTTTTCTTCCCTAGAACCTGGTTTGCTTTTATGCCTAGAGGTTTGGTGTATAATTTAAAAGAAGAAATAGATTATTTCAAACCGAATAAGATTACCTAAACAGTGGTGTTTTTTCTGCTCTAAAGAATCTTTTGCAAGCATATCTACATTTTCAGATGGGAAAGTTCACTGCTAAGGAAAGAAATCCTACAACTTTCTTACTCCTGCTGGGCATTGACTAAGTAGCACAGTTAGGGAATACCTGAAAGGATATTGGGTTTTCTTGGAATTGGAGGAGAGAGCTTGGACAGATCCGGGGGGGGCTTTTAATCATAGGGAGTTGGAAATAAGGGTATTTTGAGGAAAAAAAAAATAGGAGAAGGCTTGCAGGCCTAATTTACTATACCCGCTGACTTCCATCCAGTCCATGTCTTCAGTCATAGTTTCTTAAGTATACTTGTCTGGATTGGTTATTTTGGCCATAAGTTTAGTGCATATTCAGTGAATAGTGAATGTTCAAATTTCAGATTTTTTTTCTTTCTTCTTCGTTTTTCTCAATATCTTAAAATCATCTTACTAGAAAGCCTATTTTGCAGTCACTTTTGGAAACATTCCCACTGTACCAATAACCTAGAATTGCTATCTTCAGCTTTTTAATACAAAATAAATAAATAAAAGACAGGCAAGAGAAGAGTCTAGGCACACACACAAATAACTTCTGCTGTATCTCCATTATTGTTGTATTGTTATGAGATAGGCACTGTGGACCAGCCTTACTGGGTTAAATCTTGGCTCTGCAATTCGTAGGCAAGTTATTTATCAGTCCTCCTATGCCCCACTTCAGTTTTCTGAGCTATAAATGGGTCTAATAGTATTACCTACCTTAAATGGGGGCTGTATAGATTAAATGCATACTCTGTGTTAACTGCTTAGAATGGTGCCTGCCTGGTGCACAGTCCATGCTCAATCAAAGATAGCTATTTTTTTCTGTCTTTACTATATATGATTTTACATATATGATTTTATGCTGCATAAAATTTTTCTCTACTTGGTTCAAGATAGCCCTATGAAAGTTATATTCTTAGCCAAGTATTTTTAAATCGTTAGATTTAAAGTATTAGATTTCCTTTCCTCACTAGCCTCTCCCTTCTAGTCTGAAGAGTTAGTAGCAGCTGCATAAATATAAGGTCATTATTTTTTGTCTTGGTTGAAGTTTAGCCATTGCTTAACTTGAAAAAGAAATACCATCACCCCGAACAGTAGATCCCTTATCTAGTAGGGCCTTATCTGTGGTTTCTCTCTCCATTATTTCAGTTACTCATGATCAAACATATTAAATGGAGAAATCCAGAAATAAACGGTTTATAAGTTTTAAATTGCATGCTGTTCTGTGTATTGTGATAAAGTCTTGCCCTATCCCACCTCACCCTGCCCAGGGTGTGAATCAGCCCTTTGCCTAGTGTGTCCATGCTGCACAGTTACGTATGTATAGGAAAAAATGTATACTAGGATTCAGTACTGTCTGTGGTTTCAGGCATCCACTGGGGGCCTTGAAATGCATCTCCCTCAGGTAAGGAGGGAAGTACTGTAATATGTTGTGCTGATCAAAAGTTGAAAACTCAACCAGTATGGTGACAGCCCTTGGCTATGTAGTTCACTTGAAACTCATTGAATTCAGAGACCTGAAAGTAGATCTTCACTATTTTCCTTTCCATAAATTTTTTTAAAAGACAGATTGGGAGTGGGGCATAGGGTTTTGTCTCTTTGGAGAACTGTTCTTACTGCCATGTACACAGGAAGAAAGTTCTTGATAATCTTATGGAAATGTCAGAAGTCACTACCTTTCTGGTACCTACAGGCAGCTCTTGCTCCCACCAGCATCCAGGCTGGGAATCTGATTGTTTCAGGACATTTTAAACAACTGCAGGCAAGGCTTTGTCCTCAAGTAAAGCTTGCAGTTCCTTCTAAAATCAATCAGGTTTATAGAATATGATACATTAAATTTGGCTAATTACATAGAACTCTGAAGTATTCTGTTAAAAAAAAAGAAAGAATAGTGTATTTGAAAGAACAGTCCCCAATTTTAAAAATTCTTTAACAAAAACCATTCAAGCCATAGAATCTCAATTCAGGTTGGCCTAAAGATATAAAATCATATTTACTCAAGACTCACAAACCTTAAACAAATGAGTAAAAAAGCAATATGCTACTTCATTTAACAGTTCATGTTGTTTGTCATAATTAATCTCTCAGTAGCCAGGGCTTCTTGAAAATGGTTGTAAACTACAAGAGAACAAAGATGAGGAAGTGCAAAATATTGTAACTGAGCTCCCTCCATCAAAGCCCACCTGCTGGGTCAAGACTAAAATCTCAAACTGCTGTATTTCAGCATTCACAAATACATATTTGTAGTGTGACACTAAATCATTGTTGTGTAATTATTATTACTTATTTCCTATTTTAATACTGAGAAATTTAGACATTGAATTTCTAAAACTCATACTATTTATTGGTACACAATACCCAATTTCTAGCTGTATGATTACATATTTAAAACATTTTTTCTCTATGTTAAAAAAAACCCACCATTTTCCATGTGGTTTTAATTTTATCAGACTGTGGGAATTTTGGAAACTGTCTTTGCCTACATGTTGGAAGAAAATATTTTTTCCAGAATAGCCAAGTCTTTCATACTTTAACTATTGGATCAGCTTCTTCTTGTGTAGGGTGTGTATTTCTACGAAAGAAAGGGTGGCAACTGTAAGATTTACATAAAACAAGTATAAGAATAAAAAAAGGTGTGTATATGACCAGACTAATTTCCTAGAGAGGAAGTGGAGCATGCTTGCTTCCTTGCTCTCCAAGGCCACTCTTATATCATATGCAAGATATTTTACAGGAAAACTTGTCAGTTCTCACTTTATCTTCAGCACAAGCATCTGAACAAATGGAAACTAAACTTTAAGCCTAGGATACATTTGTCTTTTCAAGAATGGTTTAGTGTCTACACATAGCCAAAGGCAAAGATATGAACTGGACAACCCTAGAAAGCAACAAGAAGCTTTTCCCACTTACCCTGGGGACTTGTCATTATCCTAAAGTGACTGAGTGCCAACTTACCAGTTGCTTACTTTGTACTTTGGAGCCACACTGGTACCTGAAACACAGGCATTCAGAACTAGCTAAGGGAGTCCCTTTAGGGAATTCGACTGCCCAAGGGAGAGAGGTGCTACTACCCTTTGGGGAAAGTCTAGCTAGTAGATGATATTTTAAAAACTAAAATAGGCCAGGTGCGGGGTGGCTCACGCCTGTAATCCCAGCACTTTGGGAGGCTGAGGCAGGTGGATCACTTGAGGTCAGGAGTTTGAGACCAGCCTGGCCAACATGGTGAATCCCCGTCTCTACAAAAAAATACAAAAATTAGCCAGGTGTGGTGGTGCATGCCTGTAGTCCCAACTACTTGGGAGCCTGAGGCAGGAGAATTGCTTGAACCCGGGAGGCAGAGGTTGCAGTGAGCCGAGATCGTGCCTTTGCATTCCAGCCTGGGAGATAGAGCGAGAATCCATCTCAATAAAAAATAAAATAAAAATAAAAAATAAAGTGCCTTTCCTTCAGGCCTGCAGTTAGTCTGAGCAGTGTCTTCCTGTGAAATTGAAAAGGCCAACCTGTGAGTGGACGCAGCTTGTGTGTGTCTGGCCAGTGGCCTACAGCTGGGGGTGTAGCTCCCCCCTCTCCTCTTGGATTAGGGCCTTGTGCAGTGAATAATCTGACAACCGTACAACGTAACCACACTAACCCAGCTTCCTTCTCCGAGGCATCGTAGGTTTAAGTGTTCAGATGGACATGTGAATTGCTCCCAGAAGGATTCGCATAGATCCCTGGTATATACACTGGGAAATATGCATTCAGTTAACCTTAATGAGAAGGGGGACAGATGATACTTACTTGTTATAGTTTTGAGTACTACCAAGGTCATGTTTTTAGGGTTTTCTTTGGTGCTTTTCTAAATACACAATTTAATGTTAACTTTATGGATGCTGTGGTTTCTCACCCAGATAAAATATTATGCTGCCATACACTTTGACTCCAAGCATCTCCTTCCTCCATCCTCTTCCAAGTGCACCACATCAGTTTGTTCCCACCCTGTAGTGTAGGAGCTCAGCATAGTACATGTGGCTCTGCAGAGCCGGATATCTACTTTGTATCATAACATTCAAACCAGACCACTTTGTGAATAATTGAAGCAAGAACTTTGTTACTGGACATCTGGATTTAAGGAAAAATACAGTGTCCTTGTAGATGAAACTTAGCCTGGATTTACTTTTTTCATTTTCCAGCTCCCCTCCATTATCAGTTAGCAAGCAGGGAGCAAGTCATTTCCAGTACATTGTGTAGAAGAGTTGTATGTGATGGGTACAGTATGGAGAACATTAAAAAAAGTGTTGGAAAAGCCAAAAAAAAAAAAAGTGCTCTAATCTCTCCAAAGGATGTCTTTGACCTACATGTGCTATATCCTGAGAGTTACCCAGAGCAGAGGCACCTCAGGTGAGAAGAGCACATGACACTGAGCCAGTGGAGGATTCTTCTGCTGGTTAATGCATTATGAGAAGGAGCTGGCGAGGGCAATTACATACAACTAGTTTAGGTCACATGAGACTCTGATAGTCTTAGAAAACTGAAGGCAGGTATATAGATACATAAAAGTGTTCATGAATACTTATTACTTGCAGCTCATCCATTTTCTTTAAAGATTTTCATTTAAGGGTACAATTTCACAAAATCATGAACAGTATTTCTGTGATCAGATAAGATGTATTCTCTATATAGCAGTGTCCATTATATCACGTGGGCATTTTTACAGGCACAGTAATATTAAGGTCAAGATGTTTAGTGATTCTAGCAACAAAACCAAATATTAATACACAGAGTATGAAACAGATAATTCTGTCACATTGAAAGCGTATGTCATCTGGTCCTCAGAATGCTGTCTAGTAGTTTTCCACTGTATTATATTTAACAGAGGCTTTTTATAAATACAGTCATACCAATTAATAATTTTTCCACTTCTGGTGGGTGGCCATCGTAGATACTAGAACACATTATCAATGATATGAATGATGGTTTTAAATTGCATGGGTGGAAATTGATCCTCCTGATTTTGGTGTGGGATACTACTGAATGCCCAGTGTAGACTGCCTTTTAAACTGCATATGGTCCTAATTTTTAAAATCATGCACTCCATCATTAAAAGTTATTTTGGCTTTTCTTAAAATTCTATGTGATGAAAATTTTTAATCCTTTGTGATATAAAACATTTTAATTCTTTTTTAAAAAATGATTAATTTGTGACACATTAATCCAGTGGTCTGGTAGTAAGTTCTGCTTAAGTCACTACTTACTTTTAATGTCTCATAAATAAAAGAAAACCACATAAGATATGTAGTTATAAATGGAAGGAATGTTACTAGCTGTGCTTACATCATGATTCTTTCTCAATCTTATTCACCAATTATGCAAAGGGTTTTAATTGAAATTTTGCTAGTAAGTGTCCATCTTCACTGATGTCAGCTGTTCTTTCAAACTAACTGAAAGATGTTGCATTATTCATGTTTAACAAATGGGTTAAAAACTCCACTGAAACTCTTTCTTTAAAGGACTTTTTCTCAAGTTTTACAAGTTCACACATTGATTGTGTGTGTGTGTGTGTGTGTGTGTGGTATAACACCTTAACAGTGGTTTTGACAGCAAAATCATACCACAATGGAAACATATCCAAATATCCATTTTCAAAATGCTTTTTTTGCAGCACAAGTTTTCTAGCAGTTGCTTTCACACTCATTGTTGAAATGCTCTTTGGCCTTGAAGGGATAGATGAAATATGTTCATACAAAAATATCTGCCAGATAGGCTGCCACTTCAGCCCCTTGTGATGACAACAACAAAAAAGGTCAGCATATTTGGAAGACTAACATTTTGTAAAAGAAAAACGTGTTTTTAAGTTATCTTTAAGTTATTCAGGTCTTTCAAAACATAAGAAACCGCTTGTGTTTTAACAAAGATACTTAGTAACGACTCCTTAGAACTCCTGGTCACCACACAGGGACATCAGACAAGTCCTGGCGCCATTGTTACTCCATGCATTAAATATGACAAAACTTACTATCTTTGTCTTCCTCAGGTTATATGCATAGGTTTTGATATTTTCTCTCTGTGCCCCATGGATGATGTGTGCCCCATACTTCAGATACCAAGGTCTCTACCAGTGTAGACCACTTGGGGGGGCATTAGAAAACCTTGGCCAGGCCAACCACAGTGGCTCACACCTGTAATCCCAGCACTTTGAGAGACCAAGATAGAAGGATGGCTTGAGCATGGGAATTCACGACCAGCCTGGGAATCTAGGGAGATCTTGTCTCAACAAAAAAATTCAGAAATTAGTCAGCCATGGTGGCGCATGCTTGTAGTCCCAGCTACTTGAAAGGCTAAGATGGGAACATCACCTGAACCCTGGAGATCAAGGCTGTAGTGAGCTATGATCGTGCCCTGTACTCACTTCAGCCTGGCAAAAGAGTAAGACCCTGTCTCAAAAAAAGAAAAAAAAAATTGGTCATGTCTCAGACCAATTAAATCACAATGTTCAATGGTGGGATCTAGACATCAGAGTCTTTTTTTTAAGCTCCCCAGGTGATGCTGATGTTCAGCCCAGTTTGAGAAGCACTGATCAGCACTTTCCAAACTTTAATGTGCACACAGATCACCTGGGGATATTGTTAACCTGGAGATCCCTATACAGTGGATCTGTGGAGAGGCCTAGAGGTCTGCATTTCTTATAAGCTCTAAGGCGATGCAGAAGCTGCTTGTGGGTGGACCACTTTGAGTCCAAGAGCTACATCAGCCCTCCCCTCTGTTCTCTGATTCATTCTCTTGGGCTCTCAAGGCTGCGGGTGGGCCACAAAGCTGCAGCTGTGTCGAGAGGAGCTTCAAGCCGCAGTCATTGCTGCTTCATGTCACAGGGAATTTTATTGTGAACACTAAATAACACTTTTCTCATCTGTAAAAGCAGGATAGTAGTCAGATGTGTCCTTGGCTTTTCCACTTTATTTATTGAAGAAAGCAGGGAACATAGTATGGTTTTGGGCTCCTCATTGCAAGATGAGCTTAACACTACTATGGAGAAGCCAGGAATTATTACTTGGCTGCCTCAAAAAATGTTGAATTATAAGGATGTGAAGAAGAACAATAAAAAAGATTATTGATAGCATTGGTGGGAATTTGTTTTTATTTTCAGATCTGTAAGCATTCGTAGCTTTCATGTAAGAATAAAAACCTTCAAATAAAGTAATACTTAGGACTCTAAGGTGTTTCTTATATGTTGGGTTAGTATTCAGCCCCTACTATTGATAACACCATACCTGTGTTAAAATGTCTGAAAAAGTATAATATTATAGCTGCTTCCCCAAGTTCCATGAATGGCCCCAGCAGCTCTTGTCCCACCCCAGGACATCCTGGCCTTTTTGTGATCCAGCACCTAAAAGGCTGATGTGAGGCATGACGAGGAAAGTCCAGGGCCTTGCTCTGTTCTGTTTGGCTGGTGCCCATGCCATACCACTGGTTAAATATTTTAATTTCACTTTAGCCATGTTTGAATGTGTAATCATAAGGGCAAGGTGTCTCAGCCATTATCTAATCCAATATTCCAGTTATAGAAGTCAACCCTTAACATATAAAGGTTAAGAGACTGGTCCTAGACCATAACAGAGGCTCCCCCAGGCCTTCCAACTACTTTTTCTGTCCTGTACTGGTCATTGTATCATCTTTTCCTCAGTCTTGTTAGATCACATTTCAGGACAAATATATAAGAAGGCAAGACAGCTCAGCCCCATTGTAGAAATATTTATTGATCTAACATGAAAATTGTGCTAGACTGCAAGAAATATTAGTCTCTGACCTAAAGTAATTTACTGCATTGTTGGAAATTCTTTATGTACAAAACATGATCAGTTAAATAGCAGTGACAGGCACGATACAGCTTGGTGCCCAACAATTGTGCTGTGAAGACTGTGAATGGCCCAAAAGAAAAAAGTAATTAGGAAAGGCTTAATTACAGGAGGATGGGTAGGATTCTGGAAAGTCTGAGGCCCTACTACATACACATCCATTCTTCACCAGATCTATAGGTTAGCACCTCCTGTGCAGTGTCTACTGGCAACACACTCAGATTGTTTCTGATTAAAATTTTGAATACATTTGTTTGAAATTGTCCATTTTTACAAAAAAAAATTTTAATTGCTATATAATTCATCTATCTTAAATCTGCTATTAATGAATAGAAAATAAAAGAGAAGAACATTTTCATGAAATGATAATTAACCCAGGTAAAGGATTCAGAAGTTTCTGTCTATAACTGCAGTGGTTTGTCACCTCATACCACCATACCAGCTCTGTTTTCACTGCCCCTTCTTTTTTTTTTTTTTTTTTTTTTTTTTTTTTTTTTGAGGAGGAGTCTCACTCTGTCGCCCAGGCTGGAGTGCAGTGGCACGATCTCGGCTCACTGCAAGCTCTGCCTCCCGGGTTCACGCCATTCTCCTGCCTCAGCCTCCCAAGTAGCTGGGACTACAGGTGCCTGCCACCATGCCCGGCTAATTTTTTGTATTTTTAGTAGAGACGGGGTTTGTTTTCTTTCTCCTGCCTTAGGTTAAAAGAGATGAATTTCTTCCTCTAACTCATATATTTTTTAACAAGAGATTGGTTTAATAAAAAATGTTGATGCTCTAGAAAGATTGATATTTCTACCAACAAGTAAAGGGAATTTTTAAATATTTAAAATGTATGTAAGTGGTGCCCCTAGAAATGAGAGAGAAGAATGAAGCGGTCATTATATACTATCCAGTACACTCCTTGTTTGCAAACACAGAAGAGGTTAGTAAGAGGTTATCTTTGCTCTGAAAGGCAGTTTCTGTATAGGTTCCTCCGAGTGAAGATCAGAATGTTATCAGACACTGGCTGTAGCTCAGATGACACAGTAAAAAGGAAGTAGGGGCTAAATTTAGAAATTACATGAAAGCGTTTCAAAAATAAATATATAGCTAAGAACACATAAAAGAGGCAATATGCATTTTTATCTCCTTGAAAAAGCAATGCAAGTTGCTCAGTTTTTTTTTTTTTTTTTTAGTTATTTAAACATGGATTTGGTTTGATTTCATGACCATTGCTACATCACCAATCACTTTAGCTTTTCATGGGAAGCTCATCAGAATTCAAGCAGAAGAGCATGCGTGGATATGCTGTCTGGTAAAGTCTTCACGCACATGTATTTCCATATCTTAGACAAGGTTTTATTCAGGTTGTGGTCTTTGCCTGTTTTAAAAACTCAACATTGAGATTAATGCAATATAATGAAATTCGGCCTTTTCTAGAGAGAAAAAAAAACCTTTTCTATGTCACTTTAAGTCAACATGCTTCCAGTTGCAAAACAGTTATGGCTATAAAATAATCACTATAATTATTACATGTAACCCATATCTTGAGAATTTAAAATGGCATTTTCTTAAGATATAAAACTGATAGTGCTACAGCATGTTGGTAAGAACCGTAGAAATGATTGTTTTTGTAACAGATCCCCAAAGATCTTACACCCAAAAGCGTTGTTTTACTGAATACAAAAAAAGGGTTGTGTAAGGACATTTCACTATCATTCCTCCTGAGTCATATCTGAAGTACAAACCAAGGATTGTTTCTGTTTACTGACCCGTTAATGTGTGCCTATTACTATACTGTTTTGTATATATTATTACATTTAAACTTTATAACGGTGCTGTGACATAGTTATCATTACCTCATTGGAGGGATAAGGAAATTGAGGCTTGGAGAGATCCCAAAGCAAGTAAATGGGAACATGGTTTGATTCAATGTGTTTGACTCCAAAGCCGTAGGCCCTTATAACACTGTGCATATGACCACCCCTGACAACCCAAACCATGTGGTACCATTTGGCACTTAAGGCGTGCCTCAGTTCCCTTGTTTAGACTTGTGTGTGTTGGAACTCATAACACAAGCATCTAGGGCATAAATTAAAGGGATAATGGGGAAAGAACATCAGAAGATCCCAGGTGCACGTTTTTTAATGGATTCTAGCCAGGAAGCTGAGAAAATGCCCACTGGTAGGAGTCAGATTCAACATAATTCTCAGTTCTGTGGAGAGTTCACAAGCTTCCTTATCACACAAAGCACACAACAAGGACACCAGCGTTATGGGGAGTTGGGCCTGGGGGTAGGGTGCAAACTCAGATTATTTCAGGGTCAGGCAGGTAATGAGAAGCTGGCCAGGTTCTATTCTTTGCCATAGCATTGTTTGTTTTTGCATTATAGAACACAGAATATTTTTCACTTTCATAAAAATATATGTACTCTCTCATTATTCTTGACAATAGTGGGAAGCTATTGGCAGCCTTCTTAGCTACAGCCTGTTGTCCTCTTGGAATATGGATGCAGTGTTGCTGGGACTTCTAATTTGTCAAGAGAATTAGGACATCTGTTTTTGGGGTGTGTTTTTTGTTTTTGTTGTTTTTAATGCTAAAGCTCTTAATTTTAGATATTGACCCCTTTATAAAATTTTGCTGTATCAGGTAGATGTGCAGACTGTTATCTCACATTTAGGCCTCTTATATCTAACCCAAGTCTTCCCCATGCATAGGTTGATCATAAGTCCTAGTTTGCCTGAGATACTTGTGTTTGCACCTGTTGTCCCAGCCTCCCGCCTGTTTAGCATTTATTCCAGTTTTTTTATTTTTTTAATGAAGCATTCTTATTAATAGCTGCATTAAAATAATCCAGGATGTTTTTAACAGACATTCACTTTGTATTTCTAGATTCTGCCTTTGCAGTTAAACAGACTTCTCACTTTACACTTGGTTGAGTCTGATATCCCTTCCCAGATGCATTGTTAACTGCATCTCTCTTTCAAAGACAGCGTGTGGGCATTCCTGCTAATATGGAGTAAGCTGGGACAAAAGTGACTAGGGGCAGCCAAACTCTTCCAGTCTGAAAGATGGTGGAGAAGCATGTGGTGCTGCTGCCTTTACCGTCTGCTTGAATCAGCTAGTCATGCTATGGTCTGGCGTGTAGGCTGCCAGGTCCACGAAGACACCACACTTCTGTGAGTAGGGTCAGTGGGCAGTTGCTAGGTGTATGTGAAATGTGTGTGGAAAATGAAGGCTGAAGCAGTCTTACTGTGGAGGTATGAAAGATTTTGCTTTATCATTTATTGTTTGGTATAAATCTGTTGTATTGTTTGATAATGCTTTTATTTTGCAGCAGATCTTTTTGGCCATAATAAGTTTTTTTAGAAACTTGAAAATGCATGTTTAACAAAAAATTAAGTACTGTATTTTTGTTTCTAAAGAAAGTTGATAATGTGTAATTCATATAAAATTATTTATCAGTACTTAACATTCACCATTGTAGCCATGAATATAATCAACCACACAAAATACGAAAGACACAAATCTTCTGCTTCAAGAGTTCGCTGTTATTTTCAGAAGACTGTGCCCAAAGATGACATTTTAGCATGTGCAGCAGCAGAGAATGCATTTTTATATCACTCTGTGAAGCATGACTTTTTGTTTAGATCAAATGACTTTCTTTCCGAGTTAATTTAGCTCATTTTTATTCCAGGTTTTCTTATGCATGTACAAAAAAATGAAGCAATAGCAATTAATCTGTTAATTCTCTTAGCAGAAGAAAAACTTTGCAGGTAATTGATGGTTTGTTTTTTCTTCATTAATTCATGGAATCGAGATGAAGCTTTTAGAAGTTCATGCTGATAAAGTGAAATATCCAACATGGTTTTGATTGCTACAGTAAATGCTTTTGCTTCTTTAAAAAATTTTAAAAGTCATTGTTCAAAGTAATGTATTTTGTGGTAATGATACGAGTATAATTTTTCATGGAGCATAGTGTCATGGTAAAATACTGTATGTATTAAATTAATAAACTAGTGGACCAGAAATATTCTTAGAATAGTTATGGCTCACACATAAATCACAGTTGTATCCAAACAAGCTGCAATAATCTATTTATGAGTTTCATCTCCTAAACATATTTGTGAAATAATACTATTCTGAACTAATACCGAAAGATAGTTCTATGAAAATATTTGAACTGAGATATTTATGTCTTTCCATTTGAAAAACATAATAGAGTGAGATTACTTACCATTCAGCAGACCTTGTTCTAAGCTTACCAAGTATCTGAACCAACAAGAGAGGCCGTTTCTGAATTAAAACTATTAAGGTCTACCAAGAAGAGCATGGTTGAAAATGTTAACAGTTTCAAATTTATTGACCTAAAATAGTTAAGGCAATTTTTAAGAATGTTACAAACAATTCTATGAAATAGTTAAATACATAATATGTCAATATTGAAAAAATATAGTTCTCTGAAGGATGTTAGGGACATGATGTTAGAAAGAGATATGGCTAAGAACATGACTAAAGTACATGAAGGTACCAAGAAAAGTATTTCTGCTCATTTTTTACTTTAAAATCTACATTGATTTATCAAAAGTTTATATTTTAGGAAGATTTTATATTTTGAAAAATTTTTTAATGTGCACACTTCCTTGAATAATATCAATGTAATAAAATAGATTTGCTGGTCAATAAATACTTTAAAGACATACAACATTGATATGGTTTGGCTCTGTGTCCCCACCCAAACCTCATCTTAAATTGTAATCCCCACTTGTTGGGGGAAGGGCCTCATGGGAGGTGATTGAATCGTGGGGACAGATTTCCCCTTTGCTGTTCTCATGATAGTGAGTGAGTTCTCATGAGATCTGATCGTTTAAAAGTGTGTGGCACCTCCCGCTTCTCTGTCTCTCCTGCTCTACCACGGTAAGACGTGCTTGCTTCCCCTTCACCTTCCACCATGATTGTAAGTTTCCTGAGGCCTCCCATTCATGCTTCCTATACAGCCTGCAGAACCGTGAGTCAGTTAACCTCTTTTCTTCATAAATTATCCAGTCTCAGGTAGTTCTTTATAGCAGTGTGAGAACAGGTTAATACAAACATTAACTGTTTTGGTAGCCTTTTTAATACTCAAAAGTGTTAGTAGACTATAACTATATTATTATACTCTCAGTGGAAAGTTAACAGTTTCTCAGCAGTGGTCCAGGTAACTTTTTACACTTCTTATCTATAATATTTTCAAAATTTGGGTCTTTATTTAAAGTGACAAATTATATAACTTACTACAAAAAAACCAGGCCTTGTAGGATGTGAGTTATTTTCCTTCCCTTCTTCCTACTTAAATTCTAGGCCAGGCGTGGTGGCTCACGCCTGTAATCCCAGCACTTTGGGAGGCTGAGATGGGCAGATCATGAGGTCAGGAGATTGAGACCATCCTGGCTAACACGGTGAAACCCCATCTCTACTAAAAATACAAAAAATTAGCCGGGCGTTGTGGCAGACGCCTGTAGTCCCAGCTACTCAGGAGGCTGAGGCAGGAGAATGGCATGAACCCGGGAGGCGGAGCTTGCAGTGAGCCGAGATTTGCCACTGCACTCCAGCCTGCCAGCCTGGGTGACAGACCAAGACTCCTTCTCAAAGAAAAAAAAAAAAACAACTTCTAAATGCTTCATTACCGTTTTTCATAGGATAAAGAGGTATTGTTTTTGTTTCTTTATTTTTATTAATGGAACAGTTTCTGGCTCTGTTAAAGGGGCATTTAAGCAAGGTATTCTAAAAGCTCTATTCCTTCCCCAAGATTCTAGGAAAGTGAGCCTTTTACTTTCAGTTTTTCCTAACACAATTTCTTGAATGTCTGAAGCTTCAGTGGTCAGATTTCACATGGGATGTTCCAGAAAGATGATATTCCCTATGTAAGACTCTGAAATTCTTGGGAGCATTTGGGCCTTTTTTTTTTTTTTTTAATCAAAAAGCTTGTTCTTTTTATTTTTTCGCCTGTCTGAATTCTACCAACTGAACAGGGAAATCTTCTTTATCTGTTTTTCCTGTTGTCAAATAAAATAAAATTCCAAACCAGCAGCAACATACTCCTCTGGTTAATGAGATTGTAGGAGCACAGACATTACAAAGGACTAAAATGATTAGGCTTTTTCTGAGGTATAATATCAGGAAATGAACCACATAACATTATGTGATCTCAGAAATGAAGATGATATGAATCTATAAAGCAGGCATTTACCTATTATGCCAGGGTGGGGAGAAATCAGTCAATGAGTTGTTTTGTTGGTATAAAATCAACCTACAGTTGGTTGTTAGGGGTCTCAGTCTCTAGTCAGTGTTTTCAAAACATGATTTAATTCACCAACAGTCTCGTCAACAGATCTGGAGGCAAAAAAAGCTTCCATGGTCAAACAAGTTTGGAAAATTCAATAATATCCCCAATGCTAGGCTCATGGATTTATAGCACCTTTCTAGGTAAGGGCCATTGCCTTTTTATAACTTCTGTGTTCTGCAGCACAGACCTCTGTTTGACTATTTATAACCATTATTCTCCCCATTCTCTTACTTGGACTTCAGAATCCATTTGTCAAATACCTATTAACATTCCAATTAACTTAGTTTTCCATTAACTTAATTTTCCATTAATTAATGTTCCTCAGATATTCTTTGAAAGTAGTCATACAGACCATACCCTAATTGTTTTGAATTTTAATGAATATGCATATCTTTAATCTCTCTTTTCAATTTTTTTAAATCAACTGTGACTTTGTATAAACTCTCTGAAGATAAACTAGTTTTTTTGGTGGTATTAATAATGCATACATACATACACACACACACACACACACACACACACACACACCCATACTAGGATAGTACAACATCATAATTATGAAGATAATAGTAGAACTTCAGAGAGTGCAAAATTTTAAATTGTACCCCAAGATTTTATAGACCTGAAGGCAGTGTTCTTTGTAATGGAATTATGTAATTATATCAATCAACATACTCTGGAAGTGTTTGATGTAGGTTTTGCCATGCTGCATCAAGCATCTGACCTACAATGTCATTGATACTGATAATTATGACATTACAGACAAACATGAAAAAGGAAAATGTTAAGCAAAGAACCAAATAGAAGAATATTTACATGGAAAATGGTAGTGGTAGGGCCAAGAAAGAGATTGAGTTCTCTGAAAAGAAAAAAAAATATATTTTAAACAATAAAGGAGGGGTATTTCCTTTACCCAAGAAGGAATCCCCATTCTATGTTAGAATGAGCAAATAAAGCCTATAGGCCAGCAAAACCAAGAGGAGAATTGTAGTTCCAGCAAATGTTTTTTGGGAAAGACAGTATAACTATAGTCATTGATTATCTTGGTGACCATAATGGAGATTAAAAATAAAAATCTAATGATAGAAGAACAAACTTAATAATGAGTTAATAAATCAGTTTGTGAAGTCTTAATGAAAGGATATGTGGCAGTTTAATAAACTTTCTTCTCTAACATTGTAATCTAGAACATTGTATTTAACATACATTCTCTATTTTTCCTTTTCATCATTGTCTTGTGTATTGTCTAACACATGAGCGATAAATATTTGTTGAAATAATTATTAATGGTACTTTTGAGATACCACAAGATTTCATAGTAATTATAATATTTTGTACTAGGCATTTTAGAAACATCTCTTTTACTTTTCCTAACAGCCCTACAACAAATTGTTCCATCTTATAGATGAAGAAACTGAGGTTCAGGAAGGTTGAGTGACTTGTCTAAAGACACAGGGCTGGTACATGACAGAGTTATTATTGATACCTGATTTGGTCTCAGGCTGTTCAAGTTCTTCCTCTTTGCTACTGTGGTTCCCAGAATTACTAATTTGAGATTCAGTAGTCTCCATCTAATGCCAAGTTTAAGAAGGACATGGAAGCTTAGTAAAGGAGAATCAGTAGATCCTTACCACTTAAAGACTCCACACAGAAGATCTTTCGTTTTCATGAGGGGCTTCAAAAGGCTGTGTCATGTAGTAATTTCTAATTTTGCTGAGCCACATGTTGAATCATAAGTGTGGAGAGGCTGTTTTATGGGAGTGAATCACTCACAATGAGAACCCAGCCAGCAGCAGTTCAGTATGACTTTGCTGTTCTTTGTCATTTATGCAGTAATGCTCAGAAAAAGATAAAACAACAACTGTCACTCTGCATATAATGCACCTGAAAGGTCAGGGTTCAGGTTCTAATGAAGTCAGAAAACGTGAAACAGTCTGATAAATACAGTTCACGTCCAAGTTTTCTGCAGGAGATTTTATGCTAAGCAGTATTTGCAAATTTGAGAACTCAGAGATCTATTATCCAGTCAGGGCCTCCAGACTGTAATTTCACATTTGAGCAAATTTAGGCTTCAGTGACTTTCCCAATGTCACAAGAATCTAGTAGGTATTTGTACCATGGTTTATATTTTTTGTACTATTTTTCCTTTTTTTTTTTTTTTTTTTGCATTTTAAATAACTAGTAGCCTTAAGTGTCTGGCTCTTCTTCGAGTATTTTATATGCATTCTGTAATTTATCCCTCTAAAATAAGTGCTATGATTACCTCCATTTAATGGATTATGAGAGGGAGGTAATTAGGAAGCAGAGGTTGAGGATGTTAAATAGCTTGTACAAGATGACAGTCAGCTAGTACTGGGTGGAAGTGGAATTACAACACCAGCAGTCTTGTCTCAGCATCCATCATTTCACTCTGTACTTCCTTTGAGCAGAAGAAAACAAAACCAAAAAGGCTGAGGGTTTTTTTTTTTTTTCCACAGTCCATTTAGGAGTTGGTGATTTTTTTCTTTAGAGTCAAGTGCCAAAAGGAAATAAGCACTTAGAAAAAAAGTAGGAAGATGTGTGCTGCAGTTCAGAATTGAGATGAAGTCTGATGCTGGCTTGCACTTTTTCTGATTTTGAGGTCTTCTGTGTGTGTTGGGCATCCCTTCAGACAGAGCAGGCCTAATAAGCTGGATATTTGTGTCTAAGAGCTTCCACAAATGTGGAAGTTACCATTTGGCTTTCTACTTCTGGGTAGGTGTGACATTCCAGTCTAAAGCCGCCTTCAGCTGTTAATGAGATTTTGAAAATCCTTCCAAAGTGACTATGAGGTCTTTTTCATTTCACCTAAAGGCTTGGCCTGCTGTGGGCTGGGTAAGACCCACTTTGGTAGGACCTCAGTTCCTCCTTCCCTTTGCAGAAGCAAACATGGAAACATCAACACATCGAAGATTTACCTGAATTTTATGACGACTGAATCTGAAAACAAGACATTACCACATTGGCACATCTTGCGGTTTCCATGTGGTCTTTCCCTAGAATTCTGCCAGAGTTCCTGAGAGTAGCTACTTAGTTCTCACAATGTTCCCTCTAAGCCTTGCCACCAGCTTGCTAAGAATTCTGAAAGCTAGCATTCATCATTATTTCCACCCAGTATATTTTAACTGTAACTTAAAATGAAATAGAATTATATTTTACATTTTGTTTATGTGATTCATTAAATCATACTAGGTATTTTTGGGTGTTTTTTTTTTTTTTTTTTTTTTTTTTTGGAGAGATGGTATTTCTCTCTGTTACCTAGGCTGGAATGCCGTGGTGCTATCATAGCTCACTGTAACCTTGAACTCCTGGGCTCAAGTGATCCTGCTGCCTTAGCTTCCCAAGTAGCTGGGACTACAGGCACATACCACCACGCTCAGCTAATTTTTCTGTTTTTTATAGAGATGGGGTCTTGCCATGTTGCCCAGGCTGGTCTTGAACTCCTGGCCTCAAGTGATCCTTCTGCCTCTGCCTCCCAAAGTGCTAGGATTACAGGCATGAGCCAGCATGGCTGGCCCTCCCTTGCTTTTCTGTGCACAATGTTCAAAATAAACAAGATAGTCTGTTGTAATTGACTTGTTACTTGTAATATTTGAGGTGAGTTTTTTCCTTTTCATCATTGTCTTTTTCATTAATAATTGTTTAATTTAGCTTAACTACTTATAATTTTTACTACTATTTCACATTCGACATTTGGACAAATAGAAAAAAAGTATCTAATTTATCTTCCTACTCTAACATACTAGAAAATATTGTTTCCACATACAGAACTTTTTTTTTTTTTTTTTACAAAAAATTGAGAGTATTGCATTTCCATTGGGAACGTTTATATGCACAATTTTAAAAATCTGTATATATTTTGTAAAATGCTGTCATACTTTTAAATAACTTAGAGAATCTGAGATGAAAGCTCTTACATAAATGCAAATTATGGTTGATTATATTTGAATGTCATTTTCCAAAACAGCAAGGATGGAATGAAACAACAAAGCTTAGGAGGCAGTAAAAGTGACTTAGAAATTCCAACCTAGGTGAAGGCAACATGGTGATTGCTCTGTTTTTGAGGGCAATATTCTCTCTCAGTTTTGATGGAGGTTGACTTCTGAGTAACGGGTTTATAGCAGAGACAAATATAACTTACACTGTAGAGGTTAATTTGAATTCAGAGTCAACATGAAACTTTCTCACAAGACAGTTTTTTTTTGTTTTGTTTTTGTTTTTGTTTTTTTTGTTTTTTGCAGTCAAAAGAAAGTAGCTTCTTTTAACTGTGAACAGCAGTCACAGTTTTTAAAAAGTGCCATGTTTATTTTGTCCATGCTGCTTTTCCTTGGAGGGATCATTCATCTTCATCTTCACCCGCCAGCTAAATCCCACCTTCTCTCTGACACCTCGTTTGACCTCCTTGGTCCGTACACAGTTGCACTTAACACCATCCCCATGCAGCATCGCTCATGTGCGTATGTAACTGCATTCTGTTCTATATTCTCAGTTATTGTGTGACATAGTAAGTTCTTGTTTTGCTCAGTGGTACTGGGTGCTCCCAGAGGGACAGTGTCTTAACATTTTGGTGCTCTGTGCGTTGTAGATGTATTCATTATATATTTACAATCATACAGCTTATGGCTAGATGAGCTCTTTGGTGATTTGGTTTAATTGCCTTTTCTTATGAACACAGAAAATTAAGTTATAAAGAGGAAAAGTAGTTTCTCCTAAAGGTTATGACCAGTGTTATGGGTAAAGCCAGAATTAGAAGTTAGAATGCCTAATTTCTAGTGTAGTTCAGTTCCTCCCTCCCTCCCTCCCTCCTTCCCTTCCTTCCTTCTTTCCTTTGTTCCTTCCAACCAACCAACAAATATTTATTGAACATCTACCACTTGCCAGGCACCTTGCTAGGCCCTGATTATGCGGTGTTGAGCCTATCTTGGAACTTGGAACTTAAACCATGATTAGAGAGAAAGACAACAAATATTACACTGCCTAAGAGGCAGAGCACAGCAGTGGGGATTCATTGAGGAGCCAGTGATGCTCTGTTTTCAAAGGGCGAGTCTCAGAGGGGAACGATGATTGAGGTGGGCCCCACCTGGCGTGGGATTCAGGAACAGGACTCCAGGCTGGTAAGATTGTGGGTGGGAGAACACGGAAGATTGCCTACACAGGGACTCAGTACAGAAAGCAGCTACAGGGATTCATTTTCCAAAATCAGAATACCAGCAAGAGCTAGGGCTTCTCAGTTACTAGATCCGATTGTCACAGTCAGAACAGAACAAATAAGAAAGGTGATTTCTTCAGTCTTAGTGTGTTGAGCTTCCTAAAACCTTAAGTCAAGATTAGTCTATTGGCATGGGGCCCTTCTCACACAAGAGAAAGGAAGGAAGGTAAAGGCCTAACATGGATCACATTTATTAAAATTCTATCTGCTTAATACTCTTGTGAAATGAATAGTTTGGCCATGATGTCATCATGATAGCCATTCCCTAACCTTGTTTAGAAGTTTGTATTTCTATACAAAATCAGGATTGTTTCAGTAATTATCAGCCATCTGCCTCCAGTGTCCAACACAATTAGTTATTTGTGCTTAGTTGCATATTTATGTATATATACTTTGTGTGTGTATATATATATGTGTGTGTATATATATATATTGCATTCCATAAACCTTAGTTTGATTTGGATTGTTAGGCAGTCGTGTATTCCGGCTAATTTGAGGGTTGACCATAAAATATTTTCATTGCAATCTTATTTTTAAAACATTTTAATCTCTTTATCTCTTTCCTGCTAAATGAATATAGCCAAGTTATTTTACATTGTTAAAAAATTGAATAGGGCGTACTCAATCTGGTAATATAGATAAGGCAGATACAAAACAAATATTTTGAAAGTTTGGGTGCATAAGAGTGGAGGGGTAATTGTCATTGTTGTCCAGATTAAATTATTACTATTAATTGTTCTTCTAATGGTTTTACGCCCTGTCCTAAAAGTGAACTAGAGAAGCTAATCCTGATTAGTTGAGGATTCTGATTGAGTTTCTGCTTAGACATACAACACCCATAAGCTGGCTATATTATATGTTTGATTATAATAAACTATAAACATAGAGGGGATAATTACTCCTGCCTCCTTTTCTTTTAATAATAACATTTTAGGATTATGATAATATGTGAAAATAGTGGTATGTGTAAGCATAACATTCTTATTGTTTTGATGGGAGAGCTGAATACGCCACCTTCCTCTAGTTTCCTCTAATCAATTCTAAGTAGCATCAAGGTTTACTCTAGAGGGAAAGATTTGGGACTGAGTTCTCTCTAAGAAAAACAAAAAATATGAAACATGACTTTATTGTAAACCAGTGTAAAGACCAGTATATGAAGGAAGGTGTTACCTGAATTGTATATAATGTAATATGCAAAGCAAAGAAAATTTGGAAAGTAATAGGGTATTAAAACTGCCTTTTTTTATTTAAACAGGCTCATGCACAATTAGTTCGAGAAGTTGATGTGGAGAAGGTGTCTGCTTTTGAGAATCCATATGTAGATGCAATAAAGAGTTTATGGAATGATCCTGGAATCCAGGAATGCTATGATAGACGACGAGAATATCAATTATCTGACTCTACCAAATAGTGAGTATCTTTCCAGGTGGCCCTATGGATTTTTCTCTTTACTTCCATGTGGAGGTTTTATGATTATCATAACTTCTTTATTCTGTCCTGTATATGTCATATATGATTAAAACTTTAAAAGTTAGGGAATATAGATATTGAACTTATGCCAACCTCATAAATCTAAATTAGGTTATAAAGGACTGGTATCATGAGTCAGGGAGAATATTTCTTTTACTGTTTTCTGTTTGAAAAACAAACTGAAGACTCTAGGAATCTGATTTCACCAACCTGTCTCCTCCCCCAAATTGCAAACTAGCAATTCTCACATATGCCATTGTGATTTGAAATCTTGTAATAATAATTTTTGATAGAAAATCCAATCTTATTCATGTGCTAGAAAACACCTACACACATTAGAAACTGCAAACAAAAAATATGTTTGATTATGGCTTCTTAAAACATCAGACTTCCTGGTTTCCAGTTTTCAGACCCAGAACTTGACTGCTTTCTGAGAGCCACTATTATGTTGATGGATAGGTTTTCCTTTGCGTGAAAATTTCATGTGAGTCTAATTTTGCATACATTCCAGAATTATTTTGTGAGCTGTCAGTCAGACTCATGTCCTGGGAAAGATTTACATCCTAGAAATCTATTACTTCTCTAGAATTAAATCTCACCTAACAGAAAGGAAGTAAAGATTTGGCAATCATTGGATTAATGTGATCAATGTAGTCAGCAATGTAGATAACCAGGCACCTGAATAGTGAGTTTTCTTTTGGTGGTATTTAGCCAGGTTTCTGTGTACATTAGTTATATTAATACAGCATCTGCCTCTTGTTTTGGATCTGGGCAGACAGAAGAATGGGTGGAAAATAATCAGTAACCTTATGCCAGTTCATATGATAAAGTGATCCACTGGATGAGAGTGGGCCCTTGGGGAAAATAAGAGGCCCTGATAGGCTGCTTGACATCACTCAAAAGTGCATGGAATATCTAAGAGCTATATGACTCTGTTTTTTCAGTAAAATTGTCATGCTTTTACTCTAATTCTAGGCATTTGTATAAGATATGATTCACATCAGCCACAGAAATGTTGCCTGATCAAACTATTTCTTGTATTCTTATGGTAAATTTGAATTATGCCATTCTGAAATGTGACACAGTGCTCATGAGCACCATTTTTGTAGTATTTAATATTTTAACTAGCATTAACCCCCTTGTGTGCCTCTGAAATGTGTGCTTTCTTCATTCTTCCTTTCATCATCCTTCTTCCATACCTTCATATAGTTCTTCTCATTTCTGGTCTTTCTCTTCTGCTGTCCTGCATGCCTGCCTTCCATTCTGCCATTCTCCCTCCCTCTGTCCTTCGTCCCTTTGTTCCTTCCTCCTGGGCTCCCACTGTATAAGTTTCTGTGAGTACAGAGATGAAAAAGATGCATTCAGCTCTTGCATGTTCTAAATTCTGCCCCCTCAACCTTTGACCAGCTGTCTTTTTTACTCCTGCCCCCTCTGTCCTTCTGTTTCTTTTGCCATTTCAGATTCCATCTATCTCCCCATGTTGCTGCTGTCTCATCCATCATTCCCTGTTCCCATTCATTATGTCTCTCCTGTCTGCTTATTTACCCTCCACCCTCAGTTTTGAATCTCTCTGGCTCTCTCTTAACTCCTCTCTGCTTCTCACTTTGCTACTGTGATGTCTTGCCCTAGCCTTTAAAACTAACTCATCCTCCATTATAAAGTTACATTTACTGATAAATTCTTCACCTTGCATCATTTTTCTTCTAACCTCTATCTTTTAACTTTTAGTTTCAGTCTTATCTCCTCCCCTCCCTACCTGGTCTACTCTTTACCTGTCAACTGTAACTGTTCTCCCTACGGAGAGTCCTGCTACTGGGTAGTCAGAGGCCCCCATTATCTAGTAATTATGTGCTTACTAGGGTTACGTCTCCCCCTTAGGGTTTGCCTCCTCCTCCTGGGATAGACCCTCTGAGAGAGTCCTCTTTGCACCTAGGACACCTGTATTGGACTATGGATATGTTCTTGAGACAAGACTTCATCATATCTCTGATGACATACCCTCAGTTTAGATTTGCAGATTTCTAGACATGGACCCATTAGTTAGTATGAGGATTGGATGCTGCCATATCTAACTTGCTTAGGGCAAGAGCTCTCCCAGACAGTTTCTCTAGACCTGTCAGTGCTGTGATCCTGGGAAAAGCTGCTATCTTAGAGTTCTGTCAGTGCAGGCTTAGTCTGCCATAGAAACGGGCACACTCCTTACGATAAAGCAAGACCAAAACGTGGGGCCCTCTAGCACAGGCTGATCTAAACTCCTTCAAATGATTATTCTTTAAATAGTTCTACATTTCCCTAGTGGGAATGAGGATAAATTGATTTTCTAAATTATATATATGTGGGCCAGGTATGGTGGCTTACGCCTGTAATCCCAGCACTTTGGGAGGCTGAGGTGGGTGGATCACTTGAGGTCAGGAGTTCGAGACCAGCCTGACCAATAGACAGGTGAAACCCTGTCTCTACTAAAAATACCAAAAAAGTAGCCAGGCGTGGTGGGGTGCGCCTGTAGTCCTAGCTACTCAGGAGGCTGAAACAGGAGAATTGGTTGAACCCGGGAGGCAGAGGTTGCGGTGAGCCAAGATCGAGATCAATCATGCCCCTGCACTCCAGCCTGGGTGACAGAGGAAGACTCCATCTCCAAAAAAAAATAAAAAATAAAAATAAATTATTCTTATATATATGTATATATATGTAGACATACGTCACCTAAATCTTTTTTAATCACATTTTATGCTGAAGTAATAAAGTGAATTCTAACAACATGTACTTACATCCTTAGACATCAATATGTATCTTTTTTAAAAAAGTAGGACATTTTCCTACCTAAATAATAATACATTATTATACCTAAAATTAATTAAGTTCTTTTTATCATTCTATACCCAGTTCATATTCAGATTTCCCAAATTCTTCCAAAATGTCCTCTAGAGGTGGTTGATTTCAGGACTTCACATTGCATCTGGTTGTTGTGTCCCATAAGGTTCTTTTAATCTAGTAGAGACCCATTTTGCATTTCACTGGCACATTCAAGAGATTGGCCTAGATTTGCCTGATTGCTTCTCATAGTATGATTTAGCTTGCTCCTGGATCTCATTGATTTACTCTAAACTAGAAGTTACATTTAAAGTCTTTATTAGATTCAAGTTAAACGTTGTGACTAGAATGTATTATAAGTGATGTTGTACACTTGTTTACCCATGGTGGATGAAGGTAAGATTTACCATGGCGTTAGGGTAGTGGCACCCTCCATTATAAAGTTGTATTTTACTTGTCTCTTGTTGTGTTAGTTTGTCATTGAGCAGTCTCTAGTTCTTCATCAGCTCTTCCTCTGATAGTTTTATTTCCAACTGATAATTTTTGCCAGATTTAATAATTCCATTGGGATTTGTAAAATAATTATTTTCCTCTTTTATCAGTTGGTCTACATTGGCATTCTTCTGCATAGAAGATTTTATCTCTTCAGCTATTTGATTAATCATCTGAACCAGGACACATTGAGAAAGAGGAGGCTGTATTAATAATTATGGTGAAACAGCGACTCTCCAGGACAGGCAGGGACCTGTCACCTTTGGTCACCTTAGCTAAGTGAAACTGAGGGAGGGAGGTTTGTTTCCTTCATTTTTTGTAGAATACTCTCTTTACTTCAAAGGGAGTAGAATCAGTTTATTCCTGCCAGTTATGTAAGGGGTTGTGTGTATAAACCAGAGTTAACTGGACCCACATTTCAGGTCTCCTCCAGGGATGTTTTGGCACCACCTATACATCAGTGCCCAAGCAGCCTGCCTGGCTTGCCTTAATCCCACTGTGCCAGGAGGCCCGAGTGTTACTTACTTTATTCTTCACCGTCTTAGTAGTGAGCACTTTACATTTTCCTTAGCCAGGTAAACCTCTCAACAGAAATAGGACCTGGGCATCATAGAGTCACTCATTTGCTGCTGTGTTCCACATGTTTCTCCAGTGTAATCACTGCAGATGCTCCAGGAACTGGCAAATACGACAGCACTGGCAAAGATGTAGGTCCCATATGTTAAACATCGCTGATTTCCCAGTACTAAAAATCATGTTCACAAATAACTCAGAATAATTCCTTTCTCTGTGTTTGAGATAATTGTTAGCCCTTTTCCTTTCTGACTTTTTTGTGTATATTCCCCTAGTGCATCTTCAGTATGTTATATTGCCTCCTTTTTTTCATATCTTTATATTTTTATATCTTTATATATAATATATCTTTATAAAGATATCTTCATATCTTTATAATTGTTCCTATCTTTATAATTGAAACATACTTCATTGTTATTCTGGACCTAATTTCTTATTCATTATCACCTTACAGAAATATTCATCTTACAGAAATATTTCTGAGCTTAGGACCAACTTCTTTTGGTGCTGCCTGTCTCTAGTGGTAGGTCTTCAGAGTAGATTTAGGGAATACTTAACATCTACATTTCTGGTATTAGGAGAATCTCCCTGCCACACACACCTACTTAAAGGTTGTAGTGTAGTAGCAGTTCTCTCCACAACTCTAGTGGTTGTGAGATTCAGTGCAAGCGACTTAAAAAAATACTGGGAGCAGAGGCCAAGCATGCCTGTCTTCTTTTCTCTCTGATGAACTCCTATTCATCCTTTAAGACCCGACTCAAGAGTCACCCTTTCTGAAAGCCTTGCCCAACACCAGTAACAGTAAGTCACTATGTCTTCTATCTTAACACTGTGTACATATCTCTTTTATTTCCGTCATCACATTTACTACAGTGCCTCTCCCCTCTACCCTCTGTTCCTGACAGCAGTGCTCATGTTTGACTTTCACAAGTGATTGTTTCATGAAATAATAGAAGTGATTGTTTCACGAAATAATAGATGGGTAATTTCTACTATTTTAATGACCATGGTATAAGCACCAGTCTCTCTTTGGCTGTTAAATATTATGAAGCTTTAGAGCCGAAGGCATTCAAGTCTTTTTTCCTGCTGTTGTTGAAGGTCTGGGATATGAAAAGCCTTATCAAAGACAATAATAGCTGCTATTTACTGAATATTTAATATATGTTAGATTCTGTGCTTGGTCATTTACATGTGTTATTTCATTTAATCCTCAAAGTCACCTACAATGGTACATAGTTATTAGCATCCCCGTCTAACATAAGAGGAAACTAGGATTCAGACTGAATAATTTGTTCAAGGCCACATACTTAGTAAGTGAATGGAGGAGGAGTTGAATTCAAATTTGCTTATTCCAGAGCCCAAGCTTTTAACCACTGAAATACAGCCTCACACAGGATGGATGGATGCATGACAGATAGATAGATAGATAGATAGATAGATAGATAGATAGATAGATAGATAGATAGATAGATGATTGACAGTTTTTAGATAAGATAGATGGATAGATAGGTAGATAGATGAATCAGTAGATAAATACCTATGATTAGGTGTTTTATAAATCACTTACCATGAAGAACAAATTATTAATCTTTACCAACATTGTCTACAGACAGTTTCATATTTATAAAGTCAAGAAGGAAAATTATATAAAATTGACTGGAAAACAAACCCAATAGGTTTTTGGTTATCATTATGAAAACTTAGCCATGTTTAGCTAAGCAGCAATTATCCATACTAACATGAAAGATGTTCTAAGTTACAGATAATTCAGGAATGTTATTTCTTTGTTTTAACCTACAGTCTTTATCTCTCAACCCCTCTCCCCCAAAATCCAGACAATCACTTTTTACTGGAACCAGTAAGAAGGACACCATAAAATGATTTGAGCTTCCCTTCTACTTTGATTAGCCAACTTGCCTATCATAGTAAGTAATCAGATGACTCAAAGGACAGGCAGCAATGATAGAACCACAGAGGTAGGAAATTCCAGATAATGGATAAGCAGTTGTGGATACATTTGCAATTGGCCTTAATTTGGTGAATTCTTCCAATTCTATTTAATGAAAGAATAAAAAGCATTCTAAGATCCTAGGGAGTTGTGTAGATTACTTTATTAACTTTTTCGTTATTGATAAAAAGCCTGAAGGCTCTGAAAATGATTAAAGAGCACAAAAAACAGATGGTTGTAGGTTCACTTTTTTTCCCCTAGATTTCACCACCTGCTTTAATATACTGAGAAATCAGGTCAAATGAGTTCACTGCCTACAGTACCAAAAGCTCCCTGACATTAGCCAGAAGACACAAGTCTCAATCACATTGGCGTATAGTGAGAAAAGGCCTCATCTGCAGGCTTTGGCTAGTCTACTGTAGCTGTGTTTGCCTTAAGAGACCAAATAATTTCTAATCTTACTTCACCGAATTCCCCTCCAGGGAGCTGGGTAAATCAGACACCTTCTTGAAATTTCCACATGATCCGGAGCCCGTAAAGAACATGAGTAGATTGGCTTTTTGGCATAAGTCAACATTGGAGTTTGACTTTCTAAACGCATGCTTACATTTTTTGAGTCTGATGATGAACTAGCACCAATATATTATGTGCCATGTTGAATTTAACAAAAGGCATTTCAGAGATAGGGTAACACATCCAGCTAACTTAGGGCCAGTCCTTCTTGAAGAGGAAGTACCTTGCTAAGAAGTTGCTGACTGATGAGTCAAATACTTGTACTCCAGGGTATATTGGTTTGGCCATTGTATCCATCCTCACTTTCCTCTGATAGTTTTTTTTGTTTTGTTTTGTTTTGTTTTGTTTTTTTTAAGTTTAAGCCTACTCCAGGCTTTTGAAGGCAGATAAGACCGTTGTATGGTGAAAATATTAGGTCAAGGTCCAGCTGGAATTCCCTCTGCTACTCACTACCTCGGGGGCATTGACTAAGCGTCACTTTCCTCAGACATAGATTATATGTGATACATAATCCTTAAATTCTCCTCCTAAATTCTGAAGTCCTTTGATTCTGTTGGAGTTGACTCCCTTTATCTGAGAAGTCATTATCCTATGCAGTCAAATGAAAACCTGGCACCTTAAAATTTACCTGGAAATGTAATGAACAGAGAAATTATTCTCTACATGATTAAATTACTAAAAATGCTATCTTTAACCAGCTCAGAAGAGGACATTGATCTTGCATATGTTTGCTCTTCTTCAGAGTGTCAATAATAACACAAAGTGTCATTCTTTTCACTTGAGTGACATATTTAATTCTCTTCCTGTTTTGTTATCTAGTGGGCCACATTTTCCAATCTTTGGTAAAACAACAAACAAAAAGCCCTGCATTTGTCTTCCTCGGTGAATGCTGATGATTCTAAGATGTGGTCTTTATTATTCCCCTTTCAGAAAGCTCTTAAAGATAAAAAGATAAGGCTTAGGTATGCTTAACTCTACTCTAACCTTCATTACAGAGAAGGAACAGGAAAAAGGGCTGGGTTTAGCCCCAGTTTATCATTTTTTCACTCTGCCTAAAGGGCAGGGTGGATGTGGGCAAGTCAGTTTGCTGTTTGCTCACATTTTATCAGGACGTTTATTTGGACTTTGAGTAGTTTGGCCTCTTCTTTGTAGGCCTTTCCACAGTCTTTACTCAGGATGATGATGTGCCTAGCTAAAGCCTATTACCGTAGAACAGGGATTAGCAAACCTGCAGGCCAAATTTGGCCTGCTGCCTATTTTTATAAATAAAGTTTGGTTGGAACATAGCCATGTTCGTTTGTTTATGTATTGTGTATAGCTGCTTTGGACCCAACGGGAGAGTCAGATAGTTGTAACAGAGATCATATGGTCCAAAAGTCCTAAAATATTTATATTTACTATCTGATTTTCATTCTCACACACACACAAATTCAAACCCCTCTTAGAGGTGAAGAATAACTATTAAAACACAGTAGCATTCTGCTTATGCTATTTAGATAAAACCTAGTTTAAGACTCTGATGCTCTGAATTAACCCAGAGATATCTTTTAGAGTACTGAGTGAAGCAATGGCCTGCATTCCTTCAGCAGTCCTCTAGAGATACTGCTTTGCACAATGAAACGTTTGGTAGGAAGTGAGCAACAGAAAGTTCTAGATCATATTTCCTGGACGTACCACTAAATGCCACACAAAGAATGTCTGGCATAAAAATGGCATGAATGACCAGAAATGTTCATTGAGTTGATTTGGCTTCTGAGTGCAAGGATTATGTGTCATGTGAGCTTGACTCATAGTGTCTGGTATGGTATGGTAGTATGTTGCAGCTGATGAGAGGGTTTCATAGGATTTAGCAATCAATTGAAGCAGAGATAGGAGTGACAGTCTTTTGTAAGAGGGCTAATAGAACATGCACATGATTATAAGACAACCCCATCCCACTTCCAGTCACAGGAGAGCCAAAGAATCTTGCTGTCTTTATGTAACCCATAAGGTCATTCAGCACCTTTTTTGACTCCCCACTTCCCAAGAAGCCTTGCTGACTCTGGTATTCTTGAGTTCATTATCAGGTTAAAGTCTTTTCAGTTGAAAATAATGAATTGAATTTTGATTTATAATTAGTTTACGTTAACTCATGTTAGCATGACCAGCTCTCCAGACCTGATCATCCTTGTCAAAATGAAAGTTCTAATCTCACAGAAGCAATATCCAAATTAAGGTGACATAACTGACATGACCATGGGAGACCCACTTAAATCAGTATGACCTATTTATTGCTCATTGCTCTTGGCTGCAATCACTGGAAGCTCTCTTTTGACCCATATTACATCTGCATTGTATTACGGTTATTTATAACACGTTTTTCTTCATTGCCAGACTATAATCTCCTTGAGGACATGATTTGTGTCCTTTTTTCTTTGTAGTTCACGCTCAGCCTAAGCCTAGTGCCTAGCTTACTGTAGACTTTCCGTAAAAGTTGTTGAATGAATGAGTGATAGAGGAAAAAGGAAGTTCTGTACCTTTCCTAATTTCTTCTCATCTGTCATCTGTCCTATTCTGCCTGTTCAAATCCCATTCTGTCTGCACAGAGTAACCCATCCCCACCTCTACTGCACACTATTCTCCAGTGACTACAGTTCATAATCATCTCTCCCTTCCTATTGCATTCATCATTAGCAGCTCACAATCTGGCACTTAATTGTTTCTTAATTGATTCATCGGTGCTCTCTTTGCTTCACAGGTAGCCTGAAATCCCTAAAGGCAAAGAAGGTATTTTAACATATATTGTGCCAGTTCTCTGTGCCAATCTCCCTCCATCTAACACACTGCATTAGAAATTAATGTATAACAGATTCCCAATAAATATGTGTAAATTAACTGAATTAAGCATCGCCATCCAGTTTCAAGGCAGGCAGACCAGAATTAAAAAGTAATCTTCAGCTATTTCTTGATATGTTTTAGAATTGTGTCAAAATTAACCAATAGCTTGGAAAGTTATCATATATAAAAGATGAATAAATTAACAAAGCCAAATAGGCAAATTGAAAAAGACTTCCTTCTTTCTTTTCTCTCTTTCTCTCTCATTGCTATTGTTGTTTTGTTTTCGTTTTCAATTACAAAGTTGATTTATTTTTTGGAGCACTACACCTGAGAATCTATTGCTGTGAGCCCAGCCCTGGCATCTGTCTGGCAGACACTTAGTTGCCTGGCCCTTTTCCTATTTGGCACTAGTGCTCTCTTTATGTCAGACTTTCAGATTCATAAGATAATGAAACTATTTACCAAATGCAGTGATAGAATCTTTTTAGGAGATATTTAATTTAGTTTTAAAAATCTTTTCTAGATTGGGTTAGTTCTTTGGTAGAGGGAAATTGAAATGCATAATTTCGAAGCCTTCTCTTTTATCCTCCAGAATAGTCTCCCTTGAACAGCATTCATAAATGGTAGGATTATAACCCACCTGCTACCGAGTGATCTTTGTTTTGAACCTGCCACTTTGTATTAAAAGCAAACTTTTTGGCCGGGTGCGGTGGCTCATGCCTGTAATCCCAGCACTTTGGGAGGCTGAGGTTGGCAGATGACGAGGTCAGGAGTTCGAGACCAGCCTGACCAACAAGGTGAAACCCCATCTCTACTAAAAATACAAAAAATTAGCCAGGCCTGGTGCTGCGCGCATGTAATCCCAGCTACTCGGGAGGCTGAGGCAGGAGAATCGCTTGAACCCAGGAGGCAGAGGTTGCAGTGAGCCAAGATCATGCCATTGCACTCCAGCCTGGGCGACAGAGCGAGACTCCATCTCAAAAAAAAAAGAAAAAAAGTAAGCTTCTTATGAACAAAATGCCTGTTAATAAATGCTGCACATCCTTGAACTCTAACACGTATGTCAGGTATCAAAAAGGAAAAAGGAAAGTTGATTTGCTCTCTGCAAAATGAGCTTTTTAGGAGATGGAAGTGTTTGTGGAGTGAGCAATCTTGTGCCACTAACCATCCTAACCAGATTACCAGCCAGGCTCCTGTCAGCCACAGGATTTGCCAGATGAGGAAGGGACTAGAGTAGGTTATGCTACCAAAACCTCTCCTTGACTCTCCCCTCAAGATACCAGTTTTGCAGAACTGTTACTTCTTCATTTGTTTTTGCAGGTCACTTTACAATTTTTTTTTCACTTTTTTCCTTTGGACTTTTGTGGTCATATAGCAACTGCACGATAACTGTGTGTTTCTGATTTCTCTTTAGCTTCCAGTGCTTTTGATAGTGTCAGACACCGTCTCATGGCATGATCTAGCTTTCAACTCCCCAAAGACTGTTCCTCTCACAATGAGGTCTTCTTAATTTTTTTAAATGAAGTCGACCTCGTTTTTCTAACCTTCTTTTCAATAATTAAAAATGTGAAGACCTACCCAGAATCATTTTCTGTGCCATAACTTCATCTTAATATTTGACGTGAACTGCAAATTTGTTATAAATGCAGCCTCTCTATAGGAGGCCCTTACATAGGGGTCAAAGAGCTCCCCAACCTCCAACACACACCCCGTGTCATGCTACATTGAAAGCCCCAAGATGCGATTTCATTTATCCTATTGTGTCTGGTTGGATTTGCATGAAATTTCAGAGATTTCTGTTCCTACTTAACTATCCACAGGTACTTTTTGCCTTTTGGTGTGATTACTGAGGGTTGTATGCCTCTAACTTTAATATATGTATTTAGAGTCAGGGTCTTACTGTGTTGCCCAAGCTGGAGTGCAGTGGTTACACCCTGAAACTCCTGGGTTCAAGCAATCTTTCTGCCTCACAGCCTTCCAAGTAGCTGGGACTGTAGGCACATGCCGCCACACCTGGCTTATAAAATTTATTAACCCTAGCTATAATGTGATATGTTTTACCTGCCAGCTCATATCTCTAAATTTTAATTTTTTGTTTCCTTCATTTAAGAGAAAACAAAGCACTTGAATTTTTAATTTCTGTGCTATTCTTGGTCTAGATTTCAGTTACTCTTCCAGTCATAGGTGGGGGGAGGGGTGGTTCTTTTTAATCTTAAAAAGAGACTTTTAAAAATCAGTTTGCATTCATGTCAAATGGGAGCATAAATTAATTTGAAGGTCACCTCAAAACTGTTATTGATAAAGTGTCAAAATTAAGGAACAATTGGAATCTCTTTTTAAAACATAAGAGAGAAAGTGTTGTATGTAATATTGATTTGGGCATATTATTTTAGAGAAGTTGAAGCTTCTGTCATATATTTTAATCATTTAAAGTAGTGGATTATGTCCTGTTTCTGAATTTATTTTTCTTCAGCCAGAGATTATCCTGACATTCAGCGTGTAAAGAATTTATCTGTTACAAGGTGTAAACTAATGGGCATGATTTCTGTTAAGTCTTTCATGCAGTGCAGCCATACTACACAGAAGAATGTTTTGAGGATTATCACCAAGGGCTAGAGATTGTTCGAACAGGTTCCCAGAAAGTGACTGTATCCAAAATATACAAAGGTTCATTTCATCTCTATAAATCTCACCATTCTTGTTTTTATGTAACCCTTATTTCCCCACAAATTGATAAACTCCTTGCAGGTAAGGATCATATCCAATGAATCTTCCTATCTGTAGCATCTACCATAATGTCATGGCCAAAATATGTTGTTTAATTCCAGATGACTCTGCATTTTGCTTATGGTCAGAAAGGAATCACTGAAACATTAATATGCAAGTGTCTGTGTTCCCTCACTTTTCACAGAAAACCATCAAAAACCTTTTTTCCATCAAGAAGATTGTGTCAGAAATGTCTTGTTGATAAAGTCCCACCTCCTCAGTTTGCACTGTGTTAGACAGAATGCTAAGGCCTGAAAGCTTGAAACAGGTATAAAATGGACATAAACATTTTGTCATTCTCTAGCCAGGACCTAAAGAATAGCAGGAAGCAAATCTACTAAATGAAGTTAAACAAATAATGCTTTCTCTTTCTGTGTTGTCTTTGTCAGAGACATTTTTATTCAGAACTTGGTTATTACATGATGCAGGCCAGTAATAGCCGAGAGAAGTAATTTCGTAAGGATGGATAGCTAACAACCTCCCCTCTCCTGTGTTTTTGCCTTTCTAACCACTACAGCACTTCCCATAAAATAGTTTTAATTTGGGTCCATGCTGAGCACCTGCTGTGCTCCAGGCCCTTGGCTAAGTGTTGTTGATATAGCCGTGGACAAAGGCACTTGTGGGCCCTGACCACCGAGTGTGAGGGCCATAGCTAACTGGGCAAACATGTGGAAGAATATTGAGCTCGGGGTTTCTTTTTTTAAAAAAAATTATAAATTAATAATTTATAATGTCTCAGCACAGTGAAAAGTCATTAAATCCCCATGGAGGGATTGGAGTAAGGTGGGTTTAAGCAGCTAAATCTCCCATTTTCTAACATGAATAGCTTGTCTCCTAGACACTTAACAAGCCTTATGTAAAACATGGGAGCTTCCTCTCCCTGACATCAGGAGAGAGTCACTACCAGATACTTGTTACACATACATTGCCTTGGAAATGTACCTGTGCCTGGCACCATGGCAACACCCTTGAGAATGACCTCAACAGCCACTCAGAATCATTCCTACAAAACAAATTATGGCTATAATTAACTCTGAATTTACAGTATAAATTTGTTCAGACCTCGGTGTGGTTTTTTTTTTAAAAGGTCGAATGAATGGAATAATTTAACATGAACCTGTCCCTCATATTCCACCAATTTTTTTTTTAGAATAGAAAATGCTTCAATGGAAAGTACAATTCAGTTAAGAGATTATTTTATTACCTTTTCTCAGTATGTGACGAGGACCATCAAATGATGATGTTCTACTCTTACCATGCTAGAACTCCATTTCTAGGGGAACAAAGTTCCCTTTTTCCCTGGCAGATGTGAAATACAGAGTGTGCTGAATCCCTCCTCTGAGTCCTGTGAGCCCAGAGTGAGGGGGGTTGCATGGGATTGGGGGTTATGCGGGCAGCAGCTCTTTGATCCCTTCTTGGCAATGAAAAATGCAGGGTTTTTTTGTTTTTTGTTTTGTTTTTGTTTTTTTGAGACAGAGTCTCACTCTGTTGCCCAGGCTGGAGTGCAGTGGTGCAATGGTGGCTCACTGCAACCTCTACCTGCCAGGTTCAAGCGATTCTCATGCCTAAGCCTCCGATGTAGCTGACATTTCAGGTATGCATCACCACACCCAGTTAATTTTTGTATTTTTAGTAGAGATGGGGTTTCACCATGTTGTCCAGGCTGGTCTCAAACTCCTGGCCTCAAGTGATCTGGGCTTCCCAAAGTGCTAGGATTATAGGTGTGAGCCACTGCGCCCAGCCAAAAATGTCGTTCGTGGTCTATAAATTTTACCTGCTTCACAAATTGTCTGTAACATATCTTCAATCCTGGGTAGCTTCCCAGATTTTACTCTAGGAGCAAATAGTTTGTATGTCTTTTGTTTAGTTGGAGGTTTTGTTGTTTTTCTTTGCCTTGTTTTGGGTTTTTGTTTGGTTTGGTTTTTGGTTCTAGATGATGTATGTTGGAACTAGCAGAGCTAGATACAGTTCCTCTTAGTCTTGTCTTTTGTTAAGCTAGATTAATTTAACTCTTTCACCCCAAGCAAAGTGAGCCTTTCTCTCTATTATTCAACTGAGGCAAAGCAAAAAGAATGGCAAGCAAAAACTGCAGCTTCCTTTTAAGTTAACCAGAAATTTATGAAGCGTCTTTAATGGCCATTTCATTGCTGTGAACTGTGTTGATACCTGGGCAATGAACAGACAGAACAGAGCCTGGCAGGCATCAGGTGCTCAGTGTTATTTGTTGTTATGCTGTTGTTGTCATTCTCTGTGATCTATACTGCCATTGAAAAGATGAAGAGGAAAAAGTATTCTTGCAAGTATGAGTGTCTTGGATATTCATTTCAGTACCCTGAACTTAGGAGTGATACCACTGACAATTTTTTTAGGGTATCCTCTAACCCCTTGTAAGTGGAAAGTTTTCTAGTGGCAGGTATGTGCCTGATTCCATCTTATCCAAGCAATGTGACAGGTAATTTCCCACTTCATGTGCTGGTTCTTTAAATTCTCCTGTGCTAACACTCATCTGTGCTTTACTATGGAGTGGCAATGAGTAATCTGTTAGGTTCATCTCCAGAAAACAGAAAACCACACTTTCCCTTTACCTCAGGAACACCACAGCACCTTCCATTACAAGAATTAACAGCCCTCTGTTCTGACCTCTGTGTACGGCATTAAGCGAGTAGAGATGGTTTATCAGGCAATATATTTCTGAGCAGCCTTGCCAGTGGAAATTTAAAGTTATTTGATTCCTCTGAAATAAGTTTTTGTATACAGTAGTTAAATGGTGAACTTGTGGATTTCGAAATGTACATTCAGGTTTTTCAAATCAAGAAGCTGATAAATTAGAAAACCCCATCCATACAGAGTAGCTATCTGATTTTTGTTGTTGTTGTTTTGAATTACTTGATTTATTTATTTTTTCTTTTTTAAATTTATTTATTATTATACTTTAAGTTTTAGGGTACATGTGCACAATGTGCAGGTTAGTTACATATGTATACATGTGCCATGCTGGTGCGCTGCACCCACTAACTCGTCATCTAGCATTAGGTGTATCTCCCAATGCTATCCCTCCCCCCACAGCAGTCCCCAGAGTGTGATGTTCCCCTTCCTGTGTCCATGTGTTCTCATTGTTGAATTCCCACCTATGAGTGAGAATATGCGGTGTTTGGTTTTTTGTTCTTGCGATAGTTTACTGAGAATGATGATTTCCAATTTCATCCATGTCCCTACAAAGGACATGAACTCATCATTTTTTATGGGTGCATAGTATTCCATGGTGTATATGTGCCACATTTTCTTAATCCAGTCTATCATTGTTGGACATTTGGGTTGGTTCCAAGTCTTCGCTATTGTGAATAATGCCGCAATAAACATACGTGTGCATGTGTCTTTATAGCAGCATGATTTATAGTCCTTTGGGTATATACCCAGTAATGGGATGGCTGGGTCAAATGGTATTTCTAGTTCTAGATCCCTGAGGAATCGCCACACTGACTTCCACAATGGTTGAACTAGTTTACAGTCCCACCAACAGTGTAAAAGTGTTCCTATTTTTTATTTATGATGTGATGAGCTGGTTTATCAGTAGAGTGAAATACAGATCCCTTCCCAGAACATGGGCTCGTCTAACTCTTATCAGAGGACTCCGTGATCATGGCAAGATATTTACTAAAATTCTGGGTCTAGTCCATTTTTACGTTTCCTTTCTGTGTTTCACACCAGTATTCTCCCAGCCTCCCTCTATTTGTCTTCCAGCCAGTTTTATAATAATTGGAGCTATCAGGCTGGTTCCTGTTACTCAACAGAGAGCTGATTGCCAGCTAGAGAATCATCAATGTATCAGGGATAAGGCCCCTGGAATACTAATTAATTGATATGCAATAGGAATTTCTGGGCTGATACTTTTTTTGTCTTAAAGAATTGATAACACACCTCCAAAGAAGCAGTAATTTTATTTCTTTGTTAAAGTCAGACTTAACTCTTTGTTAAACTCAGATTTAATCCTCCTACTTTATGATTCCAGGAATCTTGTAGATTTAACATTTTTTTTACATTCAGTTTCAAATTTAAGGGTATCATTCATACAGAAATACCACTGGTAAGAATGCTATTTAAATAATGCTAAAACTAAATCTCAGCATAGGAAATCCATCAATCCATCCAACACATATTCATTAAGTTCTATTTGTCTGGCATTCTTTTAGGTACTAAGGCAGAAATAAAGATGAGTGTGTCAGAGTCCCTACCCTGGGTAGGTCATGTCCACTGAGTATTTGTTATTGTTCAATTATAACATGCTATGCACAAGGCATTCCTTGTTATGTATCTTAGAACTCACCTCTTGTTTGTGGGTATACAGAGTTGAAGATCTAACCCCTTCCATTTCTATTAAGGGTCCCACCTTTTCTTTAATCTGGCTCATAAGTTAGTTACTTTGTGCATATACTTTGTAGTTGTGTGTTTTGAAGCCATGTCTGTGCCCCATCCTTTCCAGGACAAAGGAGAACACAGTTACTCTTTGAAATCATGAAGATACCACTCAATTCTATCATATTATGTCATTCTCAACATTTCAGATTATTTTTTACACTTTGAGAAAATGAAACATGAATGGAATAAAAGATTCTTGACATGGCAGAATTACATTGATGAAGAACATATGTGTGACTGCCAGGGATAACACAGGTAGTGATAGAACAATTCTGTGTCCTGATTGTGGTGTTATTACACAAATCTCTACATATAAAATCTCATAGAACTAGATACCCCCCCATAATACAGTCAGCCCTCTGTATCTATGGGTTCTGCATTTGTGAACTCAACAACTTATGGATCAAAAATATTCAGAGAAAAATTGTATCTTTACTGAACATGTACAGACTTTTCTTGTCATTATTCCCTACACACTACAGTATAACAGCTATTCACATAGCATTTACATTGTTAAGTAACCTAGGGTTGATTTAAACTATAGGAGAGGACTATGCATACATTATATGCAAATACTGTTCCATTTTATATGGAGGACTTGAGCATCCAGGGATTTTGGTATGTGCAGGAGGTCCTGGATCCAGTCGCTCACAGATACTGAGGGATGACTGTATACATACATACAATATATAGCATATGAGTATATAACAACGGATAAAATTCAGTAAGGTCTGTAGTTTTGTTAATAGTATTTGTGTCAGTGTCATTTCCCTGGTTTTGATCATGTACTATGATTATGTAAGATGTTATTGTTTGGGGAAGCTGGGTAAAGGGTACAGGGAAATGTTCTGTAATATTTTTGCAACTTCTTGTGAGTCTAAAGTTATTTCAAAAGAAAAATTCTTTTAAGGGAAGGGAAAAGTATCAAGTATCATATAACTAGATAAATATAAAGTTAAGGTGTGGTGACTCCAAACATTGGGAATATCTGACCTTAGACACATTATTACTGCAGTAACTAGAAATGTCATGGCTTCACATTAATCATGAATGACTTAGGCTCTGGACAGAATTTAGGACACTGTAGCCTGCTGTCTTCTCTTAGGAGAATAGTGAAATTCATTCCAGGAAGACTCTGATGTTCTGCAAAAAAGAGAAAAAAGAAAAAGAAAAAAAAGGCATTCTGACCTTATGTGCAACTCTCTGTTGTCTTAAACACTATTTGTTTTAAACTCCTGCTTTGACAACCAAACCTACTAAACAAGTAGAGAATAGGAAACTAATTTGAATTTCTTTTTCTCCCACCCCTTGCCTCTGGGGAGTATGAGTTCTAATTGATAATAAGAGAAGAAATGAGAACTATGGTGTGTATGTAATCCATAGATGGATAACCTTCCAGTAATGGAAGGTTGACTTTATCTTTCTTTTCCACAGACTCCTCTACCACTTTCTGATATTTTTCTTTCTCTTCTTTACTTCTCTGTTAGGACTCATTTTTGTCCTTCCCTTTCCGTAGACAGCTTTGGTGTGATGGTGTCACTGACATTCTCATTGTGTCTTCCCTCCTCTAGCTATCTTAATGACTTGGACCGCGTAGCTGACCCTGCCTACCTGCCTACGCAACAAGATGTGCTTAGAGTTCGAGTCCCCACCACAGGGATCATCGAATACCCCTTTGACTTACAAAGTGTCATTTTCAGGTAGTAACTGAGTCCATGAAACCTATTTCCCAGCTTTTATGCCTTGAGTACATTTGGTAAACTCTATAAATACTGGAATCATGTGTAGGCTTCAAAACAAGATAGGCTTTATACCAATTATTATCATTAGTTATACAAATAAAATGACATATCCCTGAGGGAGGAAATAACAGAAAGATGTACTGGAGGCCGGGCGCGGTGGCTCACGCCTGTTATCCCAGCACTTTGGGAGGATAAGGTGGATGGATTACCTGAAGTCAGGAGTTTGAGAACAGCCAGGCCAACATGGTGAAACCCCTTCTTTACTAAAAATACAAAAATTAGCCGGGCATGCTGGCGGGCACCTGTAATCCCAGCTGCTTGGGAGGCTGAGGTGAGAGAATCACTTGAACCCAGGAGGCGAAGGTTGCAATGAGACGAGATTGCGCCACTGCACTCCAGCCTGGGTTACGAAGCGAGACTCCATCTCAAAAAAAAACAAAAGAGAGAGATGTACTTGTACTAGAACATTTGGCATTTCAATTTAAATCACTAAGAAATCAATAAAATCTTAGTTTTGCTTGTGGTTGAGTAAAATCGGTTAGTAAACCATTGGTCTTAACTGTAATTTTTTGGGCAATCATTTTAACTGTAAGGACAATGGATATGTTTTTAGAATTATGTAAGCTATGAATGATCATATGATGCTGTCAATCACAGAAATTAAGTAGTGTCAGAAGTTTTCATGCTGGTGTTTTCCCCACGTCCTCTGGTACCAATGCAAAATTTTTCAGTAGCAAGAAAAATATGTGATGTTTTGTATTCATAAAATATGTTGCTTGAAAAATTTTGAAATACATGATTTTGAAAATGGGTTAATTAACCTAGTCTGTATTTACCTAGCAAAATAGAATGAAAATTTATTACCTCATCTCTCACTGCTGGTGTTCTGTCTGGATAATACTTCAGCAGAAGCATTCTGTTGTTTTGTTTTTAGGATGAGAAAAAATAAACAATACTGATGTACTTTCATTCAATCTCTTATTATGCAATCACTCAGTTGTACTTTTAGTTAGAATACAAACTACATGGTGCTTTGAGAAATGAGAATGTGTCTTGGAGTGTGGAGAGTTGATTTTCTAGGAGCGCCCACCCCATTGAAGATGGATGTGTGCAATATTGGTTATGAAGCAGAAGTTATTATCTCCTGTGTCACTCTGCCAAGTGATTCTGATTAGCAGGCCCACCTTCATTCCTTGCCGTGACACTGTGTTTTCTTCTAATCGGCCTCTGTACCTGAGGTCAAATCTGGCTGCCATACATTGTTCTAATAGATATTGCCACAAAGTAGGTGGCATTTTGAAACTATTTCTGAGCCTCAGTTTTTTAATCTATAAAATGGTTGTATTGCATTAGATGATCCTCAGGGTTCCTTGTAGCTCCAGCATTCTATATTACTTACGTTTTAAGTCTATGGTATTTAGAAATCTTTAATTTGAGACACCCAGATTTCCTTCCTCCATGTTACAAAATATTTTTAGAAAACATAGCATTTCATGGGGATTTTCATCTCCTTATTGCTTCGCAATTAGTGGATTCTGAAACCAGATTACAATTACATGTTGTTTTTTCCACGTTTTGTACACTGGCTTTTGAAGTACATTTTTTGCCACTACAGTAAAAGTAATGACTTAGAAGTATAATTTTCCACCACCATCAGAAGCATCTTTTACGGCCCAGTGTGACAGAGTTTCATGGAATGAGGATTTCACGTAAATTAGTAGCGTATTATTCACACCTTGGCATTAGGGAAGAGCCAGCATTTTAATACTTCCGAAGATCTAAGAATTCTGGCTTTGATGTCCATAGTACGTGGATCTCCCTGAATGCATTGTTTTGCCCCTTAGATCTCTCTCCTGTGCCTTACTAGGCTTACGAGTAGTGACTTAGAAGATCTTAGTTCTTGTTTAGGTTTAATGTCAGGAGGCAGGAAAACACCAGGAGCAACTGCAATTTTAAACAAATGTTTAAAGAGCCCTACTTTCAAATTTTTGTACCTAAACCGCTCATTCTCTGAGACTATTTTTTTCCTGTGAACATTGTATACATTTCATTCAAGATACGGATTCAACAATTTGGAGAAACTTTGACTCAGTGCCAAGCATTGCTAGATATTTTCAGACATACATTGTCACTCAAATTAATTGATGTCAGTGTTGGTTTCTGAGCAGTAATTCAGCACAGAATTGATGTGTTAAAAACAAATGATTGAAATGGTTCACATGATGGCCTCCGTCTTGTACCTTGTAGTATCTTCATTCACTCACACTTTATTTCAAGTAAGTGACCTGACATGACTGGACCTGTGCCAAATTCTTATCAATATTGGGAAGAAAAAAATGCCCAACATGCCGACCCTGCTGATAAAGGATGAGTGGGGTCGTATCTGCATTTAGTGGAAGCATCATACCACCCATATTGAATTGTATAGCATCTCACATATTTTAAGTATACTTGTAGTCATATCTAGCATCCATAAGAAATACATGAGGATCTTTTTTCCGATTTTATAGGAAAAGAAACTGAAGTTCAGTATTTGCCAGTAGGGCTTAACACAAAACTCATTCAGTTTTGGACTCTTCAGCGCTTCATTAAATAAAATACCATTTTGCTTGGCACAGATAAGGATGTTTTTTACAGTGTTACAGTTTTCGTACACACTGGTAACTTTCTTAAAACCATCATGATGTGTTACCCAGAATGTTTTAACTTTGAATATTAGGTAATAAGAAATTAGTAATTATTCAATAAGTATTAATTGAATTGACTTGGATGATCATCGTCATTCAAGAGAATATTTTCCCTAAGTTTGTAAGTAGTGCTATATTTATGTTGACTTTTTAGTTTTACTTTATATGTTATTAATATGAGTATTGTTAACCTTGCAGAATGGTCGATGTAGGGGGCCAAAGGTCAGAGAGAAGAAAATGGATACACTGCTTTGAAAATGTCACCTCTATCATGTTTCTAGTAGCGCTTAGTGAATATGATCAAGTTCTCGTGGAGTCAGACAATGAGGTAAGTGTTCTTTAGACAGGCAATGGATTATCATTTTATTATCTGATACAAGTAAATGATAGAAAGTAGGGTGTGGGGAATGGAGTGAACTTACTTCTTTGCTTTCTTGAAATTTGATTTTAGGACTTTTAAAATAACCAAAAATAATCCTGTGGTAAGCTCTTCTGTCAGATGTGTGAGCAGGTCTTTGTGTTCAAATCTAATTAGAGCCTATTTGATACTTTTTAACACTATGCAGAGGTTCTGAAAATGAAAATAACATGGAAATCCTAGGCTAATCATCAGATCATTTTATAGTCTTCCTCCTACAGGATAGAACTGGGAGTGTTGGAGTGAGTCATCCTGTTTTGTTTTGTTTTCATTTTGTTTAAATCATTGTTTGTGTGATGGGTGTGTCCCAAAGAGTACTCAAAATCTCTCTTGGCAAATGTGAATGACTTCGCAGCTGGGCTCTAAATCAGTTCATTATGAACCATGGAATATCTTGGTGATGCGGCCTTTCTGCTCTTATAGAATTCTCTAGGCTGTTGCATAATTTTGTCTCTATTAAGCAGTGAGCAGTTGAAGAAGTATCCTTAATATGCCTGTCTGGAGAACAATTTCAGTATTGTTATCTCCTCCCTGTTACAGGGAAACTTAATAGGTGTAAATGTGGATTTTCAGGATGGTAAAGACCTGACGATGAATCGATTATGGAATATATTAAGGGATGTAGAAATCTGTACTTCTGAGCTGTAGTTGTGTGCATGTGTATGTGTGTGTTGGGGGAACGGGGAAGACACCATTGATATCCTGTTAGAGGCAGAGATTGCAGTGTGGTAGGTTAATAATAAATATTAAATATCCCAATAATAGGGTAGCAAAAAAGAAGGAAGTGAGAGATCCCCGTTTGCTGACTAAAATAGGATCTAGCATATTATGCTTTTAATACAGTACATTTTTTAGGTACACAAGAATTCCTGACTGGTTCTTTTAAATATTTTTCTGCCAGTATTAATATCTCCATTAAAATACATATCCAAGCTCCTATAGTATTTCTTTTATGTATAGGATTGATAAAGTTTCCGTGAACCAATGTCTATATAGAACCGAGAGTCACCTGTTCATGCATTTCGGAATCATTCCTGAGTTACAAGTATATTGGCTTTGGAGTTAACCAAATAACTTCTGTTTAAGAATGAGGCTTGTTTATCAATCAGTTGCCCCCAATAACTCTAAAGCAAAGTGCCTAAAAGCATGCTACAATATATGACAGTAAGTTACCAAGATACAAGGCAGTTACTGTCAGAATTTTAGCTATGATATCTTTATCTGTATATCTTTATGTCTGTGCTTGTTTGTTACATAATCCCTGGATGTAGTATTTTAAACATACTGCATATTTTGGGAGCAGATCTATTCTAACACTTCTGATTTTTTTGAATGTTGTGTCAAGACAAAAAAATATTTTGAGGGCTTCCCTACTATATGCTGGGTACCAGAGTATCTAAAAAGACACAAAAATGGGGAAAAAAATCAACTCTGCCCTAGAAGACCTTATAAACAAGATATGCTTTTGGTCAGAATAAGCCATAGGGGGAAAGGTAAGCCTTTGTTATGTAGGTTGTCATTTCTCTTCTTTAATTTGCCATCCAGTAAAATAAAATTTGCATTTATCAATTACACAAGAGATGTAAGAAGCAAATGTGAATTTATTTCTGATGTTTACATTATAGCTAGAGGAGGACAAGTGTTTATCAATACACATTTTCCACAAGATAAATGCATTATATATATATGAAGAAGTATATGTCATGATGTAATACTTATCAATTTACCACTTCAAAATTATCAAAATAGAAAAGAAAGTAGAATCCTTTGGCAACTCATCAGCTAATTCAGTTCAACCGAATTGAATCTGGTTCTTCAGTTATCTGAACATTACAGATCATTTATTCCATTTTTCCTCAGACATAGCTAATAGTGACTAGATTTTTATATAAAAGTATATTATGTTAATTAGAATAAAATGGCATCGTTTTTATTATCATGTGTCATAATTAAAGTTCCCACAGTAACTTGACATTCAATGTACAGGTACTAAGAACGTCTAAAAATATTGTCCCAGTTCCTTTGATTCCTGTGGTGATGTCTTATGCTACTTTTAAATAATTACAAATTAAAATAATAAAGCTATCATTTTTTCATTAGGACTCCCTAATCACTTGTGAATCTTTTGAAAGTCTAGGTAATTCTATAAGATGAAAGTCAACTTGTACGGTGTTCCTTTCTGAGACCTCTAGTCAAGCCTGATGATAGTATGGGATCATGAGAAAAGTGCTGTTCATTAATTCCTTCATCCATATTAGCCACAGCTATCACTGTCTGTAATTAGGAAGTACTGTCAAAAAAATATTTTTTAATGTTGGGATGTAGTCTCATTACCCCTTTTTTTCCCCAGTTGTACTAATGTATGATAATGTCATTGCCTCTCAGCTTCCTTAATCATTAAGAAAATTCAGAACTACAGAATTCTAGTTTCCCCAGATTTTTTGGTTTTGGTGAGACAAAACTGAAATAAACTCCAGAAACATTTTGTTCTTGGTTTAGAAGTCTGATGTTCATAACTTTAATCCAAAGCAGACTTTGTTGTGCCTCCCTCCCTTGGTATATATTTGTGAGAAAAACCTAGGAATGGATTCTGACAGCTTTTCTTTCTATCCCAGGAAACTGTGGAAAATGCATTGCAGACCACAGACAAAAGCAGCTAAGGGAAGCATTTTAGATTATTGCTTTTGCTTTTTAATATTTCTAAAACCTTATAAATCTTCATAATTTTATGTAGGTCTGCTTTTGTCTGCCTAGATTCTCAGCCTTTCTATTGTTTGGGGAATGAATTTCTTTTTTCCTTCAAAGAAGGAAATACATTATCAAATAGTGGCTAGAATACCCAGGGTGGTAGAGCTGTGTTGATTTGCGTATTCCCTTTACTGTCTTATTGATGTGTGTATTCCCTTTGCTGTCTTATTTTCCCTGTGATAACACACCAGCATGGAATCCACTATTCTGCTGTAATCCTTTCATGGGTATGTTATTTCAGTGCTCCTGAAAGCCCAAAGCACACAATAAGACATGCTTATAACATATTTTAGTTTATCAGTGTGTATCCAAACACTGCCTTTTAATCTTTATTTTTCTGATTTTCTGTTTCATGAATATCTGAGCACTACTACAAAGATGTTTTCTCAGACATTGTCTCAATGACTGTCTTCCAGGCTAAGCTCTTTATAGAATCTCAAAGACTGAGACCTTTTTCTCCTCCATGTCCTCTTTGAATGTGAGCTTTGAATTTATTAATCATCTTGAAATGGTCATGAGGAATTATGTTATCATTTTATTAAAACGTCAAGATAGTTCTCCCTACCCTAGGCCCTCCTTGATCAAGGTGGATTCCCTGACCTTGGTTTCCATAAACATGTATTCATCCTTCAAACCTGATTTTTGAAGTTGCTCAATTGATAAAAGGAAAGCATAGACGTTTATAATACCTTAGCACTTTATACCCAAAACTTGCTGAAGCTGCTACTCATCAGAATCTACCAGCTGACCTCACCGTGGCGGGGACAGATCAGGTTTGCTGGTGTGCGTCATAACGATGAGGTTACAGGAATGAAGAGATGAAGGCCTGTGGCCAAGGTCACTGAAGGCCAGGTCCCCTGCCCTTCCAGACCAGCTTTCTTTCCCTTCCCTCATAGTGTCTTCTAGATGTTAGAGACAAACTTAAAGAAAAAGCAAGAGGAGCTATAAGGCAGCAAAGAGGGTGGAAGTAGAATGAAAATCCTGCCCTTTCATGAAGGAGTTGAAATAACTCTCCTCTACCTCTAAGCTCTTCTTACACCAATTGGTAGTAGTAGACCAGCCAGAGATCCTTTACCAGTCATTTAGAGTTCCTGTATTGCTCATTTGATTTTGAACTATCTTTAAACAATTAGTCTAAAATATGCATTTCCTTTGGATCCGTCTCTTCTGGTAGGTTTTAAAATGAAGCCATTTTGAAGTTACTCAGCTGCAATCAAAATTTGAACATTTTCTTTAAAAGTGTGAAACATGTACTTTGTTCTGCTCTAAAAATTGTTGAGTGAGCTTTTGGGAATTTTCTTCAGATAACATTCAGCTTTGCGGGGAAAACCTGACTAAAAATTGAGGAGAAAAAAACTCAAATCGCAAAGGAAAGACCTAAAGAACATTTATAAGTAGTTAAAAGTAAAAGCTTAGGTTAAGATATCTGGTCTCTGATCGTTAATTGAATTGAATCAAGCCCGCCTTTATCGAATCTTAATCAAATTAGGCCTTTGGTACACTTGGCTTGGATTCATGACCTGATTCATAAGGCTATTCCTGAAAGATGCCTAGCATTTTAATATTTAACCTCTTTCCTCTTTCCTCATTACTTTGTTCATTTTCAGTCACTTGTCCCTTTTTTAAACTCCTTCTCTCACCTTTCATTCTTTGGCTTTTTTTTCTTCCCTCATTATTGTACTCCTTCTTCATCTCTTTGTTCTCCTTGCTTCCCTTACGCTAGAAGGAAGTTTTCTGATTACCCAATTATGAGTTTGAACCAGAGACCTGGAGTTAGTGCTGATCCGGGTATAGGGAAGCAGACACACATGAACACTTTTTGTATGCATATAAATTGGAAAGGTTTTAAAGAATTTACATTGAATTTATACAGTATAATCTATGCAATAGCTTTTTTAAAAGATGAATTATGTGAAAAAGGCCGATTGTGGAATAGTGTATTTAATATAATGCAATATTTGTAATTACAACTAATTATGAATATAAAATTATTATTTGGATGGTTATTCACCCCTCTGCAAAAAAGAAAAGAATTTGGAAGATTTTCTACCAAGGCTAAGGTGTAAACAGTGATTGTCATTGTCACTAGGTAATAGCATTAGAAATAATAATTTAAATGATACTTTTTTTAAGGTAAAATAAAATAAGCCTTCAGTTTGAGAATTTTAGCTCTACCATTTACCAACTTTGTCCATTTTTCCTTTGGGTTATCTTTTTCTTACTAATTTATAGGGGTTTCTTATTTTCTTTGGATGTGAGCCTTTTGTATATGTATACAAATATCTTCTTCCACTTTGTAGCTTGCCATTTATTCTCCTCATGGTATCTTTTGATGAACTGAAGTTATAAGTTTTAATGTAATTAAATTTGTCAAAATTTATTTTTATGGTTATATGTTATTTTGTGTGTAGCCATATATTCCATGCCCAGTGGGATAAAATAAATCACATGAAAAATCTGGATGAAAGGACAGTAAGGATTGGATGGTGAGATTAAGAATTAAAATAAGAACCATACAATTGTGTACCTTTCCTAATGGTAGGCCACAGATTTAATCAAGCATCTCTTAGCAACCAATGAAAGGAGATAATCACGGCCTATTGCAAGAGTCACTGTGTCCTTAACATAAAAAAGAAATAGTTACTCAAATTAGCTTCTTCAGGTACTGAGCCCCAAGTGACTTCTCCTGCAGCTTGAGAAGGAGATGCCATGGAAGGAAGTAAATCAGATTCATGATAATATCCCTCGAGGGAACCAAGTGTTAGAATTCATAAGGGCTGTTTCTTTAGCTTCCCTCAGTGACAGTGCCATAACATAAAAGCGTGTGATAGGCTTATACCGTGTGGTCTAAATACACAGTTTGAAACAAGAATAAAACTTAGAATAGCTTGGAAAATGGGTTTTGTTTACTTCTATTTCTATAAACTGTTTGAGTGAGAGAAAAGAGTATATAATTATAGAGAACTTAAAATAATGACCTACCTGCTTCCAATTTTCATTTTTCACACAAGTAAAATGATACAGATAAAATTAAAGACTATGTGTAGCCCTCCCTGATTCATTTCTCTCCTTCCCCAGAAGCCACTGGCCTCATGTTGGCATTTATCATTCCTAGGCATAGTTTTTCACTCTTTTACTACATGTGTATGTGTCACTGAGCAATACTGGATTCTAAATATTATGCATGATTATACATTTTATTAAAATGGTTTCATTTTGCAATTTGGTCTTTTTTCACTTAGCATTGTTGTTGAGATTTTTTTTCATGTTGCTACACATGACTCTGTTTCATTTATTTAAACTACCATGTCACTCTATTACGTGACTGTTCCCTGCTGTGTTTCACATGCTCCTTAGCCAGTTGGGTTGTTTGTAATGCACATTACCTTTTCCTAGTCTTGCTTGGTCTCCCTCTCACCCCAACCCCTAAGGAGTTTTCTTTTTGTTTTTGATATATACACAATTGAAAATGTCTTCTGGAAATACTGTTACACATATGGAAATTATCTGTCACTACATGGTTTGTCGTTTTCATTTTGTTTATTTTGCAGAAGGGTTTTGGGTGTGTTTTGTTTTGTCTTGTTTTGTTTTTTGAGACAGAGTTTCACTCTTGTTGCCCAGGCTGGAGTGCGGTGGCATGATCTTGTCTCACTTGCAGCCTCTGCCTCCCGGGTTCGAGCGACTCTCCTGTCTCAGCCTCCCAAGTAGCTGGGATTACAGGCACGCGCCACCATGCCCGGCTAATTTTTGTATTTTTAGTAGAGGTGGGGTTTCACCATGTTGGCCAGGCTGGTCTTGAACACCTGACCTCAGGTCATCCACCTGCCTCGGCCTCCCAAAGTGCTGGGATAACAGGCGTGAGCCACCATGCCTGGCCAGCAGAAGCGTTTTAATTTAATGTGATCAACTCACTCATTTCTTTTATTGGTTATATTTCTGTGTTTTCTTCAAGAATTCTTTTTCTTCCCTAAGAATATGAAGATATAATCTCTTATTTTCTAGTAAAATTTATAAGGTTTTGCTTTTCATAGGCTTCCTGCATACATATAATTGATTTTGTGCATGGTAGGAAGTAAGGATTTAATATTTCCTTGCTATTCTTCTATCAGTTGTGCCAATACCATTTATTGAATGGTAAGTTCATCCATCTTTTCTCCACTATTTTTACCTTTTTAATTGTGAAATACACACACATAAAGAAGAGTACACAAAAAATATACAGCAGTGGTTTATCACAAAAGCAAACATCTGTTTAACACCCCTGTCAAGAAACAGAACTTTGCCAAGACCATTGATGCCTGCAAGTGCCCTCTCCTACCAGGTAGCCACTATTCACTCAGGTAATTATTTTCCTTTTCTTGTTAGTTTTTTCCCCTCCCCGTTCTTTTCAGTTTTAACACTTAAATATGCTTCCCTAAATACCATTGTTTAGTTTTAACTTGTGTTTAACTTTTATACAAAGAGAATCAAGTAGTGTATTTTTTTAACCTTGCGTAGACAGTATGTTATTTTAAACTTTTTTATAAAGAATAGCAAAGAGTGTATTTTCTTTTGTGTCTAGATTCTTTTGCTCAATATTATGTCTGTAAGGTATATGCATTCTATGTAATTCACTCATTTATACTGTCGTGTAGTATTCTGTTGCATGAAAATTCCACAATTTACTTACCCATTTTACTATTTATGGACTTTCTGGATGTGTTTCCAATTTGGGGCTATTACAAATAATGCTGATGTGAATACTCAGTTGTGTGTCTCTTGTTGCACATAGGTGTACATATCTGGTGTATATGTACCTAGTAGTAGTATTACAAGCACATAGAGTAAGCATACCTTCAGATTTAATAGATAAAACCAAAGTATTTTTCCACAATAAATGAGCAAATTTACCCTCTCAGCAATGTCTGAAAGTTCCTCTCATTTCACATCTTTGTCAACCCTTGGCATTATCCGTCTGTTCCATTTTAGCCTTCTGGTGACTAGGTAGCTGAGCTGTGCCTTTTTACTCAGGCATATCTTCCTGGTGAATAGCTATAGTGCAATGCAAAGATGCTTCACTGGAGTCCCATCCCTTCAGCCTCTCAGCTGCTGCTTCCAGAATCAGCAAATATCTCCGTGGGAAAATTGACCCCGAATACTGGGCCCACTTCTCTAGACCTGTTCTTTCCCAAACCTTGGCCTGGTAATTCTTCACTACCTCTTAGTTCTCTGAGGCCTTTAAGCAGATGTATTTTTTAATTTGTTAACTCTTCTTTTTTTTTTTTTTTTTGAGACAGAGTCTCACTCTGTCACCATCTCGGCTCGCTGCAAGCTCTGCCTTCCGGGTTCACGCCATTCTCCTGCCTCAGCTTGCCAAGTAGCTGGGACTACAGGCACCCGCCACCACGCCCAGCTAATTTTTTTGTATTTTTAGTAGAGACTGGGTTTCACCGTGTTAGCCAGGATGGTCTCGATCTCATGACCTCGCGATCTGCCCGCCTCAGCCTCCCAAAGTGCTGGGATTACAGGCGTGAGCCACCGCGCCTGGCTTGTTAACTCTTCTAATTGTGCTCCTTCCCATTGATATTAATGACACATGTGACATGTATCAAGTTTTATTATATGCACGAGTCTTTCTCTGGGCTATTTGGTTGATCTGCTTCTGCTATACCAGTATAAAAGTTATCAAATCACTAGTTACAATAATCTTAATATCTAGTAGATGAAATCTGTCCATCTAGTTCTTTGGAGTTTTCTTGGTTATTGTCTGTCCTTTACTCTTCTATTTGAATTTTAAGATCAGCCCGTCAAATAAGTACTTCACAATTGCTTCAAATTGTGATTTCATATTTTGGGGTACAAAATTCTGTATTATGTCTTTTATAACAAACTATCTAATTGAATGATTTAAATTTTAATTTATTGTCTGCATGATCAGTTAACTGACAGGAACTGTCAGATACTGACAGTATTGTTATTGTTTTTAATAATGTTTTTATTGGCATATACATGTATAGAAAAGTATACAGATTATAAGTATTCAGCTTGATGAATTGTCACAAAGTGAACACATCCATGTAGTCACCATCTGCCACAATAAATAGATATTATCAGCAGCTCCCTCTGATGGTTCACAGGGAATACATATGTTCAACTGTGGTAGATACTGCCTGTATTAGCTTCCTAGGACTCTTGAAACAAAGCACCAGAAACACTGTGGGTTACAACAGAAACTTATTCTCCCCGGTTCTGGAGGTTAGAAGTCTGAAATCAAGGTGTTGGCAGGGCTAAAATTCCTCCGAAGGCTCTAGGGGAGAATCTCTTCTTTTTCTCTTCCAGCTTCTGGTGACTGTTGGCATTCCTTGTGGCTGCACAACTCCTATCTCTGACTCTGTCTTCACATGGCCTTCTCCTCTGTATCCACCTTCTCCTCTTCTGTGTCTTCTAAGGACTTGTCCTACAAGTGTGGGTGAGATTTAAGGCCCACCCACATAATCTAAGATGATTTCATCTCAAGATCCTTACAGCAAAGACCCTCTTGATAAATAAGATTGCATTCACAAGTTCTGGGGTTAGGGCATAGACATACCTTTCTCAGAGTCACTATTCAGCCCAATGACACTGCCAAACAGTTTAAACATTGGAAGAGTTGGCACTCCCACCAACAGTGTGTATGTGTTCTATTTGATCCATACCTTAGACAGCGTAGATCAGCTTTTAAATTTCAGACATTCAGGTGGGTGTATAGTAGCATATCATTGTGGTGTGAATTTGTTTTTCCCTAATTAAAATCAGATTGAGTACTTTGCCATGGGAAATATTTTTGAAGTGCTTATTTAATTCTATGTCAGTTTTCTGTTGATCTGCCCTTTTTATTATTAATATAGAGGAATTCTTTATAAATCAGTGATGCACGTCCGTTGTTAAGTTCACTGTTTTCAAATAACTTCTGCTGCTTCATGACTTGCCTTTTCACTACATTGAATTTATCAATCTTTTAAAATTTGTCTTTTATCATGTCCTCCTTAAGGAATCTTTCCCCCCAATTGTAGTGTATAACATTTATATTTTATAAGTGGATATTTTAGCATGCAGATTTTTTGTTTTTCAATTATATTATCTGCATAGTTTCACGTTTTATAAAGTTTGTCAATTCTGAATACACTGAAAAAATAATACCAACATTTTAACATCATAAACATTTGTACCTAACCACGGACATAAAATTTTTTGTCAACACTGAGATCACTTGGGTAGGAATAACCCGTTTATGTAATTTGGGAATTCTGGGGAAAATTGAAATATATTAAACTTTTATTTTAAGGTACACATTTATCTTAAATAGAATAAAATAAAAATACATGTAAAATATAAATTGTATACACTGTGTGATATATTATCAAATTACCTTACCAATCTAGTGTCATAAAAGTATTTTGTATAGCTTGGTTGGCTCATAAAAATATACCAAAATGGATCTCTGGCAGGGGAAAAAAGGAAGAACCATCCACTCACTTTTTTGTAGGAAAAAAAAACAAAAATTTCAGAGGAAAAACAAAATGTGCATTTGTTTTCCCCTCAATGACTTATTTTTATATCTCCCACTGTGATTGTAAACTTACGTATTTCTTCTTTTAATTCCATACTTCTCTATTTTTGAGGCTTCATTATTATGTGTGTTATTAGTGTGAAATTTTTTATATTTCTGATAATTTATTCCTTTTGTCATCAAGAATTTTTTTTAAGAGACAGGGTCTTGCTATGTTGCCCACATTGTCCTTAAACTCCTAGGCTCCAGTGATCCTCTCTCTTCAGCCTCCAAGTAGCTGGGAGCTGGGACTACAGCCATGAGCCACCATATCTGGCTCAAAAATAATTCTTTTTTAAAGTCAGAAGTGCTCTGTGCCAAAATAATGCGGTTATACAGGAAGCAAACTAGAAGTGCTAGTATCCTGCCTCTCAGCCCTAGGTTAGAAGACAGAACAAGATCCATGTTTTCCTAAGTAGTAATAACTGAGCAGTGGGAAGGTAGGTGGTGGCAGCAGCAAGGTCAGAGCAGCAGTGGGAGCCCGCACAGGCAGGCAGTGACTTGAAGAGGTTGGGACCAACGTGAGAAGGAAAGATGATATGAAAGAAGCAGAGTCTGTAGAGACAGAAGAGCCAGCTATAAAGGAAGTAGAAAATATTAAATTGAGTTTTAAAAAATAACGGCTTATTGAGATATATTCATATACCCAAAAAGTACCATTTTAAAATGAACAATTCAGTGACTTTACTGTGTTCACAGAAATGTACAGTCATTACCACTATTTAATTTTTTATACACACACATACTTTGTGTTGTAGAGGAATTTTAGGTTCACAGCAAGATTGAACAGAAAGTACAGAGATTTTCCCCTGTATCTTCTACCCCACATGCAGGAATAGCCTTCCCCACTATCAGCATCTGGAACCAGAGTGACAAATTTGTTACAATTCATGAAACTACATATATACATCATTATCACCCAGTTTACATTTGGATTTACCCTTTAGGTTGTATGATTGATGGGTTTTGACAAATGTAAAATGTTATATATTCACCATTATAGTGTTGTACAAAATGGTTTCACTGCCCTAAAAATGCTCTGTACTCTGCCTATTTATTTCTCCCTTCCCCCTGCCATTTGGCAACCACTAATCTTTCTGCTGTCTTCATAGTTTTCCCTTTTCTAGAATGCCAGTAGTTAGAATCATACAGTTTGTAGCCTTTTCAGATTGGCTTCTTCCATCTAGCTTCTCCTGATAAGTATTTGAAGTTCCTCCATGTCTTTTCATGGCCTCATCATTACTTTTTGGTACTGAAATAGTTCATTGTCTAGATGTAATACAATTTATCCATTCACTTGCTGAAGGACATCTTGGTTGCTTCCAAGTTTTGGCAGTTTTATGAATGAAGCTATAAACATTTATGTGCATGTTTTTATGTGGGCATGTTTTCAGCTCCTTTGGTTAAATACCAAGGAGCATGATTGCTGGATTATATGGTAAGAGTATGTTTAGTTTTTTTAAGGGAAACTGCCAAACTGTCTTCCAAAATGGCTGTACCAGTTTTCATTCCCACCAGTGATGAATGAGAGTTCTACTGCTCTACATGGCCACCAGCATCTGATGTGGTCAGTGTTTGGGATTTTGGCCATTCTAATAGGTGTGTAGTAGTACTTCATTGTGGTTTTTATTTGCATTTCCCTAATGACTTATGATACAGAACATCTTTTTATATTTATTTGCCTTCTATGTATCTACTTTAGTGAAGTGAACAGATGTACAAGTCTTTGGCACATTAGAAAATTTTGGAGCATTTTTAATTGAGTTGTTCATTTTTTAATTGTTACATTTTAAAAGTTCTTTGTATGTTTTGAATAATAATCTGGCTATAATCACTTAATATTTCCAGGAGATTTTTTTTTTAAGCTTTTCTTTTATTATTATACTTTAAGTTTTAGGGTACATGTGCACATTGTGCAGGTTAGTTACATATGTATACATGTGCCAGGAGATTTTAAGTTAGTTTTTTTCAGATGAGAACAGAGACAGTTTTCTTCCTTCTCAATCTGTGTACCTTTTATTTCCTTTTCTTATTTTATTACATTTGCTAGGACTTCCAGTTCAGTGCTGAAAAGGAGTGTTGAGAGGAGACATCCTCACCTTGTTCCTGATCTTAGAGAGAAAGCTTCTAGTTTCTCACCATTAAATATGATATTAGCTGTAGATTTTTTAATAGATGTTCTTTATGAAGTTGAGGAAGTTCTCTTCTATTCCTAATTTCATGCAAGTTTTTATCATGAATGGGTGTTGGATTTTGTCAAACATTTCTTCTGCATCTGTTGATATGACCCTATGATTTTTTTCTTAGCCTATTGACCTGTGGATTTCATTAATTGATTTCCAAATGTTGTACCTAGGTATCCCATTGCATACCTAGGATAAATCCCACTTGGCTGTGGTGTATAATTATTTTTATACATTGTTAGATGTGATTTGCTAATATTTTGTTGGGAATTTTATATCTGTGTTTATCAGAGATACTGGTCTGTAGCTTTCTCGGAATGACTTTGTCTGGTTTTGGTATTAAGTTAATGCTGGCCTCATAATGAGTTAGGAGGTATTCCCTCCTTCTGCTTCTATCTTCTTAAAGGAATTGTAGATAATTGCTAAGATTTCTTTCTTAAATCTTTGACAGAAGTGACAGTAACCCCTATATCTATAGCCAACTGATTTTTGACAAAGTTCCAAGAACATACATTGGGGAAAGGACAGTCTTTTCAATAAATGGTGTTGTGAAAAGCTAGATATCCACATGCAAAAGAATGAAACTAGACCCCCACGTCCCACCCTTTACGAAAATCAACGCAAAGTGGATCAAAGACCTAAATATAAGACACAAAACTGCTAGAGGAAAACATAGGGGAAACATCAGGACATAGGTCTGGGAAAAGATTTTTTGAATAAGATTTCAAAACCACAGGCAACAAAAGCAAAAATAAATGAGATTATATCAAACTGAAGAGTTTCTGTGCAGCAATGGAAACAACAGAGTAGAAAGAACCTACTGGATAGGAGAAAATATCCGTATTCATCCAACAGGGGGTTAATATATATCTAGAATATACAAGGAATTCAAACATCTCAACAGCAAAAAAAAAAAAAAAAATCCAATTAATACATGAGCAAATGATCTGAAGAGACATTTCTCAAAGGAAGACACACAGTCAACAAATACATGAAAAGGTACTCAACATTACTAATCATCAGGCAAATGCAAATTAAAACCACAATAAAGTATCATCTCACCCCACTTAGGAAGGCCATTATCAAAAAGACAAAAAATAGCAAATGCTGGTGAGGATGTGGAAAAAAAGGAACTTTTGTACACTATTGGTGAGAACGTAAACTAATATAGCTGCTGTGGAGAACAGTACAAAGGTTCCTCAAAAAACTACAAATAGAACCACAATATAGTCCAGTAGTCTCACTATAGGGCCTTTATCCAAAGCAAAGAGAAGTTATTATATCAGAGAGATCTGCACCCCCATGTTGACTGCAGCACTGTTCACAGTAGCCAATGTATCAGTCTAGGTGCCTATCAACAGATGAATAGATAAAGAAAATGTAGTATGTATGTACACAGTGGAGTACCGTCCAGCCATAAAAAAAAAAAAAATGAAATCCTATCATTTGCAGCAACATGGATAGAATTGGAGGATATTACATTAAGTGGAATAAGCCAGAAACAGAAAGTTAAACACTGCATATGCTTATATGTGAAAAAAAACTGTAGATCTCATAGAAGTAAAAAGTGGAACAGAGGGTACTAAAGGCTGAGAAGGGTATGGGGAGGGAGAGATTTGTTAAATGATACAAAATTACAGGTAAATAGGTGGAATAAGTTCTAATGTCCTGTAGCACTATTTTAATGTAGTTCACAATAAAATGTTATATATTTTGAAATACCTAGAAGGAGGATATTGCATGTTCCCAACACAAAGAAATGATATACATTTGAGATGATGGATATGCTGATTACTCTCATCTGATCACTATGCATTATACATATTGCTATATTACTATGTACCCATAAATATGTATGATTATTATGTGCCAATTTTAAAACATTGTTTTATAGAAAAAAAGAGATCACCAGTGATTCCATCTGGGCCTGTTTACTGTTCGGGAAGGTTAATTGTTGTTCCATTTCGGTTACTGAATATAGGCCTATTCAGATTGTCTGTTTTATTTTATAGGAGTTTTGGCAAATTGTGTTTCAAAGAATTGGTCTGTTTTATCTAGGTTGTCAAATTTTGGGCATAGAGTTTTTCTAGTGTTCCTTGATTGTCCTTTTAACGTCCGTGTGATCTATAGTGATCACTCTTTGATTTCTGATACTAGTAATTTGTGCCTTCTCTTTTTTTTTTTTTTTTTTTTTGTTTTGTTTTTTAGTTAACCTGGCTAAAGGCGTATTTGTTTTATTGATCTTTTCGAAGAATCAGCTTTGGTTTCATTTTCTTCTGTTGATTTCCTGTTTTCAATTTCATAGATTTCTGCTCTAAATTTTATTACTTATTTTCTTCTGCATACTTCGGATTTACTTTGCTCTTCTATTTCTAGTTTCCTGAGGTGGAAATTTAGATATCGATTTTAGATCTTTCTTCTTTTCTAATATTTGCATTTAATACTATAAATTTGTCTCTAAGCATGGATTTTGTTGTATTCCACAAATTTTGATAAGTTGTATTTTAATTTTTCGTTTAGTTCAAAACACTTCTTAACTTCTTTGACTACCCATGTGTTATGTAGAACTGTATTGTTTAATTTCCATGTATTTGGGGATTTCCCAGTTATCTTTTGGTTATTTGTTTCTAGTTTCATTTCATTGTGGTATGAAAACAGACGTTGTATGATTTTCATTCTTTTAAATTTGTTAAGGTGTCTTTTATGGCCCATAATGTGGTCTGTCTTGGTGACTGTTATGTGTGAGCTTGAGAAGAATGTGCATTCTGCTGTTGCTGGATAAAGTAATCAACAGCTGGCCATTATATCTAATTGATTGATGGCATTGTTGAATACAGCTATGTTCTTGATTTTCTGCATGCTGGATCTGTTCATTTCTGATAGATGGATGTTGAAGTTTCTAACTGTAATAGCGGGTTTATCTGTTTTCCTTCTATCAGTTTTTGCCTCATGTTTTGTGATGCTCTTTTGTTAGGGATATACACATTAAGGATTGTTAGAGTTTTTTGGAGAATTGACCCCGTTATCATTATGTAAGGCCTAATAACTTTCCTTACTTTGAAGCCTGCTTTGTCTGAAATTAATACAGCTACTTGGGTATAGCTACTTGTCTTTTCATTAGTGTTAGCATCATATATATTCATTCATTTGTTTTTTATTCTATTTATATCTTTATGTTAAAGTGGGTTTATTATAGACAATGTATGTGGTTGTGGTTTTTTTTATCCATTCTGGCCATCTCTGTCTTTTAATTGGTGTATGTAGACCGTTCACATTTAAAGTGTTTAGTGATATATTGCAATAATATCTACCATGATCATTATTGTTTTCTAGTTTGCCCTTGTTCTTTATTCCTATTTTTGTCTTCCACTCTCTTTCTGCCTCTTATGGTTTTAACTGACCATTTTATATTTCATTTTCTCTGCTGTCTTAGCATATTCGTTATACTTCTTTTATTTTAGTCGTTGCCCTTGAGTTTGCAATGTACATTTACAACTAACCCAGGTCCACACTCAAAGAATACTATACTGCTTCATGGGTAGCACAAGTACCTTGTAATAACAAAATACTTTTAATTCCTTCTTTCCATCCCTTGTATTACTGTCATTCATTTCCCTTATATAGAGGAATACGTGTGTGTGTGTGTGTGTGTGTGTGTGTAAACGTGTAAAACTATGTATATATAAAAACATACATAATTGAACACTTGCTATTAGAGCTGTTATCTGTTAGATCAAATAAGTAAGAAAAATAAAAGTTTTTATTTACCTTCACTTATTGATGGATACTTGAGTTGATTATACTTTTTGGCTATTACAAATAATGTTGCTGTGAACATTCATGTACAATTTTTTCTGTGAACATACAATTCAAATTATTCAAATGGTTTTCTCTTCTCTTGGGTGTATTCCTGGGAGTAGAATTCCTGGATCATTTGGTAGTTCTATGATTAACATTTTCAGGACATACCAAACTGTTCTTAATGTGGCTATACCATTTTACAGTCCTACCAGCAATGTGTTAGCGTTCCAGTTTCTCCTTATGCTAGCCAACACTTGTTATTGTTTTTCTTTTTTATTTTAGCCATCCTAGTGGTTATAAGATGGTATCTCATTGTGATTTTTATTTCCCTAAAGGCTAATGGGGTTTTCAGGTGTTTATTAGGCATTTGTATCTCTTCTTTGGAGAAATGTCTATTTAGATCCTCTGCCTATTTTTAATAGACTTGTGTTTTTATTGTTGAGTTGTCAGAGTCCTTTATATAAAGGAGACTAGACTTTTATCAGAAATATGATTTGCAAATACATTATATTCTGTAGGGATTTCACTTTCTTTATAGTGTCCTTTGAAGCACAAAGGCTTTTAATTTTGGTGAAGTTCAGGTTGTCTATTTTTTATTTGGTTCTTGTGCTTTAGGTGTTATATCTAAGAAACTTGCCTAATCCAGGGTGACAAAGATTTACACCTATGTTTTCTCCCAATAGTTTTGGTAGTTTCAGCTCTTACATTTTAGTATATTGTTCATTTTGAGTTGGTTTTTATACAGATGCTCTTGATTTACAATGGTATTACAGTTTCTAATGAATATATATTGCATTTGCACTATCATAATGTTGAAAAATCTTAAATTGAACCATTGTAAGTTAGGACCATCTTTATATGGTATAAGAAAAGGCCCAACTTTATTCTTTTGCATGTGGTTTTCCAGTTGTCCCAGAACCATTTACTATAAGACTGTTCTTTCCACATTGGATTGTCTTGGCCCCCATGTTGAAAACCAGGTGATCGTGAACATAAAGTTTTATTTCTGAATTCTCAGTTCTATTACACTGATGCACATGTCTTTTTTTAAGTCAATACCACACTGTCTTTTGTAGTAAGCTTTGAAATTAGAAAGTATGGGTCCTTCACCTATATTCTTCTTTAAGATTGTTTTGACTATTTGAGTCCTTTACATTTCCACATAAATTTTAAGATCAGCTTGTGAGTTTCTGCCAAAAAAAAAAAAAAAGGCACCTGGGATTTGATAGGGATGATGTTGACTATGTAGATCAGTTTGGGGAATACTGCCACCTGAACATGCGAGAAGATGTATATTCTGCTGTTGTTCAGTAGCATGTTCTATTGATATATGTTAGCTGTAGTTGGATTACAGTATTTTTCATTGTGTTTTTGTTTGTGGATATTCTGCCTTTTTGTTCTATACATTATTGAAAGTGAATCTTGAAGTCTCAAACTGTTGTTGAATTGTCTGTTTCTTCTTTCAGTTTTGTCAATTTTTGCTTCATGTGTTTTGGGGCTCTATTGTTCAGTGCACAAATTGTTATTGCACTATTATTGCACATAAGCATACAATTGTTATGCCTACTTGATTGACTTAACCTTTATTATATGTACTTATTTGTCTCTAGTAATAATTTTTACCCTGAAGTCTGTTTTGTCTGATATTAGTCTAGCTCTCTTTTGGTTACTGTTTGCATGGTACGTCATCTTCTGTCCTTTTTCTTTCAATGTGTCTTTTAATCTAAATTGTGTCTCTTGTAGCCAGCATGTAGTTTGGTCATTTTCTAATTCATTTTGCCTATCTCTGTCTATTGACTAACGTATTTAGTTCATTTACATTTAATATGTTACTTTTGGTTTTCACAGCTACTGTGGCTGAGAAGCTGTTGGTTTTCTAGGCTATTGCAGAGCTGGAAAAGGGAGATGGGAGGAACACAAGTTGCACAAAACAAGCTATTGTCACCTAGATTCAGCTGTTTTTCTTGAATAAATGTTATGTTGTTGCAAGCCTGTGGTTAATTTCCAGATATCTGAAAAAGTTGATATTGACAATTTTTGCCACTTTTGTGGAAAGATAGATTTTTAGAGGTCCTTATTCCACCATTCCATAAGTTTGTCTCTAAATTGAATTTTTTTCTTTTTCTTTTCTTTTATTTTTTATTTGTTTGATACAGAGTCGTGCTCTGTCACCCAGGTTGGAGTGCAGTGGCACATTCTCGGCTCACTGCAGGTTCCATCTGCTGGGTTCAAGTGATTCTTGTGCCTCAGCGCCCCAAGTATCTAAACTGAATTTTAAAAGTAAATCTCAGCATGCCATAATTACGGAAACACAATTGATGAGTGAAAGTGCCTTTTTACTTGCTAGAATGGCAAAGATAAAAAGAGAGATGAGGAGGCTGGGCGTGGTGGCTCATGCCTGTAATCCCAGCACTTTGGGAGGCCGAGGCAGGCTGATCACGTCAAGAGATCGAGACCATGGTGAAACCCCGTCTCTACTAAAAATACAAAAAAAAATTTAGCTGGGCGTGGTGGCGGGCGCCTATAGTCCCAGCTACTCGGGAGGCTGAGGCAGGAGAATGGCGTGAACCCGGGAGGCAGAGCTTGCAGTGAGCTGATATCACGCCACTGTACTCCAGCCTGGGTGATAGAGCGAGACTCTGTCTCAAAAAAAAAAAAAAAAAAGAGAGATGAGGAGAAGTGAACATTCTTAGATACTGTTAATAGGAGGATAAATTGGTACAATCTGCCAGTAGTATGACAATATATAAAATCTTTTGAGGTGTTTATACCCTTTGATCCAGTAATGCCACTGGTAGAAATGTTATTGCTAATTGTAGTTAGTAGGTTACATGTCCCAAAGACAACATTGCTCAAAGTTGTTAACAATGAAAATAATTAAATTATCCAATTGTAGGAAATCGATTAACAAATTCAGAGTACACCTAAAAAATAAAATACTATGCAGATGCTAAAAATGGTAATATAGATGTATAATTAATATTGGACAGAAAGTCGCTCATGATATATTGATGTAAATAATTTCAAAACAGCACGTACAGCATGCATCTGATTTTTAAAGACATATAATACAGATATTTATTATAGGTGCATACATATATGCCTGGAAGATTAATTCAGACTGTTAGCAGGGATTATTTCTGAATAGTTGGGGTAAAGGTCATTTTGTTTTTATGTTTTATTTATTTTACTTACCTGCATTTTTAAATTTTTACATGAACAATCCATTTTACATGGATTAAAGAAATAATGATTATCTTAAAAGATAAGAAATCTTAAAGATTAAAATCTAATAAAATAAAAGTAAGCTGAGCTGGGCATGGTGGCTCAAACCTGTAATGCCAGCACTTTTGGAGGCCAAGGCAGAAAGATGACTTCAGGCTAGGAGTTGGAGTCCAACCTGGACAACAGAGTGAGACCCTGTCTCTACAAAAAATATAAAGAAATTTGCTGGGCATGTGGTACACACCTGTAGTCTTAGCTACTAGGGAGGCCAAAGCCAGAGGGTCACTTGAGCCCAGGAGTTTGAGGCTGCAGTGAGCTATGATTGTGCCACTACACTCCAGCCTGGGTGACAGAGCAAGAACCTGTCTCTCTATTTTTTCTTTTCTTTTATTTTTTTAAAAGGCATTTTAGGCAGCTTTCTCTTTTTCTGATTGGTTTCAGAAAGATAAGATGCAGTTACAAGCAAATGGAGAAATTAAGTACAAATGTCTGGTCCGAGAAGCTTAGCAAACGTAGCAGTATTAGTTCTAACATCCATTTTCTGTCAATTTATTGAAAATATCTTCAAAACTGATACATCTTTTAGAAGTAATACAAATTAAAGAGTTCATTGAAATAAAGGAGATAGTTTTATGACACCAAGATTTATCTCCACACTTGTTCCTTCATCTTAGATGGAACAAATGCAGAGAGTGTAAAGCTTAAAATAACTATATGCTCTACAATGTAGATAATCAAATGAAAATGCTGTGGTCTCAAAGCCAGAGGAATGTGGACCACTTTGGTGGCCAAATTTAACCAGCTGAGGTCTTTCTTGAGTACCATCTGAGTCTTCCTTTTTAAAAAAAAAAAAGAAGAAGAAGAATTTGTCTTTTAGCAGGGAACCTACATTTTATAAAACTTTAAATCATTTGCTGTGGCTTTGTTATTCTATAATATCACTTTGGTTGGGACACCAAGCTCAATAATTAATAAAGGGTCTGGATTTCGTGAAATGTTCTTCAGAGAGCCTAGATTAAGATCCAGGGGCAGTATAATATATGTGCCATTCTTCAGGTCTTATTCTGCCTCAGTTAAATCTCCTACAGTAACATCTCTAACATGTTTTCACACGGGAACCTATGAAGAAAAGCAGCATATTTTTGAATTGCCAATGAATATAATGTGAATCGTCACTTTAAAATGGGAACAAGAAAAAAGTGTAGTGTCTTTTGTGGAACATTAGTCAACTGTGAGGTACAAATCCAAGGCAGTCCCTGAAGAGACAACAGGGAAATAGAATCAGACTATCTTGGATTAAATCACAGCTTCACTCATTTCAGGCTGGTTAATCTTGCACAAGTTAATATCACTGTGCCTCCCTCATAATGTGAAGAATGAGGATATCATTACTCTTAAAGCGCTGTGAGGATTATTAAAATAGATAACATACAAACTTCCTGGAACACACAGATGTTCAGTAAATTATAGTTCATACTATCAATTTTAAGGTACTGTTATTACTGTTGGTGCTAAGTTAGTGTTATAACTTTCATTTGGAAACATTATCATCTATGGCTAATTCTGTCTTAAGAGAACTCTTTGATTTGACATTTATGCCTCACAGCCAGAGTCATAAGCTTAATCATTATTTGTTAAATAAGATTAAAATATGGGGAAAAGTATTATTTGTGTAAGTGCTGAAAAATAAAGAAGCTTTGGTTTAAGAAAATTTCTTTTACAATAAGAGAATGAAAAGGTTTAACATGCCCAAAAAAAGGGACTGAAAACAATATTTTTAAGATACAGCTACTAATATTTATAACAAGCTTGTCCAACCCATAGCCTGTGGGCCTCACGTGGCCCAGGACGGCTTTGAATGCAGCCCAACACAAATTTGTAAACTTTCTTAAAACATGAGATTTTTTTTGGCGTGTTTCTGTGGTTTTTTTGTTTTTGTTTAGCTCATCAGCTATCTTTAGCATTAGCGTATTTTACATGTGGCCCAAGACAGTTCCTTCTCTTCCATTGTGGCCCAGGGAAGTCAAGAGATTGGACACCCTTGATCTATAACATATATTTGTTATCTGTTTACATGTTCTATTACAGTGTTTGTATTAGTCATGGCTTTGTTGTTGAAAAAAGACAAAAATTCTCACAGACTAGCTGACGTAACCAGGAAGAACCAGGGTGAAGATGCTTTATTAGTACCTTGAACCAGGAGTTTGGTTGGGAATCTCTTTCTCTCTTCTGATTTTTGTTTTGTTTCTCCTCAAACAGTCCTGAATTGTACCTGCTCAGCCTTGCAACCCAAGAGAAAAGGGAGTTTCTATTCCACTCCAAAATGGAAAATCCCACCGAAAGGGGATGTAGTACTAGGTTTGTCTCAGTGTAAATTAATATTGACCCCAGTGGTCAGAGGCAGAATGTATTCCAGGAAGATTGGGGGCAGGGAGCAGAGCACACTTGGTGGAGAAAAACAATGGCCAGGTACCAATCTTTTCCAACCTGGGAGTTTCCGCACAGCAGTGAATTGGGACCATTATTGGGCAGTGAATTCCATATGATGGGGTCATGAGCAGCATCTTTAAAAAAGTGAAATAAATACATTTAAATGAAATTGAATAGAAAATGTTAAAGGATATCACAGTCAGGTGAATTATTGTTTCATGAAACTTTCGTTTCCATTATATTTACATGTGTGTGGGTTGGGGGACTAGGTACAATATAAAACATAGTTGTTAATATGGGTCATAATTTTTAAAGTTTACAGGTCTACACCGTACAGTGCTCTTCAATTGTAAACTACTGTTGTCAATGGGAAGGTAATCTGCTTGCTACTAGGATCTTATTCTTCACTCCAGTCCAGGCATTGGGCGGAAGGGTGAATGCAGAGTGGCACACAGCAGCAGATGGGAATTAGCTGGCTCCTCAGCCTTCCAGGGTGGGTTTTTTTTTGTTGTTTTTGATTGGAGAGTCCAGGTGGGTGGTTGCTGTTTTTCCCCCTTTCTGTGACACAATTTAAGGTAAAGTAATTTTCAGAAACAACCATAGCCATAAATTCAGCTCAATTTGTATGTTTCAGTATGCAACATTTCTTCCACTAACAGGGCCAGCTTCACAGACATGCAACCTCATGCAGTTCCACAGGGCCCTGCACTTGGTTTAATACTCTTCTGTCTGTGGCCATCTTAAACAAGGACCCCACATTTTTATTTTGCACTGGGACCTGCAGATTCTGTAGCCAGTCCTGTCCACTAAACACTAAAATGAGAGATTGGTAGTCCAGAATCATTTTTTTCCCATACCCAGAGAGCTGCAGACATCCTTGTCTTCGCCTGTGCTCACAGAGCACGTGATACTTAACAGGAGGAATATATCTCTCATTTTCTGTTAAATTTAGTTTCACCTGATGCCTCTTAATTTTAATTCTCTTTTAGAAAATGACACTAAACGTGCTCTTCCTGATTAATTTGCAGCATGTTAATATATACTCTAATTAGCAGCTGATTTCCTGCCTCACTTCCCCAGTGGTACCAGGCTGATGTGCCCAATGAGGGCATTCAGAACTAATCATTGAATCCATGGCAGCCCAAACTTATAGTTTAATATATGCCCCACTTCTCCCATCCCCTTATGGCCCCCACATCCCTTAAATAGACTGTCAACTTACTAAAAGGAAAGAGATAGCATAGAATTTAAAAGAGCTTGCATTCAGGTTATGTGTTCATTAAACTGAGTTTCTAAAGTAGGTGTTAGTGATACCAGTGATTCCTCCTCTTCTCATCTTAGGGTTGCCCATTGAACTGGGATAATGGATAGACCCACTTAACCTCCAAAAACCGACTTACTAAAAACTATGTAAGAACTGGGTGAAATGTTTTATTTTTCATGATCTGAAAATATTTTTCAGAAAATGAAAAATGTTTTATTTTTTTCAGAAAATGAAAAATGTTTTATTTTTCATGATCTGAAAAATAAAAATCTTAAGCAGTGTTATCTTTGCTTTGTGATTAAATTTCCAAATCGCCTGGTGCTCATTAAGAATTCCTGTGGCACAGATACAAAACATATACAATCTTTTTGTTTTGTTTTAATTCAGCACTCACTAAAGTGACCAGAGGTCCATGATGTTCAATTTTCCTCCCACTGAATAGCAAGTTCTTGCCCGAGTTCTTGCTCTGGGACTGGTTAAGCCAAGAGGAAAAGCTTATAAAATGTTTGAGGTAATTTAGGGCAGTCCGAGCCATCTGACTAAATGATTCACAGGTTGGAATTTCAGATGCTAGTTCACATAGAAGTAGAGCTGCTTCCGAAGGGAAAGACAGTAACGAGAAAACACTAGTGGGAGGATCTTTTCCGACAAAGGCCTGTTGTTGACACTAATAATAAGCTCCCTGTGTTTTGTTGTTGTTTTTTATTCTGGCAGGCACTGGCCTCGAGTTTTCTGGTTTCAGCTAAGATTGTGTTTTTTGGGGTCTTGGGATGGGAAGTGAAGCCTTTACCTGTCTTTCCACAAATCCTGCAAGCACTGGGCACATTATAAACTAACCAGCATCTAATTGGATACAATTTCTGTTGATTATCAGACTGAATAAATGTTCATCATTACATGTTGTGTTCTTTCTCCTCTTATCCACAGAGAAAAAACCCTATAATTGTAAACCTAACTTTGTTGAATTATATACACATACATATAACCCTCGAAACCCTGAAATTCATTTAGAATTCTTAATATCCTAGACCATATGCTAAATTCTCAAACCTGAAATTTCTCAAGTTATACCAATCATTTCACTAATTATTCAGTACCATTCACTAGTGTGCATCATTATGAGGAAAAGCTGCTACTTGTTGTTATTTCATTACCCAAATACACAATCCCCACTAAGAGTTCTTGTCTTGGCCAGGCGCGGTGGCTCACGTCTGTAATCCCAGCACTTTGGGAGGCAGAGGCGGGCAGATCACGAGGTCAGGAGATCGAGACCATCCTGGCTAACACAGTGAAACCCTGTCTCTACTAAAAATACAAAAAGAATTAGCCAGACATTGTGGCGGGCGCGTGTAGTCGCAGCTACTTGGGAGGCTGAGGCAGGAGAATGGCATGAACCCAGGAGGCAGAGCTTGCAGTGAGCGGAGATCGCGCCACTGCACTCCAGCCTGGGTGACAGAGCGAGACTCCATCCCAAAAAAAAAAAAAAAAAAGAGTTCTTGTCTTTTTCTACTAAAGAAAAGGGTCATTCTTGTTGGAATTATTACAGTCTGCATTCGTTTTCTTTTCAACCGAGTAGCATAGTCTCAGTAGATAAGAAACACGTGCATTCTTACCTCACCTTCTTCCTGCCTGTGTTACAGAATTATGTGAATATTGAATGGAGTTTGCAGTTCCCATTTCCTTCCTCCAGCAGCTGTGCCCACCCTTTCAATAATGTTTGGCAGATTAGTTCTTCTTCCTTTTTTTTTTTTTTAAGGTAGTCTTGTGCTGTCACCCAGGCTGGAGTGCAGTGGCGCAATCTCTCAGCTCACTGCAACCTCCATTTCCCAGGTTCAAGTGATCCTCCCACCTCAGCCTCCCAAGTAGTTGGGATTACAGGCGCATGCCACCACCCCTGGCTAATATTTTTATGTTTTGGTAGAGATGGGGATTCACCATGTTGGCCAGGCTTGTCTCAAACTCCTGACCTCAAGTAATCCACCCATCTTAACCTCCCAAAGTGCTGGAATTACAGGCAGCAGTCACCGCACCAGGCCGATTTGTTTTTCTAACAGTTGTTTAGCTGTCTAACATGAGGTGCTACTTCAGTGGGGTTCAAGGAGCAAAGGTTTACCTTGCCCTCTGTCTTCCCAGGCAACACAGTTCCTCCTTTTTATTGGTGTCTGCATATCACTGGCAGAATTAAGGAATTCTCAGTGCTAGCCATCTCATTCTACTTTGTTATCAGAGTGAGTTTATTCAGAATTTACTACTCAGTCAGAAACTCCACTCAGAACATTTTGGAGTCATAAATAATGTTACAGGAGAAATCTTTATGATGCCAACACCAAGAGTGCCCTGGAACATCTTCAGTAGCCCAGTCTAAGACTACTGCTAACCGAGAGGTCTCTCCAAGCTTCAAAATCCACCAGGTTGCTTTAGGACTCCTGAGTGGTTTAGCAGTGTTGAAGTAGAACCTGTAGAAGAACTAGTTCTTAAACAAAAGTCCCAAGACAGATTTCTTCAGAAAACACCTCTCAAAATAAAGGGATGCTTCAACTGCTTTTCTGCTTGCCGTTAAAGTTAACCAGTCCATTGTCTTAGAGTGAAACTCAAGATGGTAGTGCATCTTGTGGCAAGAAGGGGAAAGCCTTTGAACCCATGCTTTCAAGTCCCAAGCTCAGTGTTTCTTCCACAGTATTTCACTTGAACATCAAGCTTAGGTGGAGACATTCCTGTCTCTGAGTTGAATATCACATGGCAGAAAATTCCAGGGCTAAATATTTATTGAGCATTTATCATGATCTAGGCACAGAAAGGGTCTTAATAAATCATCTAGTTCAGTCATCTTTTACAGTTGAGAGAATTGAGGCCCAAAGAGATTAGAGTATTTGGGGTTATTCAGAGTTAACTTCCCATTAGCAGTTTTAGCAAAAAGTGCATAGAATTCTTCTAAAAGGCAGTTTTGTGTGGTGGTTAAGAGCTCAGACTCTATAGCCAGACTGCGTGGATTCAAATCCCAGACCTGCCACTGTCTAGCTGTTTGACCTTGAGGCTCTCAGCGCCTTAGTTTTATCACCTGTCTTTGGGTTATTGTAAAGATTCAGTAACAATATATGTGAAATATTTAGCACAGTCCCTGACATATAGTAAATGCATGATTATTTTAATAATATAATGATTTCTAATCTAAAAGTCTAAATATAATTTCCTTTGATAATTTGCTACTTATTTGGGGCTCAGACCGTGAACACTAAAACCTCAAAACATTAAAACTCAATAAACTCCTTGTATTTGGAGAGTATATTAGGGTACTCTTGCAGAAGGGGCAGGTTGTAGGTGGGCACCATGACTTCAAGATTTACCTGTGTTAAGTGTCAGGATGGGCTGAGAGGACATAAAGGTGGGGGAGGATGTGCATATAAAATCCTACGAAGACAGACCAAATTGGGATCTAAATTATTCTTTAAGTAGTTTTATCACCTTTTAAGAGTTTTTTTACAAGAGGCTTTTCTTCAGGTATCAATAGTCTCATCCCATTTTATCGAATTGCACTAGGAGCTTCTTGTAGAAATCTAAAAAGTTACACTCATTGTTTGCACTTTCAAGTGCTTAGTCTTATACCCTGGCTTGTATTACTTGCTGATAATTTCAGTGTAGATCTGAGTGCCTTAGTGAGATTATAAGCTCCTTGACAAGAGTAGCTAGTGATGCATACTACCAGAGCAGCTGACTGCCCACCCACATGGTATGTTCAGAGCAGTGGTTCTCAGCAGAGTTAGGGGGAGGCTAATTTGTCCCCCCATCCTGCCCCTCAATGTGTGGAGACATTTGGGTTCTCACAATTAGGGGGTGCTACTGGCATCTAGTAGGAGAGGTCAGGGATGCTGCTGAACCTCTTGCGGCACACAGGACAGCCCCTCACAACACATAATCATCCAGCCCAAATGTCAGTAGTGTCGAGGTTGAAAAACCCTGCTTTGGGGGAACCTAGAGGGCCGCCATACCTTTCTCCCAACCCTTCCCCTTGCCAACTCATTGACATCAAGAATTATGAAGTTAGAGGTTCATTTATTTGGTTTATGACAGACCCTTTTAAAGTGCCAGTACACACTAAACGTTCCCTGACATTTATGTGTTAGGGTAATTTAGTTTGTCCAAAATCTCTTTCCAAATGTAGGTTTTATAGAGATTAAGAACATGAAGTCAGAGAGTATTTCAGAAGGGAAAAAAGCACTGGACAGGGCTTATTAAAACCTAAAGTTAATTAATTTCTGCTAAGGACAGCCATACCTTTCGTAACCCCCAGAGAGGTCCCACATAGCCACCTTGTTCAAAACAAGAGCAAAGGGCATTCACTCAGAACCAGTCTTTCCTTATAGACTGTCCTTCCCTTCTGGCAAAGGCAGCTCCAGTTGTCACTAGTTAAACACCCACACTTGGACTGCAGACTGTGGTAGCAAAAAACGGTGCATAACAGCAACCCAGGCATCTGAACACTATTGTCTGACATCCCCAGCCTCCCACCCTACACCCCCACCACACTCCTCCTGCCCCGGTGTTGAGCCCAGCCTGGAACACAGCAAACATCTTCACTTAAAATAAGCTCATTTCTCTTCTGGATCAAACTCAAAGAAAATCAGAGACACCCAGAAGTCTCATCAAATGAGCATTATTTTTTAGTCAAAAATCACAAGGGACAAAGGAGTTTATTTTCTTTCTCCTGGATTCTTAAAAGTACATATTCCCCATCTGAAAGTATTTCAGAAGTTATCAAGAACAATTCACTTTCTAATATGTACTTTACAAGCTAATTATTACATGTGAACTGTAAATCACTGAAAAATAACAAGGAAACGTTGAAACAGAATGTTGATGAAACAAAGAGCTTTTTCTAAAAACAGACTTCATTTTACACTTCACACTGATAAAAAATTTTTATTGTAAAATATACATATATAAAATTTACTATTTAATTTTTGTGTTAGATACAGTTCAGTGATACTAAAAACATTCACATTATTGTGCAGGTATCACTACATGGATCGTCAGAACTTTCATCTTCTCAAACTGAAACTCCATACCCATTACACAGTAATTCTGTCCATCCCCCACAACCACCATTCTATCTCTATGAATTTGACTACTCTGTGTACCTCATATAACTGGAATCATACAGTATTTGTTCTTTTTTTGACTGGCTTATTTTACTTAGCATAATGTCATCAAGATTTATTCATGTAGCATGCATGTGTCAAGATTTCATTCCTTTTCAGGGTTGAATAATATTCCATTGTATGTGTAAACCACATTTTGTTTATCCAGTCATCCACCAATGGACACTTGGGTTCCTTCCACCTTTTGGCTGTCGTGAATTGTGCTACTCAAATTCCTACTTTCCGTTCTGTTGGGTATACACCCAGAAGTGGAATTGCTGGAGCATATGGTGATTGTATTTTTTACTTTTTGATGAATTGCCATACTGTTTTTCATAGCAGCTGTATCTTTTTATGTTCCCACCAGCAGTGTACAAGAGTTCCAGTTTCTCTACATCCTTGCCAACACTTATTTCCTGTTTTTCTTTTAAAAATAGTTATTCTAATGAATGTGGTATCTCATCGTGGTTTGATTTTCCCTAATGATTAGTTTTGTCGAACGGCTTTTCATGTGTTCGTTGGCCGTTTATATAACTTCCTTGAAGAAATGTCTATTCATGTCCTTTGCCCATTTTTGATTCAGGTAGTTTTTTGTTGTTGCTCTTGTTATTGAGTTGTAGGAGTCTTTATATATTCTGGATATTAAACCCTTATCAGATATGTAACTTTCAGATATTTTATTTCATTCCATAGGTGATATCCGTTTTTAAATTATTATTTTCTTTAGTTTACCAAGTAATGGCATTCAGTCTTAATAAGAAGATAGATTCTCATATGTTGATAATAGCTATTTTTTGTCCCTTCCTCAATGCATGGAGAATGTCCTTTAGCTTTCCTTTCAGTTCTGATTTTTTTTTTAAATAAGTTCTTTACAGCACTTCTGTAAACTGAATTTTTGTACTGCTCTTAACTGCTCAAGTTAGCCAAATGTCCACTAGGTGGTACTCTCACTATGGCATGAAGTACTTGCATAAAACCGAAGACAAATTCCCAGGTTATCCCGACAGGATTTTACTTCACAAAAATATGAGATGTATGTTAATTTGAAAAAACTAATCACATTTATAGAATGTTAACACGGAAGAGTCTGTTGGTTTCAACCTTCTCCTTGTAAAATGAGAAAACTGTGATCCAGTGAGGGCAAATGACTTCCCCAAGATCACACACTGGTTCTTGTTGAAGCCAGGATTTGATGCAGGGGTTTTATTCCTCATGTGGTTCTTGATTTGCATGTTGCCACTGCTTAACTATTAGCAAGTCTTTTCGGCTGGGCGCGGTGGCTCACACCTGTAATCCCAGCACTTTAGGAGGCCAAGGCTGGCGGATCACGAGGTCAGGAGATCAAGACCATCCTGGCTAACACGGTGAAACCCCGTCTCTACTAAAAATACAAAAAATTAGCCGGGCATGGTGGCGGGCACCTGTAGTCCCAGTTACTCGGGAGGCTGAGGCAGGAGAATAGCGTGAACCCGGGAGGCAGAGCTTGCAGTGAGCTGAGATCGCGCCACTGCATTCCAGCCTGGGTGACAGAGAGAGACTCCATCTCAAAAAAAAAAAAAAGTATTTTCAGAGAATCATAGAGTATGCTAGAGTCCAGCTTAGTATAGCTTTATCCACAATACAGGAAACTGCAGATGTAGGCAAGGTATTATATTGCCCTTGTGAAAGATCTTTGGATTACAGATTAGGAAAACAAAATTCCACTAATCTACCCATTGACCTTAGGGAAATAATTTAATATCTGTGATTTGGTGCCTTTATCTTTAAATTAAGAGATTGCATTCAGAGATGATCCCTGAGTTTCATAGTATCATATAGAAATTCAGTCCTTCAACTCTGAGACTAGAAGCCTGAAATTCACCTGACTCAATCTCACTTTCTTGTTTAGGAGTATAGGTTTGTATTTGGTTTTTGATCATAAAATGAATGGAAGTTCCTATTAACCTTTTCTCATGGCAAGGGATAAAATCTATGTACCAGCTCACTGCTTTGAAACTTTTTGCAACTCTTATTTCACTATTGTTAGTACTAAACATTCCCCAAAATCCAAGCCTTCGAAGAAAACAAAACAACTAACAAAACACAACTATTTTGTAGCCATGTATTGCCGAAAGAACAAGAAAAGCTCTTTTGTGGGATATTTATATAGGCTTCCTAGAGCAGCTTGCCATGCTAATCATTTACAGACTTTCACAAACTGTTTCTCACCTGTCTTCTCCCTGAGTAAACTGCCTCTGCATTACCAGTGTGCTTTGCTTCTTACTCCATGTTTGTTTACAGAATCATCCCAGCAGACAGGACATTTTTGACTTTGTGTTTGTACAGCTCAGTCGTATTCACAGTAACAGTTTTTATTTACCCTTGTAATGAATGTAAATAATATCTCTTCACACTTGATCCATCGCAATACAATAATCCCTCACCAAATTCATAGTTATCTTCCTGAAAAGTACAGCAGTTAGCAAAATCGCAAATGGCAAGATCTTTGTCTCACAGAAAACAGGGGTGGGGTGAGGACAATTGAAAAGGCTTCACACATACAGTATTAATTATTTTTGTGGAGATGGGGGTCTTGCCATGTTGCCCAGCTGGTCTTGAATTCCTGGCCGCAAGTGATCCTCCAGTCTTGATCTCCCAAAGTGCTGGGATTACAGGCATGAGCCACCACACCTAGCTTTACACAAAAAATATTATCATCACAACATATAATAGTTGTGGAAGGCAAAGCGATGTTAAAATCCTGCTCCCTTTTCATGGGTTACCTTAATACTACACACATTGCAATCTTGAGATGTTTTATAGATCATATCCTTTAAAATTTTTCCAGCCAGTTCCTGGGCCTCTGGCACTTACCTTTTCCTTTGTTTTTTTTTTTTTTGTTTGTTTGTTTGTTTATTTTTTTGTTTTTTTTTAATTTTATTTTTATTGATCATTCTTGGGTGTTTCTCACAGAGAGGGATTTGGCAGGGTCATAGGACAATAGTGGAGGGAAGGTCAGCAGATAAACAAGTGAACAAAGGTCTCTGGTTTTCCTAGGCAGAGGACCCTGCGGCCTTCCGCAGTGTTTGTGTCCCTGGGTACTTGAGATTAGGGAGTGGTGATGACTCTTAACGAGCATGCTGCCTTCAAGCATCTGTTTAACAAAGCACATCTTGCACCGCCCTTAATCCATTTAACCCTGAGTGGACACAGCACATGTTTCAGAGAGCACAGGGTTGGGGGTTAAGGTCACAGATCAACAGGATCCCAAGGCAGAAGAATCTTTCTTAGTACAGAACAAAATGAAAAGTCTCCCATGTCTACTTCTTTCCACACAGACACGGCAACCATCCGATTTCTCAATCTTTTCCCCACCTTTCCCCGCTTTCTATTCCACAAAACCACCATTGTCATCATGGCCCGTTCTCAATGGGCTGTTGGTCACACCTCCCAGATGGGGTGGTGGCCGGGCAGAGGGGCTCCTCACTTCCCAGTAGGGGCGGCCGGGCAGAGGCGCCCCTCACCTCCCAGGTGGGGCGGCTGGCCAGGCGGGGGGCTGACCCCCCCACCTCCCTCCCGGATGGGGCGGCTGGCCAGGCGGGGGGCTGACCCCCCCACCTCCCTCCCGGATGGGGTGGCTGGCCAGGCAGAGGGGCTCCTCACTTCCCAGTAGGGGCGGCCGGGCAGAGGCGCCCCTCACCTCCCAGGTGGGGCGGCTGGCCGGGCGGGGGGCTGACCCCCCCACCTCCCTCCCGGACGGGGCGGCTGGCCAGGCGGGGGGCTGACCCCCCAACCTCCCTCCCGGAAGGGGCGGCTGGCCGGGCAGAGGGGCTCCTCACTTCCCAGTAGGGGTGGCCGGGCAGAGGCGCCCCTCACCTCCCGGACGGGGCGGCTGGCCGGGCAGGGGGCTGACCCCCCACCTCCCTCCCGGATGGGGCGGCTGGCCAGGCGGGGGGCTGACCCCCCCACCTCCCTCCCGGACGGGGCGGCTGGCCGGGCAGAGGGGCTCCTCACTTCCCAGGAGGGGCGGCCGGGCAGAGGCGCCCCTCACCTCCCGGACGGGGCGGCTGGCCGGGCGGGGGGCTGACCCCCGCACCTCCCTCCCGGACGGGGCGGCTGGCCGGGCGGGGGGCTGACCCCCCACCTCCCTCCCGGATGGGGCGGCTGGCCAGGCGGGGGGCTGACCCCCCCCACCTCCCTCCCGGACGGGGCGGCTGGCCGGGCAGAGGGGCTCCTCACTTCCCAGTAGGGGCAGCTGGGCAGAGGCGCCCCTCACCTCCCGGACGGGGCGGCTGGCCGGGCGGGGGGCTGACCCCCCCACCTCCCTCCCAGACGGGTCGGCTGGCCGGGTGGGGGGCTGACCCCCCACCTCCCTCCCGGACGGGGCGGCTGGCCGGGCAGAGGGGCTCCTCACTTCCCAGTAGGGGCAGCCGGGCAGAGGCGCCCCTCACCTCCCGGGCGAGGCAGCTGGCCGGGCGGGGGGCTGACCCCCCCACCTCCCTCCCGGACGGGGCGGCTGGCCGGGCGGGGGGCTGACCTCCCCACCTCCCTCCCGGACTGGGCGACTGGCCAGGCGGGGGGCTGACCCCCCAACCTCCCTCCCGGAAGGGGCGGCTGGCCGGGCAGAGGGGCTCCTCACTTCCCAGTAGGGGCGGCCGGGCAGAGGCGCCCCTCACCTCCCGGACGGGGCGGCTGGCCGGGCGGGGGGCTGACCCCCCACCTCCCTCCCGGATGGGGCGGCTGGCCAGGCGGGGGGCTGACCCCCCCACCTCCCTCCCGGACAGGGTGGCTGGCCGGGCAGAGGGGCTCCTCACTTCCCAGTAGGGGCAGCTGGGCAGAGGCGCCCCTCACTGGCCGGGCGGGAGGCTGACCCCCCCACCTCCCTCCCGGACGGGGCGGCTGGCCGGGCGGGGGGCTGACCCCCCACCTCCCTCCTGGACAGGGCGGCTGCCGGGCAGAGACGCTCCTCACTTCCCAGATGGGGTGGCTGCCGGGCGGAGGGGCTCCTCACTTCTCAGATGGGGCGGCTGCCGGGCGGAGGGTCTCCTCACTTCTCAGACGGGGCGGTTGCCAGGCGGAGGGTCTCCTCCCTTCTCAGATGGGGCGGCTGGGCAGAGATGCTCCTCACCTCCCAGACGGGGTCGCGACCGGGCAGAGGCACTCCTCACATCCCAGACGGGGCGGTGGCGCAAAGGCACTCCCCACATCTCAGACGATGGGCGGCTGGGCAGAGACGCTCCTCACTTCCTAGATGGGATGGCGGCCGGGAAGAGGCGCTCCTCACTTCCTAGATGGGATGGCGGCCGGGCAGAGACGCTCCTCACTTTCCAGACTGGGCAGCCAGGCAGAGGGGCTCCTAACATCCCAGATGATGGGTGGCCAGGCAGAGACGCTCCTCACTTCCTAGACGGGGTGGCGGCCGGGCAGAGGCTGCACTCTGGGCACTTTGGGAGGCCAAGGCAGGCGGCTGGGAGGTGGAAGTTGTAGCGAGCCGAGATCACGCCACTGCACTCCATCTTGGGCACCATTGAGCACTGAGTGAACCAGACACTGTCTGCAATCCCGGCACCTCCAGAGGCCGAGGCTGGCGGATCACTCGCGGTTAGGAGCTGGAGGCCAGCCCGGCCAACACAGCGAAACCCCGTCTCCACCAAAAAAATACGAAAACCAGTCAGGCGTGGCGGCGCGCGCCTGCACTCGCAGGCACTCAGCAGGCTGAGGCAGGAGAATCAGGCAGGGAGGTTGCAGTGAGCCGAGATGGCAGCAGTACAGTCCAGCTTCGGCTCGGCATCAGAGGGAGACCGTGGGGAGAGGGAGAGGGAAGTCCAGGATTTTCTTTTGTGGTGATGAAAATGTTTTCGAACTAGATAGAGGTGGGTATAACATTATGAATTAACTAAATACCCCGAATTGTAAACTTTAAAATAATTAATTTTATATTTGGTGAATTTCACCTCAATTAAAAAAAAAATTAGAAAAAGGCCAGGCATGGTGGCTCATGCCTGTAATTGCAGCGCTTTGGAAAGCCAAGGTAGGAGGATCACTTTGTGCCCAGGGGTTTGAGACCAGCCTGGGCAACATAGCAAAACCCTGTCTCAAAAAAAAAAGAAAAAGAAAAAGGAAAAGAAAAAAAAGAAAGAAAGAAAAAAAGAGAGAGAAAAAGGTAGAAGAAATAGGGACTAAGAACATTATATACTGTAGTCTACTCCAGTGATTTAATAGATCTAAAAGGCTCAGAAAACTGAGCCTTTTGGAGATGGAGAGACCTTCCCAAAATCACATCACTGGCTAGAACACCTTTTCCTTTGTTTTTATTCTTCCAGATATCAACAGAATATCTCTGTTCTTGTCTGGCCTTTTCACAAGTTATCTAGGGTGTAGGGCATGGTTTCCTAAGTTACGTATTGAAGGAGGAGAGCATAAGTCAGTCCAAACTCTACACTGTTCCATAGACCTGCCACATGGTCCACAGTAGAGGGAGCAGTACTTAGAGTCACGTGCTGTAGTTGTTGATGAAGGAAACTGAACATTGGTTTTTAAGTGTTTCGCATATAAGTAGAAAAGCATATTATCTCAGAATTCTGCTTGGCAAAGGATTATCCCATTTTTGTTTCCAGAAAAAAAATGCCTTATGAAAAGTCATTTTGATATGATTGAATTTAGCAGAAACATAAAGATTTTGGATTTGTCATGTTCATTTAACATCCAGCTGTTTTCTAATTCTTAAATGAAAGACCAAAAAATAATAGTTTGCTAAAATGTTTAAGGATATTAGAGAACTGTAACGTTATTTTTGCATTGGGTAGTATTATAATGGCATTCAGTTCAGGTTAACAATATTGATAGTCACAATTTGCCAGGATGGTTTGGAATGCCATTTTTACATTGCTTATGGTAATCTGTGAAATCAGAAATATTTCTTTTCACATGAATCTACAGAAATTCTGCTAAGAAACTGTGTCTTTAGAGACTCGTACATATTCAAATTGTTTAATATCCTAAGAATACTCTATTGAGTTCATTTGTTTATTCTTATCTATATGTTTAGTTTAATAGGCTGCTTTTAATTTTTATAAACAGGATGATTTTTTTTAAACATACAGCAGACTCTTGAGAATAAGTTTGGATTATCTTTCAAATTTTTAAATATATATGTTATTTGCCTTTGCATTTGTACTTATTTGTGTACATTTGTACAAAAACTTACGTGCAGAGATGGAAAAGACTAGAAAAAACAAAATGAACATCAAGCAGAAAATTACTCAAGCTCTTTAAAAATACATAAGCTACCTTTACATGTGCTGACATAGAACAGTTTTAAAAGCATGTTAATTGAAAAAAGCAAAGTATAGGCAATACATGTGCTACCATTTATCTAAAATTATATATACATAAGTACATATGTTTATTTGTAAATTAAATTTTTCTGAAATGATACAGGAGAAAATAGGAAACATGGATCTGAGGTAGAAGGTATTCCTACTTTGTATATATTTTGATGTTGAAATTTTCTGCTATATACATGCATTTTTCATTTTTAAAATTAGCAATTTAGTTTAGAAATTAGTAACCACTAAAACACAAGTATGTCATCTATATCATTTGTGCCATTTAAATATACATCTAGTTTTTCTTATTAATACTGTGTCAGTGTATTATTTGATGATGTTTTAGAATATTTGTGATGTTGTACAAGGCTTTCAATTTAGTTGTTGTTTCAACCCTTATATGTTGATGCCTGTGTTGAGTAACCTTGAGGAAAATCATGTCAAAAACACAGGCAGCCTGTATTAGAAGGTTAATTTGAGGAAAGACTAATTTGAAAATGGGTAAAAATAAAACTGAAAGCAAATGTAAGACAAATGTCTTTGCGTGGCGCAGCACACAGAGAATTAAAGATGGTCCCACCACTGGAGAAAGCAATCCTTTGTACTTGAGGTTTCCAGATAAACTTTTTTCTGACTTCGACTTAGCTTAAATTCATATAATATTTTTAGACTTTAGTGTTTAATCAAGAAGCATTATATTAATAGTTGGGATGACTGATGTACCTGTTAGAATTTTCTTTTTGCTCGTAGGAGCATATCTGGATTTAGCAGGCTTTAAAATTTCAAAGCAGTTAAAATGTGCATGATATTCATATGTTAGGGAGGAGTTAAATTCTCTCAATTGGGAGAAACTAAAGAAGGACTTTCCGTGTTACTAGAACTAGATATTGGACTGCTGAAAATTGAAAGACCAATTGATATACCAATGGGAGGTTTGTGTACAGTCAGTGAAATTGAAGAACATTTATGTCATTAATGGACTTACATAGCTATTGGAAGCCAGAAAGTTATGGTAGATGTGGTTCTTACAGAGTTGATAGGCAAGACTTATTGGGAGCACTATCGTGATAGCTGATGGTTTGGTAACATTAATAATAGTAAAAGCATGTTATAGTGGGTATTTTTTATGTTGGCACGAATTGGAGACCTGAGCCAGTAAAAGCAGACGCTGGGCTCTAAGAGATACAGATGTGAAGGATATATTTGTAGTTTTCTTTCTAACAGGAAGCATTAATAAGCTAGGGGGAAGAAGGAGGGGAGAGAGCGAATGACTTAGTCAATTTGAGCGTAATGGTGGAAATACATGTGGAGATTTTTAAGCTAGTAGAAAGTTAATGATTATTTGCAGATCTGGTGAAGGGTAGATATGAGGCTAGCTGAAAGTGAGATAAATGAGTATAGTCATCATAGGTTTTTAAGGATGGTTGCCTTGCCGATTTAGAAAAAAAGTTGGGGCTTGTTTGTCGTGCTTATGGGGATAGATTCTTATCTATTTGGAAGACAGTTATAACAGATTTTCAGCAGTTTATGTTTTAATACAAGCAGGGCTTAACTCGAAAGTTCTATTTCACAGGAATAATTTCATAAGACATCTTTGCCTTTCCATAATCTCATCAACTCAGGTAGGCACCTGAACTTTCAAATATGAACTCAATCCTTTAATTTAAGGATTTGATCCCTAGTAAATGCCAAAGGCTCCAAGTAGAGATAACAAGCTGTTATCAGTGTGAATGGAAGCTATGGAGCAGGCTTTGAGAAGGCACAATGAAAGCAAACCTGAAGAAACAGAGTGCTTATTAGGGTGGGATTGGATAGGTCTCATGGGAACAAGAATAACAATGAATCATAGCATTTTAGAGCCAGAAAGGATTTTAGTTACCCTTCTCATTTTACAGATAAGGAAACCTGAAGTTCAGAAACATGGAGAAATGAGGCTACCATATCCTTCTAAGTAAAATGTTTGCTTAAAGAGTGTATTAGTCAGGGGACAACTCAGCTGCTATAACAAAGAGTCCTGAAAATACAGTGGTTTCAAGAATGCAGATGTGCATTTCTCTGTTAAGGAAGCAATCCAGTTCAGTAGAGCAACTCTGCCCCTCATGGCCAGTCAGGAACCCAGGTTCTCTCAAGTCATTGTGCCAGCATTCCCTAGGCCATGGTTATCACTTTGCTCATATTCCATTTGTAAGAACTTACTAACCTGCCCACCTATAACTTCAAAGAATGCTTCCACGTGGAGTCTTGCTGGAAGTCATTTCTCTGGCTATAATTCTCCTAGAGGACAAAGGAGAAACACATCTGGATGGACAGTGAATAGTCTGTGCCATAGGGGCAGACCAGACTTTCAGTCAGGTTGCTGTCTGCAGTTATGGCTTTTCAGAAATCCACAACCATACCACGTGGTTCCCACCCAGCTTGTAATATGTTGTAGTAGGGTTCTCTAGAGGGACAGAATTAATAGGATAGATGTATACATAACGGGGAGTTTATTAAGGAGTATTAACACAGTCACAAGGTGAGGTCCTACAGTAGGCCACCTGCAAGCTGAGGAGCAAGGAAGCCAGTCCGAGTTCCAAAGCTGAAGAATTTGGAGTCTGATGTTCAAGGGCAGGAAGCATCCAGCACAGGAGAAAGATGTAGGCTCGGAGGCTAAGCCAGTCTAGTCTTTCCATGTTCTTCTGCCTGCTTTGATTCCGGCTGCACTGGCAGTTGATTAGATTGTGCCTCAGTCACCCAGACTGAGGAAGGGTCTGCCTTTCCCGTTCCGCTGACTCAAATGTTCATCTCCTTTGGCAACACCATCACAGACACACCCAAGAACAGTACTTTGCATCCTTCAATCCAATCAAGTTGACAGTATTAACCGTCACAAATCCACCCCTTGTCAACTTGAACCCATACACATCTCCTGAAATCATACATAATCTTCAAATAAAGACAATAATAAGGTCATAATTATGCCTAACATAATACAACTCTCCTTCATACAACCGGAAATGCACCAATCCTCAACCCAAATGCTGTTACATAAAGTTAACGATACTTAAATGCTGTTATGAAGTCAATAAATCTTATGTCACATGATAAAGGAAAAAGGAAATAAAATGAAGATAATTTCTTAGTACAGGTGTATACATGCACAAACATGTTCTTACCAAAATAAGGAGGAAATATTCATGACATATGTCCTTGAAGTTTCTTTTTTTAAAAAAATTATGAGTACATGGCATATATATTTATAGGGTACATGACACATTTTGATAGAGGCATGCAGTGTGTAATAATCACATCAGGGTAAGTGGGATATCCACCTCAAGCATTTAATGATTTTCAAAGATTCCAATTATACCTTTAGTTATCTTAAAATGTACAATAAACTTAACTGTAATTACCCTGATGTGCTATCAAATACTAGATCTTATTCGTTTTATCTAACTATATTTTTGTACCCATTAACCACTTCCCCCAGCCCCACTACCCTTTCCAGCCTCTAATAGCCATCATTCTGCTCTCTATCTGCATGAATTTGTTTCAATTTTTAGCTCTTACAAATGAATGAGAATATGCAAAGTTTGTCTTTCTATGCCTGGCTTATTTTAGTTAATATAATGTCCTCCAGTTCCATCCATGTTGTTGCAAATGACAGGATCTCATTCTTTTTTAAGGCACAGTAGTACTCCATTGTGTATATGTATCACATTTTCTTTATCCATTTGTCTGTTAAGAGAGACTTAAGTTGCTTCCACATCTTGGCTGTTGTGAATAGTGCTGCAGTAAACATGGAAGTGAAGATATCTTTTTGATACACTGATTTTCCTTCTTTTGGGTATATACCTAGGAGTTGCATTGCTGGATCATATGGTAGCTCTATTTTTAGTTTTTTGAGGAACCTCCATACTGGTTATATCTCCATAGTGGCTGTGCTAATTTACATTCCTACCAATAACGCATGAGGGTTCTCCACATCCTCGCCAGCATTTGTTATTGTCTGTCTGGGTCTCTTAAGTTGATGTACTTGGCAGGTCTTGGAACCATCTTTCCTATTAATGACTCCTCTTGATCCCCAGCTCCTGTGCAGAACACTTACATAACAAAATACATCACTTACCTGGTCATGACAGGATCACATTATATCTGCCATTGATATTCTGTTAATACACCTAAGGAAGAGTGTGATTATGACAGAACAAGGGAATCTGCAGCTCATAAATGCCTTTTTGCTCTGTTTACTGGAATAATTAAAAGAAACAGCTGTTATGATGTGGGAACTTGTTATGAGTGTTAAATGAGATAATACATATAAAACACCTACTTATTTTGTCAAGAAGTACAGATGGAGTGTCCCAGGAACTATGTTAGATGCTTGGGATGCTAGTGAACAGGGTATTGCCCCTGTTCTTAAGAAGCCCCTGGCCCACTCAGGGAGACACTAAAATGGCAGTCAGAATGCAGTGTGGCAGGAAAGCATTTTCATAGCAGTTAAGTACAGGTGCTGTGGGGACAGAAACAAAAGGCACCAAACCTGTCTTGGGAGAGAACCAGTCCTGAGGAAGGCCTGCCTATGTGATGCCTAACAGAAGCAGCAGAGACTCCAGGGTGCCATCCACGCTGAGGCTAACTCAGAGAGGCCTTGAGTGCTCCTTTTAATTTGGTTTCTTTACACTTCTCCAGCATCACTTTCAACAGTCCCATCATCAAAGCTTACAGGGAAAAGACTCAGATTTTGCTTTCAAGAGAAGTTTTTTCCCTCAACTTTATCCCAACACACAAACAAGAGAAAGTGATTTTAAAGATGACTTCCTGACAGGCAAGCAAGTACACAGGGTAATTTAATGTTGTTAAATATCCCACTGTCTTATGAGCTTTTTAATTAATTCAAGTATATGGGTTTTTCAAGGGCGACTATACAGTGCCTTTTCTGTTATTCATATTGTACAATAATGGGCTTAGGTAGCATGCTGGAGAATAATACTCATGATCCACAGGTAGATACCAAATTAGTATTTCGAGACCTCTCTAGGGAAAACGGAGGAATGTTTTTTACATCATGTTTTTTAAATTATCATGCTATACTTCCTCTTTCTGTCACCCTCAATCATATCAACACATGCCTAAGGATTCTTAGGAATATGTTTATGGGCCTAATTTCAGACATCCTTGACTCTGTGAAAGGTTATTCGTTCACTAACTAAAAAGAAGCTCTTAGTCTTACTCTTCATCATTCCAAAGGCAGTGGTATCCATAGAGTTATCTAGAAGGAAAGTAAGCATGACTACTTCACAAAAGGACTGTTTATCATCTTAAACCTCAGAAAACATGTTAGATGCTGATAGACGTAAATGCTAAGATGTGCCTTCTGCAGCTATTTCATATCTTACCCTGAACCTTTTTCTTCAGGGGGTGGGTGGGGGTGTGTGTGTGTGCGCGTGCGCACGCGCATGTGTATGTGTGTTTGTGAATGAGTATACCACCTCCCGATGATCATACTGAAGAACATGTGCCTCGGGTATGTGTCTGAGCCATGTGTCTTCAAAATTGGACTTATATCCCATTTATGAAAAAAGATTATCAGTGAAGCCAACTAAATCTTCTTTTTTTCCTTTTTCTTTTTTTTTTTTTTTTTTTTGAGACAGAGTCTTGCTCTGTCTCCCAGGCTGGAGTGCAGTGGCGCGATCTCGGCTCACTGCAAGCTCCGCCTCCCGGGTTCACGCCATTCTCCTGCCTCAGCCTCCCGAGTAGCTGGAACTACAGGCGCCTGCCACCACACCCTGCTACTTTTTTTGTATTTTTAGTAGAGACAGGATTTCACCATGTTAGCCAGCATGGCCTCAATCTCCTGACTTCATGATCTGCCTGCCTTGGCCTCCCAGAGTGCTGGGATTGAAGCCAACTAAATCTTTATCCAAAAGAATGCTAATTTTGAAATTGCTCCAAATTTAAAGTCACTTGGGGAGAAATAAGATAAAATTTACATGCAGAATAACATCTGTAGAAACCCAGTGACTTTGCACACATACTTCAGTGTTGAGGTGTAATAACAGACACAGGCATTTCCATCTAAGAACACAAGGAGACAAAAGAGCCTTGGAATGAAGGTTGAGAAAACCGAGTTCTAGTCTTGGCTTCACCAGAAATAACTTTGTGGGTTTGGGAGCAAGTTACTTAACCTCTGCAGGTTGCAGTTAGATCAGCTGTAAAAAGAGGAGATTGGATGTGAATGAACTCCATATTCCCTTCTAGCTTCATTTCTGAGTCCTTGAGGGGAAGTGTGAAGCACACATTCAGTACCTACTCTACCTCCCGGTGCAAGTTATTGCAGCACGTGAACAAGACACTTTTTAGTCAGTATAGACTCAGATAGAGTAGTCACTTCCTAATAAGGATCTAAATGAAACATTAGAACTCATCTTAACCTTTTTCAGCTTTTCAAGTTTTCACATTTCTGTAATACTTTGGAATACTCCTGCCATTTTTACCGAGGTACATTAACTGCAGTTTTGCCTAGAGACCTCTCTACACCATGTTTATTTTGTTTTATTATCTGTTTGACAATTCAACTGCAAACAGAAATACTTGTCAGAGTGATTAACTTAAAGTGACTACAGGTTTTAAAAAATGAATTTTTCCTTCCCACTGCGTGCATACTGAGATAAAGTTGTTTTGTCATCCAATTCCAAGGGAAGCATTTACAAGCACTCTTTGATAGATGAGTCTATCACACAGCCTGAACATGAGCACTGTGTACCTCAACCATCATTTTTCAGGACAGTGGCACCTCATTTTAGATTCAGTTTCGCATTTCCCTTGGCAGGGCCACTGTTCCTGTGTTCCTGTTAGAAGTTAGAATTAATATAGTAACTTCACTTCAGTGACCTGTTTTTTTCGTTTGTTTTTTTTGTTTGTTTGTTTGTTTGTTTGTTTTTTGGAGGTCTGTCTGTTCCTTGCCTCGTTTCCTAGTTGTCCTAGCAACAGCCATCAAATTGAAATTACAGGAAGTGGAAGGTCTTATTACTAAGGAGAATAAAGAGCTGTTGACTGAGTTACAGATTCTAATTTTTGGTATCCACATGGGGGCAGCATTGCTTTAAGTGAGGTTGTAGCTCTTTCCACGTCTCTGTCCATCCCCAGCCCACCTACCCACCCCATTATAAAATTTCTGTCCGCTTCTAGGCTAACCGCACTTATTCATGTCTTTTCTCTACTGGGCTTTCTGAAGTACACTCAACTATCTTAAGAGATTGCATATGAATTTATTACGTGAAAATTACAGCATCTGCTTTTCATTTTACTGGTTACATGCCATGTATATAGAGTTAGTTTCAATACAGGAGTGTTTCAGGCCCATGTATTCAATTAGGGAAACCACCCAACCCATTCTAGGATATTTTTATTCTTTTTAGCAATACTTTCAGAGAAAATATGAAATTCTTCCAGATCTTAGCAAGGCAAGACCACAAAGCAGGTTTGGCAAAATCTTCCAAAAATCAAGGCATTAGGCAGTGGTTTGAGGGAAAAGGCAGGCCATTACTAATTTCCCATGCCTGGAATAATATTGAAAGCAGATGCCTGATAGCTCTTGTAATCACCTTTAATTGCTAAATGGGATTCACTGACTTAACATGATGGATGCTATTTAGTCTATAAAGCGGGGAAAGATTTGTAAAGGAATACACCAAAAGGGAAAAACTTGAAAAGGCCAAGCAGTGCTGGGTCTCCACTTATTAGACTCATGAGTTGGTATGTATTTACAGCACTGTACAGTAGCACCATCTTCACAGGTTAGATAAATGCCTATTTTCACTGTTGTTCAAAATGTTCATTTTAACCAACAAAAATTTATTGATCACCTGCCACAGCAAGGTGTTGTTTGGGTGTTGGGGGAGTGTATAGAAATAAGTATGATACAGAGTTGAGCTCCAAGAAGCTCAGTCAGTCAGGGTTGGTATAATATTTACATGACCAATTACAAAGAAAAGCCCAGGGAGGTTAATATAGCAAGTGTTCTTAACAAGCCATACGTGATTTCAGGGGAGGGAGGGATTTTTTTTTCCAGCTTGATGACTGGGAAGACTTCAAGAAAGAGTTAGAAATAAAGGTAATAAAACAAAAAATATGTAAGCATATTCAGGAAGTTTGAGCTGTGCCATTTGGCTGGAATGGAGGTTATGAGGTCGACTTCTGTATACCATCTTGAAAATGACTTTCACTGACTCATAAATTTTCTAAATTACATAATGATGATAACATGATCATTACTAGTGGGATTATATTATCACAAAAACCTCTTACATTTAAAATGTTCTTATTAAGGCCCCATCTGTATTTGCTAATTAAGTAAAACTGTATTATGATTAAAACTGCATGGAAGAGGCAGAATGCTTTGTTTGCTTGGTTTTCATATTTTACATTTAAGAAAGATTGAATATCAAAAACATCTGTTTCTGATAATCCTATAACAGAGTTTTTAGTCCATGCATTAGAAATCTTTTGGTATTGGTAGAAAGAATTTTGCAAGATTTCTTCTTTAATATTAATTTGGTATTTATAAAAGAAAATATGTTTATAGCTGATTTTCAGTGGAAATAATATTTTTTAAAGATGTACCTTATGTGACTAATTAAATGTTCTTTGCCAATCAGCACATCTGCAGCCAGATTTCAAAACTATATATTCATTTGGCCACAGAGACTTTTTAGCCCAATCTTGCAAAATATTTGCTATTGTAGTATAATTGAGAATAAAACAGTCTAAATTAGTGAAGAAATACAGAATATGAACAATTACAATGTATGAAAAAAATATACACAATATTTTTTTCATCACATCAAAACCCATTTACTGGGTCGTAAAATCAATTTAATAGGTCTTGTTAGCATTTTTTTATAGGGAGGATGGGATGGAATTGAGAATAGAGTACATTGCATGTTGTAAGGAAAAGTATGGTTTCATGAAATGTTAGTTTTATATGTCTGTGTTTCTGTGTGTGAATATACTGGATTGCTGTGTAAACTGTATTTCTTACTGTGGATTGTTATCATTAGTTTGAAAACATTATTTTAGAGAAATACCAATTTGTGTATAGTATGTGGAATTAACCCTTCACCTATTGTCCTGGAAGACCCATCCAAGTCCCAGTATTAGCAACTAGAGAAAAATTATATGCATTTAGTATATTATTTATGGAAATAAATGTTTCTGAAGTCCTCAGTTCTCAGCAAAAACTTGTTCCTGTACAAGACATTCCTGGGAAACCTAAACAAAGAGAAAAGGAAGGATAGAAGGATCTGCTAACATATTTAAAGCCTTCTGCCTGTTTTCCTGAATAACATTCTACCACCTGGTTAAGGGTGTTTATTTATAGTAAGGAGTACACGGGGGTGAAATGCCCAAGACCCCTCACTTTATAAGGTCTTAACTGGCATCAGCTCGTTGCTTCTGTACAGTGGAGCCTCATTCCTCACAAGGTATTGGTTTGAGTGGGATGTTTTGACTTAGACCCAAAGCAAGAATGGGTCCATGGCAGCCAGGGGGAGAGAGAAAATGCCAAAACTATGGAAAGGATTGAGAACCTGGCGGCAGTGAAGAGTGAAGACCCCACAGCCTTCCCAAATGCTAAGGTCGAGAACATGGGGCAGGGAGGTAGGTCTAGAGCCAAAGCTTGAAGCCTGAAGTGTTGGATGCAGTCAACCACTGGAAATCTGTCAGAAGCCAGTGTCCCAGCCAGAAATATGGCCTTCCTTCAGAACTCCCCCTTTCCCTTTCTTACCCTGAGGAGTCATTCCATCCCTGTGTTCAACTTTTTTATACTGGTGGAATCTGGCTTATAACAGGACCAGTCCGATACAACATCTGGACTGGCTCCAGTACCTGGATCATACCTCACTTGTGGGCCAAAATCCAATTATTAAACACTTGTCATTTATATTTACTTTGTAATTTATTAAACATTTGTCATGTTCTTGCTGTGCTACCTATTTTCATATTCTATCTGACAATAACAGTTGACATTTTCTCTCAAGAAGTGGAGAGAGCTGGAAAATTCAGCAAAGAAGGGTTAAATAACTTTTCCTTTAGCCAGTGCTTTCAAAGATGCCCCAACCCTAGAATTACAGATACCACTTAGGCTACTAAGCTAGGCTGTTGTTTGAAACTGACCTACTTCTGTCATCCTCCACAGTTGTCTTAATGGGAGGCAATTTATGCCCCACATTTACTGTAGTGCTTGCAGAAGGCATCAAGCTCTACAAAGCTTCATGCTTGTCCTTAAAAGTTAATTGGGAGCATCAGGGGAGGAGTGAGTGCTGGGAACAGCTATTTCCATTTCCCAGAACAGTAGTTGAATCCTCTCATCTTTCCAGGGTAATTTTAGGAAAACCTCAGTCATTTACTCTACTTTCATTGCCTAGATTTTAGGTTTTCAGTACTTTGAAATGACAGCTTTTCAAAAAGATACTACCTAAAGAGAAATGAGATGTAGATTTAAACAAAAGATGAATATTGAAGTAATCCATTTAAGATAATAGCTGAAAATATTTATTCCGTTATTATGTCTTTCACTGGATTTTATTTCATCTGAAAATGTTAGATAGAGGAGACTCTGGATTTGGAAACTGGACCCCAGAGTGGTGAAAGGACTTCCCAAGAGGTGGCCTTGGGACCAGGCTAAGAACTCAGTTCTCCTGACCACCCCTCTCTATGCCACATTGTCCTGCTAGATCTAAACATGAGGAATGTTCACATGGATGATGTCACCAATTGACACCATCCAACATGGCTTAATAGAAAAACCATGGACTTGTAGCCAGGGAAATTCAAACTTAAGTCTTTATCTCACAAGGTTGCATGAACTAATTGAGGTAGCATGTGAAGCACCTAGCGCAGAGCAGATGTTCAAGAAATTAGGTCCCACACGGGAATTACAACCTGAAGACACATTCTAAAGGTAGGAAAGTTTGTCACTAATTCTTTCTCGCCTTCTCTTCCTGTTGTCTAGCTGGTGCTATGGGTGGGTGCATGGAGTCTTCAGGCTGCCCTCAGAATACCTAAAGTTTTCTCAATACAGTGTATGTCAAACTTCATTCCATGCATCATCCCATTCTGTGCCTGTTTTTCATTTAAATTAAGGGTCTTTGGACCATTCCTGCTGGCTTTGCTAATCTTATAAACTGATGTTTATGAAAATGGTAATAACTAAAGCTAGATAATGTCTTAGAATGTCAAGTCTTCAGTTAAAGATACTTGATCTCATTAGAGTAGTCTTCCCAGTCTTACTTTTTACTGATCTCCTCTACCTTTTTCAGTATGAAAAGTCTTCTTCATAACAGGGTATTCAGGATCAAAAGTAGGAGTTAAAAGGTTCTGGTTTTCTCTGTGACATTTATCAAACTCTGCACCATGAGTCACTCCCAGCAATGAGCTTGTCTGCTGCTTTGTTGTCTTGCCTTTTGATGTTTCTGTTACATTTAAAATATAAAATAAATGTATTATTTTCTTAGAATATATTTATTATTTTAATAACTAAGGTAATATATGTTCATTATTTAAAATTCCACATACATAGAAGGCTACAGAAGAGAGTGAAAACTCTCCTGTGTTTCCACTCTACCTCCCCCATTTTAAAATTTGGGTAACTACCACCAGCTGTTTCATATGTATCTTCTTCCCAGAACTGTATTTTACACCTGAACCAGTATATCTTTTTTTAAGTTTAAAAATCAATCAGTTTGTATTTTTATCAAATAATGGTTTACAAAGCCAAACAACTAAAAAAGACAAAATTTTTTAAAGAGCACTTTCTCAGTCACCATCACCACCACCTCCTGATAGCCAGGGGGACTGCCCTTAACTCCTAACTCTTAGTTTCTGTTATTGTCTTCGTGTCTCAAAATGGTGTGCTTTTACTCTTTTTTTCTTGATTTGTCGATTGTATTATCTTCTATTATGGTAGGTAAAAATCATGCTGTCTTAACATTCCCACATCATTTTTCTCCCATCCTTTCAACAGTTATATAACCCAATTTTTTGATAATTCACTGTTTACACTATTTAACAATGTAAATATTGTTCATTGATGAGCAGCTGTAATTTCGTTTATTTTTTTGGTCAACTTTTTTTCCCACGAGTTAATTGCCTTACATTTTAATTTTCTTTGTTTCTTTGTGTGTGTATATCTCTAGCTGATTCTTTTCTAATTCACTGACAGATCTATGAAATCTTTCAAAACACGGTCAACATATAAGATAATATATCAGTTCCATTTTGTTCATTTTAAATCAGAGATCTCCCTTTTGGCTTTGTCTTTTCTAATCAGGACTGGTTGTTCCGTTGCATTTTATACATTTGTCATCCTGGGACCTTGCTTCACTGCTGCCCCAGGAGTTCATTTACATCTTTCTTGTGTTGAGTTCCCTGTTTCTAGATCCTATGTTGTTTTCTTCCTTGGCTTATTTCCTTGTTTTACTAGGACATATCCTTCTGTAGCTTTCTGAGTAAGGATCCAAGGAACCCTTGGAATAATTTTTAAATTCCATTCATGTCTAAAAATATCCCTATTCTGCCCTCTAACTTAATTGATATTTTGGCTGGGTATAGACTCAGATATAAATCATTCTGAAAACACTATTTCATAGTCTTCCAATGATCCCTTTCAAAAAATCCATGGCTCTTCGGCTTCCTTATTCTTTATATGTGACCTATTTTCTATGAAAAGTTTTTAGAATCTTTTATTTATCTAAGATAATTCTGAAATTTAAGGAAGGATCTCTTTTGGTATAGGTATTCTTTCTTCTTCTTCCACCCCCAGCCCTTCTGGGGCCCTTTAACCTAGAGATTTGATTCCAAGAAATGCTCATTTAGTATTCATTTGAAAGTTTCCTCCTCTCCATTTTCTCTGTGTTCTGTTACTATAACGTCTTTTAGCTGAAGAGGAAACTACTTTGACTAATTCTTTTTTTATTTTTCTGAAATTTTTTAAATATTTTTTAAAATTTTTTTATTTTTCTCTCCAGTTTTCTATTGCTTTTTCTACTTCCTGAGAAATTTTCTAGAATTATCTTTCAAATTATCTTTCTTTGTTTTTTGGCTTTCATAGATTTTTTTTTTGTGTGTGTGCATGACCTGCTGAATCATAAGATTTTTTTTTTGAAATCCTAAGAGATCTTTTTATTCTCCAAACATTTTCTTTCTTAAGTCAGTATCAGTATCCTATTTTTCTTTCAGAAAGATCTGAGGATTTTTTTTTTCCACTTTAAAGTATTTTAAGTTTTTGCATTGATCTCTTTACAGTGATCTCTGTTTACTTCTTCCCCTTCCCTACTCACTGCGGTGCGTTTGCTTAGGTCTCAGTATTTTCTGCTGGAGATTTTCTTCAAAGGTTTGGTATTCCTAGGTGTTTTACAGCACTGAAGCACTAAACAGCTTTCCTCCCTGCCTCCTCTCCAGGCAGTTTCCTGGGTTAGGAGTCTGGGTGTTGGAGAGTGTAAAGATGGCAGAACCCAGCTGTTTCTCCCATCTGTCCTGCCTCTTGTTCAGCCCAGTTACAGAACTAGGTGCCTACTCGACTTTTCCCTGCCTCTCGCAGAACTGAACCAGTTCAGTCCTCCACTCCTCTGTGTTAGTAAACATTATCACTTGAATGTTTCCAGAGCCTATCATTTACTCACACAAATCTCAGCCTGATTGAAATATGGAAAGGTGATTAATAGTTTTCAGCATCCTTTCTGGGTTCACTGCCGATACCATATATTTGGCAGACATCCTTCCACATCTGTGGCTTGAATTATTTCCCAGTTTCTTCATTAGGTTTTGTTGTTGTTATTGTTGTTTCATTTTCTTGGGGTCTCGGGGAACAGAATGAAGTAAATAGTTTTTTCCTGGAAGTTCCTGGAGATTTTATTTAAATCCAAGTTGCCCTGGGCATTTTTCAGAAGTGTTGAGTCATTTTCAGTTTTTACCTTTAGTTATTTAACAAGTTTTGAGTACCTACTAATAGTAGCATACAGCAAGATGGTAATTCTTACAAGTCATTATATTACCTAATTATCCTTGATTATGTAATTTTCTTCATAATCCTCTACCCACCCCATTTTGTCCTTTTAAAAGTTTAAATCATTGGAAAGCTAGCCCAATGATTTTGGAAATTCCCTTTCACCTTCATCAGAATGCATTGGATTAAGCAAACCAAATAATCTCTTTCAGACTGTCTAAATCTTTTACGGCTGGTGTTACTTTTAGAGACACATGGCTATGTAATTACACAGTAGAGTCACATTGCGTATTTGTAAGAATATAGTTATAAGTGCCCAGGAAAAAGGGGTTGGGGGAGAATTAAGAGGGAGTAAATTATCCAAAAGGCTCTGGGCTGCCTTCATCAAATGAAGGCATGCAGTCAAATAATGTGATGGAGAAGTCGGATCCATTCTTCCCACAGTTAGTCCTGGTTCCTGGATGCCTCATGTAGTGTGAGCACTTCTCAGTGCAAAGTGCGAGCCTAGTTCAGTGACACTAATTCTTGTTCAGCAAGGCCACTAACTGCAAACACAAGACAAAACCAAACTTCATCCTTCACTACAGTAACTATAACTTTCCTACCACTAAGAGAATGGCAGTCTGTATCCGAAATATGGAATGGCAAGATGGTCTCATGGTCACCATGGGGTGCATTCAAAATGTACTTTTAAGGGTAATTTAGACTATGTATGATTTCTTCCTTGCACTCTGATCCGAATTGCTATTACATTCCTAAAGTCAGAGGAAATATATAAATCTGTGTACCTTTTATTTTATGCCAGCTGTTATGAGCACATGGTCACTGCCAGAATTCCTTCTACTTTGAGTTTCTGACTTCCAGTGGGAAGCTGAGAGTTAGACCAGGAGCAGCAGTTCCTTAATCACTTATTCAAACCTTAAGGAAGATATTGGTGGAGGGTGGCAGAAACAGTTTGGGGAATTTCAGATGTTTTTGTAGTTGAATAAAACCGTACAGCTTATAAACTCACAAAACCTCAGAAATGTACTATTTAACAAGTATGGCATAGCTATCAGTCAGTTTAAAAAAAAAAGATCAGCCAATCCAAATGGATATTAGCCATAAACTGAATGTCAGCCAGCTCATAACACACATTGTTCCTGAATAGTTGAACTCTTACTGCCTCACTCTGCCTCTGTGGCAGCTTTGAGATCTTCAGTGCTCATTTCCCTCATCTGGTCTATTTCAGCAATAGAATTGGTTCTGATCCCTTCTCCCTTAATCCTTATTTAAATACTCCACTCTTCAAGACACTTGTAAGTTCAAAAATTTTCCCACCTATTTCCATTCTCTGGATACCTGAAGAGTTACTTCACCCCAGAGGTTTTAAGTGTGATACACTCTTTCATGGCTCTGTGCCGACTGTGGACCCTCTCCTGCTGATGTTGTTTGTTTTTTTTGTTTGTTTGTTTGTTTTTTGTTTTTTGTTTGAGATGGAGTCTCACTCTGTCATGAGGCTGGAGTGCAGTGGCATGATCTTGGCTCACTGCAACCTCCGCCTCCCGGGTTCAAGCTATTCTCCTGCCTCAGCCTCCTGAGTAGCTGGGACTACAGGCTCATGCCCCTACGCCCGGCTAATTTTTGTATTTTTAGTAGAGACGGGGTTTCACCGTGTTAGCCAGGGTGGTCTCAATCTCTTGACCTTGTGATCCACCCACCTTGGCCTCCCAAAGTGCTGGGATTACAGGCGTGAGCCACGGCGCCCAGCCTCCTGCTGATCTTTCTAGTAGCACCTGCTATAGTCTATGATTCTGTACTGGTGACTGTGGGACAACTCTCCCTCATCTTTTACCCAGCATTTTTTCCCAACAGAATCACTGGCATTTGTCCATGTATTCATCTCTCCAGGTTTTCCCTCAGGTCTTTCAACGTTGTCTGCTTTCTTCATGATGCTTGAATGATCTTCCATCCCACCCCACAGTCCTTCACTATAGAAGGAGCTGATTGTGTCTGATTTGTATGTTTCTGTTAGTTGTATTTAAAGGTGTGTTTTTGTGTTGGATCTATCACCCATCGCACTTGTTTAATAGCTACTGGAAGAGATCTTTTAACTTCCTAACACAGTACAATTTTCTTACCTAGTGGAACATTGGTTTTTTTTTTTCTTTTTTGTCTTCTGACTGCGTAACTTAGTAATAGGTCATAATGCAAACTTTTTTAAAACACTTTATTTAAAATGTTGAAAAATTATTCTGCAAACTTTTCTTAAAAGAGTAAAGAGAAGAAGAAAACTCTTATTTGGGGCAAAATATTGAAACCTTCAACCTTAACACTTTACAGCCATTTCTCAGTTTTTCATGGGTGTAATTAATACTTTTTGTCAAAAAATGCGTAGTTCTTCCTAAATTCTATACCATTTTTGCCTTCTATATTAGTTAGTCACATGTGCATTATATGGAATGCTGCGTTTAAAAAGGAGGTACAGAGAAAAAGCCCATTTTTTTCTCAAAGCTTGTTAGTGCAAAGCTGATCAAGCACTTTACAGTTTGCAGGGAAGGGGGTCCTTTTCAGTAAACCCACATGTATTTGAGTGAATTTGTTGTACCTACAAGTAAGTCAACGTAGTGACACTGATTTTTCAAGCAGACAGTAAACATTGCTTTTAAAGGTGCCAGGGCCTTGCTCTGGTGTGCACTGTCAAAAGCACTGGTAATAGAACATGGACAAAATAAATCACTGAAGTCTACAGATAATATATACAATATGTAACAGGATTTTAGCCAAGAGTTTGCCCAAAAAATCTCATAACCATACCTTTTAGTAGATACAGAAACCAAAGCTGAGAGGTTTATTGTCCCTGCCCTCCTTAACTTGTCAGTCATTCTCCTGGAAGAATCAAGAGGAAAAGCAGGGATGGAGTAAATCCATATGCAGACTATTATTAGTCTCTCATTAACAAAGAATGTTTACAGAATTTTTTTAAGCTGCTTAAAGTATTATGAAAAGTTTACCTGTGTCTTCAAATGAGCACTGTTTTACAGTAATTTTACTGGTTTAAAATGCCAGATATATGGCATTAGAACATCTGGAAAGGCATTTTTTACATGTGTGCAACATCTGGCTAAATATACTGCCCTGACACTAAAAGTTAAGTGAATGAATTAAAACACTGATTGCCTTTCCTGTGTTGCATCCTCTGTGCCGTGGGAAGAAAGAAAATGGATGCTTTTTGGGGAAATAAAAAGGAAAGTAAGAAACCTAATATCTAACCAAGAACTATGAAGAAAAAAAGACAAGGACAAAATTAAGGCTCAAAGATATAATGACAGATTTATCGGGGGAGACCTTACTTTTGCTTTTATTTCCATATATGTGCTTTGTTGTACATAATAAATTGTACAAACATAAATTATAAGTAAATATGCTCAGACTTTTAAAACATATAAAATTGGAATGTTACTAATAATTCAGGTGGCTGTGATAATTATTTACCTTCCTTCTACATGTGTTACTCAACTTCCTTTTTATCAGTCTTCTCATGCCATATGAGTATTCAATGCTGTTTTACACCAAGAGTCAGTAAACTCTATGGCCCACAGGCCAGATCCAGCCCACTGTCTGTTATTGTACACTTAGCCAACTAAAATTGGCTTTTACATTTTAAAATGGTTGAAAAAAATCAAAGTAAGAATTTTTATGACACATGAAAATTACTTGAAATTTAAAGTTCAGCATCCAAACAAAGTTTTATTGGAACCCAGCCACACTCATTTGTTGTATATTGTCTAGAGGTGCTTTCCTGGTACATGGGCAGAGTTGACTAGTTATGACAGACAGTGTGGCCAACAAACTGGAATATTTACTATCTGACCCTTTATAGAAATGCTTGCCAGTGCCTTTTACACACTAAAATGCTCTTAGCATTGTCTAGTGTATATTTGTACTAAACAATGCTAGTTATCATTAATATTAAGCTTCATAAAAAGTAATAACATTCATATAGCCAAAAATACATATCAGAGTCTAAAAAATTTCATCCTGTATTGTTCCTGAAAATGAAAAGACTAAAAAGAAAACCAACTATTAATTATATAACAAATTCATTATTATTTAAAAATAATATAACATGGCCTTAGAAATATAATGCGCTAAGCTCATTTTAAAAGGACTTGTATTCAGAATATTTTATGTATTTTGTATGCAAAAACTTTTAAGCCAATAAGTTACACCTGCTTTCTTATCATTTGATCAATGTATCTGCTTATTACTGTCCTTCAGTTCCAAACTTACTCTGATTGCCTATGTTATTTCTCTATTTTTACCTACTGTCTGATTTTTCTTAATGGAAATGCTCACCATATGCTTACAGTCTTTGGTGGGTAGACAAAGGGAAGAGAGAAAACTTAGAAACCAAAAGATAAAGAAAAGAACTTCAGTGTGGACATAGTCATGGGCACATCAGGACACTGGCACCTCACTGAGCAGGGCTCAGGTGTCATACAGGTCCTTTGAACTTATCTCTTTGGACACAAGGCAGACCAAATTCTTATCCACTGATACCACCCTATCATGTTGGCCAAAGAATCAGGCGGCCACGTGTGTTTCTGGGCCAGACTGACCCATCCATAAAAATATTTTGAGACAATGAAGGAAATATTTTACTGAATTGTTTTGGGTTATTTATTTCATCCTATTTCCCCCAAATGTAGATTTTCCTGGCCTAACACACTGAGAATTTGTTCAGATTCTGTCTGATGCGCTGATGTGTGCTTTGTTGGTTTATTAGCTAGATCAAATCTTCCTGGGACATTACCAAGGTATTTAGTGTTTCTTAGCTCAGTTGTGTCATCTAAGCCTGCTTTCTGTTTAGTCTCTTACCTCTGCATCCTCACAGTGTAGTTCCATTTCTCTTTATCCAAAATCTCCTGTAATTTGGCCAAGTCACTGTTCATCAACTGTAAGATCAGAAAGTGGACAAGTGCAATAAAGGAAGCTGACATCCAAACACACTTTGCTCCTGCGAACAACTCTCCTACAGTTTGCAAAATGCTATTTCAGGATGGGCAGTGGCTTATATTCAGCAAGTTAGGTGGTGCCATAAACTGAGCTGACTTTAAGGAAAACACCCATTGGGAAACTGACATTTGATTTTTGTAAAAGTAGAACTGTTTTCTAAGTTAGGAAAGGTCAATCTTAGAAATATCAAAGCTGTTTTAATCTTATTTCAAACATTCTCTTAATAACTTCTTTGAAACACTCAAAATTCAAAATGACAAGTTAGTAAGAAACATTAAAATCATGGTTAATGACTTCAGTATATAAAGACTGCATACAAATTTATAACAAAACATTAAGAGCAAAAAAACCTGAGCAGACTGATTTTCATGGACAAAAAGACAGGAGCAGACAATTCTCGAAAAGAGAAAATACTACATGTTAGTAAGTAATCTGTTGGAAAATCTTCAGCCTCACTGCTGTTCAAAGAAATTCCAACCAAGACAGCAAGCTATCATTTTTTCACCTTGATGTGTCATTTCATGCCACATGTAATTTGATATGAAAAAGATTCTAAAAGGGTAGCTCTCCCGCTTAAGAGGAAACAATCAAACGAGTAAGTTCACACATCACTACGAGATGAATAAGTTTGTTCACCCCCTGCGGAAAGTTATTTGGTAGCCTGTAACCAAGAGCCTTAAAATTTGCAATATGCTTTCATAGGCTGTTACATAGAAAATTTCAACCATGAAAATTCCTGTGTACAAGGTTATAAATTGTAGTGTTATTTATAATAGTACACAAAAAAACTAAGTATTTCACAGTAGAAGTACAGTTAAGCCCACTATAACTTAAGAATTTGACAAAAAAAAAATGCTTAGACTAGAATGTTGAGAGCAAAATATAGAACATAAGATTTTACATCTAGGGTTCACAGTCCTTTAAAACTGCACTAATATAGTAGCTGCAGACCCCATGTAACTTTAAATTTTAGTTTTAGTTAGTTGAAGTTAAATAAATTTAAAACTCATTTTTTCAGTTGCATTAGCCACATTTTAAGTGCTCAGTAGCCACATGTAGCTAGTGGCTTCTGAGTGAGACAACAATGGTACAAAAATGGCTTTTCATTATCTCAAAGTTATTTTGGATATACTGCCATAAAATAACCTCCAAAATTATGCATAGCTCAAAGACTGGAAGAAAACAAAAATTAACAAAAATACAATAGTTTTATGTGGGCAATTCAACTATGGGAACTTTTTTCTTTTCCTACTGTTATTTTTAAAGTGTTCTATCATGACCACATATTAATTTTATGATAGAAAAAAATTGAATTATTTCAAATAATTTTTTAATGTAGAAATGAATACAAGTATAGCTTGGGAAAAGCCAATTAAAATTTACTCTCCATAGTTGAGTGTGTGTGTGTGTGTGGTTTGTAGCGTGCTATTAACATTCAAGTAGTATCAGAACTTCAGAAACTCACATTCTTAGGGAGTGGAGCACTATTGAATTGGAAAGCACTCTTGCAGGTGTTTGCACACAACCGTGTATACATGCAAATACATTCTACATGTTACAAATTGAATAAAAACTGACTATGGTATATTTACATTAAATTTAAAATGACCACACCACCACGTCCTCTGTTTACTGTTCTTCACAATTCCAAACAGATAGGTTACAAATGCATTCTTTTGGCCTTCACTTGTGCCCTGGAGCCAACATTAAATGCTCACTGTGCCTCACTAGTGATACTCAAAAAAAAGAAGAGTCACTACTGTCTACAGGAATAATCTGTGTTGTCTGTTATAAGTTCATTTGTGTCTGCTTCTGGCTAAATCTGGCAAAGAGATACTAAGCGGACCTGAGCAAATGAGCTATTTCTATAAGCAAATGACCTAGGATGCAATGGGAACAGATGCCTGTTCAGCCAAGTTGTACCTTTGTGCTCTTGACACAGTGCTAATGGGTCCATTGAAGTTCAAAATTAGAGTCCACCCATTCAAGTAGCCACTTACTATAGGTCTGTCTAGTTGTCTCCTTGGCTCTTTTGATGACTGGTTTGGTGCAATATCCCAAGGCTGCTCTGTTGATTATTGCTGAAATATTGTTTTATGTGAATGGGGACATAACCCAAGGAGTTGGAATACGTTGGGATGCTGAATAAGTTATTGTTCTGACTAAAGTGTGAAGGTAAATCTGTATCCTAATTATGCAAAAAAAAGGAATGTCTTTTCCAATAGCTTGTGGGAAACAAATTATAGCCATCAACTTAGACAAGTTTGTAAAGTAGGAAGCATTGATCATCATGAGATTCAGGCTGGAAGGAATGCCTGTTACACCAGCTAATGGCAATTACCCATCTCCTAGATACTTAGTAGAGGGAAACGTCACTTACAACATCACTTACAATGACAGTGACAACACATAGGATTTGAGTTTGCAGTGCAATAGAGCAGTTTTTAAAAGGCAGTGGTGGCAGTTGCTTTGGCCATCAGACATTACATCAGAGAGCAACGAGAAGGTGATCTCTCTTGAGCTGTTAGTGGCACTGCCACGAGATGATAGCACAGAATAATGGGTGTAGAGAGAGTACTGGAAGGAGGAAAGTTCAGTGAATTGAAAAGTCAGTGTCATGAATACACAAACCGTTAAATACCTGACTCTCAGCTCAGTAAGTAACCCTTATGAGAAAAGGAAAGGAAAGAGTTAAGGATAGACTGCATGTAAGTTAAGGATAGACTTCGGATCCCTGACATCTAAGCATAAAGTAAAAAAATAAGCGTAAAGTATGGCACATAGGATAATTGGTAAATAGATCAGTGTGCTGTGCAGTAGACTTTGAAAGGAGGTGGTTGGTCACTTAACTGAAATACTAGGAAATATTAATCCGTTCATCTCTGTTAGTCCTACCTCTGTAAGTTCTAGGACTGTGGGCTTCCACATCGGAAAGGGTTACACATTTGTCCTGTTACCTGTCACTCACGTTCTGGCTCTCTACTCTCCTTTGTCTCTCCTTGATCCCCAGTCTCTCATTCTGTCTTCCTTTTTTCCTCCTACACTTTTCTCCTACAACACACTCTGATTTGCAGCAGTTCACTTTACAAGGGCCTGACATGTGACCGCGACTTATTGCTTAGTAACCTTAGACCTGGAGGTAATAGGCAAATATGTTCTATTTCTTTTCTTCTCTAAACATCCTATGCAGGTAGAATACATTGATGCATATGCAGAAACTATAACATTAAAACCTTCGCCAAATTTGATCTCAAATAATTGCTTGCAAAGATTTGCCTAGACTAAGAAAATTATCAAGGAAATAATATCTATTCAGCTGAGTTTGACGTTCTTATTTCTATCCCGGCTGTGTGATTTGGATAGCAAAAGTGCAATGGCTAGGAACCTGTCTTTAATTATTTCTCACTCCACCTACTCCATTTGTATATTGTATCTGTTGTTTTCTTGGTTTGCTCTGGGGTTGAGCGTATTGAGCATCTTTAGAGATTTTGAAGATCCTCCCCTTTAACGGGTGGAGAATCTTAGGAAGAAACATTCTCTACGTAAGGAAAATTGGCAGAAACCTGGATGACTTTCCAGTTTTCTATAAATCAGATGTGCCTGGATTTGATAACGTGGATAAATTAACTAGGTGCAGTTCCAGGGAACGGAAATATTTCACTGGGTTTAGTTTGGTCAGAGATTTGAGAGGAGCAAATTGCCTAACCAGGAGGTTCTTATGTAGCAATTTTGCCATCAGTGATAGAAGGCTACTGTGTGCTCAGGCCACAGCTAGGGGCTTGGATGCATTGTCTCATCTATCCTCACAAACCATGGGAGATACATGAGGAGACCAAGGCTCAGAGATATTTAGCCACTTGCCCAAGGACACGGAGAGTATTTGAAACAGAGCCATGTTTCCACTGAGGTCCCTAGCTCACAGCCCTGGCCTGTCACCACTGGGCCACATTGCCATGTCAGCGTACTCTCCCTGCCAGATCGTCTGGAGCACATTTCCATACAGCAGATTCATGTGAATTCCTGTACTTTTTTCCTCTTCCCACCTCCCGCCCCAACAACAGGAGTTTGGCCCAGAATGTGTTTTGAATTCTCAAAGCGTTGACATCAGATAGGACACATAACAATGTGATCCTGCTGGAGATACAAAGTCAGACACAGCAAGCTTTTCCCTAAACAATCAAGGGAGGAAAGAAATATGCAGAAGACTAGGCTTGCAAATTTTTTTTCATACAGCTTTGGAGTTATTTGTCTTCTGGGTTGTTGCATTTATTTACCCAGTAGACACAGACAAATGAGATAAATACCTGAGAGAGTATGTTCAGATTTTTCAAATTCTTCAACATTTGGTAAGCTACAAATGATAATATTGATTCAAATTTTACATTATGGGTCATTACATAGAAAGTAAATCAACTGGTCTTGCTTTTTAAAAGTAATAATGACCTTTAATAAAGTAATCTGTAAGGTGTTCTTTAGTGAGTTATGTCTTAGAAGAAATAGTGAAGCTGTTATAGCAATTAAAAGTGAAGAGTATAGGTTTGGAATGTCTTATTTAAAAAAGAGAGTGAAGAGTGTTATTTAAAACGGTCTTGTATGAATTCTGGAGCATAAAATTCCTATATTCTGACAGTCTTTTTTTCTTATCAATTTCATAAGCAGAAGTGGTGCCAATAAAAATGGTACCTGGTATCAGCGTGTTTCGTCATGTACAGTGTATGGAATGAGGCCCTGTGAGCTACTTGGTATAAAAATTTAGAGGGTAGGTGTACCCAGCAGATGTTGTCTTAACCTGTAACTTTGAAGATCTGTGTTAAAAATATCATAAAGCAACATAAACTGTGTGTTTTCCCCTTTTACTGAGCAGTCGACTTTATAGACATGCTCATGTATTCATTCTGTGTCTGTATATCTGGACTTCACTCATTTAAGTAAAGGGCATGATGGCTCTGGCCTTCTTTTTTAGCAGAAAGCTTAGGGGACACAGAATCCCAGAATCGTGAACACAGAAATTATCATCACAGAATCACAGTCACCTGACTGGCTCCTGGCATCAATTAGTGAGTCTGTAGATCACTCAAGGTCACTCAACACCTTCTGTGTCTCCCTGAGACTCAAGAGCATCTGCACCCTGGAAAGTTTTATCACAGTTTCTCTGGGGTCCATCCTACCTCAGGTCAGCTGAGAACAGCTCATAGATGCATAGATGACTGTCAGGCCCTCAGTGATGATTGTTATGAATGCCCTCATGACATTCTGCATGCTTATTTATTTCTTAACTGTCTTGTTTGCATTTAAGGATGTATTTTAGACTTTATGGGAAATGTAATTCAATATGGTTTATCAATGTATTGATGGGAGAAAAAAATACCACCCGGGAGAGACAGGTGGATAACTTGTATCAGGTAAAAGAATTGAGGATCTTAGTCTAAATTTGTCTTTGCTAAGAAAAGAAGTGCGTTTTGTGAGAATATGTTCTTATTGGCAAGATAATGATAATGAGGCAAGATAATGAGGAGTTGCAAAAGTTATTAAAATGGATACTCAAATCTCTAGTTTAATGCTGACTTTTGACAGAGGGAAGCACCAATATGGTGGAGGGGGATAAGGAAAGCCAGCCTGCTGAGTAAATGTTGACTTCGATGACAGCAGGGATGCAAAGTGTAGACACGAAATATTGTCCCTTTAGGCCCTTTGGTAATTGTTATGCGGAGATTTGTGCCAGACAGTAGCCTGAAGAAAGCTAGCTTCCAGCTGGGGTCTTGGGCCATGTCCACTGGATCCAGCCTTCTCCTTAATCAGAGGAATGTTTGCTCTCTTTTCCTCCTTGCAAGCTCTGATTCATCTATAAAGATTTCAGTTTGAAACTACCTTTCCTTTTAAACCTTCCCTGATCTACTGCACAGCAAACCTTTCCTTCTGTGTCACCCCAGCATCTCCTACTTATCACTGCTTTGGGCCTACCATGTGGGCCTGTGATGATGCATTGCATGCTTGTCTTCTTCAGTCTTCCAGGACAAGGGCTGTGTCTGCAGCATGCTCATGCCCAGCATCTCAGAAGCTCTCTTATGTGTCCACTGAACCGTTGGCAAACTAGGGATAGGACATCCTGTGCTGGGGATGGGAGGAAGGAGCAAGTCCAATGGGGCTTGGGAAAGAACTGCTTGGGGAAGTTGGGTTGACCTGGATATTGAAGGATAAGAAGTGGGGACAGCATTGTGGGCCACAAGTCAGGAACATGCAGTCATGTGGCAGTGGTGACATGGAATCTGTTTATCAGGAAAAAAGACCATTTGTGTAGGGGCTCAGATTAAAGACAGTGCCAAGCTGTGAATGCCAGGCCAGAATTTGTAGCTTCACCCTGTAGGCAGCCTTAGTCAATTACATGTTAACAGGGAAATGCATTAAAAAGCAATGTGTTCAGGATATCGGAGATCTTGAGAATTGATTTGAGATGTTAAATAAATATTAGAGGTATAAGACCCTTTGCTGATGGCTCAAACAGGGCTTTCACAGATAACTGGTCAGGGTAGAACACTCAGGGATCACACCATCCTGCTTGCAATTACAAAGCAGGGAGCAGGTACCCATCTTTCTCCCTCAGGGCCAAGGATTGGAGTGAATGTTTCCCAGTTTAGTGTTCTACCCTTTGGCTGGTTCCAGCCCATAGAAGGAATGACTTACCTATCAGTGTGGTCTAGGCGAGTCTGACATTTCCATGGCTTCATGTACCTGAAGCAGAGACCAACCAGGACACACACCATGGTCACTAGCTTACAGCCTGTCCTCAGCCTTTGTGGCCTCTTTGGTCCTCCCTTCTCTGTGGAAGTGGAGCCCAGGCAGGACCTACTTCTGGCAGCCCACCCTGTCCCTGCTCTCCCTGATCCAGCTCTCTCACCTGCACCAAAGCCACCCTTCATTGAGAGGGACAGTTGTTTCCAGCTCAGGAGAAGTGGTGGGTGAGGACAACTGGCAGTTGGAAGCCTCCTAGAGCCTCACACAGAGTCTAGGCCCAACCTGTTAACAAGGAGCCCTGTGTTAGGGGTAGTAAAACCTTTACTAGTATCCTGCCGGGTGCGGTGGCTCACGCCTGTAATCCCAGCACTTTGGGAGGCCAAGGCAGGCAGATCACTTGAGGTCAGGAGTTCATTACCAGCCTGGCCAACATGGTGAAACACTGTCTCTACTAAAAATACAAAAATTAGCCAGGTGTGGTGGCGGACACCTGTAGTCCCAGCCACTAGGGAGGCTGAGGCAGGAGAATCGCTTGAACTCAGGAGGCAGAGGTTGCAGTGAGCTGAGATCACGCAACTGCACTCCAGCCTGGGCAAGAGTGAGACACCATCTCGGTGGGGGTGGGCAGGGAGGGGGACCTTTACTAGTATCCTCTTTGTACATTTCCCAACTGGTCAAAACCCCAAAAAGAGGGCGTGATTACCACCACCCCCCAGACTGCCTTTAAACCTGTCTTCAGAGTAAACAAAACCTCCTTGTTTTATATTATGGGTCATACACGTGGCTCGTACATTGATCCCTCTTGAAACGTCATGCTCTGGCAGATTACTGCAAAGCAGGTGCCACAAAGTCTCCTGGGACGTGCTGTTCCCTCATAGATTTCAATTTTTACTGAGCAAAGTGGATTATGCCTCACACTCTGCACGTTCCACTACCTTATGAGTCATTGTGAAAATCTCATTTAGTCCATTTAGGATTTAGTCCGGGGCTTGATAACAGAGCATGTCGGTTTGTAACTGTTCTTCCATAAAGGAAAAATAAAGGCATAAGGAATTTTTACTATGGAAAACATCATATAGCATAGCATAAAGAATCTTAATTGGGGGGAAAAAAAGAAGTCTGCACAGAATCAAACTCTCGGCTGTATGTTTTGACTTGCACTTCTTATCATGAAAATGGGATAGAGCATCACCTCCCTTGTTGTCCTGGGCTTGGCAAGCTTTCTGTACCTTCCAGCTCAATGCGGTCTTGTTAGAAATGCAGACCCTCGGGCTCCACCCCATGCTGAAGTAGAAGCCTTGTTTTAAGACGACCCCATGTGATTCATAGCTACACTAACAGTGCTTCACAAAGTTGAGTGTGCATTCAAATCACCTGGAGGGCTTGTAAGAAGCAGATTCCTGGAGTGTCCCCTCAGAGATTCAATTTGGCAGGCCTGGTTGAAAGTTGATCTCATCTGCCAGTCATCTGCCCATTTTAGCTTTCCCCTGAGCTAGAAGCGCAGGCTTCAGTCCACATGGCACCTGGTGAATGGAGGTATGTCCTTGAGCAGCCCCAGACTGCATGCATGGGTGAGCTTCAGCAGGACCTGCCTCCAGAGCAGCCCCAGTGCAGCAGTACTGGGTGCAGATGGGCAGCACCCTGGGCAAGTTGTCTCTGGAACACAATGCTGGGCTCAGTCGGGCTCCAGTCCAGTCTGGAAATTGTTAATCAGAGAGACATGGTACACCTTCTTCTATATCAATGCAAAGTCAGGCTCACCCTCCCTGTCTCTGCGCATAGTCTAGTCACTTCCCCTCCCTGTCTCTGCACATAGTCTAGTCACTTCCCCTTGAAAGTCTCCAGCCAGAAAAGGCTCTACTAGGACCCCTTCCCTTGGAGCCCATCACGCCCCTTCTCAAGAATGCTAAATATAATAAGGCTTTCTAATAGAGACTTGCTGGGTTGATGCCCAGGTGAACATACCTCTTTAGATGGGGCTCCTCTGAAGACCACAGCATGACTTTCTAGAATTTCTCTAGTTATAAGTAAGGGGTTAAAAAGAAAAACACCACTCTCCCATCAGGGATGTCACTATCTAATTAACTTTCTTTAAATTTTTTTTTAATTATTTCAGTTCTTATTAAAGCCTTTGTCTTCAGTCCTGAAACATTCAGCCTATAAAATCTCAAGCTACAAGATATCATTTCTCAGTGTTATTTCCAGGGCTTAAAATCTTATCACTGGCTATGAGAACTAGTAAAAGGCCTATAGACAATAAAGGTATGTTAAAGTCTGTGCTGTCATTTATATAAAAGAGAAATGTATGCAGTGAGATAAACACTGTCTTTTGAGCTATGAAGTTATCTTTCATTATATCAGCCCGCATATTTTATTAATTTTAATTATCTATGCAATTGTTGGCACAAAATTAACAGGTTGAAGAGATTGGGGACAATGGACTTTTGGCTGATTTGGCAAAGATCTGCTTTGGAAAAGTGTGCCTTATGACTTGATTTGAATTGGCACACTTTACAGAAGAAAAAAAGAAGACATATTCAGGATCCAGATTATTGTACTTGGTAAAAGCTGAGTTCCCTGGAGGTTTCCAGAACACCAGTTAAGGGTTATGCAGAGGAGCAATACATGGCCTTTGTAACTCTTCACTGTGAAATTCCAGGAGCATCCTACCGCAGGCAGGCAAAAGCTGAGCAGAAGGTGTTCATAGCCAGTCTATTCAGTCATTCTCATTCACTTCCTTGTATAAGTTTGGAGGGAGGATATATCCAGGTTTACCAACTGAGAGTATTTTGTATAATAAAAACCAGAAAAGTACAGCCCCAACTAGTTGAAAAAACAAAAGGTTCTTTTGACTGATGTTCCTGACAAATCTAAAGGCATGACCAAGCTTAGCCCTGGTTGGAGCAAGAGGTTAAAAACCAGGTGAGCAGGACCCAATTTGTTTTTCACTCACTTTTCAAGATGGCTGCTAAAAGCTCCATGATTCCTTTTCCACACTCTGCATGAAAGCAAGGTTCTCTGTTCCAGAGTTCCCAGCAAAAGTGCTCAAGTTAATTGGCCTAGTTGAATTGCTTGGCTAAACTAATTACCATAAATGAGGGAAGGGAAGCTCCAGGTGATTTGGGGCCTGGATCAGAGCCCAGCCCCAAGCCAGCTCACATGGCAGGAAACTAGGATGCTCTGGTGTACGCCACCAAACCACCCCGTAGCAGCAGAGGTGGGCACAATCCCAGGCAGCCCTTTCCATTGCCACAAACCCAGTCATAACATGGAGAACTAAGAAGGGAGGTTGGAAAGTGTGTGCAGGATGAAGCATGCCCATACATCCTGGCTTTTATCTCCTCATGGGAAGGAGAATTCCCAAATCTGCTGCCTTCATCTGTAACCCAAGTGTAGGAATGATTTAGAGAGGTGAGTCTATGGGAGAAAGAATGGTAAGGAGAGACGAAAGAAGCTCTGAGGCCCTCTAGTTTTTGGCTGATATGTTTTTTTTTTCAGAGGAATGATTTAACTCAGGAACAGCCTCAAATAGCATCTTCATTTATAGTAGCAAGCTGACTAATTTTCTTCAGAATCCATTTAGGGTTTCTGTTACCAAGGTAGGCTTGAAAGTGTAGCTTCAGGTGAGAACACTTACTCACAGATGCTGAAAGTGAGAAATATTACATTTTTATCTCCACATAATTACTATGTGTGTCTTCACAATTCTATATTAATAGTATAGTGAAACATAGGGAGAAAGCATGCACTCATGAACAGGAAATGTTTGATCTTACAACATTTTCCATGTGTTTATAAAGGGTGTGTGTATGTGTGTGTGTAGAGTAATAACTCTAGAAAACATCTAGAAATATAGATATGCTTTTGACAAAGAAGTAACTGTTTTGATTGCTTAGAATAGAGTTAATTGTGAGGCCCCAAATAAATATAGCTTAAGAAATACAAAATGAAGCCATATCTAGTCCTTAGTTCAGATCTCAAATATTTAGTCATTAATGAATGATTTTTGATGGGAATTTATGACAGTGTTCCAGATTCACAACATGATTCTCTAGGCTTTCAATTATTTTCTCTTTCAACCGTAAGAGCTATTTTAGCTGATTTTTATTATTATTACTCTCTTCTGCTTGTCAGCCTGAGAGTTTGCATAATGAAAACAGCCAATGTGTGTCATGAATCATTTGCATATAAATCCTGACAAATCCAACACAGGGCTACAAAAACTGGTCGTATACAAAAGATGGGTTGGACTTATAAAATAAACACAATTCACAAATTAAGTAATCATGTAATTCACTCCTTGTTTTTTCTGATTTTTTTTTTTTTTCCAGAACCGAATGGAGGAAAGCAAGGCTCTCTTTAGAACAATTATCACATACCCCTGGTTCCAGAACTCCTCGGTTATTCTGTTCTTAAACAAGAAAGATCTTCTAGAGGAGAAAATCATGTATTCCCATCTAGTCGACTACTTCCCAGAATATGATGGTAAGTCAGCACTCATACCACAGCTCAGTAGCTGTGAATAGGTTTTGTCTCCAAACCCCAGTGTGGGAGTTAACGCACTACAGTGCACCATTGCTGCCCTTGCCCTGTGCAGCCTGCGTGTTGAAACTGATACAGTAGGAATTCTTGTTTGCCCTGTCTTTTAGTGACACAAAACATTGCATTCCTTAACAATGCTAAAAGTCATAGAAAAAGAAACTCATGGCTGGGCACAGTGGCGAGCGCCTGTAATCCCAGCACTTTGGGAGGCCGAGGCAGGCGGATCACGAGGTCAAGCGATCGAGACCATCCTGGTCAACATGGTGAAACCCCGTTTCTACTAAAAATATAAAAATTAGCTGGGCGTGGTGGCAGGCACCTGTAGTCCCAGCTTCTCGGGAGGCTGAGGCAGGAGAATTGCTTGAACCCGGGAGGCGGAGGTTGCAGTGAGCCAAGATCGCGCCACTGCACTCCAGCCTGGCAACAGAGCAAGACTCTGTCTAAAAAAAAAAGAAAAGAAACTCATCTGCTTTGAAATAGCAGATCAGAAAAAGGAACAATCCAGTAGTTTTGACCAATTGTGTATTAACTCTTATAGTCCCCTCTGTGTCTCCCTTTCATTTGGTTACCGTCCACCTCTGCCTCTCCTCTCTCTGGGGAGGAACACAATTTTGAAGTTAAGAGCCCACCACTGAAATCAGTCTATCAAGGTTGAGATCCCAGTTCTGACACTTCCTATTTGTAGAACTACCATCAAGTCACTTGATTTTTCTGGGCCTTACGACCAAACTCATAGGATTGTTTTGTGCACTGTAGTATATAACATATGTGTACGTTTAGCATGATGCCTGACACGTAGGACACTTATGAATACTCAGGAAATACTTCCTTTTTTGAAACTTCATAGCCCAATGAAGTCCCACCACCATTACTAATAGTAACCCAGTGTTAAGCTCTTTGTGCAGCACTTAGAATCTATAGCATCCACTTCACTACTCCTATGGCTCTGCATTATTTGCTTTGTTCTTAGAAAAGGATCTTACCCTCCCCAACTAGACTGTGAAATCCTGGACAACTAGACACCCAACCCATTCTGAGAAACACTTGAACACTTGGTGATTGGTAACAAAATGCATCCACATGTAGCCACTATGTAAAACAAGTGAGAGTCACGACTGCTGCCCTATAAGAGTCTATGTGGCCAGGTGTGGTGATTCACACCTGTAATCCCAGCACTTTGGGAGACTGAGGTGAGAGGATCACTTGAGCACAGGAGTTCAAGCCCAGCCTGGGCAATGTAACGAGACCTCTATCTATAAAAAATGAGGCAGGAGTTGGCAAGAGGTCAAGACTGCAATGAGCCATGATCCTGCCACTATACTCCTGCCTGGGTGATGGGAGACCCTGTCTCAAAAAAAAAAAAAAAAAAGTTTATTTATTTGGCAAGATAATCACATCTCTCCCTTATGGCCCACCACCTGGTTTTATGAATAAAGTTTTATTGAGACATAGCCACACCCATTCATTATACACTGTCTATGGCTGCTTTCACACCATAACAGCAGAATTGGATAATTGTGACAGAGATAGAATTGTTTGCAAAGCCTCAATTACTCTGTGGCCCTTTACAGAGAAAGTTTGCCAAGCCGTGGTCTAGATAGTTAAGAGCACAAGCTCTGAAAAGTTCCACTTTGCCACTCACTGTCTGTGTTGCCTCAGACAAATTTATTTAGCTACTCAGTTTATCCCTGGGCAAGAAAGAATTGAATGGAATCATACATATATCACATAGCAGAAACCCAAAAGTATCTACCATAGAGGTGATATAACAACAAGAGAAGAGACTATTTTTAAAATTACATTGTCAACATATGATATCCAGGATGGATATCATTCCACAGTGTTTTTGTACTTACTAAAAGCTTCCTCAGAAAAGTAATTACTTTAAAAACCAAGATTAAATTTAGCTTCATAGCTTTCTATGATGATACAAACACATCAGGGATGGAGGTTTAGTCATCTTTTCATCCCACATGGAATGTGGTACAGTCCTGGCTCATGAAAGGGAAATGTTACATGTTAAATGAATTGAAGTTCCCTTCTCAAATACATGTAAGATCCTGAAGGTTGGTGAATTGAAAATATAAACATTTGTGGATGTCACCAGATGTTAGAAATGGTACCTTTTGTTAGCATTGTGTTCATATCCTCTCTTCAAGTACATTTTCCTTTGTGCTTTGCTGTTCTTTGAAAAACACTTTCTCAGTCTAAACAGTGTTTTCTCTTTCACTCCTTTTAATTTGCACTAGCCCGGAAACAAATCATCAATGCCTGAGACTGCACTTCTCAGTGTTGCTCAGAAAACTATGGAAGGAAGTGACTGTGTGGGTAGTTAACTTGCTTTCCCACCTCAAGCTTCAAACACATCTACCTGAATACAGTAGGCATGAAACATCTGGCTTAGATCTAAACACGCTTGCCTGCCACACACACACACACACTCGAGGTTCTTCTTAATTTTTCTTGGAACTTGGTAAGAATCAGCGTGTGAGAAATTGCCACACCATACACAACACCCCATCTTGTGGGCTGGCACGTTTTCATGATGTGCTTGCATAAGGGAGGATGCAGAACAGATAGAGCATGGTGCCCACGGAGGTGAACCCTTCTGAGGGGTTCATTCAAACTTCTCAGATGCAGCATACCTAGCCACACTTCACAGTTGCTGATTTTTCCGCAATAAAAGACTTAGTTTGTGATCAGTGCTTGCAGTGCTGTTTTTTGATCTCTGCACCATCTTCCTAATCTCTTCACGTACCTCCTTTCTCCAATAATTTCCCCAGATTCCCCACCACTACAAGCATTTTCCTTCCAGCATGTGCCCATTGTGAATATTCTGAAATCTGAAGACTTTTTTTTTTTTTTTTTTTTTTTTTTACTGTTACCTTACCCCAGTATACATATAATGCACAGAGGAAACTTGGCCACAGAAAAAGAAAAAAGACATTGATTTTGTTATTACAAAGCCAGCGCAGCAGTCATTACGTGAAACTCCAAGCCCTTGTAAGATGAGCAAACACTGAAAAAATTGAGGCCCACTCTGCAGTGATGTTTTTGTAATAAGCATGTTTATAGTATTATAAATTTCACACTTCCACATTTCTATACTTACAAGGTCTTAATCATAATGAATGCCATTTCTGTATTTCTCTTCAAGAAAGGAAATTACCCTTTCCACATGGACTTGAATTGCAAGATTGTTCATAGAGACTGTGGAATTCTGCTCCTGCTGTGATGGCTGTAATGAGTTCTTTGTAGTGTATGTTTATTCAGATAACAATTTATGCTTAAAAACATAACACTTTTCAAGTACACTTCAGTGAACTTGGATCTAGTTCTTATATTCTGTAGGGTAAATAAAAAAGAAAAAAAAAAGGTATAGTCCCTTCCTTCCCAAATAGAGTAAGTACAAAATCATACAGAAGTTCATTCAGAAGCCAGAAATATAATGTTCTTTTTATGAAATGAGAGACTTCTCCAGCTCTGGTAATCTGTTACTTTCTGGTTTTGAATAGTTTTTATTACTTCTCTGGAGTTAATAGTACATTGAAAAAGATGGAACATTAATTATATATATATTTGCTTGTATATATACTTTACATATTGTTTTTAATTGTACTTTTTATCTATTAAATATGATGCCAGCCCTCTTAGTCATTAAAAAAATTGAATTCTGGGCACCTACATCAAAAATTCAACATTACTTTTTTAAATTGTACAAATGAGGATAGTCTATTTGTTTTTATAATTCTTTCCTCCCATCTTCTGGCATTATCAGATATAAGTTTATTGGAGTAATCTCCAATTTATAAAAAGGTTGGTTTGAGAATAATTCAAGTCAGCTGTCTGAAGCTCAGGGTGCATTTTGTTAGAAATGGTGGTCAAGCCCTCAATAGAGTTCTGCAAGATCTCTTTATCCCTACTAGTAGGTAACAAGAATATTGATGATAGAAAAAAACCTGCTGGGTGTGGTGGCTCACGCCTGTAATCTCAGCACTTTGGGAGGCCAAGGTGGGCGGATCCCTTGAGGCCAGGAGTTGAAGACCAGCCTGGTCAACATGGCAAAACCCTGTCTCTTCTCTTCTAAAAATACAAAAATTAGCTGGGCATGGTGGTGCACGCCTGTAGTCCCAGCTACCCACGAGGCTGAGGCAGGAGATTTCGCTTGAACCCAGGAGGTGGAGGTTGCAGTGAGCCAAGATCATGGCACTGCACTCCAGCCTGGGCAACACAGTGAAACTCTGTCTCAAGGAAAAAAAAAAGTTTCTTATTGCTTGGTATAGAACTAACTTGAAAAAATAGGAGGAAATGCATATATAAAGCAACACAAAGACAGATATATGATACGTATCCAATACTTGAAAGGTGATGGTGTTTTGATGTTATTTACAGTAAGTTTTAAGTTAATATATCTATCGGTACCTATTAAATACACTTTTAAAACAGCTTTATTGAGATTATTTATATACCATGTAATTCACTTATTTAAAGTGTACAATTCAGTGGGTTTTGATATAGTACTTTTTTTAATTATAAAATTTGCCATTTTAACATTTTTAAGTGCACAATTCATAAAAGGCATTAATTACACTCACAATACTGTGCAGCCATCACCAGTATTTTCAAAATATTTTCACCACCCCAATTAAGCAGCAACACCCCATTTCCTTCCTCCCCCTAACCCTTGGAAACCTCTAATCTACTTTCTGTCTTTATGAGTTTACCAATTCTAAGTACGTCATATGTGTGCAAGCATACAATATTTGTTATTTTATGTTGGGTTTATTTATTATAATGTTCTCACAGTTCATGCATATTACAGCATCTGTCAGAGCTTTACTCTTTTTTATGGCTGAATAATATTCTTTTTGTTTCTGATATTCTGATATTCTGTTTGGTTTGGTTTTGTTTCTCCATGTATCTGTTGATGGACACTTGGATTGTTTTCGCCTTTTAGCTGTTGTTAACAATGCTGCTATTAAAATTGATGTACATTGCTTCTTGCCCTTTTGACTAAGATCAAGTGTCTATCAGAGCCCCTGCTCTCAATTCCTTTAGATATATACATTGGAGTAGACTAGCAGGGTCGGTCATATGGTTATTCTATGTTTAGCTTTTTGAGGAACCACCAAACTGTTTTCACAGCAGCTGCACCTTTGTACATTCCCAACAGTGCACAAGAGTACAAATCTCTCCATATTTTCCCAAACCCTTGTTAATTTTATAGCCATGCTAGTAGATGTGGAGAGGTCTGTCACTGTGGTTTTGATATGCATTTTTCTAAATGATTACCATTATTGAGCATCTTTTCCTGTGCTTATTGACCATTTGTATATCTTCTTTAGAAAAATGTCTGTTCAAGTCTTTTGCCTATTTTTTAATTGGGTTTTTTGTTATTGAATTGTAGGAGCTCTTTATATATTCTGGACACTAAACGCCTATCAGATGACATGATTTGTAAATATTTTCTCCCATTCTATAGATTGGCTTTTCACTTTCTTAATAATGGCCTTGGCCAGGTGTGGTAGCTCATGCTTATAATCCCAGCACTTTGGGAGGCTGAAGTGGGAGGACTGCTTGAGGCCAGAAGTTCAAGACAACATAGTGATACCCCCATCTTTACAAAAAGTTTAAAAATTAGCCAGGCTTGGTGGCACCTATAGTTTCAGCTATTCAGGAGGCTGAGGCAAGAGGATCACTTGAACCCAGAAGGTTGAGGCTGCAGTGAGCCATGATCATTCCACTACACTGTAGCCTGGGTAGCAGAGCAAGACCCTGTCTCAAAAAAAAAAAAAAAAAAAAAGTCCTTAGATACATAAAGTTTTTAATTTTGATGAAGTCCAATTTATTTTTTCTTTTGTGAAAAATATGACCTGTGCTGTGGTGTCATATCTAAGAATCCATTGCAAAATTACATTTTTAGTTTATCTTGCTAGATATGTCACAATCCTTTTTCAAAGCATCTAGGAGAATTCTTGGTACATAAGAGACTCCTTCTTAAATCAATGTAAGAAAATATAGGTTGGGCACAGTGGCTCACACCTGTAATCCCAGCACTTTGGGAGGCCAAGGCGGGTGGATCACCTGAGATTAGGAGTTTGAGAACAGCCTGGCCAACATGGCAAAACCTTGTCTCTACTAAAAATATAAAAATTAGCCAAGCATGATGGCAGGCACCAGTAATCCCAGCTGCTCAGGAGGCTGAGGCAAGAGAATCGCTTGAACCTGGGAGGCAGAGGTTGCAGTGAGCTGAGATCTTATCACTGCACTCTTACCTGGGCAACAGAATGAGACTCCATCTCAAAAAAAAAAAAAGAAAAGAAAATATAAACCAATTGTTTTATCATCACACATGAACTGAATGCTACACAAATGTAGTGTGCTCAGAAATACCAGAAATCTATGGAAGTGAGACTGTTACAGAGGCCCATTGTAGATAGACCTGACCTTACAAACAGGTGTTCTAAGAGAGATGTCAGTCTGGAAGATGTAAAATGATCCATAATATTGGGTCGTTTGGAGGACAGATTGACAGGAGAGCCCGAGGCAGCTGTATCTTTGTGCACACTTATTATATAGCTGAAACAAGCATACTTAACTCAGTTGAACAGAAGTAAGCTATCACTCCCCTGATGAAGAGCCTACAGTGGCTCCCAATCACTCAGGGAATCAGAGTGAAGGCCAAGCTAAGAAATAAACTTAGCCTTGGCTTTCAAGTCATCTGTCTGCTTTCACCTATCCACATTTTGTGAATGGGTGGGTGCCTGGGTGGGTGGATGGATGGTCAGACATAGCAGTGTTAGGGAAAATGATTATAACAGATCAAATCTGCAGTGCAGATGTAGGCTTCATGAGCAATGACACAGTATTTATTGAACCAATGATGATTGAATACATTAGCAGATTAGGTAACAAAGTGTCCCTCTTGTCTCTTGGCCGAAAGGACCCCAGAGAGATGCCCAGGCAGCCCGAGAATTCATTCTGAAGATGTTCGTGGACCTGAACCCAGACAGTGACAAAATTATCTACTCCCACTTCACGTGCGCCACAGACACCGAGAATATCCGCTTTGTCTTTGCTGCCGTCAAGGACACCATCCTCCAGTTGAACCTGAAGGAGTACAATCTGGTCTAATTGTGCCTCCTAGACACCCGCCCTGCCCTTCCCTGGTGGGCTATTGAAGATACACAAGAGGGACTGTATTTCTGTGGAAAACAATTTGCATAATACTAATTTATTGCCGTCCTGGACTCTGTGTGAGCGTGTCCACAGAGTTTGTAGTAAATATTATGATTTTATTTAAACTATTCAGAGGAAAAACAGAGGATGCTGAAGTACAGTCCCAGCACATTTCCTCTCTATCTTTTTTTTAGGCAAAACCTTGTGACTCAGTGTATTTTAAATTCTCAGTCATGCACTCACAAAGATAAGACTTGTTTCTTTCTGTCTCTCTCTCTTTTTCTTTTCTATGGAGCAAAACAAAGCTGATTTCCCTTTTTTCTTCCCCCGCTAATTCATACCTCCCTCCTGATGTTTTTCCCAGGTTACAATGGCCTTTATCCTAGTTCCATTCTTGGTCAAGTTTTTCTCTCAAATGATACAGTCAGGACACATCGTTCGATTTAAGCCATCATCAGCTTAATTTAAGTTTGTAGTTTTTGCTGAAGGATTATATGTATTAATACTTACGGTTTTAAATGTGTTGCTTTGGATACACACATAGTTTCTTTTTTAATAGAATATACTGTCTTGTCTCACTTTGGACTGGGACAGTGGATGCCCATCTAAAAGTTAAGTGTCATTTCTTTTAGATGTTTACCTTCAGCCATAGCTTGATTGCTCAGAGAAATATGCAGAAGGCAGGATCAAAGACACACAGGAGTCCTTTCTTTTGAAATGCCACGTGCCATTGTCTTTCCTCCCTTCTTTGCTTCTTTTTCTTACCCTCTCTTTCAATTGCAGATGCCAAAAAAGATGCCAACAGACACTACATTACCCTAATGGCTGCTACCCAGAACCTTTTTATAGGTTGTTCTTAATTTTTTTGTTGTTGTTGTTCAAGCTTTTCCTTTCTTTTTTTTCTTGGTGTTTGGGCCACGATTTTAAAATGACTTTTATTATGGGTATGTGTTGCCAAAGCTGGCTTTTTGTCAAATAAAATGAATACGAACTTAAAAAATAAAAGCTGGTATCTTAAAATGTAAGAGAGTAAGACTGTGAAGCCTAAAATGACTGGCTGAGAATGAACCAGAAATGCCATTTGCCAAACAGTTGTAACTAGAAATTTGATTCTCACGGTCCATTCTTTTCTTTGTCCTTAAGATGACATTGTTAGTGTTCACGTCCCATGTTCAGTGTCCAAACCGGCAATGTAAAAAGTATCCTGTGTGGTTTAACAGGAAATCTGTTTATGTCTCTTTATTTGAAACCAGTTTTACTCTCAGTGGTTCTTTAAGTTCAATGAAGTCTGCCAGGAACATTGGTTGGTAGTATTATTCCGACACCTTTAATTTCCAAAATCTGAAGTTCCTGCTAGTTTACCACCTTCATGATCTTCTTGAACTGGTAACTGATTAGGTTGAACTTATGGAAGATTTGTGGACTTAACTCAAAAGTAACCTCTCAGTGTTCTATAGAACATGTATTTGTGTAACTGAACCTACCAGGAGAAATGTTTGGAATTCTATATGTGCAATTTTTCAACAAATGCAAAAAAAATACAGCACATGTATTGACAAGCTTCTGTCAAGCAGCTTGAGTTGAAATTTGATTTAAGAAAATAAATCATGATTGTTCAAAGCTGCTGGGACGTTAGAATTAGGCCATGATACTGGTCTCATTTTAACTACAGTGGTATTTGGCACTAGTGTAAACTTCCATATAAATCACTCTTTTGGAACAACAAAGGGGGAGGGAGAAAAATCACGGCCTGTTAAATGAGTACCAAAGCCGCCCAACAGTAATGAGATGTTCTCATCCTTGATTCTCCCAGCCTCAAACAACACAGCTTACTTTTTTTTTCCCTTGCTCAGAAAGTACCTGTAATTTAACAAACAGACTGCCTGTAGGTATAGTGCAATTACAAATGCTCTAATCATTGTACATACATCTCTCTTGATATTGCAGCATCCATACTGGCTTTGTAATCATTAATTTTTTGGCAGATTGAATGTGCTGTATTGATATGTATCTATGTAATTGTATTGTATGTCTATAGCTAATTCACGTTTTGAATAATGTTATTTTATTTACTTTTTTAAGAGAGGAGAATGTAAATTTGTCAGTTTATTTCTGACTAGGGATATTTTCTTTCCATTTAGAAAAGAAGAAAAAAAAAAAACCTTACTGTCATACAGAGCGGTACTAGCGTCGTGCTGTATAAAATCATTTGCACATTCCTGAGTAGAGGTATACTGATTATAAGACCCAAAGGTAATTTCATAGCAAAATACATAAAATCAGTCGGAGCTTTTATACAAACATGGAAACCAACTTTGTAGAACTTTTGCCATTTGATCTAGGATTGGAATATGAGCTTTTATACAATTCATATTCTTATTTGGCAAATGCACAGTTTAGTATTACCTCTCTGATGGCCTTTACTAGAAAGGCAGTTTTAGAAGCTATTGTGATCCACTAAGGAAATGTTTTAACAGCTAGAGACCACTGCTTGCCTGAAAGGGCGTTCTTAAATTTGGTGCAGCAAAAAAAAAAAAAAAAAAAAAAAAAATTAAACAACAACATTTGAAGGCCTACAGTGTGTATAGAGAAAACCTCATCACAAGATCATAAGTGTTACAGTTTTAGGGAATCAAGATATTCTATTTAATAGAGCTATAGTAAATGTAGTCAATTAAACCTGATCTCAAAGCTTGAAGAAGCTGAGCAAAACAGGGAAAGATTGTTATATTTGTCTTTATGAAATTGGGATGGAATTTGCTATGCAGAATTGAGGTTTGTGGCTTCGCTGTTCCTGTAGGGTGCATGACAAGATCCCTTCTCTTGAGAAAGGAAAAAATTGATCACCCTAGCAGCAGTGATGCATAGAAACCTAATTTTAGCCACACCAGTCAATCGAAGCTAAAGGATTTTCTTTTTTGTTTCTTCGGGGTTTTATTGAAGGGGCTAGGGGCGGGACGGGATTCTTTTCAGTTTTGTATAAAAACAAAGTTTACTCATGCTTTATATTATATTGTGATTGCAAGCGTTATAAGCGTGTGCCACTGGCCTCCTATTGTTGATGCTTAGGTAATGGAGGCCTGTGGTGAGTTTTATGGTGACTTGGGCATGTCTTATTCAAAAACAAAAACATAAAACACAGAAACCTTTCTTCAGCATACCAAGGCAAGCAGCCATTTCATGACTCACTTAACACATTGCAGTGTACCAGTTTACAGATGATTTTTCCCTTTTTGCGTGACATGGCAGTTCTAACCCCCAGAGAATTCCTTATTTGTAAATTGGAAGTTTCTACTATGCCTTACAGAGCTTAAATTCAGAAGTTTGTGCCTCATATCTGAAACAAAGGGAAATAACACACCCATTCAAAAGTAAATAAATCTCCTAGAAGTTTTTGTTTTTAACATTTCCATATAAAGAGCTCTGTTGAATGTCATGAATAGACTGGAAAAAAAAATTTTAAGAACCTGCATATGTTGTTTACTAGCAGATGACAACTACAAAAGGAATCTGAAGAACACGTAAAACTTGTATTTTTTTTTTTTTGGTAGATTAACTAGCAGGCCTATTTTAAAAAGGTAATTCAGCTAAAGGGCAATTTACTTTTTTGTACTTCAGACTATCTTGATTGTCAAAGTGTACGAACTGTAATTTTAAAATTTATACTGCCACATGATTGTAAATTTTAGTTGTCTTAAGTTAGGAATTGGTGAAAAGCTATTTATGCTGGATTTGGGTCAAAATGACTTATTTGCAAAAAAATAAATAATGGGAAGAAAGGGCTGTATAATGAAATACTGCAAGACTCACATATTGGTTGGAAATTTCCCTCAAATCACCTACCGATTACCCTTGATTTCCCTTTGTTTTCAGTTTCTCAAAACGAATGAAATGAAATATAGCAGAATGTTAACCCATATAAAAATAAAGTGTACCCAAATATTGTAATGTATATTGCTGCTCTTCTTCAAATTAAATAAGGGTTTAAAACCACTTAATTGGTAATCAACATCTCAATTGATACAAATAAGGTGTGCTTGGTATACATTAATATTTTCTTCCAAAGATATATCTTTGGTTAGAAACACAAAAAAATAAAACTAGTAATATTGTATGTTTATCTATCTCTACATATTTCCAGCATATGTAGCGTTAATAGATCTGTCCTGGTAACTGTGTCTTTGGGATTTCATTTTGGTTCCATCAAATTAGGAAAAGAAATGGCTTAGTTGTATATGATTAGCTAGAGATTTTTGGAGCCAGACACCTGCTGTTTAGTAGATAACTTAGTACAGACCCTAAACTTGTCATTTGTTTTTCTCACAGAATAGCCATTTCCTGCTGTCTTCCCAATGATCACTGCCCTTTCAATAACACTCTTGCCTCTAGAATCATATGTTCAAAGTATGAATACACACCTAGCACATAGTAGGTGCTCAAATATTAATTTCCTCCTTGCCTTCCTTATCTACCCTGTGTCCTCCATTTCCCCGTATGATTCCAACCCAATATAGCAAATGACATTTACATGTTATGAAAACATCTATTGGGTAAAATCAGATCTTGGATAAAGAAATTCTGACTTTTATATAAGCTTTTGGTAGACAGAAAAAACAGAAAGGTATTCGTTGGTAGAACATTTTTAAGTTCAGGAAAGAAAGCTGGAATAATACTACGTAACTTTGTCCAGGTTACTTTGACTGAAACACGTTTTTGGTGGATTTCTTTTCCTCAAAGAACTCTCTAAATGCAACTCCTTGCTGGATTCCTCACCCATCATCCTGTTGGAAACCCTTACTAGACCTATGTATTTAGGGAGTTTTGTCAGAAAACATTTTTAACTTGCAGTATTTAAAAGAATATTTACTGTTCCTAAAATGTCATTCAAATGCATGTACTGTCTATTGTTTGGGGATGGGAACTAGTTTTGCAAAAAACACCTAATGTTGTATAATAATGCCCCAATGATCTTGCTGGTTAAAAATACAGTATTTTTGGCCATAATTTTGTACTATAGTATTCTTCATTGTTGAGTTTTGCTTCCATTAAAGTTGCCCGAGCCCCTCTCAGAATGTTTTGTATTAGTAGGAGTACTGAAATACATCTTTCCTTCCTTAACACACCTTGTGCATATTGCATTTTCCAAAATAAACAAGTTTAATGGTTTCAAAAAAAAAAAAACACCAAAAAACCTTTTCCCTTCTGTGTATAATCAGAAATAAGAGTCTCCTGTAGTGGAAATACACATATTGGTAGCATTTATCAAATTTGCTCTTTGAAAAAACTTGCCTTAATTTAGGTTATAATTAACTGGTTAAAAAAAAAAGTAAATACCTATCCAATAAAGAAAGGAGCCAGCAATCTTCAACCTGAGGCAGTCTCCCAATCAGTAAAAAGAATCCACACATCTGCCCTGGTTTACTGGGTAGCACACTGGACTCAGGCCAATGGCTGGCTTAAGAGTTTTGCCCATTTCAACACTGGCAGTGAATAGGTAGACTCCACATGGGAAAAATGACATGTCACAGGTGTCCTCTCTGAGTTTTAGAAACACATCCAGGCTTTTGAGGTCAGCTAAAAATCAGCTGCTCCTGGGAGTTTTATTAAGTGGAGGTGATGGTGGCAAGTGGCTTTCTGGAAAATAGGTACTTTTGTGGGGACTTTAAGCCACAGCAAAAGCAAAACCTGTTCCTGTTACTCCAACTGGCAGCCAGCCCTTGCTTATGGATTTTTGTTTTTCAGAATATGTCCCCTCTAAATACTAAGAGATGAGAGTGTCATTTTTGCTTAAAGGCCTTCAGCTCTCCTTGTGTGATTTAGAGACCATTTCCAGTAGATGGTATTCTCTCTCTCTGTCTTAACTGTTCAAGGAATGGCGTGGCACTGACTGTCATCTAGCACAGGCCTGGAGTGATGGTTCCCACACCCTAGTTCTGCAGAGACACTGGAGTGTTAAGCTATACAGGAGCACTCCCCTCTCTTTGGCCTTCTAACCTGAGTTTGACCCCTTTAGGACCATGATCTATTTGTACCATCATTCCAAAGACCCCCACCCAGAGGAAAAAACACAAACTCACTAAACAGTCATTGGGCCAAATATTTAACTTGACCTTTTGGCTCATAGAGCAAGCCTATGCCATCAGATTGTCTTCTGTCCTGTCTTTCTGGAAATGGTAACAAAACAGTTGGCTTGAAAGCTTCTCTGCTTTACTCCCCATCTTTCCTGCCTTCTCACATTTTTCTCTCAGGTTGTGATGCCCTGAGTCCTGCCTCTTGAGAGACAATTAAGCCATAGCAAAAAGGTGGAACTTGATGCTAAGGAACAACCAGGTACACTGCATAATGTGTGCAGAGCAATTTCAGATGGTAAACTAGCCAGTTTCTTGCTTTTTTGTCTAATTTCAAATGATTATCATACTCATGAGTTTCTCCATATTTGAAGCTCTTATTGAAATTTGATCAGGGGTGGAGAGTGAAAGGCAGTGGTTAGAAGTGGCTTTCTGGCTGATTTGTTTTAAATTACGCATTATCGTTATTTTTTTTTGTTTCATTGTCATGGCTGACTAAAACATGGATCCAGCTATTACAAGGAGCTATATCCAGTCTGTTTTAAGGGAGTCCCGTAGATTCCTGCAAAACAAGACCCTGGTTATAAAATGTAGGTCTCTTTAAAATCTAAGATGCATAGAGAGTACTGAAAAGATTATTTTCCCTTTGAATTCTTATGCCTCAAGACTATTGGAATTTGATCTCTGTTGATTTTTCTCTCTTCCTGTTTTCCTCAAGAATGCAAAGGCCAGAATATTTTTCTGTCTCATAAGCCTGTGGATAAAATAAGGCAACTTACCCTCTTTAATTAAGAGTAATCACACTGAACCATACTAACAGAGAGCTGGAAGGCAGGGCTCCCAGGTTTCAGCCCTTTCGTAGCCCTAGAGATGTTTTTGCAACTCAGGAGACTAGGCCTGTCCCACAGAGATAGACTGCTTAAAGGGCCCTGGGGACTCTCCATCTGTTTCCAGTTTGCTCCGTGTGCTTTTATGTTGGGTCTTAAAAGCATCTTAAAAGGACCAGGAAGAGACAAGGTCTGCAAATGGAGATTCCACACTGTGTCCAGCTGCCAGGACGCTAACGTAGCTGCTGCTAAGACTGTGTCTGCCCTGAGGCAGACCTCACCTAGGAGGGCATATCTGTTAGGAATCCTGGCACTGCCTGCCAACCTACTGTCCAGTCAGGGCACCAGCCAGTCATGCCTGAAGTACAGGTGCCATGTCAGGGGTTATAGCATCAATGGTTATATTCTAGGAATCTGAGCAGTCTTAGCAAAAGGGACCAGCTTGCTTTTGTCACTGAACTTGGAGTTGAGAAGAGATGCTGACACCTGGCTCTCAAAGTGCCCTGCATGCCATCCTCAGGTGCTTTAGGTGATGCCTTTCTGTAAACCTGGAGAGTGTCAGCAGGAAAGACCACCCTGGCTTACTGCACCAGAAACATATGCATTCCCTCCCCTGTGACTCAGACCCAATGACCAAAAAGCAAACTGGCCCCATACCCATGATGGGCTCTGACAAGTGGCGGCTCTGCTGGAAATACAAAATATTTAAACTCAAAAGGAATCAGTTTGGGTAGCAAATTTAACTAATACGTGTGTGTGCGTGTGCGTGTGTGTGTGTGTGTGTTTAATGTCTCAGCATCTCCAACCAACTCAATCATTGCTGAATAAAGAGGAAAACCCCACACAAATGTTTATGTCAATTGGGTAAAATCAATCCTAATATTTTTAAAAACATAGTCTCTACACATACGTGGGTACACATGTAAAATCTCAAAATGGTTTTATCTTGACGCTGTGTACACAGATACACGTGTACAAATATCCGCACATCTATACAGTGAGGCTTGCTTATCCCTATGGTTATAAGCATTTTATCTCATGGAAGGTAATTCTTCATATTGACATGATTGAGACTAAAAGTATCATAAAATCCACAGCTCACGTTTTCTTTTTTAAAAAACTGTTCTCTCACCGCTCTTTTCAAAACTCTGCCTTAATCTAGGAAAGAATACCTAATTATTGCACTTTTTTTTTTTTTAAATTGTTTTAGGAGAGTTGAACTTAGACTGGGGTTTCTCTGTCTCTGGGCAATGAGGGGATGTATTTCCAGCAGACAGGAAGAGTCTCAGACCAGGTACAAAAACTGGATGAAATGTCTGTCTCATTACGAAAGCCACACTTTAGATGCACATTCCTGTAGATGTTATCGTTTCCATTCCTGAGTTAAGTCTTCTCTGTGTAGATTGCTCACTTCCTACTACAGATGATGAATTGCCAGAACACCAGGCACATACCACACAGCTTGTACAGAACTACAGACTCAGAACAGACAGTTTGGGGACTGTGTTCTTCTATAATTATTCTTCAACCTGCTGGAGGTGCCTCGCTGCACGTTCCATACCCACTAGTCCACCCAGGGGGTTGCTGCAGGCAGTTCAGGGCAGGAGCCCCCTGCACCCTTCTAGCATTCCCTGGCCACCAGCCAAAAACCAGGAGTTGATGCCTCAGGAGTGACACGACCAGTGGGGGACAGGAGTCCGTGGATACACGCTTCTGCTGTTGGCCCTCAGTAGATAAACCTGAGTTTCATCCTACAGGTCTCTCTAGGGCCCCCAGAGCAGGACTCAGCCCCAGCTGTTATCAGTGAAACTTGCTCGCGAATGTACCCTTTATTGGCTTCTCTCTCCTGGTGGTCTTGCTTGTGCACTCTCTTGTGGTTCTTTATGACATCACTTCTCAAATTCATTGCACCCAAACTCCTAACACAGGACCTACTCTGGGGGAAATCTCAACTAAGACAGGATCAACGGATGGCTTTCATTGTCAAAGACAATGGAATAATCAACAGGCCATAACTGAGACTAGTAAACACTTTGCCTTGAATGGACTACCAGCTGCAGCTGATGGTTAAGGTTCAAGATTAGTACCTGGAACCCTAGCATAACATGAATTTGCCACAAAGGCCCACAGTGGGAGATTCTGTGGTGAGAGATATGTAGATACACAGACACACACCTGTACTAATATAATCTATACAATATGACACAACTTATTCAATACAAATTTATACAATAATATACTTATGAAAAAATTTATGTTTCTTAGAAGTTACATGTAGAGACCGGGCATGGTGACTCATGCCTGTAATCCCAGCACTTTGGGAGGCCAAGGCAGGTGGATCATTTGAGGTCAGGAGTTCGAGATGAGCCTGGCCAACATGATGAAACTTTGTCTCTACTAAAAATACAAAATTAGCCGGGCGTGGTGGCTCACACCTGTAATCCCAGCTACTAGGGAGGCTAAAGTAGGAGAATTGCCTGAACCCGCGAGGCAGAGGTTGCATTAAGCCAAGATCACTCCACTGCACTCCACTCCAGCTTGGGCGACAGAGTAAGACTCTCTCAAAAAAAAAAAAAGAAAAGAAAAAAAGTTACTTCTACAGCATTTTAAAGAGATAAGTTAATAGTTAATAATCATTATTTTAGAGGTAGAGATGGGGGTCTTACCATGTTGCCTAGGCTGGTCTTGAACTCCTGGCCTCAAGCGATCTCCCCAGGAACTTGGTCTCCCCAGTAGCTGGGACTACAGGCATGCACCACCTCACCCAACTAATAGTAACTTTTAATTGTTGAAGAAAAGTGACTTAGACATTTTTATTTTACTTTCATCTGTTAAGAGGGACCCTGTACTCCCTTCCTCCACCTGCCCAGCACTGTCTATTGACTCCCAGGATGAGCATCCACACCAGCCCTGAGTAATTGATTCCAGATGCTCAGATCGGCTGCCTCCTGGGAGACACCCATGGACTTTTGTTCTTGCTCCTCAGGCCAGAGGATGGTGCTGACATAGAGGCAGAAAGGAAAGAGGAAAGAATCTTCCATCAGAGAATTGGCACATATGGTGACATTTAATCATTGGGAGAAAATCAGAGAAGAGAGAACATATATTTAAAACTATCACAAAAGTAAAGGAGCATTTTCTGGGCCATGTTCTGAGAAAGAGCATCTGCCTTCAGAGAAGGAGGGGGAGGGGAGGAGGGGAAGGGGAAGGGAGAGGAGGGGAAGGGGAAGGAGGAGGGGGAGGAGAAAGAGTAGGAGGGGGAGAAGGAAGGGGAGGGGAACAAGGGGGACAGGGAGGAGGAGGGGGGATGGGGAGGGGAAGGAGGAGGGGGAGGGGAGAGGGAGGAGGAGGAGGAGGGAGAAGAAGGAAGAAGAAAAACTTTCTCCAATTTTTTATGGCTGGTAAAAGATGTCCTTAGGAAAAATAAGGAGACTATGTTGCAAAGCTTCATGAAACGAGACTTTAGAAACAGCTCTTTAGAATGAGAAGCTCTCTGCCAATGCAAAAAAAAACTATTAGGACACTATTTTGTTAGTACTAATGTCTGAATATATTGTTCTAAAATATGCTGGAATGTACTGAAATTGTATTTAACTGTCTAATTTATTAACTAAGTTCTTTGACTAGATGGTGAAGGAATGACTTTTTGAGTGGGGATTGCATGTTTGCATATTTTGAGATGGTCCACAACTAAATAAAATTGTATTCAAACCCAAATGCTGCCCTCGAGAGAAACTATTTTCCTAGATCCTAACCTATTGGGATTTTATCAGAGCCTAATCAACCTATGGGAAAGGAAATACCCAACTGCAGCTCTCTCTAGCTTTCCCCATGGGAGAAGGGAAATACCAAATACCAGTCTCCTCCAGCCGTCTTGTCCCATGTAAGGCAGGAAAAAACTGAGAGCCACTTGTGAAATTCACAGCCCAGGGGCACAGGCTCATTACAAGACTGAGGCTTAATCACAGGACTGTAGAATATTTTCCCTCCCTCAGACCTTACCACTAATTACTGAAGGCCTATTTACTGGATTTCTCTTCATCCACTACATCATATCCAGCTTTAAAAATTACAAGGCATACTAAAAGGCAAAACAAAACAAACAAACAAAAAAAACGCAGTTTGAAGAGACATAGCAAGCATCAGATCCAGAATCATATATGGCAGGGATGCTGGAATTCTTACAGCAGGAATTTAAAACATTTATTATTAATATGCTAAGGGCTCTAATGGAAAAAGTAGACAACCTGCAAGAACAAATGGGCAATGAAAGCATAAAGGAAGAAATTCTAAGAAAAAAGAAAAGGAATAATAGAAATCAAAAACACTGTAATAGAAATTAAGTATGCCTTTGATGGCTTCGTTAGTAGACTGGACATGGCTGAGGAAAGAATCTTTAAGCCTGAAGATATGTCAGTAGAAACTTCCAAAACTGAAAAGCAGAGAGAGAAGAAAAAAAAAAAAAACACTAAAAAACAAAACAAAGGGTTTCATTTTGGGGTGATAAAAATCCTTAAACTCAGATAGTAGTGACTTCTGCTTTCTGGTCTGGCATATAAGGAGCTTGGCAGTTACAACTCCACCCTAAGAAGAACTAAAAAGCGGAACAAACTGAAAAACCAATAACTCTTCTTAGATCCCTCAGAGAAGTGAAGTCACAGGGTAAACCATTGTCCTCAAACTGGAGAGACAGGCAAATACAGAGAATCACTACTTATGGAAGCAGAAACCCAGGAGAAAAAGCCTCTACCAAAACCAGTGCCAGGATGCAAAAACCTAAACAGTAATTGATGCATTTTGGAAGGTTCAATGTGTACAACTCTGAGAGTTGAAACTCCAGACTACCCAGTCATGGGAGACACTCATACTTTGGCGAGTTTTAATTCCAGGAGCTCAAGCAGGCTCTCACAGTGATTATCAGGGGAAAATCCCCTCATGCTTCTGGTAGAAGGAGGGGGAAATGAAGCATTTTGAAATATGCCAGACCATCCTGTTTGTCTTAACAAGGCCTGTCCTCAAGAGAAACTTTTTTTTTTTTTTTGAGACGAAGTCTTGCTCTGTCACCCAGGCTGGAGTGCAGTGGCGCGATCTCGGCTTACTGCAAGCTCCGCCTCCCAGGTTCACGCCATTCTCCTGCCTCAGCCTCCTGAGTAGCTGGGACTACAGGCACCCACCACCATGCCCGGCTAATTTTTTGTGTGTGTGTGTATGTTTAGTAGAGGCAAGGTTTCACCGTGTTAGCCAGGATGGTCTCGATCTCCTGACCTCGTGATCCACCCAACTCAGCCTCCCAAAGTGTTGGGATTACAGGTGTGAGCCATCACGCCCAACCAAGAGAAACTTTTTATCAGAGCCTAAACTATTCAGATTTTACCAGAGTCTAACCAACCTGGAGAAAGGGAAATACCTAACTGCAGCACACACTGGCCATCCTGTCCTGCTGAAGGACGGGAAGAAGATTGAGAAGCATGTGTAAAGTTCAGAGTCCAGAGGTACAGACTCTCTGTAAGACTGACACTTAATCATAGGAACATAAAAAGCCTCCTTTTCCCCCATGTTACTAAAGGCCTCTATGCAGCAGTTCCTTTCATCTACTGCATCATGAACAGATATCAAGAAAAAAATTACAAGGCATACTAGAAGGAAAAAAACACACAGTATGAAGTGACAGAGCAAGCAAGATGAGACTCAAATATGTCAGGGATGTTGGAATTTTCAGAGTAGAAATTTAAAACAACTATGACTAATATGCTAAGGGCTCTAGTGGATACACAGTAGAGAATGTGTGAGAACAGATGGGAAATGTAGGCACAGAGACTGAAATTCCAAGAAAGCATGAAAAGAAAATGATAGAGATAAAAAACACTTTAACAGAAATAAAGAATGCCTTTGAGTAGTAGGCTAGACATAGACGAGGAAAAAGATGCAGAGTTTGAGAATATCTCAATAGAAACTTCTGAAACTGAAAAGAAAAAAAAAAGACTAAGAAAAAAAGAACAGAATATCCTAGAACTGTGGGGCAACTACAAAAGTTATAATAGGTATAATGGGGATACCACAAGGAGAATAAAGAGAGAAAGAAATAGAAGAAGTTTTTGAAGTAATGAATGATACTTCCCCATTTTCTGCAAATTAATGTTAGACACCAAACCACAGATCTAACAAGCTCAGAGAACACCAAGCAGGATGAATGCCAAAAAACACCCCACAACTACACATATACATATGATATTCAAACTGTGAAAAATCAAAGGTAAAGAAAAAATCTTGAAAGAATCTAGAGGAAAAAAAAGATGTTACCTACAGAGTAGCAATAATTGTCCCTTAGTCTGAATCTTCTGCAGAATGACTTGTGTTTCATAAATAGCTCAAGACTTTCAAAAGCAGATACTTGAAATCATGAGTTCTCCAAGAAATAGATGTGTTTTGAGAAAATAAATGATGTGGACAGCAAACTATGCGAAGCACATTCTTTAAGCATTAGTGCAGTCGAGTGATGATGAAACACCAAATGGACCAAGTGCACACTGACTTCTACCTATTGGCTTCCTGCCCCACCATGACACAGGCCTTGCTTTCAGCTAAGCCTGCAAGCTGCTCTTGTAACCCTAACCTTCCTGATGTCAATTATCCAGTAAAATAATACTCAAGTGGATATCAAAATTAATACCTTCCTTTCGTGGACATATTGTTTCTACCCTGTATTGTCTCTCGGAATCAGTCATCCTGAATACAAATATTAAAGATTTTGTTCCTCAGTCATTCCCCTAGTTCACACAGCCAACAATCTAACTCTTTGGCAGGGAAATCTTAGCCCAGTGAACTAAATTTTTCCAAATTTCTCCACTTCCTACTGAGCAGAAAGTTGGAATTTTTATGATTGCAAATTTTGCACTGAACATGTGTTCAACAAATGCGACTCAAATATCAACTTCCCAAACCGAGTTCTATCTAGGGGGCATATGAAGGTTGGGGAAAAGGTAAAAGGAGCCTGGGACATACTTACGGTGATGGCAAGGGGTCATTCTTCATCCTAACTCCTCTGTTTTCTAAAGAAAGCCAGCCAGCATAGACAGAGAACCCCTACATAGCACTGGGGAATTAGGGGGTGGAAAGCAGAAAGACCACTGGGGAACCTGGAAACTAGACGTAGATATGTTTGTTTCCTGTCCAAAACAAATCTTTTCCCATATTTGTTTCACATAGATTATATCTTCAAAGGCATGATCCTCTCCTCTTGTGAATGCAAAATTTAGGAAGATTAAATGTGTTTGTGGTTAAAATTGTTTCTTATAACCAATTCTGAGGCATTTAGAAAACTTGAGGGAACTCTGTGATCCCTTGAGTCCACAGATAGCAGAATAGACCCTCTGGGATGAACCAAGGGTTCTTGTGAGTTTTAGGAACAGACCTTATGTCATATATCACTTTTCTCTGCCAGCCAAGCTGGTACAAATCCTACATATGACTTTGCATCATGATAACAGGAAGAAGTCACATTTCTGGCAAATTCAGTTATACAGAACACAGTCTCAAATTTAAAAGAAAAATCACTGAAGCCATAAGACAAATCACAAAGGAAATGCACTAAAGCTTGAGTTTTTAGGGTTCTCAATCCTATTGACTCTTACTCTACATACAATCTAACATGCCTAATTGCATGGTGAAGAACTTTGACTGCTGTCACGCCATGCAAGATTGGATTCCTGGCTTTGCTTCTAATTAATCACCAACCAGGGTAAGTATGTGCAGCCTCTCTAAACCTCTACTTAACTGTAAAATGGGGATGATCATGGTGCCAACATCTTAAGATCAAATGAGATATAAGAAAAGACGTGTTTAGTACAGTGTGTGGCCCATGGTAATTGCTTAATAAATATTTCCAGTTATTATTATAGCTAAAGAAATGGAGAAGAAAAATTATAAAAGAACTAAAAGGCCACAGCAGACTGAGGCATTTATTACTGCAGGAGTATCCTCTCATAGTCCTGTGATCACTGATGTAATTAATGTATTGGCACAAAAGATGATAATCAGCTTCCATGAGGAGAATCAGGGTTATTAAGAAAAACTTAGATGATCCTCAAGACAACTTTTTTAAGATGATAGAAATGTTAGAAAATTTCTTCAATGTATTATTTTTCTTATCAAAAAATAAACTCAATTATAATAAAATAAAACATCCTTGAAGTTTAATAAAAATCTACTTAATTAGGTATTTGTTTCTGGGAAGATGGAATATCCAACTTTTTCCCTATTCTCAACAAGGACAACTAAAAACACTGCACCTTATATACAGAATAAACAGAAGAATCTGAGAGGTGGAGAGAAAGCAGACTGCCTAGACGTCAGGCCCTGAGAAATGATGCAGTGCTGAATTCCCTGAATTTCTTTTTGCTCCATATAACCCAGGCTTGGAGCTAAAGAAGCTGGCAACCCAGAAACACCAACCCAGATTTTAAAAGCCCTAACAAAAGTTGGTTCTCTCTAGCTAAAGGACCAAGAAAGGGGAAGCTAGCAAACTTTAGACAGTAACTTCTCTACTTCAGCCAAACACCCTAGACAAACTGTGGCCCAGCTCCCACTCATGCCAGCAGATGTCAAGTGGGAATCCCAGATTTCCACCCTCATGAGGCTGTGATGAGGTGCCCCAACATCCCTGGTAAGGTGGCATCAGAGAGGCCAAGTAGGGAGCTAAGACTCTTATCCTTGCTGGCTGGTAATAAGTCCTTTCCAACCCTCACAAGTTCAGTGGAAAGCACATGGTGGGTTTAGACCGCCATCTCCACCCAGAGTAACAAAATGCCACTCCCTCTCCCTGCAAAGGAGGTATCAGAGGAGGAACCCTGGAGAGTCGGGACTTTCATTGTTGTCCAACAGTAATGAGGATACACCCAACAGATTGTCAGTTATGATCATATGGGGAGTCAGAATTCCCACTTTTGACCAGCAGTAAAGAGAAGTCTGCATCCTTGGGTGTCAACAAAGGAGCAGCAGAGAACCTGGACTTCTACCTGCGCCTGGAAGGAGAAGATGGTACCTCCTTACCCTGACAGAGTTGTGTGGGATCCAGTTAACACTGATTTAGATAAGATCCAAAGTTGCCTAGCAAAATATGAACCTGTCCAGATTACACTTAAAAATCATTCACAGTTCATGTCCTTTGCAGGGACATGGATGAAGCTGGAAACCATCATTCTCAGCAAACTAACACAGGAACAGAAAACCAAACACTGCATGGTCTCACTCATAAGTGGGAGTTGAACAATAAGAACACATGGACACAGGGAGGGGAACATCACACATCAGGGCCTGTTGGGGGCTAGGGGGCTAGGGGAGGGAGAACATTAGGAGAAATGCCTAATGTAGATGACAGGCTGATGGGTGCAGCAAACCACCATGGCACATACATACATATGTAAAAAATCTGCACGTTCTCCACATGTATCCCAGAACTTAAAGTATAATAATAATAATAATAATAATAATAAAGAAATGGTCAAAGCAAGAAAAGAACTAAAAAAAAAAAGCACTCATCATGCTAAGAACTAGGAAGATACCAAAATAATTAAAAAATAACAATCAAAAAATGCGAACACCAAGATGCTAGAGATATTATGATCATCTGACAACAATTTTATTTTATCTATTTTTTGGGGGGTGCTTTCATGTGTTTTAAATTTTAAGTTCCAGGACACATGTGCAGGATGTGCAGGTTTGTTACATAGGTAAATGTGTGCCATGGTGGTTTGCTGCACCTATCAACCCATCACCTACGTATTAAGCCTCGCATGCATTTGCTATTTATCCTGATGCTCTCCTTCCCCCTACTCCTCCAACAGGCCCCGGTGTGTGTTGTTACTCTCACTGTGTCCATGTGTCTGACTAAAATTTTAAAGCAATAAAAACGAAAATGCTCAGTGAGCAATTATGAACCTGCTTGAAACGAATGAAAAGATCAAGTCTCAGGAATAAAATTAAATGTCTTAGTAAATAAATATAAAATATATGGAACAAATAAAAATTTTACAACTGAAAACTATGAGAAATGAACTAAATAATGTAATGGACGAACTCAACAGCAGAATTAAAGGGGTGGAGGAAAGAATAAAGGAACTGGAAGAAAGAGCAATGGTAATAACCAATCTGAACAACAAAAAGAAGACAGACTGGAAAAAAAAGAACAGAGCCTCAAGGGCCTATGGGGATATACAAAAGACCTAACATTTATGTCATTAAAGTCCTAGAAGGAGAGGAGAAAGAGAGTGGGACTGAAAAAGTATTCAAAGAAATAATGGGTGAAAACTTCCCATGTTTGGAAACAGACATAATCATACAGATTAAAGAAGTTCAGTGAACCCCAAAAATGACAAACCCAAAGAAACATATGCCAAGACACATCATAACTAAACTTCTAAAAACTAAAGACAGAGAAAATCTTGAAAACAGCCAAAGAGCTCCCCCTCCCCTCCCCTCTCCCTCTCCCGTCTCCCTCTCCCTCGTCTCCCTCATCTCCCTCTCCGTCTCCCTCTCCCTCTCCCTCACTTTGCACGGTCCTCGTCTCCCCTTTGCACGGTCTCCCTCTGATGCCTAGCCGAGACTGGACTGTACTGCCGCCATCTTGGCTCACTGCAGCCTCCCTGCCTGATTCTCCTGCCTCAGCCTGCGGAGTGCCTGGGATTGCAGGCGGGCGCCGCCACACCTGACTGGCTTTTGATTTTTTGGTGGAGACGGGGTTTCGCCTTGTTGGCCGGGCTGGTCTCCAGCTCCTGACCGCGAGTGGTCTGCCAGCCTCGGCCTCCCGAGGTGCCGGGATTGCAGATGGAGTCTCGCTCACTCAGTGCTCAATGTTGCCCAGGCTGGAGTGCAGTGTCGTGATCTCCGATCGCTACAACCTCCACCTCCCAGCCACCTGCCTTGGCCTCCGAAAGTGCTGAGATTGCAGCCTCTGCCCGCCACCACCCCGTATAGGAAGTGAGGAGCGTCTCTGCCTGGCCGCCCATCGTCTGGGATGTGAGGAGCCCCTCTGCCTGGCCGCCCAATCCGGGAAGTGAGGAGCGCCTCTTCCCGGCCGCCACCCAGTCTAGGAAGTGAGGAGGGTCTCTGCCTGGCTGCCCATCGTCTGGGATGTGAGGAGCCCCTCTGCCTGGCCGCCCAGTCTGGGAAGTGAGGAGCGCCTCTTCCTGGCCGTCATCCCATCTAGGAAGTGAGGAGCGTCTCTGCCCGGCCGCCCATCATCTGGGATGTGGGGAGCACCTCTGCCCCGCCACCCCATCTGAGATGTGAAGAGTGCCTCTGCCCGGCCGTGACCCCGTCTGGGAACTTAGGAGTGTCTCTGCCTGGCCGCCACCCCGTCTGGGAGGTGAGGAGCGTCTCTGACTGGCCATCCCATCTGAGAAGTGAGGAGCCCCTCCGCCCGGCAGCCACCCCGTCTGGGAAGTGAGGAGCGTCTCCGCCCGGCAGCCACCCCGTCCGGGAGATTGGGGGCAGCCCCCGCCCGGCCAGCCGCCCCGTCCGGGAGCTGGGGGGCAGTCCCCGCCCGGCCAGCCGCCCCGTCCGGGAGCTGGGGGGCAGTCCCCACCCGGCTGCCGCCCCATCTGGGAGGTGGGGGGCGCCTCTGCCCTGCCGCCCGGTCTGGGAAGTGGGGAACCCCTCTGCCCGGCTGCCACCCCGTCTGGGAGGTGGGGGGCCCCTCTGCCCGGCAGCACCGACTGGGAAGTGAGGAGGCCCTCTGCCCGGCCACCACCCCGTCTGGGAGGTGTACCCAGCTGCTCACTGAGAACGGGCCATGATGACAATGGCAGTTTTGTCGAATAGAAAAGGGGGAAATGTGGGGAAAAGAAAGAGAGATCAGATTGTTATTGTGTCTGTGTAGAAAGAAGTAGACATAGGAGACTCCATTTTGTTCTGTACTAGGAAAAATTCTTCTGCCTTGGGATGCTGTTAATCTATAACCTTACCCCCAACCCCGTGCTCTCTGAAACATGTGCTGCGTCCACTAAGGGTTAAATGGATTAAGGGCGGTGCAAGTTGTGCTTTGTTAAACAGATGCTTAAAGGCAGCATACTGGTTAAGAGTCATCACCACTCCCTAATCTCAACTACCCAGGTACACAAACACTGCGGAAGGCAGCAGGACCCTCTGCCTAGGAAAACCAGAGACATTTGTTCACATGTTTATCTTCTGACCTTCCCTCCACTATTGTCCTATGACCCTGCCAAATCCCCCTCTCCAAGAAACACCCAAGAATGATCAATAAATACTAAAAAAAAAAAAAAACAAAAAACTGCCAAAGAAAAATGATACCTTACCTATAGGGGAAAAACACTTATATTGACCCTGGATTTCTCATCAGAAACCATGGAAGCCAGAGAGAATTAGCACATTATTTTTCAATTGCCAAAGTAAATGTCAATTCAGAATCCTGTATCCAGTGAAAATATCCTTTAGGAATGAAGGCAAAATTCAGACATTCTCAGATGAGGAAACACTAAGAGTGTCCATCAGCAACAGACCTGCCCGAAAATAATGTATAAAGGACGTTGTCTAGACAGAAAGAATGTCAAAGAGAAGGTTTAAAAGAAGGAATCTTGGGACATCAGGAAGAAAGAAAGAATATGGTAAGCAAAAAATAGAAATAAATAAAATACTTTTCTTCACCACTTCAGGTTTTTAATGTTTCTTTGATGGTGAAGCAAAAATTATAACATTGTTTCATCTTGGTTCTAAATGGATCTAGAGGAAATATTTAAGATAACTGTATTTTAAATGAGGAAGAGTAAAGGGATATAATGGAAGGTATGGTTTCTATACTTCATTCAAACTGTAAACTGACAACATCAATAGAATGGGATAAATTATACACACACACCCGCACACACCCACACACATACACACACACACACACAGACACACATCCACACATAGACACACACACACATCCACACACACAAACAGTGCCACCTACAGCAACCACTGAAAAAGCTATTCAAAGAGATATACTAAAAAACACTATAGACAAATAAAAATGTAATTCTAAAACATGCTCAAGTAATCCATAAGAATGCAAAGGAAAGTCCAGGTCCAGTGGCTCATGCCTGTAATCCCAGCACTTTGGGAGGCTGAGGCAGGCAGATCACTTGAGGTCACAAGTTTGACACCAGTCTGGCCAACATGGTGAAATCCCATCTCTACTAAAAATACAAAAATTAGCCAGGCATGGTGATGGGCACCTGAAATTCCAGCTACTGGGGAGGCTGAGGCAGGGGAATCAATTGAACCCGGGAGGCAGAGATTGCAGTGAGCTGAGATCACACCACTGCACTCCAGCCTGGGTGACAAAGCGAGACTCCATCAAAAAAAAGAATGCAGAGAAATAAAAACCAAAGAGAATAAACAGAAAACAAACAAACAATAAATGGCACACTTAAACCCTAACATATCAATAATTATATTAAATGTAAATAGTCTAAATATACCAAGGAAAAAAACAGATACTGGCAGAGTGGATTAAAAAGCATGACCCAACCATATATTCTCTACAAGAAACACATTTCAAACATAATGATGTAGACAAGTTAAAAGTTAAAAGATGGAAAAAGATACACTATGCAAACATTAATCAGAGGAAAGCAGGAGTAACTGTATTAACATTAGACTAAGTAGACTTCACAGCAAAGAAAATTACTATAGACATATAGGGACACAATATAATGATAAAGGCACAGTTCGCTAAGAAGACATAGCAGTCCTAAATGTGTATGTACCAAACAAACTGCAAAATATGTGAGGCAAAAACAGAACTGAAAGGAGAAATGGGCAAATCTGCAAGTATAACTGGAGATATCAAAAACCTTCTCTCAACAATTGGTACAAAAACTAGACAGAAAATCGGCCGGGCATGGTGGCTCACGCCTGTCACTTGAGGTCAGGAGTTCAAGACCAGCCTGGCCAACACAATGAAACCGTCTCCACTGAAAATACAAAAATTAGCTGGGCATGGTGGTGCGTGCCTGCAATCCCAGCTTCTCGAAGGCTGAGGCAGGAGAATCGCTTTGAGACAGGAAAATCACCTTAATCCAGAAGGCAGAGGTTGCGGTGAGCCAAGATTGCGCCATTACACTCTAGCCTGGGTAACAGAGCAGCGTCAAGACTCTGTCTCAAAACAAAAAAAAAAACAAAACTAGACAAAAAATCAGCTAAGATGTATAAGAAATCAACAATACCTATCAACAATAGGATCTTAACAGTTTAACATTTATAGAATATTTCACCCAATGACAGTAGAACACATTCTTTTCCAAGTATCTACAGAATATATACCAAGATAGACCATATTCTGGGCAACAAAACAAATCTCAACACATTTAAAAGAACCAAAATCACATAGAGTGCATTCTTGAACTGCAATGGAATCAAAATAGAAATCAATAACAGAAAGTAACAGGAAAACTTCTAGGAAATTAATGAGCGTACTTCTAAATAATCCATGGGTCAAAGGGGAAGCCACAAAGAAAATTTCAAAATACATTGCATTGAGTGAAAATAGAAATATAGCCTATCGAAATGCATGAGTTCTGAAAGTAAAATTCGTAACATTAAACACATACCTTAGAAAACAGGAAAAGTCTCAAGTCAATGATTTAACCTTCCACCTTAAGTGCTGAGGAGTAAAAAAGAGCCAAAGAAACCCAAAGTAAGCAGAAGGATGGAAATAATGATGATTAAAAGCAGAAAAAAATTAAATTGAAGATAGAAACACAAGAGAGAAAAATCAACGAAACAAAGAACTGGTTCCCTGAAAAGACTAATAAAATCAACAAACCTGCAACCAGGATAAGCTAGACAGTAATATTAGACATAAATAAATAAATAAGAATTTAAAAAAAAAAATCAAACCTCTAGCAAAACAAAAGAGAGAGAGAGAGAACGAGAAGACAGAGATTACCAATATCAGGGGTGAGACTGGGAATATCACTACAGACATCAAAATATAATAAGGCAGAGGAGGGGTGGAACCAGATGGCCAAATAGAAGGCTCCACTGATCATCCCTCTACACAAGAACACCAAATTTAACAACTATCTACATTTTTAAAAAGCCTTCTTAAGAACAACAACAAAAAAATCAGGTGGGCACTCACATCACCTGATTTTAACTTCATATCACTGAAAAAGGCACTGAATGGGGGAGGAAAGACAGTCTTGAATTGCCAATGTCACTCCTCCCTTACCCCCTGGTAGCAGCCATGTGGCATGGAGAATCTGTGCACTTGGGAGAGGGAGAGCATGGCAATTGTGAGACTTGGCATTGAACTCAGTGCTGCCCTGTCACAGTGGAAAGCAAAATCAGGCTAAACTCAGCTGATGCCCGCCCAGAGGGAGCATTTACACCAGCCCTAGCCAGAGGAGAACTGCCCACTCCAACAGTTGGAACTTGAGTTTCGGCAAGCCTCACCACCATGGGCTAAAGCGCTCTGGGTCCCTAAATAAACTTAAAACGCAGTTTAGGCCTTTTAAGGAGTACTGCAACTCCTAGGCAAGTGCTGGTGCTGAGTTGGGCTTGGAGACAGTGAACTTGGAGGGCCATACAATTTACTGAGACACAAGCTGGGGCAGCTAAGGGAGTGCTTGTGCCACTCCTCCCACAGCCCCAGGCAGCACAGCTTGTGGTTCTAAAATGGACCCCTTCCTTCTGCTTGAGAAGAGAAGAGGGACAAAGAGGTCTTCGTCTTGCATCATAGATACCAGCTCAGCCACAGTAGGATAGGGCACCAGGCAGAGTAATGAAGACCCCATTCCAGGCCCTAGCTCCCAGATGACATTTCTAGACATATCTAGGGCCAGAGGGAACCTGCTGCCTTGAAGGGAAGGACCCAGTCCTAGAAGGATCCATCACTTACTGACTAAAGAGCCCTTAGGCCTGGAGAAATCTACCTGGTGTTCTATTCTGGTGTGGCTGAGATGGCACTCAAACCATGAGATGTGATTCCCAGGTAGTACACCGTGGGCCTTGGGTGGGACTCTTGAGACATGCTGACTTCAAGTGAGATTCAGAGCATTCCCAGTTGTGGTGGCTATGATGAGAGACTCCTTCTGCTTGAGAAAAGCAGAGAGAAAGAAAAGGAGACTTTGTCTTGCACTCTAGCTACCACGTCAGCCACAGGGAAGTAGAGCAGCAAGTGGGCTCTTGGAGGTTTCCAATTCCAGGCCTTGGCTCTTGAACATGATTTCTGGACCTGCCCAGGGCCAGAGGGAAGCCCACTGCCCTGAAAGTAAGTCCCAGGCCTGGCAGCATTCGCCACAAGCTAACTGAAGAGCCTTTGGGAGTTTAACTGAACATTGTTGGTAGCTTGGCAGTACTACTCCCTGTGGGCCTACGGTGGTGGTGGCTACAGGGTGAGGCTCCTCTACCTGTAGAAAAGGGAGGAAAGAGTGGGAAAGACTGCATCTCATGGTTTGAGTGCCATCTCAGCCACAGTAGAATGGAATAGCAGGTAGATTTCTAAGGTTGTTGACTCCAGTTCCTGGATCCTGGATAACATCTCCGGACCTGCCTGTTGGCCTGTGAGAACTTGCTGCCCTGAAAGGAAGAACACAAGCCTGGCTGACTTCACCACCTGCTGACTGTAGAGCCCTAGGGCCTTGAGCAAACCTAGGCAGTAGCCAGGTAGTGCTTTAGTGGGCCTTGGGCAAGACCCAGTGCTGTGCTGGCTTCAAGTCTGACCCAGCACATTCCCAGTGGTGGTGGCCATGGGGTGCTTTTCTCACCCCATCCCCAGCTCCAAGCAGCACAGCACAAAGAGACTGTATTTGTTTGGGAGAAAGTAAGGGAAGAGAACAAGAGTCTCTGCCTGGTAATCCAGAGAATTCTTCCAGATCTTATCCAAGACCACAAAGACAGTGCCTCTACAAGTCTGCAAGAACCACAGTGTTACTAGGCTTGAGGTGCCCCTTAATACACATATAGCTTACATCAAAACCTAAGTCCTTTCAAATACCTGACAAACATTCCCAAGAAGGATGGATACAAACAAGCCCAGACTGTGAAGATTACAATAAATAGCTAACTTGTCAATGTCTAGACACCAACAAACATCCTCAAGCATCACTATCATCCAGGAAAACATGACATCACCAAATGAACTAAACAAGTCACCAGGGACCAATCCTGGAGAAACAGAGATATGTGATCTTTCAGACACAGAATTCAAAATAGCCGTTTTGAGGAAACTCAGAGAAAGAAATTCAAGATCACACAGAGAAGAAATGCAGAATTCCATCAGATAAATTTAACAAAGAAACTGACATTATTAAAAAGAATCAAGCAGAAATTCTGGACTTGAAAAATGCAGTAGAGATATTGAAAAATGCATCAGAATATCTTAGTAGCATAATTGATCAAGCAGAAGAAAGAATAAGTGAGCTTCAAGACAGGCTATTTGAAAATACATAGAGAGAGGAGACAAAAGAATAAAGAATAGAAAAGAATGGAGCATGCCTGCAAGATTTCGAAAAAGCATAAAAGGGGGCAAATCTAAGAGTTATTGGCCTTAAAGTGAGGTAGAAAAAAAAGATAGGAATACAAAGTTTATTAATAATGGAGAACTTGCAAAACCTAGAGAAAGATATCAATATCCAAGCACAAACAGTTTTACACTAAGCAGATTTAACCCAAAGAAGACTACCTCAAGGCATTTAATAATCAAACTCCCAAAGGTCAAAGATAAAGAAAGAATCCTAAAAGCATCAAGAGAAAAGAAGCACATAACATACAATGGAGCTCCAATATGCCTGGCGGCAGACTTTTTAGAGAAAACCTCACAGGCCAGGAGAGAATGGAATGACATATTTAAAGTTCTGAAAGAAGAAAACTTTTACCCTAGAATAGTATATCTGGCAAAAATATCCATCAAACATGAAGGAGAAATAAAGACTTTCCTAGACAAACAGAAGCTGAGGGATTTCATCAATACCAGTCCTACAAGAAATGCAAATGGAGGTACTTCAATCAAAAAGGAAAGGACATTAAGAGCAATAGGAAATCATCTGAAGGTATAAAACTCACTGGTGATAGTAAGTACACAGAAAAACAGAATATCATAATACTGTAACTGTGGTGTGTAAACTACTGTTATCTTAAGTAGAAAGACTAAAAGATGAAACAATAAAAAATAATAACTACAAAAACTTTTCAAGACATAGACGATGCAATAAGATATAACTAAAAACAACAAAAAGTTTCTAAAGTAGGGGGGATGAAGTTAAAGTGTAGTTTTTACCAATTTTCTTTTTGCTTGTTTGTTTATGCAAGCAGTGTTAAGTTTTTATCAGCTTAAAAATAATGGGTTATAAAATAGTATTTGCAATCCTAATAGTAACCTCAAATCAAAAAACATACAATAGATACACAAAAAATAAAAAGCAAGAAACTAAGTCATACCACCAGAGAAAATCCCCTTCACTAAAAGGAAGACAGGAAGGAAGAAAAGAAGGAAGAGAAGACCATGAAACAACCAGAAAATAAATAACAAAATAGCAGAAGTAAGCCCTTACTTTTCGATAATAATATTGAATGTAAATGGACTAAACTCTCCAATCAAAGAGAGATTTGCTGAATGGATTTTTTTTTTAAAAGGACTCAGTGATTTATTGTCTAAAAGAAACACACTGCACTCATAATGACACCGACAGACTGTAAGTAAAGGGATAGAAAAGCTATTCAATGCCAATGGAAACAAAAAAAAGAGTAGGAGTAGTTATATGAGACAAAATAGATTTCAAGAAAAAAACTATAAGAAGAGACAAAGAAGGTCATATAATGATAAAGGGGTCAATTCAGCAAGAGGATATAATTGTAAATATATATGTACCCAACACTGGAGCACCCAGATATAGAAAGCAAATGTTACTACAGCTAAAGACTGAAAAGCCTTTCCTCTAAGATCTAGAACATGACAAAGATGCACACTGTCACCGCTGTTATTCAACATAGTACTGGAAGTTTCAGTAAAGAAAAGCCCCAGACCCAATGGCTTCACAGCTGAATTTACCAAACCTTTAAATGAGAACTAACACAAATTCTACTCAAACTATTCTGAAAAATATAGGGGGAGGGAATACTCCCAAACTCATTCTATGAGGCCAGTATTATCCTGATACCAAAACCAGAAAAAGATACATCTAAAAAAGAAAACTACAGGCCAATATCTCTGATGAATATTGATGAAAAATTCTCAATGAAACATCAGCAAACTAAATTCACAACACATGAAAAAGATCATTCATCATGACCAAGTGGGACTAATTCCTGGGATGCAAAGACAATTCAACATATGCAAAGCAATCTGATATATCATCTCAACAAAATGAAGGACAAAAACCTTATGATCATCTCAAATGATACTGAAAAAGCATTTGATAAAATTCAACATCCTTTCATAATAAAAAAACACTGTCAGAAACTGAATATAGAAGAAATTACCTCAACATAATAAATGCCATATGTGACACATCCACAGCTAGCATCATAATGAGAGATCAACACTGAAAGGCTTACCTCTAAGATTTGTATTAAGATAAAGATGTCCATTTTCACCAATGTTATTCAACATAGTGCTGGAAGTTCTAGCTAAAGCAATCAGACAAGAGAAAAAAATAAAGGACATTAGAATTGGAAAGGAAGAAGTAAGATTATCCTTGTTCAAAGATACTATGTTGGAAAAATATAAAGACTCCACAAAAAACTATTAGAACTGATCAAAAAATTCAGTAAAGTTGCAGGATCAACATACAAAAATCAGTAGCATTTTTATATGCCAATAGCAACAATCTGAAAAAGAAATCAAGAAAGTAATCCCACTTACACTAGCTACAAATAAAATACCTACGAATTAACTTAACCAAAGGAGCAAAAGATCTCTACGATGAAAACTATAAAACATTGATGCAAAAAATTGAAGAAGACACAAAAAATGAAAAGATATTTCATATTCATGGATTGGAAGAATCAATTTTGTTAAAATGTCAATACCACTCAACCAATCTACAGATTCAATGCAATTTCAAGTACCAATGACATTCTTCACAGAAATAGACAAAAACAACAGTAAAATTTATGTGGAACCACAAAAGACCCAGAAGAACCAAAGCCCTCCTAAGCAAAAAGAACAAAACTGTAGGAATCATATTACCTGACTTTAAATTACACTACTGGGCTGTAGTAACCAAAACAGCATGATACTGGCATAAAAATAGGTACATAGACCAGTGGAACAGAAGATATAACCCAGAAATAAACCCATACATCTACAATACACTCATTTTTGACAAATGTGTTAAGAACATAGCACCTTTTATTGAATAAAGGGCAGTTTCTTCAACAAATGGTGCTGGGAAAACTGGGTATCCATATGCAGAAGAATTAAAGTAGACCTCTATCTCTCATCATATACAAAAAGCTAATCAAAACAGATTAAAGACTTAAATCTAAGTCCTCAAACTATGAAGTTACTAAATGAAAACACTGGGGAACCTCAGGACATTGGAGTGGACAAAGATTTCTTGAGTAGTACCCCATAAGCACAGGTCACCAAAGCAAAAATGGAAAAATGGGATCACATCAAGTTAAAAAGCTTCTGCACAGCAAAGGAAACAATCAACAAAGTGAAGAGACAACCCACAGAACGGGCGAAAATATTTGCAAACTATCCGTCTGCCAGGGTATTAATAACCAGAATATATAAGAAGCTCAAACAAGTCTATAGGAAACAATCTAGTAATCTCATTTTTTTAATGGGCAAAAAATGTGAGTAGACATTTCTCAAAAGAAGACATACAAATGGCAAACAGATATATGAAAGGTGCTCAGCATCATTGATCATCAGGTCAAAACTACAATGAGACAGCATCTCACCCCAGTTCAAATGTCTTTTATCCAAAAGATAGGCAATAATAAATGCTGACAAGGATGTGGAGAAAAGAGAACCTTCATACACTGTTGGTAGGAATGTAAATTAGTACAACCACCATGGAGAACAGTTTGGAGGTTCCTCAAAAAACTAAAAATACGGTACCATATGATCCAGCAATTCTACTCCTAGGTATATACCCAAAGGAAAGAAAATCAGTATATGGAAGAGATCTGCACTCCCATGTTTATTGCAGCACTATTCACAATAACTAAGATTTGGAAGCAACCTAAGTGCCCATCAATAGATGAATGGATAAAGAAAATGCAGTACATATACACAACGGGGTACTATTCCGCCATAAAAAAGAATAAGATTCTGTCATTTGCAACCTCATGGTTGGAACTGGAAGTTATCATGTTAAGCAAAATAAGCCAGGCACAGAAAAACAAACTTCACTGATTCTCACTTACTTGTGAAAGCTAAAAATTAAAACAATTGAACTCATGGAGACAGAGAGTAGAATGATGGTTACCATAGTCTAGGAAGGGTAGTGGGGGTGGGTGGGAGGGAAGTGGGGATGGTTAATGGGTACAAAATAACAGTTAGAAAGACTGAATAAGTTCTAGTATTTTCTAGCACAACAGAGTGACTATAGTCAAAAATAATTTAATTGTTTATTTCAAAATAACTAAAGAAGCGTAATTGGATTGTTTGTAACATAAGGATAAATGCTTGAGGTGAAGGATACCCCATTAGTCCTGATGTGATTATTATGCATTGCATGCTTGTATCAAAATATTTCATGTAACTCATATATACATCATATTTGGTTTGGCTCTGTGTCCCCATCCAAATCTCATCTTGTAGCTCCCATAATTCCCATGGGTTGTAGGAGGGACCTGGTGGAAGATAATTGAATCACAGGGGTTGGTGTTTCCCATCTGTTCTCGTGATAGTGAGTAAGTCTCATGAGATCTGATGGTTTTAAAAACAAGAAATTCCCTGCATGAGCTCTCTTTTTGCCTCCTGCCATCCATGTAAGAGCTGACTTGCTCCTCCTTGCCTTCCACCATGGTTGTGAGGCCTCTTCAGCCATGTGGAATTGTTAAGTCCATTAAACCTCTCTTTCTTTTGTAAATTGCCCAATCTAAGGGATGTCTTTATCAGCAGTATGAAAATGGACTAATACAGTAAATCGGTAGCAGTAGAGTGGGGCACTGCTGTGGATACCCAAAGATGTGAAAGCAATTTTGGAACTGGGTAACAGGCAGGGGTTGGAAGAGTTTGGAGGCTTGGAAGAAGAAAAGAAAATGTGGGACAGTTTGGAACTTCCTAGAGACTTGTTGAATGGCTTTGCCCAAAATACTGATAGCAATATGGACAATAAGGTCCAGGCTGAGGTGGTCTCAGATGGAATTGAGAAACTTGTTGGGAACTGGAGCAAAGATGACTCTTATTATGTTTTAGCAAAGAGATTGGCAGCATTTTGTCCCTGCCCTAGAGATTTGTGGAACTTTGAACTTGAGAGAGATGATTTACGGTATCTGATGGAAGAAATTTCTAAGCAGCAAAGCATTCAAGAGGTGACTTGGGGCCAGGCATGGTGGCTCACACGTGTAATCCCAGCACTTTGGAAGGCCGAGGTGGGAGGATCATGAGGTCAGGAGATCGAGACCATCCTGGCTAACACAGTGAAACCCCATCTCTACAAAAAACACACACAAAAAAATTAGCCGGGCGCAGTGGTGGGTGTCCGTAATCCCAGCTACTCGGGAGGCTGAGGCAGGAGAATGGCGTGAACCCAGGAGGTGGAGCTTGCAGTGAGCTGAGATCACGCCACTGCACTCCAGCCTGGGCAACAGAGCGAGACTCTGTCTCAAAAAAAAAATAAATAAATAAAATAAAAATAAAAAAAAAAAGAGGTAACTTGAGTCTTTTTAAAGGCATTCAGTTTTATAAGGGAAGTGGAGCATAAACGTTCAGAAAATTTGCAGTCTGACAATGTGATAGAAAAGAAAATCCCATTTTCTGAGGAGAAATTCAAGCTGTGTGCAGAAATTTGCATAAGTAATAAGGAGTAGAATGTTAATCCCCAAGACAATGGGGAAAATGTCTCCAGGGCCATGTCAGAGGTCTTCACAGTAGCCCCTCCCATCACAGGCCCAAAAGTCTAGAAGGAAAAAAAGATTTCATGGGCCAGGTCCAGGGTCCTCGTGCTGTGTGCAGTGTAGGGACTTGGTGACCTACATCCCAGCCACTCCAGCTGTGGCTGAAAGGGGCCAATGTAGACCTTGGGCTATGGCTTCAGAGGGTGCAAGCCCCAAGCCTTGGCAGCTTCCACATGTGTTAAGCCTGTGAATGCACAGAAGTCAAGAACTGGGGTTTGGGAACCTACACCTAGATTTCAGAGGATGTATGAAAACGCCTGGATGCCCAGGCAGAGGTTTGCTGCAGGGAAAGGGCCCTCATGGAGAACCTCTGCTAGGGCAGTGCAGGAGGGAAATGTGGAATTTGAGCCCCCATACAGAGTCCCTACTGGGGCACCACCTAGTGGAGCTGTGAGAAGAGGACCACCGTCTCCAGACCCCAGAATGGTAGATCCGCTGACAGCTTGCCCCATGTGCCCAGAAAAGCCACAGACACTCAACACCAGTCCATAAAGGCAGCCAGGAAAGAGGCTGTATCCTGCAAAGCCACAGGGGCAGAGCTGCCCAAGACCATGGGAGCCCACCTCTTGCATCAGCATGACCTGGATGTGAGACATGGAGTCAAAGGAGATCATTTAGAAGCTTTAAGATTTGATTACCCTGCTGGATTTTGGACTTGCATGGGGCCTTGTAGCCCCTTTGTTTTGGCCAATTTCTCCCATTTGGAATGCCTGTATTTATCCAATGCCTGTACGCTCATTGTATGTAGGAAGTAACTAACTTGCTTTTGATTTTACAGGCTCATAGGCGGAAGGGACTTGCCTTGTCTCAGATGAGACTTTTGACTGTGGACTTTTGAGTTAATGCTGAAATGAGTTAAGACTCTGGGGGACTGTGAGAAAGGCATGATTGGTTTTGAAATGTGAAGACACGTGATTTGTGAGGGGCCAAGGGTGGAATTATATGGTTTGGCTCTGTGTCCACACCCAAGTTTCATTTTGTAGCTCCCATACAATTCCCACATGTTGTGGGAGGGACCCAGTGGGAGATAATTGAATCATGGAGGCGGGTCTTTCCCATGCTTTTCTCATGATAGTGAATAAGTCCCACAAGATCTGATGGTTTCTGAAATGAGAGTTTCCCCTGCACAAGCTGTCTCTTTGCTGGCTGCCATCCATGTAAGACATGACTTCCTCCTCCTTGCCTTCCACTATGATTGTCAGGCCTCCCCAGCCATGTGGAACTATAAGTCCATTAAACCTCTCTTTTCTAAATTGCCCAGTCTCAGGTATGTCTTTATCAGCAGTGTAAAAATGGACTAATAAAATACACTTACTACATACCCACAAAAATTAAAAATAAAAAAATTATTTAAACATACACACACACATAAAATAAGGCAATACTTTGAATAATGCTACACATATAAATTCGACCTCTTAGATAAAATGGATCACTTTCTCAAGAACCACAAATTACCACCACTCATTCAATACAAAACAGAGAATTTAAATAGCTCTATAACTAGTAAGGAAATTGAAATTCATAATTTAAAAACTCTCTAAAAAATATCTCACCCCAGATTGTTTCACTGGGCAATTCTCCATATATTTAAGGAGGAATTAACCCAATTCTTTACAATCTCTTGCAGAAAACAGAAGAGCATGTCCCAATTCAATATAAGAAGGTATTATTACCTTGATACTAAAATCAAAGACAGCACAAAAAAGAAAACTACAGAACAATAACCTTCATGAATATAAATGCAAAAATTCTTAATGAAATACTGGTAAATGGAAATCAGCAATATTTTAAAAAATCATTCATTATGACCCAGTAATGATCCCAGTTTATTCCAGGGACACAAACTAGATTCATTATTTAGAAGTCAATCAGTCTAATATACCCTATTTATAGGTTAAAAAAGAAAAATTACCAGCTCATATCAATAAATTCAATAAAAGCACTTGACAAAATTGAGGATTCACTCATGATAACAGCTCTCAGACAAATAAGAAGAGAGGACAATTTCCTCAACTTGATAAAAAGTAGCTATAGGGCTGGCACGGTAGCTCACACCTGTAATCCCAGCACTTTGGGAGGCCGAGGTGGGTGGATCACGAGGTCAAGAGATTGAGACCATCCTGGCCAACATGCCGAAACCCCGTCTCTACTAAAAATACAAAAATTAGCTGGGCGTGGTGGCACACGCCTGTAGTCCCAGCTACTCGGGAGGCTGAGGCAGGAGAATCACTTGAACCTGGGAGGTATAGGTTGCAGTGAGCCAAAATCGTGCCATTGCACTCCAGCCTGGCAACAGAGCAAGACTCCATCTAAAAAAAAAAATAGCTGTAAAAACCTACAGCTAATATTTTACCTGCCCTCGAACATTGGGAAAAAAGCAAAGATGTCCACTCTTACCACTTTTACTCAACATATCCTGGAAGCTGGGTGTGGTGGCTCTTGCCTATCATATTAGCACTTTGGAAGGCCAAAGTGGGCAGATTGCTTGAGCTCAGGAGTTCAAGATAAGCCTGGGCAACATGGCAAAAACCAATCTCTATAAAAAATATAAAAATTAGCCAGGCATGGTGGCCTGCGCCTGTAGTCCCAGCTACTTGGGAGGCTGAGGTGGGAGGTGGTTTGAGCTTGGGAGGTGGAAGTTGCAGTGAACTGAGATCTCGCCACTGTACTCCAGCCTGGGTGACAAAGGTAGACACTGTCTCAAACAAAACATAGTACTGGAAATTTTAACCAATGCATTGCAAAAAGGAAATAGACAATAAAGTAAAAAAGAGGTATACAGACAATAAATTAAAAAAGAAAACTGTCAATATTTGCAGATGATATCATTTCTATGTATCCCAAAGTATCTACCAAAAACCTCATAGAACTAATTAGTTCACTGAATTCTCAGTATTTGAAAGTCAACAGGGGGGTGGAGCCAAGATGGCCGAATAGGAACAGCTCCAGTCTACAGCTCCCAGCATGAGCGATGCAGAAGACGATGCATTTCCAACTGAGGTACCAGGTTCATCTCACTGGGGAGTGTCGGAAAGTGGGTGCAGGACAGTGGGTGCAGCGCACCGAGCGTGAGCTGAAGCAGGGCAAGGCATTGCCTCACCCAGGAAGTGCAAGGGGTCAGGGAATTCCCTTTCCTTGTCAAAGAAAGGGGTGACAGACAGAACCTGGAAAATCGGGTCACTCCCACCTTAATATTGCGCTTTTCCAACAGTCTTACAAACAGCACATCAGGAGATTATATCCCACGCCTGGCTCAGAGGGTCCTATGACCACAGAGCCTCGCTCACTGCTAGCACAGCAGTCTGAGATCAAACTGCAAGGTGGCAGCAAGGTTGGGGGAGGGGTGCCCGCCATTGCCGAGGCTTGAGTAGGTAAACAAAGCAGCCGCAGCCGGGAAGCTCGAACTGGGTGGAGCCCACCGCAGCTCAAGGAGACCTGCCTGCCTCTGTAGACTCCACCTCTGGGGGCAGGACATTGCCAAACAAAAGGCAGCAGAATCCTCTGCAGACTTAAATGTCTCTGTCTGACAGCTTTGAAGAGAGTAGTGGTTCTCCCAGCACGCAGCTGGAGATCTGAGAATGGACAGACTGCCTCCTCAAGTGGGTCCCTGACCCCCAAGTAGCCTAGCAAGACTAATAAAGAAGAAAAGAGGGAAGAATCAAATAGATGCAATAAAAAATGATAAAGGGGATATCACCACCTATCCCACAGAAATACAAACTACCATCAGAGAATGCTATAAACACCTCTATGCAAATAAACTAGAAAATCTAGAAGAAATGGATAAATTCCTCAACACATACACCCTCCCAAGACTAAACCAGGAAGAAGTTGAATCTCTGAATAGACCAATAACAGGCTTTGAAATTGAGGCAATAATTAATAGCTTACCAACCAAAAAAAGTCCAGGACCAGATGGATTCACAGCCGAATTCTACCAGAGGTATAAGGAGGAGCTGGTACCATTCCTTCTGAAACTATTCCCATCAATAGAAAAAGAGGGAATCCTCTCTAACTCATTTTACGAGGCCAGCATCATCCTGATACCAAAGCCTGGCAGAGACACAACAAAAAAAGAGAATTTTAGACTAATATCCCTGATGAACATCAGTGCAAAAATCCTCAATAAAATACTGGCAAACCGAATCCAGCAACACATCAAAAAGCTTATCCACCATGATCAAGTGGGTTTCATCCCTGGGATGCAAGGCTGGTTCAACATACGCAAATCAATAAACATAATCCAGCATATAAACAGAACCAATGACAAAAACCATATGATTATCTCAATAGATGCAGAAAAGTCCTTTGACAAAATTCAACAACCCTTCATGCTAAAAACTCTAAATAAGGTATTGATGGGATGTATCTCAAAATAATAAGAGCTATCTATGACAAACCCACAGCCAATATCATACCGAATGGGCAAAAACTGGAAGCATTCCCTTTGAAAACTGGCACAAGACAGGGATGCCCTCTCTCACCACTCCTATTCAACATAGTGTTGGAAGTTCTGGCCAGGGCAATCAGGCAGGAGAAGGAAATAAAGGGTATTCAATTAGGAAAAGAGGAAGTCAAATTGTCCCTGTTTGCAGATGACATGATTGTATATCTAGAAAACCCCATCGTCTTAGCCCAAAATCTCCTTAAGCTGATAGGCAACTTCAGCAAAGTCTCAGGATACAAAATCAATGTACAAAAATCACAAGCATTCTTATACACCAATAACAGACAAACAGAGAGCCAAATTGTGAGTGAACTTCCATTCACAATTGCTTCAAAGAGAATAAAATACCTAGGAATCCAACTTACAAGGGATGTGAAGGACCTCTTCAAGGAGAACTAAAAACCATTGCTCAATGAAATAAAAGAGGATACAAACAAATGGAAGAATGTTCCATGCTCATGGGTAGGAAGAATCAATATCATGAAAATAACCATACTGCCCAAGGTGATTTATAGATTCAATGCCATCCCCATCAAGCTACCAATGGCATTCTTCACAGAATTGGAAAAAACTACTTTAAAGTTCATATGGAACCAAAAAAGATCCCATATTGCCAAGTCAATCCTAACCCAAAAGAACAAAGCTGGAGGCATCATGCTACCTGACTTCAAACTATACTACAAGGCTACAGTAACCAAAAGAGCATGGTACTGGTACCAAAACACAGATATAGAGCAATGGAACAGAATAGAGCCTTCAGAAATAATGCCACACATCTACAACCATCTGATCTTTGACAAACCTGACAAAAACAAGAAATGGGGAAAGGATTCCCTATTTAATAAATGGTGCTGGGAAAACTGGCTAGCCATATGTAGAAAGCTGAAACTGGATCCCTTCCTTAAACCTTACACAAAAAGTAATTCAAGATGGATTAAAGACTTACATGTTAGACCTAAAACCATAAAAACCCTAGAAGAAAACCTAGGCAATACCATTCAGGACATAGGCATGGGCAAGGACTTCATGTCTAAAACACCAAAAGCAATGGCGACAAAAGCCAAAATTGACAAATGGGATCTAATTAAACTAAAGAGCTTCTGCACAGCAAAAGAAACAACCATCAGAGTGAACAGGCAGCCCACAGAATGGGAGAAAATTTTTACAATCTACTCATCTGACAAAGGGCTAATATCCAGAATCTACAATGAACTCCAACAAATTTACAAGAAAAAAACAACCCCATCAAAAAGTGGGTGAAGGATATGAACAGACACTTCTCAAAAGAAGACATTTATGCAGCCAAAAGACATATGAAAAAATGCTCATCATCACTGGCCATCAGAGAAATGCAAATCAAAACCACAATGAGATACCATCTCACACCAGTTAGAATGGCGATCATTAAAAAGTCAGGAAACAACAGGTGCTGGAGAGGAGGTGGAGAAATAGGAACACTTTTACACTGTTGGTGGGACTGTAAACTAGTTCAACCATTGTGGAAGTCAGTGTGGCGATTCCTCAGGGATCTAGAGCTAGAAATACCATTTGACCCAGCAATCCCATTACTGGGTATATACCCAAAGGATTATAAATCATGCTGCCATACAGACACATGCACACGTATGTTTATTGTGGCACTATTCACAATAGCAAAGACTTGGAACGAAGCCAAATGTCCAAAAATGATAGACTGGATTAAGAAAATGTGGCACATATACACCATGGAATACTATACAGCCATAAAAAATGATGAGTTCCTGTCCTTTTAGGGGCATGGATGAAGCTGGAAACCATCATTCTCAGCAAATTATCACAAGGACAAAAAACGAAACACTGCATGTTGTCACTCATAGGTGGGAATTGAACAGTGAGAACACATGGACACAGGAAGGGGAACATCACACACCAGGGCCTGTTGTGGGGTTGGGGGAGGGGGGAGGGATAGCATTAGGAGATATACCTAATGTTAAATGACGAGTTACTGGGTGCAGCACACCAACATGGCACATATATACATAAGTAACAAACCTGCACGTTGTGCACATGTACCCTAAAACTTAAAGTATAATAAAAAAAAAGAAAGTCAACAGTATTTCTATATACTAGCAATGGACACCAACATTTAAAATACCACTTATAATTGAGAGACAGAAAGAAAACTATTTAGGTGTAAACCTAACAAAAAATGTGCCGGACTTATATGCAGGAAACTACAAAATTCTGGTAAAAGAAATAAAAGAAGATCTAAATAAACGGAGAGACATACAACATTCATAAGTTGGAAGACTTAACATAGTAAAGATGTCAATTCTTCTGAAAGTGATATGCAGATTTAACATAATTCCTATCAAAATTCTAGTTAAACTTTTTGGGTAGATATAAAGATTATTCTATATGGATTGACAAAATAGCAAAGAAAAGGCAAAGAAAATGAAATAGCTTAAATAATTTTGAAAAAGAAAAAATAAAAATAAAGAATCAGTCTACCAGATTTCAAGACTTATCATACAGTTGCAGTAATTAAGATTACATGTTATTCGTGAAGGAACAGACACATAGATCAATGGAACAGAGTAGAAAATCCAGAAATAGACCCACACAAATGCACACCACTAATTTTTTACAAAGATGCAAAAGAAATTCAATGAAGGAAAGATAGTCTTTTCAACAAATGGTGCTGAAGCAATTGGCTATCCATAGGCAAAAAAATAAACCCCCACCTATAAGTCTCATACCTTATACTAAAATTAACTCGAAATGAACCACAGACTTACACGTAAAACTATGAAATGTTTCAAAAATAACACAGGATAAAATCTGCAAGATCTCTACAAAGACTTCTTAAGCTTGACACCCAAAAACATGACCCATTAAAGAAAAAATTGATAAATTCGACTTCATCAAGTCTTCACTTTCAGAAAGATTATGTTAAGGAGATGAAAAGACTGGGAGAAAATATTTACAAGCAACATATCTCACAAAGTATCTAGAATGTTTTTAAAATCTCAAAACTCAACAGTAAAAATGCAAACAAAAATCCTATTAGCAAATGGCCAAAAGACATTGTTATGGTTTGTTTGTATTGCCACCCAAATCTCATCTTAAATTGTAGCTCCCGTAATACCCACGTGTCGTGGGAGGAACCTGATAGGAGGTAATTGAATCATGCAGGCAGGTTTTCCTGTCCTGTTCCCATGATAGTTAATAAGTCTCATGAGATCTGATGGTTTTATAAAGGGCAGTTCCCCTGCACACGCTCTCTGGTCTGCCACCATGTAAGATGTGCCTTTGCTCCTCCTTGCCTTCTGCCATGATTGTGAGGCCTCTCAAGCCATCTGGAACTGTGAGTCCGTTAAACCTCTTTTTCTTTTTCTATTTCTTTTCTGGTTTTTTTTTTGTTTGTTTTTGTCTTTTTTTGTTGTTTTTTTTTTTTTTGAGACAGAGTTTTGCTCTTGTTGCCCAGGCTGGAGTGCAATGGTGCAATCTCAGCTCACTGCCACATTTGCCTCCCAGGTTCAAGCAATTCTCCTGCCTCAGCCTCCTGAGTAGCTGGGATTACAGGTGCCCGTCCCCACATCCAGCTAATTTTTTTGTATTTTTAGTAGAGACGGGGTTTCACCATGTTGGCCAGGCTGGTCTTAAACTCCTGACCTCACGTGATCCACCTGCCTCGGCCTCCCAAATTGCTGGATTACAGGCCTGAGCCACCATTCCCAGCCTAAACCTCTTTTTCTTAACAAATTACGCAGTCTCAGGAATTTGTTCATAGCAGTATGAAAATGGACTAATACAGACATGAAGAGATATTTCACCAAAGAAGATTTATAGGACACAAAATAAACATGTGAAAAGATGCTCAACTTCAATAGCTATTAGGGAAATGCAAATTAAAATCACAATGAGACAGCACTCTACAGCCATTAGAATGGCTAAAATAAAAAAATTGCAGCCGGGCGCGGTGGCTCACGCCTGTAATCCCAGCACTTTGGGAGGCCGAGGCGGGCGGATCACGAGGTCAGGAGATCGAGACCATCCCGACTAAAACGGTGAAACCCCGTCTCTACTAAAAATACAAAAAATTAGCCGGGCGTAGTGGCGGGCGCCTGTAGTCCCAGCTACTTGGGAGGCTGAGGCAGGAGAATGGCGTGAACCCGGGAGGCGGAGCTTGCAGTGAGCCGAGATCCCGCCACTGCACTCCAGCCTGGGCGACAGAGCGAGACTCCGTCTCAAAAAAAAAAAAAAAAAAAAAAAATTGCCAACTCCGAAGGCTAGGGGAAATGTGGAGGAACTGGAACACTCCTACATTGCTGGTGGCAATGTAAAATGGTACAGCAGCCAATCTGGAAGACAGTTTGGCAATTCCTTAGAAAACTAAACATGTAACTACCATACTACCCAGAAATTGCACTCCTGAGCATTTATCCTAGAGAAATGAAAATGTAGGTTCACACAAAAATGTGTTGATAGTAGGTTTATATTATTAGAATGCTTTATAAGATGTTTATAGCAGCTTTATTTGTAAAAGCCCCAAACTGGAAACAACTCAATGTCTCTTCTTATGAGTGAATGGTTAAACAAACTGTGGTATAACCATACCATGGGATATCAATCAGCAATAAGAAGGAATGAACTGCTAATATATGCAACAAACTGGATGAAACCCCTGAAAATTATGCTGAGTGAAAAAAGCCAATCTCAAAAGGTTACATATGGTATGATTCCACTTATGCTGCTCTCTGTGAGAACAGCTTTGTGATTGCCAGGGGTTACCAAGAGAGTAGGAGTGGCAGGTAGCAGATGTAACCTTAGAAAGGCAACATGAGGGAACCTTAAGGTGATGGATGTATTCTGTGTCTAGACTGTGTCAATGTCAGTATCCAGGTTGTGATATTGTACTAGAAATGTGCAAGAAGTTACCACTGGGGAAAACTGCATAAAAGGTACAGGGGATTTATTTGTAGTCTTTTTTCTTTTTCTTTTTTGAAATGGAGTCTCACTCTGTCGCCCACACTGGAGTGCAGTGGCGTGATCTTGGCTCACTGCAACCTCTGCCTCCTGAGTTCAAGCGATTCTCCTGTCTCAGCCTCTTGAGTAGTTGGGATTACAGGCAAGCACTACCACCTCCGGCTAAGTTTTGCATTTTTAGTAGAGACAAGGTTTCACTATGTTGGTCAGGCTGGTCTCGAACCCCTGACCTCAGGTGACCCGGCCACCTCGGCCTCCCAAAGTGCTGGGATTACAGGCATGAGCCACCATGCTTGGCGTCTTTATTTCTTAGAACTGTGGGTGAATCTGATTATTTCAAAATAAAAATTTTATTAAAAATACTGATTTTTTTGAGAGCCTCTTGATAATTCAAGGCAGTGCTGTCCAATAGACATGGTCACAGATTGAACCTTTATACTTTCTAGCTAGCAAAGTCAAAATAAAAAGGTGAAATTATAATTATACTGTTTAGCCCAATATATCCAAAAAATTATCTCAACATGAAACCAGTATAAAAATTATTAGTGAGATATTTTACATTCTGTCTTAGCTCAGGGTGGTATAACAAAAATACCATAAACTGGGTGGTTTAAACAGCAAACATTTATTTCTTACACTTCTGGAGGCTAAGAAGTCCAAGATCAAGGTGCCAGCAGATTCTGTGTCTGGTGAGGGCTCTCTCCCTGGTTTGCAGAAGGCCAGCTCCTTGCTGTGCCTTCACACGGCAAAGCGACCACATTCTAGTCTTTTTCTCTTCTTATAAGGACACTAATCCCAGCATGGTGGCTCCACCATCTAAACCCAATCACCTCCCAAAAGCCACACTTCCTTTTTGAGGTATTATGGGTATTATGGGACAGTATTCAACATATGAATTTTGACGGGATACTAACATGCAGTCCAGAACAACTTTTTGTTTGCCGTACAAAATCATCGACATCTGCTGTGTACTTTATACTTGCTGCACATCTCTATTTGGACTAGCTAAATGTGAAGTGTGGCTAGTAGTTACTATGTTGGGCAGTGCAGCTTAAAGGGATGCATTTGTGTTATGGGGAAGTTTCATCATCTCTGCAAATCAGGATGCCAAAAGAGCAAGCTGTTATAGAACCTGGAAAATCCCCAGAAATATTTCTCCTTGCCATGGGGGCTTGAGTGGGAAGGAGGAAAAAAAACGGATCTCAGCTGTCTAAGGAAGAACAGGCATCCTCGACTTAAATTTTCCTCTCAGAATTTCTACCGTGGGAGCAGTGGCCTGGGGGTTGCATTATTACTCAACCTATAAACTAAGTACATCTTCCAAGAACATTTATTTTTTTCACCCTGGTCTAAATCCAGTGGGTCTTCATTACTGGGCAAAAAGATTTTTTAAATCCTTCACAGGGTAAGAGAATTCATAAAGGGGCATCTTTACCCTCAAAGCCATCATTTTGATTTTTGATACCTAGGGAAAGGTACCATTACGCTTGCTCTCTTCAGTGGCCCCCATCTGATAGGAGAGGGCAAGGATCTCCTTTTGTTGCAGCGGCCTCCCCAGAGTGACTATGTTTCTGCAACCACAGTTGTGAATTTGTTCAAATGTCTTTTCCCAGGCAGGGAAGTGCTGCTCGCTGGCATAGAGGTGAGATGAACAGAGCACTTGCTCTGATTCATAGCTGTCCAATTGCAGAGGCATGAAGTTGTCTTAGAGCCCAGGGCAAAGGTGGCTCTTGCACAAACCTGACCATTTTGATCCAGTGGTACATCAGGTCCTATCTTCAGCAGACAAAGTGCATAAAAGAGCTGCCACCTTTGATTACGGTCTTTCTGAGTGTCAGGGATGGACTCCTGATGTATCAGTCACGTATTTAACAGACTGACCCTCAGGATAAAGTGCTGCTTCTAATGTCTTTTCATTATAGTCTAAGCTACTGTGTGGAGTGTCAATGCATTACTTTAGAGACTGCTGAAAAAGAACTCCTTTCATAGAATTCTAGGAGATAACGTGACATAGTGGATAAGACCACAGAAGGACTTTACAGCCCAAATGCCTTGGTTTGATTCCAGGCATTGCGATCTTGGCCAGTTATTTATTTATTTAGAGACTGAATTTTGCTCTTGTCTCCCGGGCTGGAGTGTGACAGCGTGATCTCGGCTCACTGCAACCTCTGCCTCCTGGGTTCAAATGATTCTCCTGCTTCAGCCTCCCAAGTAGCTGGGACTACAGGCACCCCACCACCACACCCAGCTGATTTTTCCATTTTTAGTATAGGTGGGGTTTCATCATGTTGGCCAGGCTGGTCTCGAACTCCTGACCTCAGGTGATCCACCTGCCTCGGCCTCCCAAATTGCTGGGGTTACAGGCGTGAGCCACCATGCCCAGCCTTAGCAAGCTATTTAATGTCTCTCTCCCTCAGTAACTTCATCTGTAAAATGGGCATAATAATAGCACTACCTCATAAGGTTGTTCTGAGCACTAAATGACTTGATATATTAAAGTACTTGGAATGGTGCCATGGCACACAATGAAGACTATATTGGCTAAGATTTTATTATATACTCAGAGTAGGGCAGAGGAAGTGACATTTTCCCATGTTTCCCAATCTCCTGCCTTACCCAACAGCCATTGCTTAGTGATCATTTCTGTCACTATCACTAGAAGAAAATCTAGTCCAGGAAATACTTGCTCTGTCTTACCGCATGCAAGTCAGAGTAAGATATCTTAAGACTTGGGGACAAGCAGAGAGAGCCATCATCTGGTGGGTGGATTTCTGGGGCTGATCCAAAAGGCACGTCTTAAGACAAAGCCAAATTCAATATTGTGACCATTTTATGTAAATGTCTACTCATTGTAAAGGGCTTGCCAGAGAGGAAGATTTCAGGTAGCCATCAGTTAGACAGGCACTGGCATGATCTGCTGGGAGAAGAGAGGAGCAGAGCCAGAGAATCTCTGCACCCATGAGCTGCTGCCTGCTCTACCATTCCTTTGTGTACCCTGAACCTTGGGAGGAGTGGTGGATGCACCTTAAGGTGACCCCCAACTGGGCATACCTTTGGAGAACCCCCTTACCTTAAATGCTGATAAAACCCATGGCTTGCTTCTAACCAACAGAATATAGCAAGAGTGAAGGGATGTCACTCCCAGGATTATGTTACTGTTCTGCTGGTTTTGAAGAAGTTAAGTGGCATATTGTGGGCCACCTGGCAAAGAATTATGAGCAGATTCTAGATACTGAGAGCGGGCTCTATCCAAAAGTAAGTGAAAAGCCAGGGCCCACAGTCATATAGCTTCAAGGAAATAAACTTTTTCCAGAATGAGCTTGAAAGCAGATTTTTTTCCCCTAATCAAGCCTCCAGAGGAGAACCAGACCTGCTGACATCCTTGATTTTCAGCTTTATAAGCCTCTGAGCAACACTTTGGAAGGCCAAGGCAGGCAGATCACCTGAGGTCAGGAGTTGGAGACCAGCCCGGCCAACGTGGTGAAACCCCATGTCTACTGAAATAAAAAATTAGCCAGGCATGATGGCATGTGCCTGTAATCCCAGTTACTTGGGAGGCTGCAGCAGGAGAATTGCATGAGCTCAGGAGGCGGAGGTTGTAGTGAGCCGAGGTCGCTCCATTACACTCCAGCCTGGGCGACAAGAGGGAAACTCTAACTCAAACAAACAGACAAAAAGACTCTAAGCAAAAGACCCAATTAAGCAATGTCCTGATCCCCAGAAACCGTGAGCTAATAAATCTGTTCTCTTAAAGCACTAGTATGTGGTAATTTGTTGCACAGCAATAGAAAACAAATACAGATGGGGATGGAATTAAGATAAATCAAAACACAGAATCTACATGGATTCCAGGGGCTACAGCCTCACATGTTACCAGTTTTAAAGCCCATAGAAAAGGTTAATCTTCCTCTCTCACTAGAGTCCCCCAGTAAAAGTCTCACTGCTTCTCTCTGGTTTTGATCCGGTCACATTCTCATCCGTAAACCAGTGGTATAGGCCAATGTAATGTGGTACCTGACTGGCAAAGGCTGAATCACATGCCCACTACAGAGCTGGAAGTAGAATTAACTCCACTTGAAACGCAAAGACTGAGAGTGAGGGAGGAGGCATTCCCTGGGGGAAGCGATGGTAGACTGTTTTCAAAGATGAAGGGGAAATATTCCTCTCCAGCTCCCCTGCAATGTGACTTTGCTGCTCCTCCCATTCAAAGGTAGAGTTTATTTTCCCTCCCCTTTTATCTGGGCTGGTCTTGTAAGTTGCTGGGTTAATCCAGGTTGTCTGAGAAACAGTTGCCAAGGCAAGACTAAACGTGCAAGGATTTTATTAGACCCTGTGTGAAAGAAACTAAGAGGCAAATTTGTGAGAGCCAGGCTACACACGGTGGCTAATGCCTGGAATCCCAGTACTTTGGGAGGCTGAGGCAGGTGGATCACTCAGCACTTTGGGAGGCTGAGGCAGGTGGATCACTTGAGGCCAGGAGTTCGAGACCAGCCTGGCCAACATGGCAAAACCCTGTCTCTACTAAAAATACAAAAATTACCTGGCGTGCACCTGTAATCACAGCTACTGGGGAGGCTGAGGTAGGAGAATCACTTGAACCCAGGAGGTGGAGGTTGCGGTGAGCCGAGATCACGCCACTGCACTCCAGCTTATATAACAGAGTGAGGCTCTGTCACAAAAAAACAAAAACAAAAACAAAAACAAAAAACACAAAGAAAAAGAAAAAAATGGAGACTCATCAGGCCATGATGCAAGTTTGATCCTGAGCGAAGGCGAGAGAAAGGAAAAGAAAGTTGGGCAGAAGTGTCTAAGAAAAATTTACCAAAACCGTTGGGGAAGCCTTGAGCCAAAATTGGCCAAAAAAGGAGTCCCATGCCTCCCAGGAAAAGATCTACCTCAGTATCCAGTCTGTGGCCTCCGCACAAACTTAAGAATGAACTTCAAAGCACAGTAGCTGGGACCCTCAATCAACTACATGTCCTGTAGTGGGAGGTCTGTGAGATGCATTCTATCGGCCACCATACTTGCTTTGATCAACAAAATGCAGCAGAAGTGAAGTTACATGATTTCCAAGGTGTGTCCTTAAGAGAATTTATGGCTCCACTTTTCTTCTCTTGGAATGCTCACCTGAACTGCCATTCAAGGAAGCTGGTGTAGCTGCTAAAGATGCCATGCCATGTGGATAGGCATTGAGGCCACCCAGCCAATAGCCAACACCAACTGTAGATGTGTGACTGAGGCTGTCTTGTGTCTTTAAGCCCAGCTGAATGCAACCATGTGAGTGAACCCAGGCAAAGTCAGCAGAGGAATCACCCAACCAAACCACAGAATCATGAGAAATAATAGTCATTTTTTTAAACCACTAAGTTTTGGGGCAATTTCTTATGTAGCAATAGTTAATTGAGACAAAAATAGAGGTGGTCATTACTTAGATGTCCCAACCTCAGTCCATGGCCAATATGGCACTACTGCGTATAAATACTAACAAAGAGAATCAGCAGTGCAAGAAGGGACAAGGCCTTGTTTTTGACAGCAGCACTAAGAAACTTTAGAGAGAAAAGCCTGGTCAGCCTTAAGAATCTGGGGATAGGCTACGTCTATCATTCTTTCAATGGGCCCATACTAGGTTTATCTAGAGCCATGGTTCTCAACTTTGCATACATATTGGGAACATCTTGAAAACACACTGAGGAAATCAGCCTGGGCTGTGGCCTGGTCATTCAGGTGTTTTAAATCTTCCCAAAATAATTTTAAAAGTGCTGCCAAGGTTGAGAACCACTAACTTAAATGCTTCTTTGACCTTTTTATATTTTCTACCAACTCATCTTTTGAGACTAAGTGACAGCCAATATGTGGGATCTCAGAGACCTTGTTGACATCTACTGACCTGCTCCTTACTCCTTCTCTGCCACTCTGAGGGTGCTGCCAAGGCTTCTTTCTTGGTCCCCACTTCTTGCTGTGAACATTGAACAAAATTTCCTTCCTTCATTATCCAAGGGCCCTGCGTGGATGCCTGTATTGATTGGCTTGAGTGTTGATCCACTTTAGGTGGCATTTAAAAAAAGGCCACGTTCACTCCATGTGGGAATTTGGTGATCAATCACACAATCAAATGAAATATGATGCCCCCTTCTGTGGCCAGTCTTGATTTTTTCGACCTTAGGCAAATCACCTCACTTTTCTTAGTTGCAGTTTCTTCACCTCTAAAATAAAAAGCACTGTATCATTCTGTAATTCCACTAGTTTCCTATATTTATCATCTGGTATCTTTTATTTGGTACTTGTTTTAGTTTCTATGATAGAAAAGAAAACAATATTAAAATGCCAATTTGCTTGGCTTTATGGGAATAGCAGACAATGAAAAGCTATTCGTATGAAAATTCTATATGGATATTAAACATATTCCTGTTTGGATTTATTGTCAACCTCAGTGAACAAGTGGCAATTTAAAATGTTTGTTCAGTGCCAGGAGAAGATATGGAAACATAATCATGTGGAAAGTTTGTTTGAAACACTCTGTTCTCAGAATCCCTCCACTGTCGATTTGCAAATAATTTCACTCCCGAAAGAGCCATGGGTCTATATTCTTATGCCTATTTATCTACATCGAAAGCAGCTTTCGTTTAGCTCATTGAAACATGTAATCCCAGGGGATAAACAACACGGTACATGTTAAGTATCTATAGTGTTTTCAAGAAGTCATGCTCACATGGAAACATACTAGAGAGTAAGTAATGAAGTGTAAGTATGAATGGTCTCTCTGGAAAGATCCACTATACTGAATAGTTTCTGATTGTCATCAAGTGGCGGAGAGCGCTGTTATTCAATGATATCAAATATTTCAAACTTCCTAGCTCCCATCCTCCCCTACCCCCCGCCCACCCCGATGCCACTCCTCAAATCTTTGGCTGAGCAACTATGCTGCAACAAACTTTTTTTTTTATTATTTATTTTTGAGACAGAGTTTCCCTCTTGTTGCCCAGGCTGGAGTGCAATGGCGTGATCTCGGCTCACTGCAACCTCCACCTCCCGGGTTCAAGCCATTCTCCAGCCTCAGCCTCCCCAGTAGCTGGAACTACAGGGGTGCGCCACCACGCCCGGCTAATTTTGTATTTTTAGTAGAGACAGGGCTTCACCATGTTGGTCAGGCTGGTCTCGAACTCCTGACCTCAAGTGATCCACCCGCCTTAGCCTCCCAAAGTGCTGAGATTATAGGCGTGAGCCACCACGCCCGGCCATAAGCTTTCTTTATTCAGTAACTAGTGAGTGGCTTGCATCTGAGAGGCTTCCCTATTGGTGGACACTGGCTGGGTCTTTCTGCCCTCTTCTGGGTCACTAAGGTAGATACTTTAAAAAAAAGATAGCTCCTGAATTTCTCTGTTCAAGTCCATTTTTTCTCCTGGCTCAGCTCACTCTCTCTCAGAGGATGCTACATTGCTATTGCTGGCAGCAGTGAGGCAAGGAAAGACTGAAGGCATGCACAGGAAACGAGCTTGTCCTCAAAAAACCGAAATGTCTGAAAATCAACACACAGAGGAATGAAAATGCTGATGCTGAAAGGGTCAAGTGGGTTTCTCAACCCTGGCAAATAACTATATAGGGTTAAAGAGTTTCTGGTGCATTTTGGCAGGGGGTTTCACTCCTTAAATGTGTTTGGTGGTTGAAGTTCAAGAAAGAATGGTTGAAACATAGTCCAAATAGTCATTGTCAAGTTTATGTAACAGGAAAAAAGGACCAGCTGAGATCCGTCTATGAAGTGTAATTGGAAATCTGCTGAGAGAGAGAGAGAGAGAGAGAGAGAACTGTATTGCCAAATATGGGGAGAGTTAAGACAGTTTTTACTTTCTGCCAAATAGTATCTGTTACATTCTGTAAATCCAAGTCTCCATTATGAAAGAAAAAAAAAAAAGAACCAGTACATTTAAATGTACACTGCAGGGGAAACTTTCCAGTGATTTCCAATTCAGCTAGTCTTTGAAGTACTGGAGAAAACTCTGAGGGTCTTCAATGTAGGCAGAGGCTGGACAAAGTGTTCAATTAAAAAAGGCCTTAGAACACAATTTTATCCAGACTGGGTACCCAGAGCCATGAGCTCAGGTGACCCACAAGTCTGCAGTCTGGCTTCCAGATGAAAACACTAGACAAGTGAACTGAGTTTTAAAAACTGGTAGGCATTGGGGTGGGGAAGGGGGTTTTATCATTCCATCCCCTTAGTCTCTAGTTACCCACAAGGAAAGCCTTTGATAAAGTAGTTGCAGCAGACACAACGAATAACTGCTTCACCAAGACATGTATTTCAGAAAACAAGACATTTCTATTTTCAGTAAGCAGTCTTTACTGTACATACAATAACTAACACATTGTCAAAGAATTAGCCATGTTTTTAAGCCCAAGCTTTTGGGATCAGATAGGTCTGAATTTGATCCCCAGCAATACAACCTCCTAGGTAGCTGTGTAATGTTGACCAAGTGCTATAATGCCTTGGAGCCTCAGTTTCTTCATCTGTAGAATGAGATAATTAATAACACTTATATAACAGTATTGTTGGGAGAATTAAATACAGTTCTCCTTCGGTGTCCTTAAGAGTTTGGTTCTAGGACTGCTCCCCCACCCCCACCCCATGGATACCAAGATCTATAGATGCCCGAGTCCCTGATATAAAATGGTGTAGTATTTTCATATCACCTATGGGCATTCTCTTGTATACTTTCAAATCATCTCTAGATTATTTATAACCCCTAATACAATGTAAATTCTCTCTAAATAGTTGTTATTCTGTTTTTTCTTTTATTTCTATTACTTTTATTGTTGTATTGTTATTTATTTTTCAAATAATTTCCATCTGCAATGGATTGAATCCATCAACGTGGAACCCTTAGATACAGAGGGCTGACTGTAATATAATGCATGTAAAGATGTTAGTGTCACGACTGGCACATTGTTGATATTAAATAAGAGTTATCTGTGTTTTCTCTTAACATGAGAAGGTAGAGTTACAAAATAGAGAACAGTAATGGTTTTTTAGAACAGTCCTATGCTTTGTGTTTTTTAGAAGAGTTTTGTTGAGGTATCATTTACATAGCATAAAATTTACTTGCTGAAAGTGCACAGTTCAGTTGTTTTTAGCATTTACTGCACTTAGCATTTACAGAGTTGTACAACCATCACCATAATCTAATCTTAGAAAATTTGATCACTCCCCAAAGAAACCCATATCTATTAAATGTCATTTCTCATTCTCCCACCCCCAGCCCCTGGCAAGCATGAATCTACTTTCTGTCCCTCTGGATTTGCTGATTCTGGACTTTTCATGTAAATGGAATCATACGATATGTGGTCTTTTGTGACTGGTGCTACACCTACTCCTCAACTTATTTTTACATGAAAAATACAAAGTGGAAATCAAAAGGATTCTCTGTTAGATTATCTCATAGGTTGAATTTTAAAGGATTCACACAGGATTTGAGAAGGGAATGGTTAAATGCCAGACGACTTTTCAGCAGCCATTAAGCAAATAAATCATGCAGTTTGATTACATTAATGCATAACAGCTTTTCCTTGTTCATTTATTTTCTCTGGATCCCATTCTCAGTATTCGGCTCCATCATGAAAAAGCTCCTTCCAGCCCTGAGAGTATCCTTGACTCTGGCCAAGGCCTGACACGTGTTTCTACAGCAAAGCCTGTGGTTGCACTGCATGGGCCCCTCTTTGAGGCTGTGCACCTAGTAGGGATGCAGGAGACCTGGTCCAGCCTTCTGCCACCAGCCTTAGGTGTTGAGGGAATCAAAGGAGATCACAAATCTGAAGAGTTCTGGAAAATCCTCATATGTCAGTCAGGATTCTTGGGGTCAAGTGTGCCAGAGCACAATTGTCTCACTCAAGTTTCCAATGGGAAACAGATTGCTCTCACATGGATTAACCAAGGAGAGTGCAATCAAGGGATTACTTTTTTTTTTTTAAGTGTGGGAAAATCAGAACCACCCTTAAACCATGCCTATTACCTGGGTCCCACTCTAGCTACCTTCCTCACTGAGAGCGAGAAGTCATAGGGTCAATGGGATAAAGACCATGCTTCAAACACCCATGCCTTCAACTTTCCTGTCCACCTCCAGGGTTCATTCCCTGGTTCCTGAGGGTGGAGGGCACCACAAGTGTGTGACTCCCCTGCACCCTGACTCCAGGGCAGAGGATGGACAAGGGATGCTGTCTGTAAAGAATGTGCAGACTGTGAGCCCCCATGGTGCAGGATGGAGCTGGAGTGGAATGAGCAGGTGGGTAAGCCAAGGGCTTAGGAGCCTCCATTTATACTCTTGCTTTGGGCCTACCAACCTTAGGGGTGGACCTAGATGAGATAATGGTAAACTAAGAAGAGATGGTACAGTACCCCAGGCTAGCAATACAGGAGCAGTTATCAACCTGGAGCCTGAAGCGCCGAGGAAAGAGGGTAGCTTCCAGAACCTAGCTATAAGAGCAGACCACCAACATGTGCTCCAGTCTTTGGTTCAGGACCAGAACCAACCCCAGAGGAGCCACAAGGAGGGAGCCAGAGTTATTCAGGCCTCCTTCATTCTTCTCCAGCTCATTGAAATCTTGACAGAGATCTCCAGTGGCCAATCCTAACCAGAAGCATGAGGGCAAAGGAATATAGGAAAGCACTCCACAAAGGCCAACTCCCACAAAGCGTAGGGGAGGAGTGGAGCCTGGATCTGGAGCATTAAATACAAAGCATCAACCACTCCATTCAAAAAAGGAAATTTATTATATGAATGCAGGAGCTAAGTCATCATTTGTCCAGGAGCCAAAATGTACATCAGCACTGAAAAAACCATTGGTACCAACTCTTTCTGGATGTTTAGCTTCACTCTCTGTCTCTTTCTCTCCTTCCCTCTCTCCCGACTAAGTTTCTCTCCTTGACCAAACTCTACTCAGACTTCCCTGAACTCTCTTCTCAACTAAGCCCTGATTTTAGGCTTCTGTGTTTATCTCTGCATTGTCCAATTTTAGCAAGAGTCCTGCTAAGTCATTTTAACCAGAATCCCCCACCCTCTATATCTGAACAGGCTCCTCATCCCCCACCACCCACTAGGTGATGTGTGAGCACCCTGACCTGTCTTCAGCAAGAATCCTGTTAAGTCAGTTCAGCAAGAATGCCTCCTTACCCCTGATGTTTCCTCTTAGTAAGTTTCCATCCACTGACCCTCTACCCTTTTCTTTGGCTATAAATCCCCACTTTTCCTTGTTGAATTCTCAGTTGAGCCCAATCTCTCTCCCCAACTGCAGAACCCCCTGCAGTGGTCCCTACACTTATAGTGATGGCCCTGAATAGTATGCCTTACCATTTTTCCTTTAACATTCCCTCCCCAAGTCAGATGTTTGCATTTCTTATGTCCAATGATGAAATGCATTTTCCTCTCAGCTCCTAAATTGACATATTGCAGTTCTAGGTCATTCCAAGGACTGACACCTTTGCCTTGGTCGCAACTCCAAATTCTTGGAAAAGGGAAACTGCTTACCTCAGTCTGTATCAAGTGCTTACTCCTAATGCAGTCACCTCTGTTCAGGAATGTGGGATCTCATAGTCCAAATAGGGCTGAATGTGGATCCCGTGATGTTTCAAATCTACCATGCTGCTTACATCTCAGTTCACTAAAGAAGCAGTATATATGACCTATAAACGTAGGGAAACAGGTACAGCTTACATATAATCAACTCACACAAATTAAAACAACTAGATACCACTTTCCACCAAATAGGTTGGTAAAGATTTTAAAGTCTGATAGTGCCCAGGGCCAGTGGCAGGGGTGGGAGAGATCACACGTGACTCAAGAAGTGTAAATTGGTTCAACCTTTCAGGAGGGCGACCTGGCAACATTTTTCAGAAATTTAAATGTAAATACTACCTCACTTATCAGTTCAGCAAACAGGACTATACCTAGAGGAAATAATCAGTCAAATATATAAAAATATATGTACAGGTTTTAACTTCCATGTTTATTTTAGAAATAACCAACAATGGACTTTTTAAAAAAATTTTGTTGCAGTTAATAGAGTAAAATAATATACAGCTGTAAGAATGATTACGTTATATTTGGGTGTTGGGTACACTAGAAGCCCAATCCCCACCATTATACAACACAGCCATGTAGCAAACATGCCCATGTACCTGCTAATCTAAAATGTTTTTTTAAAATCATCCATTAACAAAGGATTATGTTAATATATATTTAATATAGAAAGACATCTACAACATATCATTGAGAAAATCTAATTTAAAAGTTTTTTGAATAAATCATTCTGCTTTTCTTTCCTTTTAAAAAGTGGTTTTGTTTTTGTTTTGAGATGGAGTCTCGCTCTGTCGCCCAGGCTAGAGTGCAGTGGCGCAGTCTTGGCTCACTACAACCTCCACCTACCGGGTTCAATCAATTCTCCTACCACAGCCTCCCGAGTAGCTGGGATTTTTTAATTAAAATTAGCCTGGCTAATTTTCGCATTTTTAGTAGAGATGGAGTGTTGTCATTTTGGCCAAGCTGGTCTCAAACTCCTAGCCTCAAGTGATCCGCCCGCCTCGGCCTCCCAAACTGCTGGGATTACAGGCATGAGCCACAGTGCATGGCCAAAAGTGTTTCTTATTGTAGTAACATACACACACACACACACACACACACACACACACACACACACACAAAACTTAAGATTTGCCATTGTAACTACTTTTCTTTGTACAATTCAATGGCATTAATTACATTCATAATGTTGTGCAACTATCATTCTATTTCCAAAACTTTTTCATGTTAGACAGAAACTCTGTACTCATTAAACAATAACTCTGCATTTCTCTCTCTCCCCAACCCAACCTATGGTAACCTCTAATGTACTTTCTTCCTCTATGAATTTGCCTATTTTAGGTATTTCATATATGTGAAATCATGTAATATTTGTCCTTCTGTGTAGTGTCTGGCTTATTTCATTTAGAATAATATTTTCAAGGTTCATCCGTGTTGTAACATGTATCAGTCAGGGTTCTTCAGGCAGACAGACCAATAGTAGGTAGGTAGGTAGACAGATAGATAGATATAGATGATAGATAGATAGATTGATCGATCGATAAAGTCCATGATAGGCCTTCTGTTAAGCTGGAGAACCAGTAGCATGACTCAGTCCAAGTCTGAAAGCCTCAGAACCAGGGAAGCTGCTGATACAAGTCTCAGAGTCCAAAGGCCAGAGAACTGATGTCCAAGGGCAGGAAAAGAAGGGTGTCTCAGCTTCAGAAGAGAGAGAGAACAAATTCACCCCTCCTCTGCCTTTTTGTTCTATCTGGGCCACGAGCTGATTAATTGGTGACTGCCCACACTGAGGGCAGATCTTCCTTACTTAGCCTCCTGATGCAAATGCCAGTCTCTTGGAAACATTCTCACAGACACATCCCAAAATAATGCTTTACCAGCTATCTGAGTATCCCTTAATCCAGTCAAGTTGACACCTAAAGTTAACCATTATATAACATACATCAGAACTTCACTCCTTTTTATGGCAGAATAATATTCCATTGTATGGATAGACCACATTTTGTTTATCCCTTCATTTTTTGATGGTCACTTGGGTTGTTTCCCTCTTTTGGCTATTGTGAATAATGCAGCAATGAACACTGGTGTACACATAACCATTTGAGCTCCTGCTTTCAATTATTTGGGGTAAACACCTAGGAATGGAATTGCTGGGTCATGTGGCAATTCTATGTTCAACTTTTTGAGGAACTGCTAAATTGTTTTCCGTAGCAGTTGCTCTGTTTTACATCCTCACCAGCAATGTATGAGGGCTCCAATTTCTCCACATCCTTGCCAACCCTTGTCATTTTCCTTTAATATTTTTATATATTTTTTAATATAGCCATATTAGTAGATGTAAAGTGATATTTCATTGAGGTTTTTACTTACATTTCCCTAATGACTAATAATGTTGAGCACTATTTTTTGTGTGCTTATTGGCAATTTATATATTTTCTTTGGAGAAATGCTTATTCAAGTCCTTTGTCCATTTTTAAATCTTAATTGGGTTGTTTGCCTTTTTGTTGCTGGGTTGCAGGAGTTTTTTTAAATATATTCTGGATATTAAACTCATCAGACCTATTATTTACAAATATTTTCTCCCATTCTGTAGGTTGCCTTTCACTTTCTTAATAGTGTCCTTTAATGCACAAAAGCCTTCAGTTTTGATGAAGTCCCATTTATCTATGTTCTTTTGCTATCACAGCTAAGAGATCACTGCCTAATCCAGGCCATGAAGGTTTACCCTTATGCTTTCTTCTAGAATTTTATAGTTTAAGTCCCCCTATTTAAGTCATTAACTCATTTTGATTTAATTTTTATATGTAGTTGTGAAGTAAGCCTAGTTTTCACCATTTTAAATGGTTTTATAAGTGCCTACATAATATACTCAGTTTTGCCTCTTGACACATGCGGTCTAAAATATTTATCATCTGGCCCCTTACAGGAAAACTTTGCCAATCTCTGTGGCCAGGTGCAGTCCTTGCAAATAGAGTGCTTAATAAATGTTTAACAGATAGATTCATTCAGCAAATATTTATGAACCTTCTACTGAATACAAGGCACTTACCAAAGTATTATGGGGAGAGGCAGAGGTTTCAAAATTAAATGAGAACTCATTAAAGCCCTTATTGAACTTACTACATCTAAGCAGCAATTAATTATACCTAGCTGAAAAGAAGCCAAATATTGAGGATTGAAAATTCTTCTGTACAAAAGGTCAGTCTTGAATAGTGACAAAAACTGAGACATAAGAACTATCTCAATTCTTTTCAGAGTAAGATGCATAATAAATTTGGAAAGATGCATGCCATGATGTGCACACACATGCACACAAACACATCTCCTTTTCTTTGGTCAATTCTAAAGAAATGAATAGAGATCATGAGCCACTAACGGCAACAGCAACTGCTGTCACAGGAGCAGGAAAAGCATTTGCAACATAGAGTGAGTTTTCGTTCACCCCTTTTTGCTAATACAGGTTGGCTTGCATAGGCAGCAAGGAGTGTTCACGATCTGTGGATCCAAGAATTTAAATTAAAATGCTCTTGCGGCAAGAATCTGTCATCCTCATGACAGACCTCCAGAAGAGACCCAGTTGTCCCTGTTTACAAATGGAGAAGGAATACTTTTTATATTTCAGCCTCTCTTAGTGGAAAAAATTATAAAACAATGCAAAATTGAGACAGAATCTCAATTTTTCTCTCTTTTTACTTTGGACTCTGTATGAGTGGCTCCCCAAAATCTCTGTCAAGAAATTCCCCCCTTTTTTTAAAGACAGAATCTTGCTCTGCGATCAAGGCTGGAGTGCAGTGGCACAATCATAGCTCACTGCAGCCTCGACCTCCTAGGCTCTAGTGATCCCCCCACCTCAGTCTCCTGAGTAGCTAGGACTACAGGTGTGTGCCACCACACCCAGCTAATTTTTAAAAAAGTTTTATTTTTGTAGAAATGGGGATCTCACTATGTTGCCCAGGCTGGTCTCAAACTCCTGGCCTCAAGCAATCCTTCCTCCCACCTCGGCCTCCCAAAGTGCTAGGTTTATAGGCATGAGCCACCACACCTACCCAAGAAATCCTTTGGATAGTGTATCAGTTGGGGATTGAGTCTGACTACAAGGAACAGATACTGAATTCAACAATAACTTAAACTGAAGGCTTCATTTTACCTGTGTAAGTGAGGTCTGGACGTAGGCAGTTGGGAGCTTCTTTGGACTCCTTCTGTACAGCTATCCTCAGCGTGTGGTTTGATGCTTCAGGGTCACAAAAAGCTCGTCCATCTCCACATGTCTATGTACCAAGAAGAAGGAAGGGGAAGGGCAAAACTCTCACATGCACCTGAATCACCTGAGAATCTCGTTAAAATGCAGATTCTGATTCAATAAATCTGCAGTTTTGTATTTCTAAGGTCTGCTGACCACACTTTGAAGAGTAGTGCCAGGTGCATCTGTGCTGTTTTCTAGAACCTCCCCCACCCCGTGACCTTTATTTCCAACTTATTAGCTAGACTCTGTCACATGGCACCTCCTAATTCAAAAAAGATTGAAAATGTAGCTTTGTAGTTAAATACAAATTGGGGACTTCTAAGTTGGGAAAAAGAGAAAATGGATATTGTATCCTAAGAGTGTTTGCTGCAAGTAACCATTTGATTTGGAAAACACAGTGCCGGACACCCATCCTCTAGTTACTGTCTTAAATTGGTACTTGACAAACTCTCACCTGCACCTGAATCACCTGAGAATCTCGTTAAAATGCAGATTTTGAGTTAATAAACCTGCAGTTTTATATTTCTAAGGTCTGCTGACCACACTTTGAATAGTAAATACTTCAATCACTGGATCTTCTAATCAATCAGAAAAGAAATCAGCTGATTTGTTTTTGATAACCCCCCGCCCCCCACCCTTTTTTTTTTTTTTTTTTTTTTTTTTTTTTTTTTTTTTGAGACAGAGTCTTGTTCTGTTGCCCATGCTGGAGTGCAGTGGCGTGCTCTCGGCTCACTGCAACCTCCACCTCCCAGGTTCAAGCGATTCTCCTGCCTCAGCCTCCCGAGCAGCTAGGATTACAAGCGTGTGCCACCATGCCCGGCTAATTTTTGTATTTTTAGTAGAGATGGGGTTTCACCATGTTGGCCAAGCTGGTCTGGAACTCCTGACCTCAGGTGATCCACCTCAGCCTTCCAAAGTGCTGGGATTACAGGCATGAGCCACTGCACCTGGCCTTTGATACATCTTAATGTGTGATTTTAAATTTTAATCACATGGTAAAATAAAGAGCCCAAATAACCCTTAATATTCTTGTAAATATTTAAAAACTGGAATCAAATACTGAAAAACCATCAAATAAATAGAAACTGTGGGATATTGTACAAGTGGCCTGAATGTGTCAAAAAAAAAAATCAATGGCATGAGAAACAACAAAAGGCAGGAGGACTGTTCTAGATTAGACTGAGAACCAAATCCAGTGCACAAACCCTGATCATATCCTAGATTAAAATAATAAACAGCCATAAAAAATATTTTTGAGACAACTTGGTGTATTTGAATATGGATTGTACGTTATATTATGGAATTTTACATTTCTCAGTGTAATAATAATATCGTGTGTTTATAAGAGAATGCACTTATTTTAGGCAGTGTTGGTTGAATTATTTAGAGGAGAAGAGCCGTGATGTTTGCAACTTACTTTCAAATCATTTAGTGAATTCATATTTTCAGAGAGTAAAAAGATAAAGCAGATATGGGGGAAAGTTAACAACTGGTGAATCTAGGTAAAGAGTTTACAACTGTTCATTATATCATTATTGCAAATTATCCGTATGTTTGAAAAACCTCCAAATAAAAAGTAGGGAAAACCTTCATCATAGAGTTACAGCACATAGAGCTGAGAAACTGATTTTTTCTTTATTTTTTTAGAAGTATTTTGAGAAATGACCGTTACCGAGGAAGAGTGTTACACACGAGCATACTCATTAATAAAATGTCTCTAATAGAGAAAATACTCTCTATTGCAGAGAGCTCCCCTTCTCCATGATCCCTAAGCCTGTGGGGCACATCACAGCACTATTAGGCTGTGTCCTTTTAAGTGTATTGATAGACCCATCTCCCTGACAGGACTGGAAGTTCCATCAGAAAAGAGTTCAAGTCCTACCCATCTCTCTGACCCCAGCTGCAGATTCTAATAAACATTTGTGAAAGATGGAAAGAAGGTATGATTGATAGACAGCAGTTGCCAGGGTAGTTTGGAAGACAGCCTTAAAACCAAACTCAGTATTTGAAACCAGAAATAATCCTGGACTTGGTTGCATGCCACCGGAGAAGAGCTTGTGCCCGCCTGGCCGGCTCAGCTGCTTTTATGCTCAGTGGGGTCATTAAACTTGTCAGACTTGTTTGCACTGGCAAGCAGGTCATTGGAGCCAGTTCCTCATAAGGCACTTAGCGACTTCAGGGTCCCATTGCAGTGCATTACACACAAAATGAGCAAAAAGCCAAAGAAAATAAAGACAGTGGCCAGAGGGAAACTACGTCACTCTTTTAAATAATCATCCAAACAGAAACAAAAATCACTGACACTGAAAAGCCATCTTTTAGTTTAATTATGTAATCATTCACCAAGATCTCTTTGCTCTCCAAATTTTACCAAGCAAGCACTAGAATGTTCGACCTTATTAGCAGGATCCTTATTTCTTCTATTTTTTTCAGATTCAACTAAATAATCTTGATACAGGTACAGGTTTTTCTGACAAGTTGGCTCTCAATAATCAACTGATGCCATATCAAAGAGAGACAGCTTATAAAAAGAACAGGTTCAGGAGAACTTTAACATAAAGATTCTTCTATGTCCTCACAAAATTTGGTAAGTTTGCTGCATCTAAATAGTTTATGAATACAAGCATTTTTAAAAAAAAAAACCTATTTGACCACAGATCCTTAAGTAGTAACTGAAGACACAATCAAGATCATCTGGGAAGGAAAGACGATTTGGCAGAATGTCAGACCAAAACAGGATCCCCACGTTGCTGAAAAGACCCATTTGCTCATTTATATTAAGTGTAACTACTGCCTGGTCCATGTTCAGCTTATTCTTGTGACAAACTAGGAAGAATCTGATGGCCATTTACCATTATCCTTTCTTGCAGAAGTTGATAAAGTAGGTATTGAAATATCAGGGCACTGTAAAATAATCATAACTAGACCTCAAGGTATTATATTTTTCCTATCACTAACACTTACTTCTTCATTTCTCATAGGTGAGGTTCATTAGCCATGGTTTTTATGTTTTTTTTTTTTTTTGAGATGGAGTCTCCCTCTGTTGCTCAGGCTGGAGAGTGCAATGGCACAATCTCGGCTCACTGCAGCCTCCACCTCTGGTGTTCAAGCGATTCTCCTGCCTCAGCCTCCTGAGTACCTGGGATTACAGGCACCCACCACCATGCCTGGCTAATTTTGTATTTTTAATAGAGACGGGGTTTCACCATGTTGGCCAGGCTGGTCTCGAACTCCTGACCTCAGGTGATCCACCCGCCTTGGCCTCCCAAAATGCTGGGATTACAAGCGTGAGCCACATGCCTAGCCTAAGCCATGATTCTTTTGATTGCAAGTGACAGAAACTCAATCTACACTGGCTTAAACAAACAAGGAAATTTCTTGGCTCAGTTAACTGGGAATATGGGGTTCATATCAGGGGACCAAATCAGGACATGACTGTCTTCCTCACTCTGCTTCTCTTTGCTTGTATCTTTGCTGGTGCCACACTCAGGTAGAACTGTTCCATGTATTTGCAAAGATGACCATGAGCAGCCCCAGGTTATTTTATATTTTAAACTAGACATCCTAAAGAAAGGAGGACACAGGCTGGGCGCGGTGGCTCACGCCTGTAATCCCAGCACTTTGGGAGGCCGAGGCAGGTAATCACCTGAGGTCGGGAGTTCGAGACCACCTGACCAACATGGAGAAACCCCATCTCTATTAAAAATACAAGTTAGCCGGGCATGGTGGTGCATGCCTGTAATCCCAGCTACTCGGGAGGCTGAGGCAGGAGAATCACTTGAACCGGGAGGCACACAGGCAGAGTGTTATCTGCTGATGAGGGCATCAGCATCACCTGGGAATTTCTAGAAATGCAAAACTTTGGGCCCTACCTAGGGTAACCAAACATCTGTGCTTGCCAGGGGGGCTGGGCTTCTGATGCTAAAACTGAAAAAATCCTAGGTAAACTGAGATTTGTTGGTCACCACGGGCTGCAGACCTGCTGACTCAGAATCTCTGGAGTCCAGCTCAGAAATCCGTGCTTTGACCAGCTTTTCAGGTGATTCTCAGACATCATTTCCGAGTTCTTGTTTTAGAGGAGAACACAGTTCAAGCAAAGGCTTGGAGCAAGGAGAGTTGTCTTAAACCGCTCAGCCTTGCTCCTCATTCTCGACAGCTGCCTCCTGGTTTCCTGTTGCAGTGGGAAACAAAACTAGGGCAGTGGGTGTCTTGTAGTGGAGGCCTCTGCCTCTGGTTGGGTGAAGAGGGCAGAGGGATGAGAAAATTCTGCTGCTACTTTTCACCTCAGTTTATCTGCCTCAGCCCCCACGACAGCCTGGGGGTGGGGGAGAGACTACCTTGGAGGAGAGTGTCGAGAGAGAGAGGATGGGAGGAAGGGAGCAAAAATGGAGCAGCCTTCGGGCCTTGCTCAGCCTGTTTGTCCCCAGCCTGTTGTTTGCCCTGCTGCTTTGAGGCAGAACTCAATTCCTTCAGCATCATAGAAACAACATTATAAGCAACCTTAAGGCCATGCCTCCCCTTTTGTGATAGGTTGACTTCAACCCAGTGTTGGGACTCAGAAACTGATACCCCAAAATATGGTGCTTTGTACACGCTCAACTGAAAAAGGAGCCTCAAGCTCTCTCTGACCACCACCCCGTCCCCCACCGTTTTCCCAAAGCATAGGATTCTCTGAAGTTCCTTATCTGCTTCAAGTCCAGGTTGAACAAAGAAGAAAACAATTACCCTTGGTCCCTTCCCAGAGTTTTCGTTAACTGAACCCATCTCACAGGAAGGAAAACTAAAGTCTGTCAACAAACCTGAACGGACTTCTGTCACAAACCATTGTCCACTCTGTGGGCCCAACAGACTTTGTCCCAGACCATTATATGTTCTTCAAGCCCATTAAGTTCTCCCTGATAATCATTTATTGCCCCTCAATGGAATTCCTGTTCTCTCCCTTCTCATAATCTGTTTTGTCAGGACCCAAGCCCCCATTCTTTCTATAACCTCAAGCTAGGATATAAGCTTCTGGACCCCATTAGGGAATGAGGTCTTCATTCTAAAGGTGCCCATGTCACATAAAACTATGATCAAATGAATTTACATGACTTTTCTCCAATTAATCTGCCTTTTGTGAGCTGATTTTTCAGTGAAACTTCAGAAGCGGAGGGGAAGTTCCCTTGGTCTCAACAACAGAAAGAAAAAACTTGCTTTTCCTCTCTCCACATTCTTCTTAAGAATCTCAAGTTGGCTTAGTCCAGGGTTCCTCAACCTCAGCACTACCGACATTTAGGGCTGGACAACCCTTGGTTGTGTGTGTGTGTGTGTGCGGTGGGGAGTTGTCCTATGCGTTGTAGGATGTTTAGCAACAACCCTGGCCTCTACTCCTTAAATGCCAGCAGCACTCTCTTCCCTAGTTGTAAAAACCAAAAATGTCTCCAGGTGTTGCCGAATATCCCCTGAGGGGCGTTTGAGACCCACTGCCAAACTTCCCTGCCTGCAGGAGAAAGAGTATGGCTCTACTTGCCCAGCACAAAGGGTTTTTAAGACTTTGTTTTGGGTGTAATATTTTCAGGCCAATAACCTCCGATGTGCAATATATGTTACTTTATGTTTTACATCCAAACGGAATTTCCTTCCCAAGACTCCTTTCCCAAACAAGTCAGTGGAGGGTAAACTCTGTCAAATCAGATCTTTCTCAGTCAATTCATGGTCTTGTATGACTTTACTTTTCCCTAAGCTCCAAGGGAAGGAAGAGGGTGGAGGGCTGAGTGAGATGTGGCCCAGGGTTGTCATCTGTCTATGCTGGTTTCTACATGTGGTCCTTCTTTTAACTGCTCTTGGTTCATTGCATCTTTTCGCTATGGCATCTACTAAGAGGCCCCAATTCCTTTCCATTTCTAAGTACTGTGTTTCACCCTTCTGTGCCCTACTAAGTCCCCACAGGCTTGCCTCAAAGCCTTTGCCGCTCCGCTGCCTACCCCTCTCCCTCTCTCACGGGAGCTATGTCAACATATTAGATGGTCCCCGGCTGGGCCCCAGAGCCTTAGGAAGTTAGTTTTCCTTCCCCTACTTGTTCCAAATTGCAACTGTGTTCTGCTCTTGTCAGTTCTATTCTATGCCATTCCATTCCTTTCATACCACAATAAATCTCTTGACTTGCTCAGGCCAATAGGATGACCCCTGGCCACATATGACTGTCAAGCACCTGAAATGTGACTCGCCAAAAGGAGATGGCTGATGGCATAAAATACACGCTGGAGCTGGATTTTTATTTATTTTTATTTTTATTTTTTGAGACGGAGTTTCACTCTTGTTGCCCAGGCTGGAGTGCAATGGCACAATCTTGGCTCACCGCAACCTCCGCCTCCCAGGTTCAAGCAATTCTCCTGCTTCAGCCTCCCGAGTAGCTGGGATTACAGGCATGTGCCACCGCGCCTGGCTAATTTTGTATTTTTAGTAGAGACAGGGTTTCTCCATATTGGTCAGCCTGGTCTCAAACTCCCGACCTCAGGTGATCTGCCCATCTCGGCCTCCCAAAGTGCTGGGATTACAGGCATGAGCCACTAAAGCCAGCCAGAGTTGGATGTTTAATATAAATAGAAGATTCATTAGAAGTGTTAATTTTGTTGTTGTGGTTTGGAGACAGGGTCTTGCTTTGTCCCCAGGTTGGAATGCAGTGGCATGATCCTGGCTCACTGCAGCCTTGACCTCCCAGGTTTAAACATCCTCTTGCTTCAGCCTCCTGAGTAGCTGTGACTACAGGCACACTGCACCATGCCTGGCTAATTTTTGTATTTTTTTTTTTTGTAGAGACAGGGTTTCACCATGTTGCCCAGGCTGGTCTTGAACTCCTGGGCTCATGCAGTCTGCCCACCTTGGCCTCCCAAAGCGAGGGGATTACAGGCGTGTGCCACTGAACATGACCAGGAATATTAATTTTGAACAAATAATAATATTTGGGATATATTGGGTTAAATAAAATAGATTTAAAATAGATTGCTAAAATTAATTTCACCCTTCAGGGGCGAACATACCATCCCAGCCTGGTCAGAGTATTCTTTTCCCTTGGCCATAATGAATCAGTTCAAGGAGGGAGCTTTGTTAATTACGGTCAGTCTTAGAATTTTTGCTTGAATGTTGGGAAGGGGAAGTTATCTTTCTACGGAGGTTGCCAGCAGATATGAATAAGCATGGAGCTTCTGGCAGCCATCTTGCCGTCAGGCTGGGAGAGACCCACCTGAGATGTGAGTTCAGAGGAAAGCCCACCCAAAACACGGAGAGAGATGGCTTCCCTATTAGTCCATGAGACAGGAAATGGAAGTTGCTAGTCTTTTACAGCTTCCCTGTTAATCCATGAGACAGGAAATGGAAGTTGCTAGTCTTTTATGGCTTCCCTGTTAATCCATGAGACAGGAAATGGAAGTTGCTAGTCTTTTACAGCTTCCCTATTAATCCATGATACAGGAAATGGAAGTTGCTAGTCTTCTAAGGCCTGGACTTGGGAACAGACACAGCATCATTTCCACTATAGTCCATCAGCCAAAACAGCCACATAGCTTGCCCAGTTTCAAGAGGAGGAAACATATGCCTCACCTCAAAAAGGAAGGAGTATCCAAGAATTTCTGGCCATCTTTAATCCACCACAATGACATAAAAAGGTGGGGCAAGTGGACTTCTATGTGTCTAATGGGCCATCAAGGGGTGACTCAGACACTTACGAAGATAGAAGGCAACTGTGTGTGTGTACTTTTCAGCTCTACGTTTCCAACTGGCATTTACTAAGCTTATAGATTTTAAAATCATAAAAGAAAATTTTGAATGTCTATAGTGTTTAGGAGAGGAGAGCTTGGAGTATCCTCTGATGTGTGCTTCATTCATAATGACCTTTTAAAAACTGCTTATTTGACTCACACACTTAAAACCAACAAACCAACATTTATTTCCAACAGGACTCAATGGGCCCAGACAGGCCATGCTAGGTGTCGATGCACTTTTCTTCCCCTGCTGGGAAGCCTCAGAACATGATTTCCGGCTGTTGTCGCTCCTGGACAGTCGGAATTATTCCAAATGACTGCACAGTGTGGACTCTTCCTTCTTCTCCCACGGTACAGTGGAATCATGAATGTATTCCTTGTGTTGAAAATGAAGTTTTTGGGCCGGGCGCGGCGGCTCACGCCTGTAATCCCAGCACTTTGGGAGGCCGAGGCGGGCGGATCATGAGGTCAGGAGATCGAGACCATCCTGGCTAACATGGTGAAACCCCGTCTCTACTAAAAAATACAAAAAAAATTAGCCGGGCGTGGTGGTGGGCACCTGTAGTCCCAGCTACTCGGGAGGCTGAGGCAGGAGAATGGCGTGAACCCGGGAGGCGGAGCTTCCAGTGAGCCGAGTTCACGCCACTGCATTCCAGCCTGGGCGACAGAGCGAGACTCCGTCTCAAAAAAAAAAACCAGAAAATGAAGTTTTTGATGTGATGATAAGAGTAATACAAAAATAATACTACCTATACCTACTGAGTGTTGACTAGCTCCGGGCAAGGAGATAGAGGCTTTAGATATATACACTCTATCTTGTAATCTTCACAATTACCCATTTATTAATTCAAAAATGTCTATGGAGCACTAGAGGGGTGCCTTCCTTTTTTTTTTTTTTTTTTTTTTTTGGAAACAGAGTCTCACCCTGTCGCCCAGGCTGGAGTACAATGGTGTGATCTCGGCTCACTGCAACCTCCACCTCCTGGGTTCAAGCGATTCTCCTGCCTCAGCCTCCTGAGTAGCTGGGATTACAGGCATGTGCTACCATACCTGGCTAATTTTTTGTATCTTTAGTAGAGAAGGGGTTTCACCATGTTGGCCATGCTGGTCTCAAACTCCTGACCTCGTGATCCGCCTGCCTCGGCCTCCCAAACTGCTGAGATTACAGGCGTGAGCCACTGTGCTTGGCCAAGGGGTACCTTCTGAAATCTCTTGAGCACATGGATTCTGCAGAGCTTAAAACCAAGACCATCCCTGAACTTCTCAGTCCCAAGAACCAATAAATTCCATTTTTAACTTAAGTCAGTTTATACTCAGTCTCTGTTACTTGCAATCAATGTATCCTGGGAAACCCAGGCAGAGTCTTATCCCCACAAACCAGGGTTGTCAGGGATTTTTTTTCCTGGCTATTATATAATATAGTGTAAAACAGATAAATAGAAAAATCACAAATCCCATATTAGTAACTTTTCTGAGACTTAACTTACTGTTGAGAATTGGTCCTGAACAGTTTGGTGGTACAATTTTAGGATCATGTGGCCTCCCCTGATCTAGGCCCTAGGGATACAGTTGTCAATAACATAATCACAGTCCTTCCTCTAATGAAAATTACCTTATTTTTCTGGTGGAGGATGATAAAGAAAGAAGGAGGAAAACAAGAGGAATCAGATAGTGACAAACGCTACAATGAAAATACAGAAGTATTTTCTGGATAATAATATCGATTTGATGAGGAATGACTACTTTAGGCCAAGTGGTCAGGGGAGCCCACACCTGGGAAGTCACCAATAAGTCACATTTATGTTGAGACCTACATGACAAATAAAAACCAAACATTTCACCATCTAGAGAAAGTGTGATTCAGGCAGCCAAGCAGGTAGTGTAAAGGTCCTGAGGGGTATTCAAAGAAAAAAGGTTCAAGTGTGATTGGAGTGCCTTTGAATGAGAGGGAGAGTATTGGGATATGAAGCTAGACAGGTAGGCAACAGCCCTATCATGTATGGCCTCACAGTCTAGAATAAGGAGGGTTTTGTTTTTAATTCTCTGATGAAATCTATAGGATAATTTTTTTTAATTTTAATTTTAATTTTTGGAGACAGGGTCTTGCTCTGTTACCCAGGCTGGAGTGCAGTGGTGTGATCACAGCTCACTGCAGCCTTGATCTCCCGGGCTCAAGTGATCCTCCCACCTCAGCCTCCAGAGTAGCTGGAACTACAGGTGCACATCAGCACACCTGGCTAATTAAAAAAAAAAATTTGGAAGAGACACGTTCTCACATATCACCCAGGCTGGCCTCGAACTCCTGGGCTAAAGGGATCCTCCTGCCTCAGCCTCCTAAAATGCTGGGATTACAGATGCTTGGCCTATAGGTGAATTTTAATCTAGGTAATTATGGGCTGTGTTTGGGGATTTTCAAAGCTCATTCTGGCTGTCCTGTCCTGTGATGGGTAGATTTTAGAGGGTCAAAACAAAAATATTGTTTTAGTCCAGGTCAGACATGCTGGTGGCTTTTTCAGAAGTGGTGGCAGCAAAAACAGGAATGAACATACCTGAGAAGCCACATATGACATAGCAAGAGACAACTGAGGAACCCTCAAAACTAAAATGTGTATTACATCCCCAGAGTTGCTCAGTGCAAAAGCTGCATGCAGTGGTTCCAAAATAAATTCAGGATGCTGTTTAAAGGAAAAGTCCATAATTGCTAGATGAGGTGGGGAGGTGAGGTAGAGAGGCAATTGATTAGATGTTGAGAGGCAATTGATTAGATTGCTGAGATGGAAAAGCAAGCAGAAAGATAAGTTTTAGAAAACAAATGCAGAGTTTTGCTTTGCACTTGTTCATTGAGGTGTCCATTAGACATCTAAGGCAACATGTCAAAAAGATAATTGAAGTTAGGGTTAAAGTTAAGATTTGAAATTGAGGGAAGAAGTCATTATTAAGTGATATTGTTTATCATGGAAGAGTAAATGTCTGAACACACCTAAGAGTCTGTAACACTGAGAGGTGATATGTCCTATCAGACATCAAAACATTCCAGAAAACCCCTGCTTTAAGATAGTATTAAGGCCAGGCATGGTGGCTCACGCCTCTAATCCCAGCACTTTGGGAGGCCGAGGCGGGCAGATCACCTGAGGTCAGGAGGTCAAGACCAGCCTGGCCAACATGGTGAAACCCCGTCTCTACTAAAAATATATATTAAACAAAAACTAGGCGGGCATGGTGGTAGACGCCTGTAATCCCAGCTACTCGGGCGGCTGAGGCAGGAGAATTGCTTGAACCCAGGAGACGGAGGTTGCAGTGAGCCCACACAGTGCCACTGCACTCCAGCCTCGGCGACAGAGTGAGACTCTGTCTCAAAAAAAAAAAAAAAAAAGCAAGCTAGTATTGATAGAAGACCAGATAATACCTCAGTGGCACTGTATAGGCTCAAGGAAATGTATCTCAGTCAGTATGAAAATGTAATATATGGCAAAAATTGAAATTTAATTCATCAGGAAAAAGGATGGAATGTTCAATAAATGATGTTGGCACAACTGGTTACCCATCTGGAAGAAAATAAAATTTGTTTTATACGTTCTATAAAAATGAACAGATTAAGTAATTAAATGTGAAAAACAAAATAATAAAGGTGCTTGCGGCCGGGAGCGGTAGCTCACACCTGTAATCCCAGCATTTTGGGAGGCCAAGGCGGGTGGATCACCTGAGGTTGGGGGTTCAAGACCAGCCTGACCAACATGAAGAAACTCCGTCTCTACTAAAAATACAAAAAATTAGACGGGCGTGGTGGTGCATGCCTGTAATCCCAGCTACTCGGAAGGCTGAGGCAGGAGAATTGCTTGAACCTGGGAGGTGGAGGTTATGGTGAGCCGAGATCGTGCCACTGCACTCCAGCCTGGGCAATAAGAATGAAACTTCGTCTCAAAAAATAAGTGCTTTCAAGAAAATCTATGATACTGCTTGTACAACCTAGAAATAGGGAGATCTTCTTTTAAAGACTGAAACTCTTGAAGCGATGCAAGAAAATAGAGGTATTTGGATACGTAAAAAATCTTTTATCTGGCAAAGATTTCATTAAAAATGATAAAGGACAAACAATATATTGGAAAGTCTGTAATTCAGATGACAAACAGTTGATTTGTAATGTTGAAGATCTCTTTCAGATTGTCAAGAAAAAGACAAATGATCCAATTTTTAAAATGAGCAAAGGATATGAATAGACAATTCATGGGGTAGCGTATACAAATGCTGACAAGCACATGAAGAGATGAACAAATTCATAGGTAGTCAGGGGAATGCAAAGTAAAGAAACACTTTATTGTTATTTTATTTTCTTCAGGCTGCCAAAAGTAATGAGCGAAAATATTTATTGCTGGTGGGGATATAGGGAGATGGGTGCTCATATTTGTGGCAGAAATGGGATTGCTTCAGTCTTTTGGAAGGGAATCTGGCCACATCTATTAAAATGAAAAATGTATTTATCCTTCAACCCAGCAGTCTCTTTCCTGGGAATCTATCTTACAGAAATAAAAACGCTAGCATATGAGGATTTATGTACAAAGATGCTTTTAGAGCTTTGTTTTTAGTGGCCCCAAACTGGAAACAAAAATGAGTACCTTTCAAAGGGAAAAGTTGAATAATATATGGTCCTTTCACATCATCTAGTATTATGTAGTCATTAAAAAGAATAAATCAGAGGTAAAACTGTTTACTTAGATTTCACAAAGTATTCTTGGATGAGAAAAACAAAATATAGAGTTCGTGTAATGTAGCTTCGTTTTAAAACTAATGATGACAAACTTACTCTGTGTATATTTACACGTCTATGAAATTATTTACTCTTATATAGGATTATCAGAGCACAAAGAAGTGAAGAATACATCCTAGGTTATTAACATGGGATCATTCAAGAAGAGAGTGATGTAAATGGAGGGGGAAATTTAAGCAAAAAGGAAAAGAAAACAAGCCAAATAATCACCTCCAAACTTCACATTTTAAAGAGTTTGATTTCTTCTTGAGATTCCCCAACTTCAATGAAAAGTCACATTCAAAAACAAACAATATCAATTCCTGCCTACTCACAGTCATGTGTGTTTGAAGGCAGACTTCATTGTCTATCATCCCAGCGTTTTCGGTAACAGTTATATAATAAACAATTTCTGGTCTTCAGACAGAGAATATTGTAGAGCAACATGTTGACATGTTGATTGCCTTAAAAAAAATAGATGTTGAGTGCAAGCAACCACTAGCATCAGTATTACACATCCATCTAAATATCCATCAGTTGGGAACAATAGATACTGGGGACTCCAATAGTGGGGAGTGGGGGCAGGGGAAAGGGGTGAAAAACTACCTATTAGTTACTGTGTTCACTAATGGGGTGACAGGTTCAATTAAAGGCCAAACCTCAGCATCACAAAATATACCCATGTAACTAACGTGCACATGTACCCACTGAATCTAAAATTTTTTTAAAAACAATCAATCAATCAATCATTATCCATCATTGCTCCATCAACTCTCACCTACCAAACTAGAGCCAATGGGTGGGATGGGGAGTAGAAGTGACGGGGAAGAAGGATTGAAAACATTTTAGAGAACACATTGAACTCAAACTGAAAAAAAAAGAACATATTGGATTCAGAAAAATGAATTAGAAAATTTGGAATCATTTACACTAACACATTCAGGAGATGGACAAGCAGACTCCCACTGATGACTGAGCTGCTTAAGAGTTGATACACGTACAATTAAAACTAAAGTTTTTCTCACTGAACTCTGGGTATTTGGCTTAAAAATAAAATAAAACTAAAGATGTGGTGGCTTATGCCTGTAATCCCAGTACTTCAGGAGGCTGAGGCAGGGGGACTCTATGAGGCCAGGAGTTCAAGACCAGCCCGGGTAATATAGTGAGACCCTGCGTTTACAAAATATAAGAATAAAAAAATAGCTGGACATGGTGGCATGGGCTTGTAGTCCTAGCTATTTGGGAGGCTGAGGTGGGAGAACTGCTTGAGCCTAGGAGTTCAAGGCTGCAGTGAGCCATAATCACGCCATTGCACTCCAGCTTGAGTGACAGACACTCTGGCTCTTAAAAAAAAAAAAGTTAAAAAACATTTTATTAAATAATAATACATACAGCAACCTTGATATTGGCTCTTTATATTTTATTCTTAAGAAAAAATATTGGCCACACCCTAGGAATGTGTCACAACTGCAGTTTGAAAAATGCTGACATAGAGCAGCAAAGGTACATTAGTATTAGTGCTTTGTGAACTTCCTCAAGGTCCTATTTTTACTCTATGTTACTTGTTAAGTTCAGAGACAATACACTTGTGAAAGTGAACTGCATCTTTCCAGCCCTCTATTTGCACATTTCCTTGGCATTCTGAATTAGAAACAGGGCAGTCATTCTCTCTAAGGGGGCCAGTGGCAGGTGAGGGCAGCTCATATATACAAGTTCTTCCTAAGTTATACATTCATTTGTTTTGTACTTGCTTATTGGTTTTCACTGTCTTCCACCACAAGAACCTTCTTTTCTTGCATCTCAGACTAATTCTTCTTGGTTTCAGTATTTAAGGTTAGTCAACTGAAACTTGCTAATTTAGGAATACCAGGATAAGTAAGAAAAACTCTTTACCTGTGAGTAACTCATAGATTAGAAGAAACAGACGGGTGTAATAGAGTGAGATGTTGACAGTGTTCCAGCAGTAGGGAAAGATGGATGTAACTGACAAGGGCTGGAGTTGCTTCCTCAGAAGAGATGTAATTGAAAAAGAAATTACCTAATTTTGCCTAGGGTAAGAGATGGTATTCCTGGAAGATGGAACAGCATGCACCGAGGCATGGAGGCAGGAGGTAGGGAGAACAGAAAATTCCATTTGTCTAGAGTTCCAGGAGAGTGATGGAAGATGAGGCTGCTGTGCATATCTGTAGGCCTGGGGAGCGCCCTCAGGTGACTCTGTGCTCTCACTGTTCTCTGGAAGGAAGCAGGAAGGGGTAGGTTCAGATTTCAGGGTCTCAGTTTTACTTCTTTCTACTAGACTATAGCTCTACCGAAAGTCTGGAATTGTCTTATTACCTGAATCCTCACTGCCTGGTACAGGGGCTGGTATGGACCTAGTGGACATTCAGAGGGATATCAGACAATTAGCTCACCCCTGTAGCCCCACACTTGGTGGATATCTGAAACTCAGGTCCAGTCTGCGCTCTCGTCTTCAAGATGAATAAAATAAAATTGCAGCTTTTTTGAAATAACTTAGGAAAATAAATATTCTCTTTTATTGAGAACTCTTCTCAAAACTACCCCTTCCTGGAAAGATGTTTCCAATGAATTAATATCTTAAAATTATTATCATTTTACCTTCCAGATTCTACAGATAAGGAAAACAGAGATGAATAAAACATAGAAGTATAAAAATGATTGACTTGTGATATCCCAGTTTTCTGTTTCTTACCAGTGGCTGATGCTCAATAACAACTTTAGGTTTTTGATTATTTTTAAATAAATTTATTTTGGATAAGTGTGAATGTCATCAAAGAAATAATGCATGTTAGAGTTGGGTGATCCTTTTGAGCTTATTCTGGCTTATCCCTCTCATCTTATAGTTAAGGAAAGTGGAGCCTAAATAATTTTATGCAAGCTGCCCCAAATTTTTTCTTTCTTTTTTTTTTTTTTTGAGACGGAGTTTGGCTCTTGTTGCCCAGGCTGGAGTGCAATGGTGTGATCTTGGCTCACCACAACCTCTGCCTTCCGGATTCAAGCAATTCTCCTGCCTCAGCCTCCCGAGTAGCTGGGATTACAGGCATGTGCCACCACACCCAACTAATTTTGTATTTTTAGTAGAGATGGGGTTTCTCCATGTTGGTCAGGCTGGCTGGTCTCGAACTCCCAACCTCAGGTGATCTGCCCGCCTCGGCCTCCCAAAGTGCTGGGATTACAGACGTGAGCCACTGCACCCAGCCCAAATTTTCTAATGAACAATGAAAATCAACCAAACAGCCATGACTCACAGCAAGCTACCTTTTTGATGTGTGTCCCTTCAGTCTCTTAAAAATGTGTATGCGTATTCTTATACTAAAATCTTATCATACTCTTTATATTTTTGGATCTTGCCTTTTTCATTCAATATATTTTGAGGATTTTCTCCAAATTTATTCACATGTTTACTACTCGCATATCCACATATTTAATGGCTCCAAAACATCTCATTGTATGGATAAACCATGATTTAAGTGATCTCTTCCCTGTTGTTAGGTATTTAGGTTGTGAGTTTTTGTTGTTGTATTGGCAATAAAACCTTTGCATCAGTCATGAGGCTTCTTTCTAGTTATTTCTTAAGGGAGAAATTACTGGTTTGGCCGAAGGGGACGGACATGTTTAAGGCTTCAGATATATACTGCCAAGCTGACTAGCCCAGGAAAGTTGTACAGATTTGCCCTAATCAATATGTTTCATAACTGTTTTTGAAATCTTGCCAACTTTAAACCTAATAGGTCAGTATCAGTAATTCCCGTTAACGTAAGAGTTCAAATTTGCCCTAGTTTTAATCATTTAAAAATTTTTTATAATTTTTAAATGATAACAATTATGATGCAACCATGACTTTGAGAAGCCAAGAGATCTTATTCTCAAATTGTAAATGAATCCGTAAGAGCTAAGAGAGAAGAAACAGGCTATTAAATGGCCAAAGATCAAATCTGAAATGTCCAGGAGTTTTCCTGTAGGGGTCACTGTTACTGTCAATTTATGCCTGCAAGAAAACTAAAATAGTCACACATTAAAGCATGTATGCACATTTTTAATGTCTGATTCCTCTACATTTCTTAAACTGTAAAATAATAAGAACATGCAGCCAGATAGCATCGCGATACCAACTTCTTTATATAATGACACGTACCATTCCACTCAATGTGCTCCTCAGTTTGAATTTATAAAATATATGCTACTCAAATGAAAGGCACTTATGCCTGCTCTTAGTAGAGGAAGCGCTAGCTAATTGCCTAACGCCCCATTAGCATATGGCCTATACTGACTTGAGAAGGAAAGAACGTTCATTGCTGTGGCCAATAGGATCCCCTCTCCCCACCTTCCCTTTTCTGCATCAAAATCTACACAGACAAAAGTCAGATGTTGTAATATGCATTTTATCGTGTCACTTAAGTACTAAGAGGTGCTTTTAAAGTTTTTATTAATGCTGCTCAAACTTGACCCCGACGGTCCAGGATACAGGCCAAGGTGTCAGTGCGGACACAATCGCAAGGCGGCTGTTAGGCTTCAGGGCTGGGCAGGAAACTTGCCAGGTGCTACTAGGAACGTATCAGCCCTTTCTACAAAGCAGGTGTCTTTCCCATCATAAAATGCAAAGCAATCAGCCGTTCCCTTTCTCCCCAGCCCCCTCGTCCGGAGACCGAGAGGATATTTACCCTGGGCTCTTGCAGTTCTCTTATAACTGAACCCAGCGGCGGCTCCTTCTCCGAGCTCAGAGCCAGCAGGCTCAGGCCCAGCCACACTTTACAGGCAAATTGCCGAGCTGACCAAGGGCTTTGGCCAAGCCCGAGCTGGGCCGGGGCGTCCGGGAAGCGGAAGGAGCCAGTCTAGGAAATCCGGGTGTGCGTGGTGGTGAAGCTGGTGGGCAAGCTTCCACTTCAGGTCCGGGGCTTTGTGTCCCGCAACAGACGCTTGGCGCCGCTCCTCTTCCAGCCTGCTGCCGCCTTCTCCGAGCGAGTGAGTTGGCGAAACTCACTCACCTGTCGGAACCCGGTGCCTGGCGGCCAGACGCGCAGATTACAGCAAACCTTGGCCGGGACGCCCCAGCCAGGGAGGCAAGTGTGGGAGCTGCTCCTAGAGGTGCCAGCTCCCACCCCCAGCTCCGCGCCCCCTGCTCGTCCCCTTTCACTTCCAGGCGCCTTCGGCTTGGGGTGCCCAGAAGGGCAAGTCCAGCAGACGCCAGGGCTGCAGGTTCAAGATGCTCCGCCTCCTCCTGCCACTTAGAGCCACAAACGCTAGCGGGAACCTTTCCACTCAGTCTTAGTCTGCGGTCACTGCTGAGGTTTTCAGAACTTTCCAGGCAAAGGCCAGCCAGGTCCTTTGCCTCCAACCCACTCCGCGCCTACCTCCCGCCTGGGGACACCCCTAGGCCCAGGAGATCCTACTCTCCCCCGAGCACCGACGTTCCAACTCGTCTGCGCCCCCGACTGCTGTCCGGCTCCTGTGCCAAGGGGCGCGCGCATCTTCCCGGGGCCAGCAACGCTCCCAACTTCTCGACTCGCCCTCCTCCTCCCCAGAGCGAGAGTGGGGCGGGCTGAGCCCGGATCCGGGGTGCACTCGAGCGTTCCCAGCGCTCGGCATTCACCCCGCCTCAGAGCCGACTTTCGAAGGGGGATTGAGCCTCGGAGGTCCAGGCGTCTTACTCCAAAGCTCAAGTCGGCCCCCGTCTTTTCTTTCCACACCCCTGTGCCCGTCGCATGCTGGCCGGGTGAGCGGCCGGGCCGAGGATTCGGGTGCCCGGGGCCGCGTCGCCCCGTCGGGTACTGAGCTGAGCGCACCATGGCCGGCTGCTGCTGCCTGTCCGCGGAGGAGAAGGAGTCGCAGCGCATCAGCGCGGAGATCGAGCGACAGCTTCGTCGGGACAAGAAGGACGCGCGCCGTGAGCTTAAGCTGCTGCTGCTGGGTGAGTGGCTGCGTCTCCGACTCCAGTGAGCCGGGCGTTTTTCTTCCGAGCCCTCCCGGCCTCTCCACTGGCACCCGCGCGGCCCTGGAGCCCAGCGGGGTGCAGGGCGGCTTCGTCCTTCTCCCCCTCGGAGCTCACGGATGCCAGCAACTTGGGGCCTTAGGTGCCTGTTCTTTCCATCTCTGGCTGGGCGACTTGCAAAAGCAACACCTTCCCCTGCCCCAAAACAGGATAGGGACCTGTAACACTTAACCTCTTGACCGCTGTACCTTATGTGTTCCGGTGTGCCCCTCTCCTCAAAACCCCGTCCACTCCTCCGCCCGCAGCACACCCAGCTTGGGGTCTGTGGTGACCCACATCTTGGGTTCAGCGCTAGCTCTGACCCGTACGCTTTCAGTTCTAGATGAAGCATCTTGAGAATTTACCATGTGCCAGATCGTGCTAAGTTCTTAAGGGCATCACCACCTGGTGATGCGGGCAGGTGATATCGCTATTCTAGAGAATTAAAACATGGAGGCCTGGAGAACTGACCAACTTGCCCTGATTGAGAAAAGGCAAAGCCGATGCTAGGTCAGCTGTGGGGGTGAAGCCCATGCCGTTGCTGCTCCTCTGACCGTGAGCTCCTATGCCTGCCTCCCATGGGGGTCCCTCAGGCCTTTGTGTTTGCAGCGGACCCAAACCTCCCTTGCCCAGCTTGACTCAGTGTGTCCACGTCCTAGGATTCAGCTTGGCTGCCCTGGTGCCTCTGGCAGGTCTTCATCCAGCTCTTTTGGTGTCTCTGCAAAGGTCTGGGTAGGACATCCACTTTCAAACACAGAAAGAACACAGTTTAAGGTTTGCCCAAGTTATGCCATGAGGCAAGGATCCCATCTCAGACTTTCTAGAACGCTGTCAACACATTTGCTGTTTGAGGAATATTTTACCTTTTCTACCTTTCAGACCATGATATCAGCTGTCAATTTTTTTCTAGATAGCCACAAAGATTTCAACTTTTTTTCTTTCACCCCTTTTGAACAGGAATCTTCTCTTATACCATCTATTTATTCATCTTTATTCCTTGTATAGGAATCACCCTCCCAGAAAGCTTCAAGGAAAGAAAAAGTTGATCTAGTTAGTGTAATATAGAGAAGGCTCTCAGCCAGTATGGCCTTCAGACCTGGGCGGAAGAACCCCCTTATCCTTATCCCCTGGGTTTAAAGGGCCCAGTCTGGCCTTCTGGGGGTTGGGGGGGGGTGTGCCCCTCCCCACAGAGCTGGAAGTCTGTAGGTCCAAAGGGGCTTGCTACCCAGAGACCATGCTGCCCCCTCCCTCCCAAGACCTGGATGGAATGAATACCCAGCCCAAAGGGACCCATACCAGCTTCTAAGGCCTGAGCCCTAGAAAAGAAGGCAGACCTGATCCCTGGAGAGCTCACAAAGGGGCAGCTGTTTGCTGGGGCGTAAAAGTGCTTGGAAATGTGGGCTGGGTAGGAGTGGAGGGAGTCCCCGTGGGTGCCCAAGAGGCCCCCCTAGGAGAGAGGGAGCTTGGGTGGGGAAGGGAAGGGGCTCTGTTCATTGGCCAGGTCTGCTATTTCTGTGTCTGACCCATAACTTTGAAAAGTCTGAAAATTCTAAATTGTCCCTGGCCTTCTAGGCTGTTATAAAGCTACCTTTGTCAAGGGAGGAGGAATACGTGAGAATTTGCTAGCTTGATTAACACTAGAAAATAACTATGGGTGCGGGGCTTTGTACTTTTGCCCTGAACCCCACAAACCAGAGGGGTTTAGTTGCGTATGTAACTTTTTTCTTTATAAGGGCAGGCTGAACCCTATTTCATTTTGCAATGCTTTGATTTGTGTCAATGTATGAAGTACAGTGTCCAGAATATACCAGGAGCTTGACAAATGCTGGCTCTTTGTATGAAAAATTGTGTAGTCAGCTGAGCTGTACTGTATTGGTAATAAGCCTGTTTGATGTAAAATTCTCGCATTTACCCACAAACTAGGGGAGAAATGTTTGTAGGTAAATTGTTTGCTCTGAAAGTCACATTAATCAGGGTGACCCGAGGGTCTTCTTTATCTTCCCAGGCCATTGCTCCAACCCTCCTCCTACCACCTTGAGGCACTGTCTGACCTCTGGAAACTCCCATTTTCATCTTGCGGAGTTGTGACTAGCATATCCCCTTAGTGAAAACTTTCCTGTGAAAAATAGTTTCTAAACCACACAGAGCCGTTCAGAACTCCAAGGATGGACTTCAAAACCTCTGATTTATTTCAATCTGTAAAGTCCTGGGGCATAGCTCCATTTCTTCTCAAGGAAGAGCCAATGACTCAGAAGTGACAGGAATTAGGGGAGGATGTGCACCATTTTGTCTGAAGTCATGCAATTCGAGTGAAAAATTCACCCATCTCTCTAGTGGGTAGATTAGAGCATCCACTGCTCAGGTGCCTCAGTTAAAAACCTCACTTTGCAAATGGGAGTTTGGAATCCTTTTGTGGAGTATGGGATGACCCCCAAAGACACCATCTCTTTCACAATGAAGCATGCTTTTGCAAAAAAATGATGTGAGGATGTTTCTGAAGTGCAGTATCCTGTTTCTGCTTAATAAAAGCACAGGTCAGTGTCTACTAGGGAAAGATAAAAGCTGTTGTTTGGTTAAGGCTAATAATTGCAAGATGTTGGTGTGACACTTTCTCATCAGAAAGAGATGGAGAAAATAAAGGAGATGGTTGAATTTAGTAGAAAGAAATTTCTTATCAGTTCCTTGCATAAAAGTAGGACAAAAAAGTTCTGATAAGAACATTGGTGAGTACTGATCAGCATAGGGAGAAAGTGTCAGGACAATAGCTATTAAATAAGGGAAAATGATGTTTTATTGATTTTCCTGTTAAATGCAGATTGGTGAAGTGTGGCTTGTTAATTGGGTTGAGTGTTTTAATTCTGGATGCAGACCTTACCTTGGAGCTCTCTGGAAGGAAGAGGAATTGAGCATTTAACAGATATGGCTGAATTAGTTTGCTAGGGCTGCCATAACAAAATACCACAGACTGGGAGGCTTCAACAAAGGAAATTAATTTTCTCACAGTTATGGAGCTGGAAGTCCAAGAGCAAGGTGTTGGCTTGGCAGGTTTGGTTTTTCCGGAGGCCTCTCTCCTTGGCTTGCAGACAGCTGCCTTCTCACTGTGGCCTCACATGGCCTTTCTTCTGGGCATGCACATTCCTGTGTCTTTTTTTTTTTTTTTTTTTTTTTTTTTGACACTCTTTAGGTTGGAGTTCAGTAATACAGTCACGGCTTCCTACGGCCTTGACCTCCTGGGCTCAAGCATCCTCCCACCTCAGCCTCCCTAGTAGTTGGGACTATAGGCGTGAGCCACCATGCTGGGCTTATTTTTATTTTTCTTGGTTTTTGTTGCCTAGGCTGGTCTCAAATGATCGCTGGGCTCAAACGATCCCTCTGCCTCAACCTCCCAAAGTGTCGGGATTACAGGCATGAGCCACTGTGTCGTGCCACTTCCTCTTCTTATAAGGATACCAGTTCCTATTTTATTAGGGCCCCACTCATTTTATCCTAATCACCTCTTTAAAGACATTATCTTCAAATACAGTTACATTCTGAGGTACTAGTGGTTGGGATTTCAACATAAAAACTTTGGCGGGAGGACTAAATTCAGCCAGAAACACTGGTGTAGAGATGAAAAATGTAGATTCTTAGCCCAGTCTGCCTGGGTTTGAACCCTAGCCCTACAGTGTCTTAGCTGTGGACTAAATTCTCTGGGCTTTGGATGGCAGTGAGTGCTCAGTATCAGCTATCATCACTCTGTTTTTTGAGTATTTTCAGGCCCTAGAGAGGTGTCATTTTCCATTTTAGTTGACCAACTGTGGGTTGCATAGAAGTTTGTATAAACTGTTGTGGTAGTGCTTTAACAGAAATGTTTTACTTTGAGTTTCCCTTAGTGTTTTCTGAGCCATAAACTGATTTAAAATTCCTCTTCCTGCTTACACCAAAAAGTTGAAAATCTGGTCCCAAAAAGTTTTATTGGATTGGTTATAACAAAATCCCATTTCAGAATTAGCCATCATGTTCCTGGGCAGGAAGTCCATTCCAGAAAATGGTGCAAATAGTGTGAGTTTTAAGGTAGAAAGTGACAACACCGATTGGGTGCGGTGGCTCACCCATGTAATCGCAGCACTTTGGGAGGCTGAGGCGGGCGGATCACCTGAGGTCAGGAGTTCAAGACCAGCCTGACAAACATGGAGAAACACTGTCTCTACTAAAAATACAAAATTAGCCGGGTGTGGTGGCACATGCTTGTAATCCCAGCTTCTCAGGAGGTTGAGGCAAGATAATCGCTTGAACCTGGGAGGTGGAGGTTGCAGTGAGCTGAGATAGCACCATTGCACTCCAGCCTGGGTGACAAGAGTGAAACTCTGTCTCAAAAAAAAAAAAAAAATGACAACACCTTCCCACTCTGAAGAAGAAAAGGAATGAAATGGTAAATATGCCCACGTTCCTTTATCTGAGCTTAGTTCAATGCAACAGCCTTTTCCAAGGTGCCAGCCACAGTGCAGGGATTCCTTCCCAAGGGCTGAGTTGGAGAAGGACAGTTCACAAATAGCTGTTATGAGGAAGATGGTCATAAAAGCTTAACAGAGATTAAGAGGTAGAACAGGCAGAGCGTAAAGGGGGAGCCTCTGGAGGAGGCATCATCTGAGTGGGCCTTGAACTATGGTGAGGGTAAGATGCAAACAATTGTCTGCGCATGGGGGCTTGGGTGAGACATGCACAAACTCTCCTCACCATCTAGGGAAATTTCTGAGGACAGTAAATGGTGTTCTTAGGATCTGGGATCATATGAAGGATCCCTTGGGGACCAGATTTCATTGAGTTTTGTGTTTGATTTTATTTTTGTTTGTTTGTTTTTTGAGACAGAGTCATGCTCTGTTGCTCAGGCTGGAGTGTAATGGCACGATCATGGCTCACTGCAACCTCTGCCTCCCAGGTTCAAGTGATTCTCCTGCCTCAGCCTCACAAGTAGCTGGAATTACAGGCATCCACTACCACGCCCAGCTAATTTTCATATATTTTTTAGTAGAGACAGGGTTTCACCATGTTGGCCAGGCTGGTCTCAAACTCCTGACCTCAAGTGATCTGCCTGCCTCAGCCTCCCAAAGTGCTGGGATTACATGCATGAGCCACCGTACCTGGCCTGTGTTTTATTTTAACCAGTTATGTGAGTATTGTGTTCACTCTAAAATAGACATTAAAATAAAAATGCTTGCTTTTTTGCCATAATATGCTTCAGAAAGGAGGATTGTGTGGTTTTGTCTGTGGCTTCTGTTCATCCTGGCTGGAGCAAACCAATCTCACTAGATAGTTTGCTTCCATCTATAACACAGCAGTTCCTGAGGCCTTTCAAGAGGCAAATGCACGTACCTCTTCTTCTGTCTACCCTTAAATGAATACAGAACCTTTTGAAATACTGGACTTTTACCCTCTGTACCTTTTGCAAATCATCTTTATTGAATACAGTAAGTCACCAGGCTTAAGTGTACACTTTGAGTTTTGACAAATGTATGATCACAATCTATAAACACTTCCATCATCCTGGAAAGTTCCCTGTGCCTTTGCAGTCAATCTCCTGCTCCAAATCTTTTTTTTTGTTTGTTTACTTTTTATTTGGAACCGATTTAAAATTTACAAAGAATTTGCAAGAATAAGAATAGCACAAACAACATAGGTATGCCCTTTTCCCTTGGCAGTGTTTGAGGGTAAGTTAAATGTATTGTGGCCTTTTTTTCCCTAAACTCTTAAGCGTGTTTTTCTAAAAATAGGGATAATCTCTTACATAAGCGCAGTACACTTATGAAAGGTCTGTACATTTCACTTTGATGCAATATTTGTGTCCAATCTATTATCCATATCCCAGTTTTGTTGGTTCACCCAATAACGTCCTTAGTGGTGTTCCCCCACCTCCAGTACAGGGTCCAGAGGAGGCTCAGGGATTGCATTTGGTTCTCATATCCTTTTAGTTTCTTTAATCTGGAACTTTTCCACAAAGTCATTGCTTCTACGACACTGAATTTTTGAAAAATACAGTCCCCTCTCCCTTTTTTTTTAACAGACGGTTTCTCATTTGGGATTTAACTGGTGATTTTCTTACGATTAGCGATCCCCACTGTGCTTTTCTGGCTGGAACACTGGATACGTGCTGTTGTGTCCTTCTCGGGGGTGGCATCTGGAGGCACACCATGTCCATCTGCTCCTCTGTGGTGGTGATAACTCTGATGGCCTGGTTAAGATATTGTCTGTTTTATCCACTGTATCATAATTTTGTGGAGAGACACTTTATAAGGCTAGTAAATACCCTGCTTCTTATCAAGATTTAGGAGTCATTGATGGTTTCCAGTTGATCCAATCTATAACATGGTATCTGCAGAATGATTTTCCAACTCCAGCACTCTCCACATTTACCAGTTGGCATTTGACATTCTACTGCAACAGCCTTACCTTTGCCCTTCCTTCCTTCCTTCCTTCCTTCCTTCCTTCCTTCCTTCCTTCCTTCCTTCCTTCCTTCCTTCCTTCCTTCCTTCCCCCCCCTCCCCTCCCCTCCCCTCCCCTCCCCTCCCCTCCTTCCTTCCTTCCCATGCAAATTCGTGAATACCTAGGTTTTTTTCCCTCAATGATTTTTTACTTCATTACTGTTCTTAATCATTTTGGTGCTCAAATCATACCCGACTTGTGCAATGAGATCCCCTTCAAGCTGGCTCCTGTGTCACTGTGACATGCCTCTGTCTGTTGTTTTTTTTTTTTTTTTTTTTTGAGCATTTTATTGTTTTCTGGCATAACATGCCCCAGGCTCGTCTTGTACCAATTCTTCCCCAGCTGGGGAAGAAATCAGCTGTTTCTCAGAGGGGCTCTGCTTCCTTTTATTGGAGAACTGGATCTTTTAAAAAAAATCTTTAAGCCACTTGAAACAAAGATATCAAGTCCCTAATTCAGATCAATTACTAGTACAGTATCCAAGTACCTAAAGAATCAAGGTGCTAAGTCATGTCATTAGAGGATGAAATTTTTGAGGCTTTAATAAGTCTTAAGCTGTGGGCAGATATAAAGTGGAAAAATCTGACAGTGGAGTTTGGCAAAAAGCAATGCAAATAAAGTCTTAATCTTCAAATGGTCTTTTTTTCTTTTTCTTTTTAAAAGATGCCTTCTAGTCTGTCATCTTTTGCTTTCTCATTTCCCATGATACTTAAACCACAAAGGGAAAAATACCACTGTAACAACTCCCATGTGTAGGGCTATATGAAGGGAGTTCATGATATTGGGAAGTCAGAGAGGGATTTTCAGTGAATTATTGGAGCAAAGCTATGATGATACTAAAGATGGTTGAAATTCAAAGAGGAGACAATCATTTATCGGAAGGACTGTCACCAGGGCATCTCATGGAATTCAAAGAGGATTTGAATAATAAATGAGAAAGAGCAAGTGCCAGGGCAGTTGGGTTAGGGGACTCAAGGCACAGCCATCAACAGGACTTGACCCCATCCCCTTCCAAGCTTGAGAGCCCTCTCTGCAGACCTTTATAGCCAGGTTGTGGCATCAGGGTGCACTCCTGGATCAATCAGTTCTGGCCAGGGGACATGTATCATGGACATGACTGTCACCTGAGTGCAGATGGCCGGGGACTGGGATCCCTGTGAGCCAGGTAGCCACAGCTACAACTACTGTTAGAGGAAGAAAATATACTAGCGGAAATCCAAGGGCTCTAAAGTTGGAAGGGACCACAAAAGCCTCTGCAAGAGCCCTCACATTCATTATGAAGATTGGCTCTCTGCTGATGGGTAAATTAGCCATGCTGGCCAAGATTCTTGATTGTTGACCATGTAAGCAGAGTAATAATTTATTAGAGTGGAAGCAGGAAATAGAATTAATGGAAATTGGAGAGGAGGCTCCGCAAAAGGGCAGGATTTAAGGGACTCTGGACATAGCAAATGCTAGTACCAGACAAGACTGTCAAGGACACAGTCAGTGGACTCCACCACCCTGCCAGTCGCTGCTGCTGCTGCTGCTAGACACTTATATTCACAGCAGAGCTGCAAATCACCTGTGACCATCTTCTGCACCCTGGTGTCACTTTTCAAAACCTCCATCTGTCTGATTGTGCTCATCTACCAGGTTGTTGGGGGGAGGCAGTGTGACACAGCGGTTAGCATGTTCTTTGGAGCCAGCCTTGCTGGGTTTAAAATATAGGCTTTTCCACTGATAAGCTGTGTGCATCCTGGAATGTACATTAGTTTCTTCATCTGTTAAAGGGGAATAACAACCCAATGAGGCACGTACTATTATGAGGATTAAATGAGTTGTCATTTTTAGAGCGTTTAGAATAGTGCCTGGCACATAGTCAGTGCTATTTATTTTAGGTGCTTGTTAAATAAAATTCTGCCAGCCTTAGCTTTCTACCATAGGGAAAGGGGGTGGGCTGCTGCCTCCTACCTTTCTTGAAACTCTTCCCCCAGAAGGTAAGTGCTCAGATGCTGGGCAGCGCCAAATTACAAAGATCTACAACAAAAATGTGATATTTTCCATAAAATAACTTTTCCTAAATGGATTGGTAAAGGCAAACTCAAAAACTAAAATGTAAGCTTTCAGACAGTGGAATCATGAAAAGAAAAGGAGGCAGATGTCTTTAAATATTAAGGTGTATTTAATATTGCTCTAGTTAATTTCTTGAATTTGTTTTTTAAAATCATGCCTTTATTCTACAGGGCTATGAAAATTTCACACATGTATCCTATTATCCCAGGAAATTGCCACAGCCCATCTGCCAGCATTGTCTCTGGTGTTAAACATTTGCCAAATCTCACCACTTCTTCCCCTATCCAAAGCTGCAATTCACCTGCGTTATTGCAGTGTCCTCTTGATTTCCCATCTCCCACATTTGCCCTTCTTTGGTCCATTTAAAAACTTAGATTTATATTATTACCTTACTTAAATTCAGTGTCTTTTACTTACACTTGGAATAAATGCCAAATGCTTTCCTACCTCTCGGAATGTACACAGGGTCATTCTCCCACTGGTTTGCTGGGCTGAAGCCAAACTCACCTTTGTGTTTTTCAAACACAACATTTGTTACCTCTGGGTCTTTAAGCTTGCTTTTTTTCCTGCCTGGAACATTCTTTTCTGTTCCCCACTCTTGTTCCACATACATGGCTGTTTCTTCCTTATCTTCACGTCTCAGCTCAAAAGTTCATCTCTTGACAAGGCCTTTCCAGATCACACTACCTGAAATTATCCTTGCACCATTTACTCTTAGTTGCCTGGTTCTATAACTTGGCTTTATTTCTTCATAGCTGTTATCTTGGAATTGACCTGATATTCTTATTTGCTTACTTGTTGACTTGTCTGCCCCCAAATAGATTGCAAGCTCTGTGAGAGTGGGGCTGTGCTATCTTGTTCCTGTATCCTGGCACCTGAACCAGTTTTGTGCCTGGTGCAATGTTTTAATAATGACTGGATGGTACAGTGTGAGCACTGAAAGCCAGAATGATACTTGACCAATCTGAAATGAGATAGGCTAGTTGACTATCAAATATGAAATATTCTTCCATGAATACATGTTGATATACCCATGTTACAGATAGAACAAGCAAGTGCTCATGATTATTCAGAGAGAGAGTCGTTAATTACTTCACTATAAGACTACATTTGATATTTAATATATTGATCTTCCAGTATTTTTTCAGAATAAACTTTTGCATATAAAACCAGAGAGTAGCAATAAAAGCTAAAGTTTTCTAGAATATGAACACAAAAGAAAAGTATTACCTATGTGATATGCCTGCTCCTGGTACTCTCTGTATTAACAACAAAAACAATTTTTCTTTTCATGGTTTACTAAAGCCTTGGCCTCCTGGGCTCAAGCAATCCTTCCACCTCAGCCTGCCGAGTAGCTGGGACTACAGGCATGCTACCACACCCGGCTAGGTTTTAAATATTTCTTTGGAGATGGGGTCTTGCTATTGCCCAGGCTGGTTTTGAACTCCTGGCCTCAAGCGATCCTCCTACCTCAGCCTTCAGAGTCATTGGAATCACAGGCATGAGCCACTGCACCCAGCTCAACAACTTTAACAATAGAATAGATAACAAGTTAAAATATACTTTTTAATTTAAGAAAATTATAGGGTTGCTGATAAGATATAGAAATTCCTTCCATATGTGGTTTGAATTGTGCAAAATTTAAATTTTCTCTGAAGTTGATGGGTGAGATGAGGTCAACATCTTCTCAATGGCCACTGCAGGTTTTAGGGCCAGATCTCTGTTTTTTTCCCTTTTCAGTGTGTGCTTCTTAGGTTTAAAGAGTCTATTATAACGAGAGTCAAGGTAAAGGAGACAGTGATATTCTTGGAATTGTGGAACAAAAAAGGAAATTAATAGCAAAGAACAGTGAAAAGTGGTAAGACTTTGGAAGCTGAAAGTTCAAGCCAGCAGAAATCTGATTAGTTCATGACCCAGTACCTCTTAATGGAAACTATTTTTTTCTTCAAGAAGTTAGTACTCCAGGAGCTGTAAACATCACCAGTAAATGTATGTTTTACCTTGGCAAGAATCGTTTCAAAAAGTAGCAAATGTTCATGTTTGCATAGATCCTTGTACTTGCATGTACTCTTCAAAAAACTGTGCTCCTAAAAACTGCAATGATCTTATGGCTAATAACCATTAGGTAGTTATGCTTCTATTAATGGACTTAGGAGTGCTGAGGAACCATATTCTAGTAAGAGCCATCATATATCAGTCTTCTCGTTGAAAATTCACTCTCCATGGAACATTGGCTTGTGCTGCGGTTTGAATGTTTGTCTCTTTCAAATCTCATGTTGAAAATTTGATCCCCAGTGTTGGAGGTGGGACCTGCTGCGAGGTGTTTAGGTCGTCGGGTCAGATCCCTCAAGAATAGATTAGTGCCCTCCCTTGGGAGTGAGTTCTCACTGTATTCTTGAGAGAGCTGGTTGTTCAGAAGAGCCTGGCACTTCCCCACCTCTCTTGCTTCCTCTCTTACCACATTATCTCTACACACACCAGCTCTCCTTCACCTTCCCCCAAGAGTGGAAGCAGCCCAAGGCCCTCATCAGATGCAGATGCCTAGTTTTGAGCTTTCTAGCCATGAGATTCATGAGCCAAATAAACCTCTTTTCTTTATAAATTACCCAGCCTCAGGTATTCCTTTATAACACAGAATGGATTAAGATGGCTGATATTTCCATCCAAAGAGTAATACTCCTGTTGTCAAGTTTGCTTTTTAAAAATTGACTGACAAATTCTAATATTTTGTGCTTTTTTAATGAATGAGAGAAAAAAGTAAAATGTATGTTTTATTGTTTTGCCTGAAAGCCATCTTCTGTATTGATGATCAGTTGTCAGTTATTATTAGATGGATTATCCATGCCATTTCTCTCTTGAATCTGCCATAAATAAGACCTTCCTTTCTGAGTAACCCATCCCAGAATATTTGCTTCTGTTGCTCAGCTACTGTGTAATTGAAAAATATGTTAATTATATTACTAATAAAAATCAAATGAAGGTGATTAATCTTTTGTAGAATTATCTTCTAATCCATTTAGTGGTAAGCCATTAGTAGTCTTCATCAACACCACTCAAAATGCACCTGTGTTTAGAAACCTTTATAGCAATTTAACATTGCTGTGGCATCAAAGAGTATTTTTATTGAAGACTGATACATTTATGAAATACAACTGATGGAAAATTTTAAAAATTGGTTCCTTCCTACAGTGTTTGAGAAACACAAGTACAAACTTTGATCCTATGGATGGGGTGGCAAAGGTCCAGAGGAGTGAAGGGACTCAGCAGATGTCACGGGGCCAGGTGATTAGTAGCTAATTGGCAGAAGGGCCCAGAGTTAGTCTGAGTCTTCATGTTGAATTTCCTAGTTTCTAAGGCAACATTGATTATGAGATATGCCATTGATTTGAAAACAGCCTTTCAGAAAAGCAAATGCCACCATAGTAAATATACACATCAATGCAAAGGCATTTCACCCTCAAAAATGTTAATTTATATGGACATAAGCCTTGGACTCAAGGATATAGGTAATTTACTTTTCTCTCTTTTTTCCTTACCAGATAGTACAAATTTAAAACAAAGCAAAACTATTCAAATACTATGTCAAAACTAGTTATTGACATAGTATTTGATTTTATGAAATCAATTTAAGTGCTAAAATTAGACTAGAAAAGAAACCTCTGTGTATTGCCATCAGCCCACTGGTTTCTGTTTCAAGTGGTCTTATATGCGATCTTGAAAATAGTTACTTCTTGGAATAGCATGCTGTCATTTATACAGAAGGCTTAAAAACATAATAGTGACCATGCACTCACTTCAGCAGCACATATACTAAAATTGGAGTGATACACAGAAGATTAGCATGGCCCCTATGCAAGGATGACATGCAGATTCATGAAGCATTCCATATTTTTTGATTTTTGGGACTCAGGGAAAATGGTGGGGGAGGGGGTGAAGGCTAGAAGACTACACGTTGGGTCCAGTGTACACTGTTTGGGTGATGGGTGCGCCAGAACCTCAGAAATCACCACTTCAGAACTTACTTGGGTAACCAAACACCACCTGTTCCCCAAAAAAACCTATTGAAATAAATGAAATAATAATAGTGACCAAACGTGTGTGGGAACTCCAATGTATGATATTATATGCTCCAATGTCTGAATAACTGTGGATTGACTACATCCTGGCAATTTGATGAGTGTTGAAGAGTTTCACATGAGACCTTGAACTCCATGAGATCTCTGCTCACTATTGAACCCACAATGCTAAGTGCAGAACTTAGCTCAAATACTGGTTGAATGAAGATATGTCTCTCTCTTTATAGTGGTTTACATGAAATACCAGCTGAGTAGTATAAAGAATTCCTTACAGTAGCTGAAAGTCTTTTTTGTTTGTGATTGTCTAAGAAGGTTCATAAAAGGAACACAGGCCTGGGCTGGGCCTTGAAGAAAGGAAAATTGGAGAATTCCAGAATTGATTTTTTTTGGATAAGTGGTATAAGGATATGAAAATTGAGCCTGGATTCCAGGAATAAGATGAGATTTGGAAAATAATACTTCTCGTATTCTGCCTGCCTGCCTGCCTTTTTGCCTCCTCCCTCCCTCCCTCTGTCCCTCACTCCCTTCCTTCCTTCCTTCCTTCCTTCCCTCCTTCCTTTCCTTTCCTTTCGCTTCCTTCCTTCCTTTTTTTTTTTTTTTTTCTTTTTGAGACAGGGTCTCACTCTGTTGCCTAGGCTGGAGTGCAGTGGTGTGATCAACTTCTGTCTCAAACTTCTGGGTTCAAGGGATCCTCTCACTTCAGCCTCCTGAGTAGCTGGGACTGCAGGTGCATCAGTATGCCCAGCTTATTTATTTATTTATTGTAGATACAAGGTGTCCCTGTGTTGCCCAGGCTGGTCTTGAACTCCTGCTCTCAAGCAATCCTCCTGCCTCAGCCTCCCATAGCACAGAAGATTATAGGCATGAACCAGCCCATTTTCTTGTATTTTCATAAAGACTTTTCCTAGTAACTATACATGGTAAGATTTTGATATGTAACCAAAACTACAGTTGAGAAATTTGTAAATTGTTCTTTTCTGTTGCTTTACTTTGAAACAGTTGGCTCACCAGAATCGAGTCTTTTTTTATTCTTTTTCTGTCATACCTAATGCTAATAATGGAAAAGGCAATATTAAAGCAGTGACGTTTATACATTCAGTCATTATTCTGGGTACTTTAATCAGTGATTTCATTTATTTCTCACCATGTTTGAGGTAGAGGTAGTATCCTCTCCATTCTACAGATGGGAAAATTGAGGCCTATCCTATGGCAAGATTGACTGGCCAGAGTGGGGCCAGGGTTTGAATCCAGGTGGTCTGATGCCAGAGCCTTGGTTCTTAATCACAGTTCTGCTTTTGCCTCCTAGAGCCAGACAGCTCACCAAAATCTACCCCATGGGGGCAAATATCTGCTGTGCCCGCTTCTTGCCATCCTCTCTGCCACCCCCATCTCTATCTGAATTGCTAAATTTATCTATCATTCCCTAGCCCCAAATTCACTATTCACTCTGCCAGCCAGAGTGACCTTTTAAAAATGTAAATTGGATTGTTGTTTTTCTGCTTAGAACATTTCTATGTCTTGGGTGCAAATTTAAATCTGTGCATGGCCTGTGAGACCCTTTATCTGTCCCCTAATGACCCTCTGCCATTATTCCCCATGATTACTTAGTTCTGGCCACAGAACCATATTTTAGAATCTTCAACGGGCCAGACTCATCCTTCTTAGGCCTCTGCACATGCCAATCTGTCTGCCTACAACACTCTTTTCTGCTGGTCTTCTAGTGAACTGATACTCATTTTGAGAATGCATCTTAAATATCTCTTCCTCCTGGAAGCCTTTGCTGACACCCCAGTCCAAATTAAGTTCCTCAGAATATTTCTCCCATAGCACCTTCTACATTTCTTTTTAAAAATAGTGCTTTTCCTAGTTTGAAATTGTACTTATCATCCTCCTTCTCCGCTAGCCTCTAAATTTTATGAGTGTAGAGACTATTGTAACATGAGAATCCTCAGCAACTTGTATAGTGCCTGGGTGTTTCATAACATTTGCTAAATGGAGAAATACATTACTTTTACAGGATCTTTGGGGTATTTTTCTGTCTGGAAACCTCTGTGGCTGGTGGCACCTTTGCCTGAGTTTTGCTAAGGCCCATTGAGCTTGTTTTGCTCACTTGGCCTGGCAAGCTGTGCTTGGCTCACATTACCAGCCTGAGTCCCACACCTGCCAAGGGAGAGTCAGGCATGGAATAGTGAGGGGTGTGTGAGCGAGCATGGGGTCCGGCCACTGTGCAGAGTCAGACATGCCTTTTGCTGTAGCAGGGTGGGCAGCTCCAGGTGCCAGCAAAGGCACCGGCTCTCTGTGAGGCTGCGGCCAGACCAGGCACGCCACAAGCAGCTTCCACTGCTGGCACTGGGGAACATGGTGGCATCCAGAAGCTTGGAGACTCCAGGAACCTTAGGGCCCCAAAGGGAGTCACAGCCCTGGCTTAGGGGACGCCTAGGTCTGGGGTCCTCAAAGGGCCACAGCTCTTCTCTCCTCTTTGTCCACAATGTGGCAAGCAAGGGGCATATTTCAGCCCTGTTTGTGTTACAGCTCTTTTAGCCCCTACAGGGCCACAGAGGGGAGGAAGTGTGCACCGATTGGTCCATGGGTGGCCATGGGTAGGCCTGGAAAAGGCACCACAAGTTCCCACTCTGGTCCATGGGACTGGCAGCCCAGCCAACAGCCTTCAGGCCCTCACTAGGGACCCACCTCCTGTCCAGGAGCCTGTCTGCCTCCAGCTGCTGTTCATGGCACCCATGGCACCCAGGATGCCCATGTGCCAAGAGGTGCCTGTGGCCCAGCACCAAGCTTCCCTCAGTGCCCCCCTTGGCTTCCCATGGCCCCAACTTTGCTCTGAGATTGGAGTGGGTGCCAACAGCAGGGAGAAGCCAGGCAGCAGAAGCAGGCACTTCCAAGCCTGCAAGGGCAGTGGGGGCCTTCCTGGGCTGCCAAGGGTATAGGGGTGCCTGGGTCTGCAGCTGTGGTTTTGGCAGCTGCAGCGGTGGCCAGCAGGGTAGGGCTCCTGCCTGCTCCTGAGCCCTGAGAGCACAGGGATGCCTGGGTCTGCAGCTGCAGTTTGGGCGGCTGCTGCAGCACCCAGGCAGCTTCCACCCCAACTCAGAAGGGGCGAGGATCCTGCTTGTGCCTGCCTCTTACCAGCTCCATGGAACATGCAGCCCCAGCCACGCTTTCCTGCTGCAGCCGGCATGATGGCAGCGGCTGCTCCAGATGGCCCGCCACTGCCATCATTACCATTTAGTATCAACATTATTGCATAAAGAAAGAATACTTGAACTTCAAATAGTAGAAGGGCCTAATGGAAGATAACACTTTAAATTGAATAAACTTAAATGTATGATGAACTCATGCTCATTATGTGTTTTTGTTTTATTTTACTTTTTGCTAATGAAAACTTCACTAGATACTGACATTGTACTGTGGGCCAATGTTCTAGAGCCACTGATTTATTGTATGCATCTTATGTGCTTCCTAAACTTTCAGATTTTCTTTATGCACATATGTGAATAGATGCTCTTGATGGTTTTTTACTTTTTTTTTTTTTTTTTTTTTACATAAAAAGTGGCATATTTGTGGCAGAGACTGCTAGCAGTCTCCTGAATACAGATTCTCTGTAATACAAGATGTTTTATCTGGGCACATGGATACCCAGCTAAATACTATAGTTCTTAGCTTAGCTGCTGCTAATTGTGGCCATGTGATGATGGGATGTAAACTGAAGTGATGTAGCAATTTCTGAGTGATGACCTGAAAAGGAAAGGAGGCTTTCTTCCCTTCTAGAGGAAGATGTAACCTGACGGTAGGAGCTGCAGCAGCCATATTTTACCATAAGATGGAAGTAAGGTGTTAAGGGTGAAAAAGCAACATGATAGGAAGGGTCTATGACTCTGAGACCATGAAGGTGTCATATTAGCCTTGAACTATAAATGATTAGACCCTTTTTAAATGGCAGCTAACCTGATATCCTAACTAATAAAATAATATACGCTGTTTTGCTCTTAGCCTCTTGATACTCAACAATATATCTGGGAATTCTTTCCAAATTTTTTGCAATCCTAAGGCAGAAAAAAATAGACTCTAATGTTGGGGGAAGGGTATAGGATGATGCTGTGGGCCAGCTGGTGAGCAGTGCTCTGTTGATGTCTCTCATCCTCCCATCTTCATCAGTACTGTAAGGGGATACAACTGTTTTCTCTGCTGCTGAGTTTTCAAATATTTGATAGGGTCTTTCTGTGTGCAAAGAGACATTTGTAGCTGCATGTTTTAGTTGATACTGACTTTATTAGAGCGGAATATAAGCTAAAAAAAACTAGTTTTTCTAAGGCTTTAATGCTCATTTTAATTTTTATAAATCTAGTTTTTTGCATATAAAAATTAAAGGGATGTTTCTTAATCCTTTGATTAGGTTTCAATTTACTGTTTGCTTCACTTATTAATTCAGTTAATTAAATTATTACATTTTCTTTAAACATTTTTAAACCTATTTACACATTTTAAAAACCCAAGTATCCTCAAATATTTCAAACCTCCGAAAAAGCTGTCAAGCAAAATCTAAGCAGTTAAGTGATTCTGGTAGATCGATTAAATAAATCTTACTCTCTTGGCCAGGCATGGTGGCTCATGTCTGTAGTCCTAGCACTTGAGGAGGCCAGGACGGGAGGATTGCTGGAGACCAGGAGTCTGAGACCAGTTTGGGAAGCATGGAGAAACCGCATCTCTACAAAAAGTGTAAAAATTAGCTGGGCATGGTAGCACACATTTGTAGTCCCAGCTACTCGGGAGGCTGAAGTGGGAGGATAACTTGAGCCCAGGAAGTTGAAGCTGCAATGAGCCTCGACATATTGCTAATCAAGCCACTGCACTCCAACCTAGGTGACAGAGTAAAACTCTGTCAAAAAAAAAAAAAACAAAAAACAAACCCCACAAAACCATACTCTCTTAATTCTAAACATTCTAATATTGTTTCTAAATGTAATCAAATCAAATAATCACATTTATTACTGTTAAATCATAAACTAATCACAACTCTGATAGATTATTTAATATCAGATTTAAATACCATAAATAAGGACAAGATTTTAAAAATTCAGTGCTGACTCATGTTTACTTATTTTAAAGTTTGTCTTGAGAGTATTCTTTTTTTTATACTTTAAGTTCTGGGATACATGTGCAGAACGTGCAGGTTTGTTACATAGGTATACACGTGCCATGGTGGTTTGCTGCACCCATCAACCCGTCATCTACATTAGGTATTTCTTCTAATGCTATCACTTCCTTAGCTCCCTACCCCCTGACAGAACCCGGTATGTGATGTTCCCCTCACTGTGTCCATGTGTTATCATTATTCAGTTCCCACTTATGAGTGAGAACATGCGATGTTTGGTTTTCTGTTCTTGTGTTAGTTTGCTGAGAATGATGGTTTCCAGCTTCATCCATGTCCCTGCAAAGGACATAAACTGATCCTTTTTATGGCTACATAGTATTCCATGGTGTATATGTACCACATTTTCTTTATCCAGTCTATCATTGGTGGGCATTTGGGTTGGTTCCAAGTCTTTGCTGTTGTGAATAGTTGCTGCAATAAACATACATGTGCATGTGTCTTTATAGTAGAATGATTTATAATCCTTTGGGTATATACCCAGTAATGGGATTGCTGGGTCAAATGGTATTTGTGGTTTTAGACCCTTGAGGAGTCGCTACACTGTCTTCCACAATGGTTGAACTAATTTACACTCCCAACAACAGTGTAAAAGCGTTCCTATTTCTCCACATCCTCTCTAGCATCTGTTGTTTCCTGACTTTTTAATGATCGCCATTCTAACTGGCGTGAGAGGGTATCTCATTGTGGTTTTGATTTGCATTTCTCTAATGACCAGTGGTGATGAGCTTTTTTTCACATGTTTGTTGGCCACATAAATACCTTGAGAGGTGTCTGTTCATATCCTGTGGCCACTTTTTGATGGGGTTTTTTTTTCTTGTAAATTCGTTTAAATTCCTTGTAGATTCTGGATATGAACCCTTTGTCAGATGGATAGATTGCAAAAATTTTCTCCCATTCTGTAGGTTGCCTGTTCACTCTGATGATAGTTTCTTTTGTTGTGCAGAAGCTCTTTAGTTTAATTTGATCCCATTTGTCAATTTTGGCTTTTGTTGCCATTGCTTTTGGTGCTTTAGTCATGAAGTCTTTGCCTATGTCTGTGTCCTACATGGTATTGCCTAGGTTTTCTTCTAGGGTTTTTATGGTTTTAGGTCTTATGTTTAAGTCTATAATCCATCTTGAGTTAATTTTTGTGTAAGGGGTAAGGAAGGGGTCCAGTTTCAGTTTTCTGCATATGGCTAGCCAGTTTTCCCAACACTATTTATTAAATATGGAATTCTTTCCCCATTGCTTGTTTTTGTCGGGTTGGTCAAGGATCAGATGGCTCTAGATGTGTAGTGTTAGTCCTGAGGCTTCTGTTCTGTTCCATTGATCTATATATCTGTTTTGGTACCAGTACCATGCTGTTTTGGTTACTGTAGCCTTGTAGTATAGTTTGAAGTCAGGTAGTATGCTGCCTCCAGCTTTGTTCTTTTTGCTTAGGATTGTATTGGCTATATGGGCTCTTTTTTGCTTCCATGTGAAATTTAAAGTAGTTTTTTCTAATTCTGTGAAGAAAGTCAATGGTAGCTTGATGGGGATAGCATTGAATCTATAAATTACTTTGAGCAGTATGACCATTTTCACATTATTGGTTCTATCCGTGAGCATGAAATGTCCTTCCATTTGTTTGTGTCCTCTCTTATTTCCTTGAGCAGTGGTTTGTAGTTCTCTTGAAGAGGTCCTTCACATCCCTTAAAAGTTGGATTCCTAGGTATTTTATTCTCTTTGTAGCAATTGTGAATGGGAGTTCACTCATGATTTGGTTTTCTGTGTGTCTATTATTGGTATATAGGAATGCTTGTGATTTTTGCACATTGATTTTGTATCCTGAGACTTTGCTGAAGTTGCTTATCAGCTTAAGGAGATTTTGGGCTGAGGCACTGGGGTTTTCTAAATATAAAATCATGTCATCTGCAAACAGGGCCAATTTGACTTCCTGTCTTCCTATTTGAATACCCTTTTTTTCTTTCTCTTGCCTGATTGCTCTGGCTAGATCTTCCAATACTATGTTGAATAGGGGTGGTGAGAGAGGGTATCCTTGTCTTGGCCAGTTTTCAAAAGGAATGCTTCCAGCTTTTGCCCATTCAGTATGATATTGGCTGTGGGTTTGTCATAAATAGCTCTTATTATTTTGAGATACGTTCCATCAATACCTAGTTTATTGAGAGTTTTTAGCATGAATGGGTGTTGAGTTTTATTGAAGGCCTTTTCTGCATCTATTGAGATAATCGTGGTTTTTGGGCGTTGGTTCTGTTTACGTGATGGATTACATTTATTAATTTGCGTATGTTGAACCAGCCTGGCATCCCAGGGATGAAGCTGACTTGATTGTGGTGGATAAGCTTTTTGATGTGCTGCTGGATTCAGTTTGCCAGTATTTTATTGAGGATTTTCGCATTGATGTTCATCAGGTGCCTGAATTTCAGGTGGCCTGAAATTTTCTTTTTTTGTTGTGTCTCTGCCAGGTTTTGGTATCAGGATAATGCTGGCCACCTAAAACGAGGTAGGGAAGAGTCCCTCTTTTTCTGTTGTTTGGAATAGTTTCAGAAGGAATGGTACCAGCTCCTTTTTGTACCTCTGGTAGAATTTGGCTGTGAATCCATCTGTTCCTGGCCTTTTTTTGGTTCATAGGCTATTAATTACTGCCTCAATTTCAGAACCTGTTATTAGTCTATTCAGGGATTCACCTTCTTCCTGGTTTAGTCTTGGGAGGGTGTATGTGTCCAGGAATTTATGAATTTCTTCTAGATTTTCTAGTTTATTTATGTAAAGGTGTTTATAGTATTCTCTGATGGTAGTTTGTATTTCTGTGGGATCAGTAGTGATATCCTCTTTATCATTTTTGTGTGTCTATTTGAGTCTTCTCTCTTTTCTTCTTTATTTGTCTTGTTAGTGGTCTATCTATTTTGTTAATCTTTTCAGAAAACCAGCTCCTGCGTTCATTGATTTTTTAAAGGGTTGTTCGTGTCTCTATCTTCTTCAGTTCTGCTCTGATCTTAGCTGTTTCTTGTCTTCTGCTAGCTTTTCAGTTTGTTAGCTCTTGCTTCTCTAGTTCTTTTCATTGTGATGTTAGGGTGTTGATTTTAGATCTTTCCCACTTTCTCCTGTGGGCATTTAGTGCTATAAATTTACTTCTAAACACTGCTTTAGCTGTATCCCAGAGATTCTGGTACATTGTGTGTACTCATTGCTTTCAAATAACTTATTTATTTCTGCTTTAATTTCATTATTTACCTAGTAGTCATTCAGGAGCAGGTTGTTCAGTTTCCTTGCAGTTTTATGATTTTGAGTGAGTTTCTTAATCCTGAGTTCTAATTTGATTGCACTGTGGTCTGAGAGACTGTTTGTTATTATTTCAGTTCTTTTGCATTTGCTGAGGAGGTGTTTTACTTCCAATGATGCGGTCAATTTTAAACTAAGTGCAATGTGGTGCCGAGAAGAATGTATATTCTGTTGATTTGGGGTGGAGAGTTCTGTAGATGTCTATTAGGTCCGCTTTGTCCAGGGCTGAGTTCAAGTCCTGAATATCCTTGTTAATTTTCTGTCTCATTGATCTAATATTGACAATGGGGTGTTAAAGTCTCCCACTATTATTGTGTGGGAGTCTAAGTCTCTTTGTAGGTCTCTAAGAACTTGCTTTGTGAATCTGGGTGCTCCTCTATTGGGTGCATATATATTTAGGATAGTTAGCTCTTCTTTTTGCATTGATCCCTTTACCATTATGTAATGCCCTTATTTGTCTCTTTTGATCTTCGTTGATTTAAAGTCTGTTTTATCAGAGACTAGGATTGCAAACCCTGCTTCTTTTTTTTTTTCTTTCCATTTGCTTGGTAAATATTCCTCCATCCCTTTATTTTGAGCCTATGTGTGTCTTTGCACATGAGATGGGTCTCCTGAATACAGCACACCAAGGGGTCTTGGCTCTTTATCCAATTGGTCAGTCTGTGTCTTTTAATTGGGGCATTTAGCCCATTTACATTTAAGGTTAATATTGTTATGTGTGAATTTTATCCTGTCATTATGATGCTAGCTGGTTATTTTGCACATTAGTTGATTCAGTTTCTTAATAGTGTCGTTATTCTTTACAATTTGATATGTTTTTGCAGTGGTTGGTACTGGTTTTTCCTTTCCATATTTAGTGCTTCCTTCAGGAGCTCTTCTAAGGCAGGCCTGGTGGTGACAGAATCTCTCAGCATTTGCTTGTCTGTAAAGGATTTTATTTCTCCTTTGCTTATGAAGCTTAGTTTGGCTGGATATGAAATTCTGGGTTGAAAATTCTTTTCTTTAAAAATGTTGAATATTGGTCCCCACTCTCTTTTGGCTTATAGAGTTTCTGCTGAAAGATCAGCTGTTAGTCTGATGGGCTTCCCTTTGTGGGTAACCCGACCTTTCTCTCTGGCTGCCCTTAACATTTTTTTCTTCATTTCAACCTGACAACTATCTGTCTTGGGGTTGCTCTTCTTGAGTATCTTTGTTGTGTTCTCTGTATTTCCTGAATTTGAATGTTGGCCTGTCTTGCTAGGTGGGGGAAGTTCTCCTGGATAATATCCTGAAGACTGTTTTCCAATTTGGTTCCATTCTCCCCGTCACTTTTAGGTACACCAATCAAATGTAGGTTTGGTCTTTTCACATAGTCTCATATTTCTTGGAGGCTTTATTCATTCCTTTTCATTCTTTTTTTGTCTTCATGCTTTATTTCGTTAAGTTGATCTTCAATCTCTGATACCCTTTCTTCTGCTTGATCGATTCCGCTATTGATACTTGTGTATGCTTCACGAAGTTCTTGTTCTGTGTTCTTCAGCTCCATCAGGTCATTTATGTTCTTCTCTAAACTGTTTATTCTAGTTAGCAATTCGTATAGCCTTTTTTTCAAGGTTCTTAGGTTCTTTGCATTGGGTTAGGACTTGCTCTTTTAGCTCGGAGGAGTTTGTTATTACCCACCTTCTGAAGCCTACTTCGGTCAATTCGTCAAATTCATTCTCCATCCAATTTTGTTCCCTTGCTGGCAAGGAGTTGTGATCCTTTGGAAGAGAAGAGTCATTCTGGTTTTTGGAATTTTCAGCCTTTTTGTGCTGATTTTTCCTCATCTTCATGAATTTATGTACCTTTGGTCTTTGATGTTGGTGACCTTTGGATGGGGTTTCTGAGTGGACATGCTATTCCTTTCTGTTTGTTAGTTTTCTTTCTAACAGTCAGGCCCCTCTGCTGCAGGTCTGCTGGAGTTTGCTGGAGGTCCACTCCAGACCCAGTTTGCCTGGGTATCACCAGCGGAGGCGGCAGAACATCAAAGATTGCAGCTTCTTCTTTCCTCTGGAAGCTTCTTCCCAGAGGGGCATCTGCTAGATGCCAGCTGGAGCTCTCCTGTATGAGGTGTCTGTCGACCCCCGCTGGGAGGTGTCTCCCAGTCAAGAGGCATGGGAGTCAGGGACCCACTTGAGGAGGCAGTCTGTCTCTTAGCAGAGCTGGAGCATTGTGCTGGGAGATCTGCTGTCCTCTTCAGAGCTGGCAGGCAGGAACATTTAAGTTTGCTGAAGCTGCACCCACAGCTGCCCCTTCCCCCAGGTGCTCTGTCCCAGGGAGATGGGAGTTTTACCTATAAGCCCCTGACTGGTGCTTCTGCCTTTCTTTCAGAGATGCCCTGTCCAGAGAGGAGGAATCTAGACAGGCAGTCTGGCCACAGCGGCTTTGCAGTGCTGTGGGGGGATCTGCTCTGTTGGAACTTCCCTGCTGCTTTGTTTACACTGTGAGGGGGAAACCCTCTACTCAAACCTCAGTAATGGCGGATGCCCCTCCCTCCCAGCAAGCTTGAGTGTCCCAGGTCGACCTCAGACTGCTGTGCTAGTGGCGAGAATTTCAAGCCAGTGGAACGTAGCTTGCTGGGCCCCATGAGGGTGGGATCCTCTGAGTTAGACCACTTGGCTCCCTGGCTTCAGCCCCTTTTCCAGGGGAGTGAACGGTTCTGTGCCGCTGGCGTTCCAGGCACCACTGGGGTATGGAAAAAAACTCCTGCATTTAGCTCAGTGTCTGCCCAAACAGCAGCCCAGTTTTGTGCTTCAAATCCATGGCGCTGGTGGTGTAGGCACCCGAGGGAATCTCCTGGTCTGCGGGTTCCGAAGACCGTCGGAAAAGTGTAGTATTGGGGCCAGAATGCACCGTTCCTCATGGCACAGTCCCTCAGGGCTTCCCTTGGCTAGGGTAGGGAGTTCCCCAACTCCTTGCTTCCCAGGTGAGGCAACGCCCCACCCTGCTTTGGCTCACTCTCCGTGCGTTGCACCCACTCTAACCAATCCCAATGAGATGAGCCAGGTACCTTAGTTTGAAATGCAGAAATCACCTGCCTTCTGCATTGATCTCACTGGGAGCTGCAGACAGGAGCTGTTCCTATTCAGCCATCTTGCCAGCCACTGTGAGAGTATTATTAATATGTGTTTGATTTACTTATTCTTATTCTTTCTCCTTTATGGGGCTTACAAAAATTCAACCCAATTAGGAAGAGATTTACAATCTCAGCCCAAGATTTAGGATGATTCTTCAAGTTCACACATTTTCTTACAGCCCAAAGTGTCACTTATTTTTTTTATTCCAGTTTTTACCATTTCAAATTTTTTTTTCTTTTTCTTTCCTTTTTTTTTTTTTTTTTTTTTTTTTTTTTTTTTTTTTGAGACAGCGTCTCACTCTTTTGCCCATGCTGGAGTGCAGTGGTGCCATCTTGGTTCACTGCAACCTCTGCCTCCCCGGGTTCAAGCAATTCTTCTGCCCTCAGCCTCCTGAGTAGCTGGAACTACAGGCGCATGCCACCACACCTGGCTAATTTTTCTATTTTTAGTAGAGTCAGGGTTTCACCATGTTGGCCAGGCTGGTCTTAAACTACTGACCTCAGGTGATCCGCTCATCTTGGCCTCCCAAAGTGCTGGGATTACAGTCATGAGCCACCTGTGCCCCACCTGAAACTGAAAAAAAAATTTTTCTTTTTTTTTTTTTTTGAGACAGAGTCTCACTCTGTCACCCAGGATGGAGTGTAGTGGTTCTATCTCAGCTCACTGTAAGCTCTGCCTCCTGGGTTCACACCATTCTCCTGCCTCAGCCTCCCAAGCATTTGGGACTACAGGCACCCGCCACCACGCCTGGCTATTTTTCTTTTTTTTGTATTTTTAGTAGAGACGGGGTTTTCACCATGTTAGCCAGGATGGTCTCAATCTCCTGACTTCGTGATCTGCCTGCCTCAGCCTCCCAAAGTGCTGGGATTACAGGCATGAATGTTTTTGTATTTTTAGTAGAGACGAGGTTTCAACATTTTAGCCAGGATGATCTCGATCTCCTGACTCTGTGATCCGCCCAACTCGGCCTCCCAAAGTGCTGGGATTACAAGCATGAGCCACCCTGCCTGGCCGAAAAAAATTTCTTTAATCATCTAATTTAGTGATTCAATTCTGTACCCACACCCATCTACAATGGCAACTGGTTTCTTCATTGTCTAACTTGTGTTGAAGGGGTTCTACACTTTCTAAGTTCTTTTAGCTGCCTCACGACCAATATTTCTTATTCTTTTGCTGTTCCTTAAATTTGAAGAAGAAAATTAGATCTCAGTTTCAAGAGGTGAGAGATATGAGCTCATTTCTTCTTGTTGTTGTTGTTAATTTCAAAGACTGTGTGCACATGAGGTCATTTCTTAAAGCTTGTCCATATTCTGATTTGCATGTTCTGTATTCAAACTCATCAGTCTAATATTGTTTACACAAGTTTCTTTTCTTTCATTTAAACATTTAAGCTATTTAAGAGTAAATTAGGCCTGGCGCAGTGGCTTGTGCCTGTAATCCCAGAACTTTGGGATGCTGAGGTGGGAGAATTGCTTGAGGCAAGGGATTCAAGATTGCGGTGAGCTATGATCATGCCATTGCACTCCAGCCTGGGCAACAGAGTGAGACCCTGTCTTAATAAAAAGAAAATGAATTAACGAACAATATGAAATAGAGCAAATGAAATATAAAGCACTAGTCATAAACAATAGGCCTATCAAAAACTCCACCAGCTGGCAGCCTTCAAAACAAATATTTGTGTTTAAATGCGGCTTCTTTGTTCTAAAATGCCTAAAAGTCGACGAAATCATCCCTTTTAATATCTCTCTGCTTTTTATTTGTTGATATGGAATTGTAGATGGTCTACAGGTAGCTCATGTGTCAGAAAACTGCTTGAGCTTCCCCTAACCATCTTCAAATTGCCATTGGTTTAGGGTAATGATGAAGTCTCTCTCTTACCTAATAATTTAATTTGTGTCTATATTAACGGGTGGGGCAGGTGGAGGAAATGAGAAAGAGGTTTTGGTTTGTTTTACGTAAGCCAACCAGGATAAGAGTGGACACTAAACATAGGGTCTATCAATTAGGCATGGTCTGGTGAAGCCAATTTATTCTGTGTGTGTGCACTTGCATGCACACTTACCCATACACACCACCAGATAATTTGAAATTAGCACTTAAATGGCCATTTGAATTTGTTATTAGGCTAATCAAACCTATTCTATCTACAATGTAATTATATCTTGGTGCAAACCAGAAAATGACCAAAAATTTATCCAAAAAAATTATCTTCATTTGTTTAAAGTGTTCATTTTGAGCATCTGAAATTTCTGTTTAAAGTCATCTTTGCTGGGTGCAGTGACTCGCACCTGTAATCACAGCACGTTGGGAGGCTGAGGCAGGCAGATTGCTTGAGTCCAGGAGTTTGAGACCAGCCTGGTCAACGTGGCAAAACTCCATCTCTACAAAAAGTATAAAAATTGACTGAACATGGTGGCATGCTCCTGTGGTCCCAGCTACATGGGAAGCTGAGGTGGGAGGGTCACTTGAGCCTGGGAGGTGGAGACTGCAGTGAGCTGAGATCGTGCCACTGTACTCCAGCCTGGGTGATAGGAGTGAGACCCTGTCTCAAAATAAATAAATAAAAAATAAAGTCATTTTAAAAAATTTTATTTAAAGAGAATCATGTTGGCCAAACAGAAAGGGATTTTTTTTTTTTTTTTTTTTTTTTTGAGACAAGATTCTCCCTCTGTTGCCCAGGCTGGAGTGCAGTGGTGTGATCTTGGCTCACTGCAACCTCCACCTCGCGCGTTCAAACAAATTCTCCTGCCTCAGCCTCCAGAGTAGCTGGGACTACAGGTGTGCACCACCATGTCTGGTTAATTTTTGTATTTTTAGTAGAGACAGGGTTTCGCCATGCTGGCCAGGCTGGTCTCGAACTCCTGACCTCGTGATCCACCTGCCTCGACCTCCCAAGGTGCTGGGATTACAGGCACGAGCCACCACGCCCAGCAATGGATTTGTTTCTAATTATTAGGATGATTAGGAAAACTTAATATGTTAATTATATTATGATATTTGCTAGAGCTCTAATTAGAAATATTGTTTCTAATTTGTATTTTGTCCGGAATTCTAAGCATTCCTTATTATACTTGCTGCATCATCTGTTTGATGAATTGCTTTTCCCTTTAATACTTTTAAACTTTCAATCACCTGAAAAAGCTGGATGTTATCTAAAGCCTTGTGGATGAGTTGCCAGAAATCTTTGGTATAAATCCCAGTATGGCTTCTAATGTGCATGGTGACCTTCAACAAGTCACAGAGTCACAGAGGCTCCTCATCAGTAAAATGAAAAGGCTGGATTTGGCAATCTCTAAATCCTTCCAGCCCTGAGTTTCCGTGTTAACTCTTCAACAATAGTGGAAAGCTTAGTTACCTTGATCATTCAAGGCAGATAGACTCTGTGTGTGTGTGTGTGCACGTGTGTGTGTGTGCACACACACGTAATGTGCCTCCAGTGTAACTGAGGAAATAATATCTAGTTGCTGTTTGACTTGGTGACAAACGGTAGAAATAGATTTCTTTATATTTCTTTGTTCTCTGTGTTTGAATTTTTATGTAGCAAGAGGCTTTACATGTGCAGTAATTCCAGTGTATCAAAACAGGTTTGTCAGGGACAGAAATGAATTGGTAGTCTGACTGGTACTTCTAATTGCAGAATTATCTAGTAGCATAAAAATGGCTCATGGACTGACACATTTGTCACTAGCTAAAAATTTAGCTTCAATTCAATGTACTTTAAAATATAGGAGCATTTAATAGTAACAATAGCAATAACATTATGTAGTGCTGACTATAGGCCAGACACCATTCTGAGGGTTTTATATCTATCAGTTCATTTCATCCTTGCAAGTTGTTGTGGTATGCACTATACTTTGTCCATTTTACTGATGAGGAAACTGAGCTAAAGAAAGATGAAATGAGCTGCCCCATATCACACAGTACTAAATGCGGAGCTGGGTTCCAGGGATTTCTTGCTCTTACTGTTCCCTACTGCTGCCCTTGGTAAATATCTCATTCGGCCAGGCATGGTGGCTCATACCTGTAATCCCAGCACTTTGGGAGGCTGAGCAGGGTGGATCACTTGAGATCAGGAGTTTGAGACCAGCCTGGCTAACATGCTGAAATCTTGTCTATACTAAAAATACAAAATTAGCTGGATGACACGCGCCTGTAGTCTCAGCTACTCAGGAGGCTGAGGCAGGACAATCACTTGAACCCAGGAGGCGGAGGTTGCAGTGAACTGAGATTGCTCCATTGCACTCCAGCCTGGGCAAAAAGAGCGAAACTCTGTCTCAAAACAAACAAAACAAACTCGTTATAGGAATGCCTGGCTGGGTTGACGTCTGAGTGGAGGCAAGGGTCTGGTATGTGCTCTTGTATCTTCTCTTACAGTTCAGTGGAACTTTGAACAAGTCATGTAATCTCTCCAAACCAGGGCTGTCCAATGGAAATAGAATGTGAGATGCAAATGTGAGCCACACATGTAATTTTAAACTTCCCAGTAGCCATATTTGAATAAAGTAAAATGAAATATGTAAAATTATTGTTAATATATGTCTTAAGTATATTATTTAAATATATTCAAGGCCGGGCGCGGTGGCTCACGCCTGTAATCCCAGCACTTTGGGAGGCCGAGGCGGGCGGATCACGAGGTCAGGAGATCGAGACCATCCCGGCTAAAACGGTGAAACCCCGTCTCTACTAAAAATACAAAAAATTAGCCGGGCGTAGTGGCGGGCGCCTGTAGTCCCAGGTACTTGGGAGGCTGAGGCAGGAGAATGGCGTGAACCCGGGAGGCGGAGCTTGCAGTGAGCCGAGATCCCGCCACTGCACTCCAGCCTGGGCGACAGAGCGAGACTCCGTCTCAAAAAAAAAAAAAAAAAAAAAAAAAAAAAAATATATATATATATATATATATATATATATATATATATATTCAAATGTAATCATCCAGCATATAATCAACAATGAAAATTTTCAGTGAGATACCTTATATTCATTCACTATCCACATTTTAAGTACACAATGGCTCCACGTAACTACTGGGTACCATATTAGACAGCACAGCACCGAACCCTGGAGAGCTACTGTAAAATGAGACCATAGCAATGGATCATCACTAAAACCTTAGATCTGAAATTCTAGAAATCTATCATGAGAAGCACCTGTGCTCCTTAAGTAGTTTACCTTTATGAGATCACTTGTTTCTTACCTGCTTCAGTAGCACGGAGAAAACATTTTAAGATACTAATTCAACAATGAAATGATCCTTTAAGAATCACAAAGGCAAAGCAGTGTCAAGAGAATGTGTGCTATGAGAGAAGATTTTCAGAAAGCAGCCATGCTTTAGTGGGTTTTGTTGTTGTTGTTGTTTTTTAAATCAATTAGTCCTTCAAATATCTGAGAGCTTTCTGTGGGCTAGGTCCTATTCTAGGCCTCAGGTACTTAGAAGAGAACAAAGGCCCTGGTCTTATGGTGTCTTTACTGTGATTTAACAGTAAATAGACATGAAGGATGCCTTTGGGTTAGGTAAGTACTATGAATAAAGCAGAGTAAGAGATTAGAGAGTGGAGGCTGGAGACCTGGGAACTGGTGGGCCTAATTTTGCCAGGAGTAATTCTCTGAAGGGTGACAATGGAGGGGAGACTGGATTAAGAGATGGTATAAACTATATGAAGACCCAGGGAACAATGTACCAGGAAGTGACTGGGCATTCTAGGCTGGGGAGACAGCCTGAGGTGGAAATGGGCTTGGTGGGTTTGAGGAAGAACAGGAACGCATTGTGTTTGGAGTTGAGCAAGAGAGAGAGTGATAGGCAGCATGGCTGGGAAGTAGGAGTTTGGATTTTAATTTAAGTGTTAGGGGAGGCCAAGAAGAGTCATGATTGGCGTGGAGAAGTGATTTGATGGTCTTTTTAAAAAGAAAGCTCTGATTGCTGGACAGATAACATGTGGTAATGGTGGAGGCAGGAAGACCAGTTGAGATGTTATGGAATGTCCAGGTGACCTGTCATGGTGACTTGGACTAGCATAAAAGTGAAGGGGGTTGATCAAATTGGTTAGATTTGATATACGTTCTGAAGGTAGAGTTGATTGGATGTATTGGTAGATGGCCCAGGAGTATGCAAGGATGTCATCAGGATGACTCCCAGGTTTTTGGCTCAGGCAACTGGGTCCTTGGTAGTGTCACTTACTGAGATGGGTGAGAGAGGTTGGAGAATGGATTTGGTGGAGTGAGGGGGTGGAGGTAGACAGTCAACAAACAGTTCTGTTTTTAGACATTTTCAGGTTGCTACATCTTTATAATTGTGAATATCCCATTCACAATTATAACCACATTGTGGCTAGAGGCCGAGCGCAGTGGCTCACGCCTGTAATCCCAACACTTTGGGAGGCCAAGGTGGGTGGATTGTGAGATCAGGAGATCGAGACCATCCTGGCTAACATGGTGAAACCCTGTCTCTACTAAAAATACAAAAAAATTAACCGGTCGTGGTGGTGGGTGCCTGTAGTCCCAGCGACTCAGGAGGCTGAAGCAGGAGAATGGCGTGAACCCGGGAGGCGGAGCTTGCAGTGAGCCAAGATCGTGCCACCACACTCCAGCCTGGGCGACAGAGTGAGACTCTGCCTCAAAAATAAAAAATAAAATAAAAATTGTGGCTAGAGGGATTTAACATCTTTATCTAACACATTTGGAGAAGGGACTTTGCCCTAACACAGAGAGCTGGAGGTGGAGTTATTGTTTCATCAAGGCATGGACTCAGGATAAGGATGAGGCCTTTTTGATGCTTTTCTTTGGATAGTGATGTTAGTGACAGAAGCAGGAATTATGACGTAGAGTAAATAAAAACTTTACTGCTAAGAGGTCCTGTTTCTGTGCTTAGGAAAGAGCTGTTTCCAAAGTTTGTAATCACCTGCTGAGCATCAGCATGCCTGTACCTCGTGTGTAATACTGAAATATTCCTATGTCTCTTGGTAAATACCCACTGCCCCTGAGTGCCCCCATCTTCCTGCTGCTGACTTAGCCATCAGAGCCTTGCTTCTGGTGGTACTCCTGACCTCCCTCTACTCAGCACATAATAAGTAGTGCCTTGCACAGCAGTTAGCTTCCTTGGCTTCGTTCCAGCCATTACAGTGGAACAGTATCCGTTCTGATTAGTCAGTGCCCATGCCATGCCATTAGCATTGCCAAATCTTTTGAGTATCACCAATGGTTCTACCCATGGGTAGGGTCACGCCTAAGCAATGTGAAGTTGGAAAGAGTAATCTTAATGAACCAGCCACTTCCAAATAGTCAAGAATGTTGATGTCCTTGATCTCTTGAATGAATTTTAGGTTTCCATTCTGCTTTACCATTCTGTGAATACTGCACAATGTGTGCTATGGTAGCCAGTGTCTGGGTTGACAAGGCCTCTCATGGTTTACTTGTATCCCAACATAAATGCGATAGATTGGGCATTCCTCATCCTATCCTATTGCAAAGAACTCTGAGATTTCAGACAAACCCTGCATGTATAGCATGAACTGTGGGTGAAGACCAAGATATGAAGTATTTCAGTGACCATAATGCAACAACAACAACAACAACAAAAATCTTGCTCTTTCCCTTTGACTCTATGTTATCTACTTTGGGATTTCTCCAAAAAAAAAACCCCAAAAAACAAAAAAACAAAAACCAAAAGAACTGATGATTCTGTTGGACTTGGAAGGTTCGCATGCAAAGTGAAGTGTTGGATATGGTAAAATTCTTCACTGATTATTTAAACGTGTGTGTGTGTGTGTGTGTGTGTGTGTGTGTGTGTGTGTGTGTGTGTGTATTTCATTTTCAACCACCAGCAGTGGGTTGGGATGGTCTAAGTACAGAAATGTGTATGATGATAAACATGTTGATGAAAAGACAAAAAGCTTTTGGTCTTGGGTGGGGAGGAGTGTGAGTTTGGACCCTGCTTGGTCATTCTGCTCTGATGGAGGTTCCCATCTCCTTGGTGATCTGCAGCAGAAGGAAGTACATGCTGAATGTTGGGTAAGGGGAGAGCAGAAAGTGCTGTCTCCTGCAGTCTGAGCTTGAACAAGTTTTTCTGGAGGTGATGGGAACTCCTCAGGACTTTGCCAAATAGGTGGCACTGACCTGATCAGAAGAAAGAAGGTGTTTCAGATATTCCATATTGTAAATAAATGTCCCTGACTATTGGTTTACCTTTAGTGGCTAAAAAAAAAAGCATTGTCTCCTGAAACCCCAATTTGGGATAATTTCTGGGAGGCACTAGGAGAGTCTCTTCTCTGAGAAATTGATGGCTAATTTGGAGACTGAAGGAATCAAGTGGCTGGTTAGTTACATTTCTTCCTGTGTAAAAGCTCCATGACAGTGCTGCTGTTACATTTGTTTCAACAACTAAACCATGTGCCTTGATTCCACAGGCAATGGAGAACTTTCTCTCTGTGCCAAGAACTGTGGGTAAAGAGAAAAGCAAGACTGACAAACATAAGTGGATTTTCAGTGAAATTAGACTTTTAAACCCCCTGGTCTTTCCAAGTTCATAACCCTTTAGGAGGCAAGCTGGCTTCTACTGCCTTAAATATGTTTGGCATTTACAGTAAATTATGACTGTGGGAGTATTTGCAATCTACCACCCCTGACGATTTCTTTGAGGAAAAGATTCTTTCTCACTGGGTCAGCCCGTGGGCTCTTCATGGGGAGAATCTAGGCAGTGGATGATGCAGAGAGAATGCTAATGAACTGAGGGAAGCCAAGTTGATCTATTAATATAATACACAGCTGAAGTGGGGAAGAAGGAAGGCAGAACAGCCATGAGACTGCATGGCAGGGAGCTTTTTTGGAGGGAGTGTTGAGACTAGGAGAGTTTCGGGGAGCATTTTCTCTCTGTGTGGAAGATATTAGGAGGGTCAGGGATAAAGAGAATATTTTGAGGATGCATTGTGAAAACGAAGAATCCATCTCCTTGTTGGCGTTTCATAGACTGAGAAAGGATTGGAGAATTAAGTACATGTTCATTGCCTCACTGTGCTTATTTGAATTAATACAGTGGCAAAATTATGCAGCATGGGGCCCCAGGATTTATTGAGAAAACACTGAAAACACTAAAATGGGGTACTGTCAGATACCCCAAAAACTTGAGGATCCAGGGTGGTTAGGCTGACCCTGTGTGACAGAGACAATGAGATGGAAGGAGTATGTGTCTAGTTTTGGTCACTGGGATGTGGGTGGAAGTGATATGTACCATTTCTGGGACTGGCCTATAATAAATCTCCTATTCTCAGTCCTCTTTGTCTCTGTCTAGAGTCATCTTTGAGGCCTTTGGTTAGAGAAGGCAGAGCTACAAGAGAAAAATGCCTGTGCTCTGAATCGCTGCATGGAGGAAAGCTGGCCAACCATGAACATGTACATTGAACTCCATGTACAGGAGGGAAAAATAAGTTTTAATTGTGTTAAATCACTGAGATCTTGGGAATTATTTGTTACTGCAACAGAGCCCAGCATATTCTGACTAATACATTCTATTTCCAAACAAGAAGTATAGTGGTAACCTCTCTGCCACTCTGACTAACTACACTACTAGCTGCTGTTTCTTCCCTTACATTTGGGAGAAACAGCTGCTAATCCTTAATGAACATGTTCCTCTCATTTCCAACAGGAGTAAAACTTTGGCAAGGAAGAGGAGAGAAAGTAGTGGGAGCCACTTAGTGGTAAATCATTAGCACATCGCACATTATGGTGGGATTTTCCTGCATCAGTTCATGTTCCACAAGATTAGCTCATGAATAAATGAGTCTTTTTAAAAACCACTTTATTGATTGACATGTATGATTGACGCATAGAAAGCTGTACATATTTAACAAATACAACTTAACAAGTTTGGAGAAAAGTAGATACCTGTGTAACCATTATCACCATCAAGGCCAAAAACATTCTTCCCCTCCCCAAATTTCCTCCTGCCCCTTTTGTTATTATTAGAGATAACACACTTAAGATCTACGCTGTTAGCAAATTTTAAGGATACAATGTATTATTGTTAGTTATAGGCACCATGCCGTATAGTCTCCAGAATTTATTTATCTTGCATAACTGAAACTTCGTATCCTTTAACTGTCATTTCTTTATTTCCCCATTGTCCTACTCCCTGGCAACTGCCATTCTACTCTCTGCTTCCAAGAGTTTGAACTCTTTTAGATTCTACATCTAAGTGTGATCACAAATTTAGTGTTAAGTTTGTGAGTGTAGAGAAGCATATTATGGAATAAAAGTTTTGTGTGTCTCTTAAAATTTATATGTTAAAACTTTAATTCTCAATGTGATAGTATTTGGAGGTGGGGCCTTTAGGAGGTAAATAGGTTAGATAACGTCATGGAGATGGGGCCCTGGTCCAATGGAATGAGTGTCTTTCTCTGTCTGGCTTATTTCACTTAGCATAACGTTCTCCAAGTCCATCCAGTTGTGCAAAATGGCAGGATTTCCTTCTTTTTAAAGGCTGAATAATATTCCATGTGTGTTTATGTCACATTTTCTTTATCCATTCATCTGTCAATGGACATTTATCCATAACTTGGCTATTACGAATAATGCTGCAATGGGAGCATTATACGTGGAGTGCAGGGATCTCATTCAGATCCTGCTTTCATTTCCTTTGGATAAATACCCAGAAGTTGGATTTCTGGATCTTATACTTGTTCTATTTTTAAATTTTTTAACTGCCAAGTCCAATATTTTTTAATATTTTGAGAAACCTCCATACTGTTTTCCACAAAGACTATACAAATTTACATTCCCATGAACAGTGTACTAGATTTCCCTTTTCTCCACATCCTCATCAATACTTGTCATCTTTTTTTTTTTTTTAAATAATAGCCATTGTAACAGGTATGAGGTAATATCTCACTGTGGTTTGATTTGCATTCTTTTGATGATTAGTGATATTGAGCAGGAGTGAACTTTGTCTTTCTTTTGCTCTTGTGTCTTTGTTTACATTTTAGGTTTTAGTATTTGCTTTTTGTTTTTATTTACTTATTTAAACGTTTTGCCTGATTGTAGACTCACAGAGCATGAGAGCCCTGAGAGAAGTGTTTGGCCTGACAAGATACAGATTAAGTTTGGAGCTACTTTCCCTGCAGGCTTGGTAGGAATGATGTCTGGAAAAGGATCTTAGAGGAGAACTTTTCCCATGCCTGTGGCACCTTGGCTACCTTGTAGCTTTAATGTTTGGTGAGGACTTTGATTTTAGTTCTTTGAGTGGGTGTAATCTTACTTTTTCTTTCTTGTCAGAGGCAAAATAGTGGATTGGGTTAGAGCTTAGTTTTTGGTGTCTACTTTCCAGCTGCTACTCACTGTTTGACCCTTGATGAGTAACTTAATTTCTTTGGGACTACATTTATTTCCTTATTTGTAAAACCAAATAATAGATGTAGATCTTTAGCCTAGTTTCTAGTATATTATAACCACTCAATAATAACTATTTTATCAATATTGTTATTATTAGTGACAATATTATTATTTCCTGTCTAGTTTCTTTGATGTTAATGCTTCTTAAATTGTGCATTGCTTTTGGGTCTTAGTACTTTACATTTTGGGGGCAACTGAAGTTTAGGAACTTCTAGATCATGAGAGCACTCAGAGTGTATTTGTGTCCACAATGGTAAGTCAGTGTAGAAACCCAAAAGCTAAATGTATTTTGGCTCACTCAGAATAGCCTCTTCCATTTTTAACTTCAGCATCAGGGTATGGTGGGTGCGAGAATGGGAAGTTACTCAAACCCACCAACAGCAGAAAAATGAGTTATTTTCATTGCCTTGGCTTTGCTTCTTTCTTTTTCTCTGATGATCATACGTGTAAGAAAAAGGCTGGAAAGGGGACAATACAAAGGGAGGAGATTTAAAGCTATTGTCTGAACTCTCTGCTTTCCACCTTCATGGCTATTGTTGGGAGGTAATTCCTTATGGGCATCTCATGTTTCTTGTGTCTTGCAAGTGAGGCTCTAAATGTTCTTCTTAGGGACTCTCCTTTCAAAGATGTTGGGATAGCAAACAGTCTTGGAAGACAGAGGCAATGTCTTTCTCCAGAGTAAAGGACAGACATGCTTACTGCCCACTATAAAAGATTTAGTTTCCTATGTTCAGAGTTCCCCTCCTGTAACACAAGCATTGAGCATTCAGGCATCCATCTGGGCCTGCCCATGTAGCTCCCTTGGGATGCTGGAGCAGGAGAACTGATGCAAATATGTAGATACTCATGTTACTTTCTATGCAATGAATAATAAAGCCCTCTGTCTCATGCCTTCTACCAGCATCTATAGCATGCTAACATGGGAGCTTGCAAGTAAGGTAAAATCTCCAACCCTTCTTAGTTCTTGATAGCCACTATCTTGGCTACCAGTCTTCTAGCTGCCTTAAAACCACTTGAGAATAGGGTAATGTAAAACAAATGTAACTAGAATGAAGCTCAGACTAGATCCAGTCTCAGAGTGTGTCCTTACCTACTTACTTCCTATCTTTCTACCCCTCCTCCTTTCCTATTCATTCTGCATTATTAAAACCCCAATTTGGCAAGGACAAAATCATCTTTGAAGTGCAAGGGAGGAGAAAAACTTAAGGAGTGAAACCAGAGTCCCCTTTCACACAAATGAGAGAGGAAAAGTTGCTGACATTCATTTGTTAATCCTCTCTGTCCCATTATAAGCAAGATCCAGTCTTCTTACATCTTACAGATATTTGCAATAGGTGATTCTTGTTCTTCTCTGTTCTAGTCTGTAATATTATAACAGAAATATGTATCAGAAATAGCTTATTTGGTTGCTATCATTTGATCAAACTCATAGATATTGGCATTAATATATAAATGGCTTATTTAGCTTTAAGTTTGTGAGTGTAGAGACGCATATTATGGAATAAAAGTTTGTATCTCTCTTAAAATTTATATGTTAAAACTCTAATTCTCAATGTGATGATATTTGGAAGTGGGGCCTTTAGGAGGTAAATAGGTTAGATGAAGTCATGGAGATGAGGCCATGGTCCAATGGAATTAGTGCTCTTATAAAAAGAGACAACAGAGATTTTGCCTCTGTCTCTTCAACATTTAAGGTGTAGGGGCAGAAGGAACTTTCCACCCCATGAAGATTTAATAATTTGATTCTGTAAAACAAACTGACAATAGACAGATTAACAAGAGAAAAGGCAAACATATTTGTTAATGTGCAAGCACACAGGAGCCACACAAAATAGGAAACTCAAAAGGACCAGAAGGCTAAAGTTTAACTATTCTATAGGGGAGAGGGAGGTGGGGGATGTAGGTAATTTTAGAGGAAGAATACATGATTTTTAGGGGAAATAAATGAACCCAAAGAACAGACAACAGCTTAGGACAAAGTTCCTCTGGGAAGGTGAGGGGTGGAACTAAACTGTAAACAAAGTTTGTGTTATTATTCAGATAAAGCCTCTCAGGTAATAAAAGTTGTTTTGGAGCAGCCTCCAGAAGAATAGGTAGTAGCCAGTCTGGGTGTGGTGTTGACTTTTAATATCTTCTGCAGTGATTAATCTTCCCTGGTTGTTTGATGAGCTTCCTAAAGAGGTGGATCAAGACAATTGCAATCCTTCTGGAAAATCTTCCCTTGGTCAGATACATGAACCTCCCTGCATTTCAAAAAGGAAAGAGGTGGTGGCGGGCTGGATCAGGAGAAGATCAGAGAGAGACTTTGATTCTGAGGCTTTTAAATCACATTTGTTCAAAGCGCTCAGCATGCCAAAGGGCCATATTTTGAGGATTTTTTTCTGAACCCCAACAGAGGATACAGCAATAAGGCGTGATGGCTGCCTGAAAAATCAGGATGTGTTTTCTCCCCAGGAATCAAATCAACCAGCACCTTGATCTTGGACTTCTCAGCCTCCAAACTGTGGGAAATAAATTTCTATTGTCTAAGCCACCTAGACTGGTATTTTGTTAGGAGTATTTTACTTTGGTACCAAGGATGGTGTGCTGCCATAAGCAAATATCTAAAAATGTGGAAGTGGCTTTGAAACTGGATAATGGGTAGAGCATGGAAGAGTTTTGAGGTGTGTGCTAGAAATATGGATGTTAAAGGCAATTTTGGTGAGGGCTTAGAAAGAAAGGGGAGAGCTGGAGAGAAAACCACCATCTTTGTAGAGAATACTTAAGTAATCATGAATGCAATGCTGGTAGAAATATGGACATTAAAAGCGGTTCTGGTGAGGTCTCAGAAGGAAATGAGAAACAGGTTATTAGAAACTGGAGGAAACTGCTACTTTATTATAAAGTGACAGAGCACTAGATTGCATTGTGTTTGTGTTCCAGTGCAGGCAGTGAAGTTGATATTTAGCTGAGGAAATGTCTAAGCAAAGTATTGAAGGAGTACCTTGGTTCTTCCTGACTGCTTCTAGTAAAATGGAGAAAAGAGAAATGAATTTAAGAAGGAATTCCTATGCAAAAAGGAACCAGAACTTGAAGATTTGGCAAATTCTTAGGCTATCCATATTGCAAAGAATGAGAAAGATTATTCTGAAAAGAACACTAAGGGTGTGGCTGAACACTATTTGATAAGGAGATAGTATGGATGTGAATGAAGGATTTGATCAGCTATTTCAACAGAAGCCGGGAATGGGGATGGGATTATACCAAGAGAAATGTTGCCAGCTGGGACTAAAGGGGGCAGAAATAAACAGGAGTGACTGAAAGAAGGATGTTGGGCCATCGCCAAGGTGCTATGGGGAAATTAAAGTAACAAAATTAGAAAAAATTATTAAAAAGCAAAAAAAAAAAAAAACAGGATATTGGGCTTCGTACATTGTCAGGATAGGATGATGGGGCCATTTGGCTGTGAACATGCTTTATCTTTCAAGAAAAGGGAAGAATAATCCCAAAGGCAATTTGGAGAGCATCAGAGCTGCCACTCTTACCACAGGTCAAGGGGGCAGGGCTGGTTCCTCATCTGTTTCAAAGGGTTGGGTGGCCATTCTAGTTTTTGCTGGCCAGGATGCCTCTGCCCATGACTTCATTCTCCCTTAGAGAATCACATGGGGTGGGCCTTTCCAGAGAGCCAGGAGACTGGGCTCTCACAGGGAAGAACTCATTCCAGATTTAACTCCAAAGTCTCATCTAAATACCATCTAAATTAGGTATAGGTGATACTCAAGGTACGATTCATCCTGAAGCAAAATTCCTCTCCATCTGTGAACCTGTGAAATCAAATTATGCACATTCAAAATCCATTGATGATGCAGGCATAGGTTATATAGATATTCTCATTCTAAAAGGGAGAAATCAGAAAAAAGAGATGACATGTTCCAAGCAAGTCCAAAACCTAGCAAGGAAAATTCGATTAGATGCTAAGGCTTAAGAATAATCTTCTTTGGTTCAGTACTCTGCCTTCTGTCCCCATTAAGGTAGCAGCATCATGCCCTTGGCTCTGGGGCCGTCTTGCCCCCAAGGCTTTTTGTGAGAGCCCCACCACCTTTGCATTCAAGATGGACATGAATTTTGGGAGCCCAGAGGAAGAATATTATGGCCTGAATGTTCCCCCTACCCCAAATTCAGATGTTTTGAAGCCTTAACCCTCAATGTAATGTTAGGAGATGGGGCCTTTAGGAAGTAATTAGGGTTAAGTGAGGTCAGGAGGGTGCGGTCCCAGTCCAATGAGATTAGCACCCTTATGAGAAAAGACACTAGAGTTTTTTTTTCTCTCTCTCCACCATGTGAGGACACAGTAAGAAGGCCAGTGCCTGCAAGCCAGGAATCAGGCCCTAACCAGGAACTAAATTGTTGGCGAAAATCTTGATCTTGGACTTACTAGCCTTCAGAACTGTGAGAAATAAATTTCTGTTGTTAAGCCACCCAGCCCTAAGAAACAAATACAGAGCAGCAAGTAGGTATGAAAAGACATTCAGCACTTAAAGAAGTTTGCAAAGTTCTTAGAGTTGGTTTCCTTGGAAACCTTGTTGGTATTACAGCCTTTCTTTATTGCACCGATGTTCAAGTGTGTGAGATGCAGATGAAGGTTATCTGCAGAGGACACATATAATGTTAGACCTAGCATGCCCTCCTTGAGAACCTTACTACAGCCACTCCAACTCCCATACACACTTGAATCTTCTGACTCAAACAGTGGTTCCATCAAGCCTCTCTTCCTGTGTACTGACTTATGGTGGCTTCTTCTTTTAGGATTCATCAGCAATCACTTATTCTGATTTCTTACATATGCCTTCTCAGCATGTCACTTGGCATCTCTCGTCTGTGTGAGCCAGTGATTAACTTGAAATTCTCTTACTCTAATTCTGTGGTAACTGTTCTATTTATTATTACAGACTGTTGAAGCTCCCAGAAAATCTCCAATCATTTTGTGCAAATCCATTATTTTACAGATAAGAAGAGAAAAATGTCTTAATCAGCTTGGGCTGCTGTAACAGAATACCGTAGACTGGGTGGCTTAAATAACAAGCGTTTATTTCTCATAGTTTCAGAGGCTGGGAAGTCTGAGATCAGAGTGCCACCATATTCGGGTTCTGGTGAGGGCCCTCTCCCTGGCTTGCATTGCCTGCATTTTACTGTGTCCCCACTTGGCAGAGAGAAATTCTGGTGTCTCTTCCTGTTCTTATAATAAGATAAATCCCAACCTGGCGTCTGCATCCTCATGACCTCATCTAAACCTAATTACCTCCCAAAGGCCTCACCATCTTATATCATTGCACTATGGGTTAGGGTTTCAACACATGACCTTTGGGAGGGACATAAACATTCCGCTCATAACAGAGAGCTTAAGGAGGTTGAAGATGTTGAGGCTTACACCTTTTTTTCCTTTCACAACAATCCACAAAACTGCTTCCCCAGGAACCCCAAATAAGGAAACCCTTTACAACCCATTTGGTGGCAGCATTCTGAAAGAATTCCCTTCTGAGCCTTTGATAAGTTGCACTGAGCATTACCAGTATGCATGAGACATAGCATCTAAACACAGATTTCAGTTTTTATATTCCTTTTACTTCTTTTAGTGATAATGGCCATTCACTTCCTGAAAAGAGAGGGCTATGAATATTAAGAAGAATCCAAGAGGGTGAGATTCTGGTTTTGTATAATCATAGGAAAATATTCATTAACTAATTCCAAAAATAACAACCAACTTAATGAGTTTGTAGGGAGAAATGTTGCTTGACTTTAAGGAGATTTGGAAATACTTACACTTAAAAGATGAGAAAGAAGGAGTAAGAATGAGGCTTCTTTTCCTAGTAACTGGAAACATAACCTTCTTAGAATTTATTTTTTGGTAGGAGATGGCTTTTTTCTTTCCCTTTTGGAAAACAATAACTTTTAATTGCTGATAATTTCTCCTGGGTCAAGGCTTTAAAAGGACAGAATAGTTTTCTTCCTTCTGCTAGAGTAATAAAGCACTTAAAATGTTTCTGTTTCATTTCACGGCTGCCCACTGAAGAATCTAGTCCATCTTGTTCTGGTAAACATTTCCTGAACCACTTCATTGTTTGAGTTTTTTCCCTCCATTAACAGGAAAGGGAGATATCTCTCAACAGAATATATGAAACTTATCAGGAATTACCCTCTGCCAATGGATAGTCTCTTACCTAGTTTTGTTTTGGAGTGGAAAAATAATGCTGCTTATAATAGGATCTTAGAACTCGAAAGGAATTTAGAAATCATAGAATTCAACTTCATAATTTCAAGCTGAGGTAACTGAGACTAAGGGGCGAAACTTGCTAACTAGAAAAGATTCAGTACTAGAACTAAAGTTCTTTGGCTTTCAGCTCAGTGCTGTTTCTGGCCTATAATACTGGTCTCCTTTCTAGTTGGATAGGTCTTTGTCGGCTATATTTCTCTTTCTGTGCCTGGCTTATTTCACTTAACATAAGGTCCTCCTGGCTCATCCATGTTGTCACAGATGACAGGATTTCCTTCTTTTTAAAGACTGAGTAGTATTTCACTGTGTTAATGAACCACATTTTCTTTATCCTTTCACATGAAAGTCTTATGACCTGGTTTAGAGGAGGGTCAGGAAATCTTTCCTGGGTTGTATGACCTGTTTGGGGGAGAAAAGTGGGAGGAAGGTGAGAGTGACCTTCCTGCCTCTGTCATTTTCTCAAATGCCAATGTGCCATATTGTAGGATAGCACATCCTGAACCCCATCACCGGGGTGGCTGGGATGTCATCTCTGTATAGAAATCTTATTCCAAGCACTTACGTGTTGAAGTAAAGAGCCCATGTTTGCATCTTTCCACCCAAGGATTGGTCATCTCTGGTCAAGACCTGAGGTCCAGGATGAGCTCTTTCCCACAGAAACTTTGACAAATGTGTGGACAATAAAGAAGCACTGCTTCCCTCATTCACCATAGCTCAGCTGGATTTATAGATTTAAATCTTTTAACGAAAAAGTTCATGTTGAGGTATTTAGATACTTTTTAGAGGGTTAAATACCAAGTTACAGTGACATTTAAACCGAGTGTCTAGAACATGAAGGCAAAGAGTCTGCTATTCGGAGGTAAATTTTATCAGTGTTTGAAAGGTGAAGCATTTGCTCATGAAATGTTGAATGAATTTCTGTGACATGGCACGAGGGTGGTAAGAAAAAGTGGAAACTCAAAGATGTATTTTTGCTTCATCCACCAGAGGACTGGAATGTTGGGGGATGCTGAATCAGTGAGCAAAGCAGAAAGAATGATAGAATCATTGGTAGCATCTTCGGGGTTTACGTAGTGCTTTTGTCTAGTTTGGTCCTTGCAACAACCCCATAGGTGGTCAGGTATTGTTTCTGTTCTACATGTGCAGAAACCCAGATACATTGAGCCAATGGTGGAGCCATGACTTGATCTCAGGCCTCTGGGCTCTGGATTATGTGATTTTGCTTCCATGTCATTCTGCTTCTTTGGTAAGGACTGAAAGGTGGATGGTCAGGATTACCAGGTGCTTAGCAATGAGAAGCCAGCCAGAGGAATTTATCTTACTGTGTTTTCAGACAGTATCCATGGAAATGTGGACTTGAGTGATGAGCCTGTCCATTGCTCATGTGGCCAGGTTCACTTAGAGGATTAGTGACAGCATGTGTAAGGAACGTGACCAACACTGAATCCCACCCTACTCTGCTGACTTCAGACTTCCACTTAGGGCTTTACCAAAGTGAGAGAGACTAAACTTCAGCCTTTGATGCTTGACATTTTTATAGGTTCTGGAAACCTCTATCTCTACCGGATAGTTGATTTTCTCTAAATACAAAGCACAGGACTGTCAGTCTGTGAGACCTTGTCTTATTTGGCTGTGGTTTTGGGTGTAGCAGAACAGAGCATTGCAAATTTGTTGACTGAAGTGTTTTTAGCAGCAGAGAAGGATGAAAGAGGAACACCTGGGCAGGAGCTCAAGCAATGGCATCTCAGCCGAAATAGCTCTGAAGTCTTATATTTACAAAAATTTGTGGGAATTTTACATTATGCTGTAAAATATTTATTACCATATTAAAAGTAATGTTCCAGATTAATTGCAATGAGTGATAGTGACTCTCTAGACTTTTCTCAGAGGTGTTTTTTTTTTTTTTTTTTTTTTTTTGTTTTTTTTTTTTGAGATGGAGTCTTACTCTGTCTCCCAGGCTGGAGTGCAGTGGTGCAATCTTGGCTCACTGCAAGCTCCACCTCCCAGGTTCACACCATTCTCCCGCCTCAGCCTCCCGCCACCACGCCTGGCTAATTATTTTTTGTATTTTTAGTGGAGACGGGGTTTCACCATGTTAGCCAGGATAGTCTCAATCTCCTGACCTCGTGATCTGCCCTCCTCGGCCTCCCAAAGTGCTGGGATTACAGGCGTGAGCCACTGTGCCCGGCCTCTCAGAGGTTTTGACTCCCGTGACACATTGCTGGCTGCCCTTGGATTCCTCTTCTCAGTTTAAGAATTTCTGATTCTTAACTCGTCTCAGTTTAAGAATGCTCTTCCTAAACTCACTTGATTTTCATTCCATTTCCTCTTTCAGGAGAGCTACCTACTCCTGCAAATGATGTCTCTTTCTATGTAGAGTAGAAAGAATAGAATTTCTATTGTTACACAAATATGCATTGTTTTCCCAATATGAAAATACTGGAACTCTTCATTCCTAAAACATGTAAGGTCAGAGAGCTTTATTCTAAAGCTTTATTCAAAGTTCCAGGCTTACCCTGGAACTTGAGCTCCTCCTGACCCTTGATGCCAGATAAAATGTGTGGTTGGGGGGTTTGCATCAGTGGCTCTTAGGCATTTACAGCCATCAGACCAAACATTTCACACACAAAAGCTATCACAATGGCTAAGAGAAAGGGCATTGGTTTTGGAACAGTAGGAGATGATCTCTGGTTTTAATATAAACATAATTGTTCATGAAAGAAGAATATGAGTACACCCATGCAGCAGTCATCATTTTGAGCCAGCCAACTGTGTGAAGAGCTTTGTGGGCCAAACTTTGGGAGCCACTAATTTGTTGGAAGCCTGGTACAACCAGATGTTTGCCCTACTTTAATGAAGACAAAAAAGAGTTGGCAGCAAGGAAATGTAATCTAGGGCATTTATGAGTTGGGTGGCAGATTAAATGTGTACAGTACAGGCTACATACTTTGTGGGGCCAGTGCAAAATGAAAATGTAGGGTCCTTGGGCAAAAGTTATAGAGAATTTCAAGACAGTAACAGCAGAGCATTAAACAAAGCACAGGGCCTTTCAAAGCATGAAGCCCTGTGCAATTGCACAGATCACATGCCCATGAGGCCGGCCCTGATAAAGTTTCTTAAATTGGGAAAGTTGTGGGTGTAGTTTGAGTGTGAAGGAAAAAAAAAACAAAACCATTAATACAAAGGTAATAAATGAGAAAAAAGGAAAGGCGAATCCCATGAGGAACAAGGTTGCTTTGTAAGTGAAGTGTGGAAAAGCCATGGTCTATGCTGGAGAGGAGGAGAGAGGAGAATGCTACAGGCTGGAGAGAATGACCCAGAGATCTGATGTTACAAACCAGGTCTCTCCCAGGGGTGGGTCGGGAGGGCTAGTGGGTAATATTCTAGTTGACAGAATAACATCCATATAAGGCACAAAATTGATTGGTTAAATAATTGTAGGATTCTGTTTTACACCGTTCATTGAAACCCATTGGTAGTTGCATTTGCTATGCGGTCAGAAAATGGTGAACAAGTTATTACTATTTGTTTTGTTCGTCTTGGGAAAAGAATTTAGTCTATAGTGTGGAGGAGTTTCAGAGAATTCACCTCTGAATTCATGGATAGTGATTCCAATGTCTTTTTAAAAGATGGAAACTTGAACCTCAGTGAAATATAAAGGCTATGAGCATAATTCAAGCTTTACGGCAGTCAGCAATCAAACACAGTACTCATTTATTCATTCTGGCAATATCATTCATGGTGCAAAAGGCCAGTTTCAAATATAAACAGGACCAGGCAGGGAAGACGTATGTGTGAGGACAATGAGGACCAATGGTGACTAAGGCAAGCCAGAGAGAATGGGGCCTGTTGAAAAATGCTCAGAATCAAATAATTGTAAAACATGATGCAGGACTGAGCACAGTCTGTCTGGAGATTAGGTTTAATTGGCTATCAGTTTGCATCCCCTGATAGATGAGTCACTGGGAAAAAGCAGACCCATTGGTGGCCCTGGAAAGCATTGAAGTAAAACATTGTTACCAAGAGTGGAGGGCTTAAGAGACAAACAGTATCATCCAATGAATGAAACCCTTCCAACTAAGAGCCCGGCACCAGTGGGCTTCCGTCAGATGGGACTGCCCACTGCCCGGGACCTATGTTGTCCCAGACAACAAGGTAGCTTATGTATTCTTTCTCCAATAGGCCAGTTTGGTGAGCTACGAGGGTTTAATGACTAATTAGGAAATTATTTTACTGCTCTTCCTAAACTCACTTGATTTTCATTCCATTTCCTGTTTCAGGAGAGCTACCTACTCCTGCAAATGATGTCTCTTTCTATGCAGAGTAGAAAGAATAGAATTTCTATTGTTACACAAATATGCATTGTTTTCCCAATATGAAAATACTGGAACTCTTCATTCCTAAAACATATAAGGTCAGAGAGCTTTATTCAAATAACGTGTGTTCTATTAGCGTAAATGAGGTTTATATCTGTGAACGCTGATGTTAGTGTCTGATTAATCTTGAGTAAAAGATTCTTTCTTTCACTTCTCTTTCCTAGCCAAAGAACACTAGATCTTTTTGCTCCTTAGTTCAGCTAAATCTCGGTTTTTGTGTCACGACCAGGAAAAGTTAGGCACACAGACACATTGAAGGGTGAGGGGAATGGAATTTATTGGGCAAAAGGAAAAAAGAAAACAAAAAAACAAAAACAACAACAAAAAAACGTCTCAGCAAAGCAAGAGGGGTTCCTGCCAAGGGCTCCCACCTCACAGATTGAATACCAGGCCACCACACACGAGCTGAAGAGCCCACGCTCCTCCCCCTGCACAAGGCGCGAACTTCCCGTAGCTCCACCTTCTTTTTTCCCAGTGCGCAGGCGCATCGGAGATTCTCGGACGACCCTTTCCTTATCCGCCTCCTGTGTCTATCATTTTCTTCACTCCTAATCTGTTTATTGCTTTGTTTTGTTTTTGAGATGGAGTTTCACTGTTGTTGCCTGGGCTGGAGTGCAATGGCGCGATCTTGGCGCACTGCAACCTCCGCCTCCCGGGTTCAAGCGATTCTCCTGCCTCAGCCTCCCCAGTAGCTGGGATTACAAGCACACGCCACCATGCCCTGCTAATTTTTGTTTTTTTTAGTAGAGACAGGGTTTTGCCATGTTGGCCAGGCTGGTCTCGAACTCCTGACCTCAGATGATCCAACCACATCGGCCTCCCAAAGTGCTGGGATTACAGGCGTGAGCCACTGCGTCCGGCCCTAATCTGTTTTTCACACTCTCATTCCTCATCTTGCTCTCTGGTCTACCCTGAGTTTCTTAAAGGAAACTGACCGAGTATGGTTTTGCCAACGCCGGGGTGCCATGTGACACACATTAGAGAGTTTGTATCTTTTGGGCCTGTGCAGGAAAGACTGGAGACTACAAGTTTCCCACCTGTGCCAAGGAGAATACTCATTCATACCTGTGTACGCCAGGTAGCAGTTAAAGGAGAAATCAATTGCTCTCACAGTTTCACAAGAAAAAATGGTTTAAAAAATTGTCTTTACTGATGAAAGCTCTTTCTTGAACTCTATTGTCAAAATAGGGACGTGACCGTCTTTAAAAATAGCTGGTTTGGGAAAAAAATTACTGGTGCGAATTGCACGGAAGAAAAGGGGTGTACTTTGGCTTTCCTCTCTCCTTTAACTGCACTATCAGAATCAAATCTGGGCTTCCAATACATTTTTAACCAGAGAGTTGTGAAAAGGCCCTCAAACAAGGACATTCATGCTGTTTATAGCTGGCTTTTGTTATTATTATTAATTTATTTTAGTTGACAAACAAAAATCAATATATGGTGTACAAATGATGTTTTAAAGTATGTATGCATTGTGGAATGGCTAAATCAAGCTAATTATACATGCAGATCACTGACTTTTAATAGAAAAAGGAAATATTGTTACCTTGCTTTTAAAATTGAGATACTTTATGATGTCAGTGCATACTCTATAGTTACAATTTTTTGTTTTGCTAGATTTTAAAATTTAATTGTCATTATTCCTGTCACTAGCCACCTCATCCTGGGAGACGGACACCTATAATCTTAAACCTCAATGTAACTTGGTGTGATGGAGAACGGAAGGGATGTCTCACTAGGAGAAATGCCATAGATTGAAGGAGGCCCGACGGCATGTCAGCGCGCTGCCCAGCACACCCTCCCAATGCATCTGTACTTGACCAAGCCATTCCCGGAAGCAGATCATGGCAGGCTCCCCGGGGCTGGCATATGCTTATCCTAAATTACAAAACTGGCATTTGCCTCTACTCAGCCCTGTTTTCTGTATGACTATCAAATTGTTTACTGACAAAGTCACAATGAGCTTTCATACTCCCTTTGTGGGAACTGGAAAAAGGTTACTGCTCAGAATAAATCCACTGGGCCGGGTTCAGTCCTCATTTACTACCCTCTGTGTAGCAGGAACGGCCCATTATCCCTTACAGGGATGCTCAGAATCCCAGCAGAGGGGCCTTGCCATTCTCCTTCCCCCTATTCAAAAATTCTCCGTTCTGTGGCTTTTTCTTCCAGGGTCTTTATTTTACCGAATGACCTAATAACTTGATGAATAAATTCAAACAACAAAGATGTTAATAGCAGTGCTTGTTCCAGCTATGCTATTATATTGCCAATGTTGTCATCATCGTCTAGAGTACTGTTTCCTTACTTTACATCTGGTAACAATCTCATCCATTTTGCCAAACTGAACTCTAATATCAATTACTCTGAAAAATTTCCTGACCCTTCCAAGTGAGTAAGTTATTTCCCTCTCTGAATGCTTGTAGTAGAGTGTTTATATATTTTCATATTTCTTACATTGCTTAATAAATATTTACATGTCAGTCTCCCCTGATGTCCTGTAACCCTTTGAGATCAGAGGCAGTGGTGTTCTTGTTTATATCTCCAGCTCATGGTTTATTATTTAGACATAATAGGTGCTCAACAAATAAATAATGACTGGATCATGGTATTGAATGAACTGGTCAATCAAACTTAGTACTTACCATGGTGTTTTTCCCTTAATTGGGGGCTCCTAAAGACGACTCTTTAAAGCAGCTGATTGGAGTGTAGACAGCTGGAAGGACAGCACCCTCTTGGCTCTTTTCCCAGAAACCAGCTGCTATTTTGCCTTCCAGTCAGGGTTAGATCAGGAATTACTAAGAACTCTGTGAAGAATGGCTTGGCCCTAGTTCCCTGCTTTTTACTTGAGTTTCCGGAGCATTGGGAATCTCCACATATATGCCAGTAAATCCTCTGGTTTTCTGGATTTGAGGGAAAGTTGCGTCTTATGTTTTCTCTGATGTGTTCATGAGCAGAGGGCACTGTCTTTGAGGCAGAATACCAGGTGCTGTAATAGATACAAAGGAGTACCCCAAACCTGCTCTGAGGAGGTAATTTATAACTGGAGAGAGAAATGTGTAACGTGATAAACTACATGAGGGGTCAGAAATCACTGCAGACTTTGGTGATTAGAGAAGTCTTCATGGGAGTGGATTTGGAGCTGGACCTGGAATGATAAATTGGATTTCTATTTGTTCATTCAATTGACAAATATTTGTCTAGTGTACCCCATTCTTCCCTAGGTATGGGAATACAAAGAGTGCTCACTCAGAAGTATACTAGTGTGAGCTCCAAACTTTTTGGGTGATAGAACCCCTAAAAGTAATAGAGTTCTTTGCCCAGCCCCATAACTTACTGCCAAATTAGCACAAAAAGTCTAAATGGACTAAGGAACATACCAGCAAGGTTTTAGTATAGATGAAAGGAAAGAGGTTCCATATGTTGACAAAAAAGTTTTTTGCTTTTTCTGTTGTTGTTTTTGAGACGGAGACTTGCTCTGTTGCCCAGGCTGGAATGCAGTGGAATAATCTCTGCTCACTGCAACCTCCACCTCCCAGGTTCAAGCTATTCTCCTGTCTCAGCATGCACCACCACGCCCAGCTAATTTTTGTATTTTTTTTATGGAGATGGGGTTTCACCATGTTGGCCAGGCTGGTCTCGAACTCCTGACCTCAAGTGATCTCGCCTCAGCCTCCCAAAGTGCTGGGATGGATTATAGGCGTTAGCCACCATGCCCGGCCTAAAAGTTTTTTAATAGAAAATTTTACTGGAGAAATTTTATGGGAGAGTTTTATCAAATAGCTTATTTTTCTGTCTTCTTGGAAAAGATTCTATTCATTTAGTGCAAAAGTAATTGCGGGTTTTGCCACTTTTTTTAAAGTATGGCAAAAACCGCAATTACTTTTGCACCAACCTAATACCAAGACGAGCACTGAAGATAGAACCATAGGCAAGACCGATATTTTAAAAGCTTATTGAAGAAAATGGGTCAGAAAAAGAATCATTTGAATTGGGGCAGAAGCTGTTCATCAAGTTCCTCAACATGATTGAGCATGGTGTCTGGTTTTGTTTTCAAAACTCAGTTTTGTCTTTAACGTTATACTGTGTCCACTCAAGGCTGATGAATTACAGCCCTTTTTGCTAAATTTGTTCATCATTTCTCCAGAGACTCAGGCTATGAGACGAAAAGGGTTTTACATGGTACAAATGCAACATCTCTAGAAGGAACTAAAAGGGCAAGACGTTTGGTTTGTCAGAGCAGTTCTGATGGGTCAAGTTAGGTCCTGAGGAATGTTGTTTGTTGGGAGTGCTGCCAATAGCTGTAACATTGTTCAACAAACTCCACCAGGCTTGACATTCAAGACTTGAAATAAGATAGTAAAATGCCCAAGTTTCTGTGAACCCAGAAAATCTAAGACAGGTCTCAGTTAATTTAGAAAGTTTATTTTGCCAAGCTTGAGGATGTGTACCCATGACACAGCCTCAGGAGGTCCTGTTGACATGTGCCCAAGGTGTCAGAGCACAGTTTGGTTTTATACATTCTAGGGAGACATGAGACATCAATCAACAAATGTAAGGTGAACACTGGTTCCGTCTGGAAAGGTGTGACAACTCGAAGCAAAGGTGGGACAGTTTGAAGTGGGGAGGGGCTTCCAGGTCATAGGTAGACAAAACACAAATGGTTGCATTCTTCTGAGTTTCTGATTAGCCTCTCCAAATGAGGCAATCAGATATGCATTTATCTCAGTGAGCAGAGGGGTGACTGAATAGAATGGGAGGCAGCTTGGCCCTAAGCAGTTCCCAGCTTGACTTTTCCCTATAGCTGAGAGATTTGGGGGCCCAAGATTTATTTTCTTTTCACACTTCCTTTTTCTCCTTTTTGGATCATTTTGGGATCGGTATAATCTCTTCTTCCTATTCCTTTCCCCGCATGTCGCCACCTGACATATGCCCCCAACAAGCATATAGTCTATGCCATATCACACCACAGCATCAGAGGCACTTATTATGGGATGCAGGAGGGAGGTGTAGGCGAGGAGGCGTAGGGTACAGCAAGAACCTTTGTTAAAAGGGAGTTTTTGTGATTTCTCAGACCTGTTTCTAATCCTAGGTAAAACAACAAAAATCAGTTGTGCAATACAATGTTATATGCAACAAGTTTCTTTTCAGAAACAAAAAAAATCACTGTAAAACACTGTCATCCTTTGAAAGTTGTTATAATCAGCTCAATGAACATGGCTTAATTTCAGTCACTCAGAAAATTATATCTTTTTGTTAATCTCAATATTTACGTTTCTGCTTGATGCAGTCAATGACATTTGTTTATTGACCTCTATAAATGATGAGCTTAGGTGTAACTGGCATTCAGAGAGAAGGCTGTCATATTGCAGAAAAATATGAAGTGGCCTTTATTTTTATGTTCAGAAGCATGTGTGATGCCAGATGTTTTTTATACGCAGTGCACTTAGAAATGCATTTGTGAACTCTAGACCTGCAGGGGAGATACCAGCTCCCTCCCTGCAGGTCTGAGGGAGCCCCAGTGTGCCATCTCTATTCTCCTTATCCTGGGAGACAAATGTAGCCCTGTGCTTGGGCAATCTTCCAAAGGACTCATATCTTGTTTTTGCTTTTAAAAAAAATTAGCCCAGTCCATGAAGAGGTGCTTGTTTTTTGAAAACATCCCTAACTGCCTTGAGTGCGTCTTATCTCTCTCTCTCTTGAGAGAATACAATGGTTGCAATTTGAATTCTGCTATGGTAAAATTCATTTCCTGCCTGTGGTGCTGCCCAGATTTACTTTATCCTATTCACATGCCTGTCAAGTGATAGCGTGGGTTAGTTGAGAGTAGCAGGAAGGGAAAGGAAATGAGAAGCGCAATGTTTTATAATCACACAATCAGCATCTTGCTTCGAGAACAACAGTTCGGAAGGGAGTAGTATGATGGGCTGGATAAAAACGGGCTTTGA